>NC_000004.12:11822916-12447916 GCF_000001405.40 Homo sapiens | reverse complement strand
GGTCATTTTACAGACAATAGTTAAAAGAAAGATTAAAGCATACAATAATTGTGAGGACCAAAAAGTTTACACTAACAATTCTCTGATAAACAAAATTCAGTGAGGTGTTATCAACCCTATTTTATATTCCAGTAATCTGAATCTCAGAGTTTAAATTACCTTGCCCCAGTCCACAAGTACTCAGTAAAGAGATTGGTGTTCTGGACCAGGCTCCATGACTTATTGCGCTTTTCACTCCGTTGTCCGTGAATTATTGCCCACTTACATTCCAGGAGTGTAGCTTTAGCCTGAAGAAGTAAATCCACTCTGTTACTCTATTTTTGTTCTCCAGCTCCAGCTGTTTTTGCATAAGATGAGGAAAACAGCATGCCCTTTCTACATTTTCTCCTACTCACATGCCCCAAAATGTGTGTTAATTTAAAAAAGATGCTTAGATTTTTAAACATCTGAAAGGCAAACAAATGTGGAGACTTGGAACAACAGCCTTTCTTCTTTCCTTGCCAGTGATCTGCAGACTTTTCGAGGTGATTATAGGTGCTAGATGCACTAAACAGATACAATTTGTGGCACAACATGTCAAAACTAAACAACCATGAAGAGCTTCTTCAGAGTAAATGGTGCTAAAAAACAGCTAACAGCTATTGAAGGCAGTACCTTTTTACATAAAAGAAATATTAGTTTGATTAAATGTTCCAAAACATTGTTATGTAAACATAACTCAAATACCCTGAATGGCAAAAAAACAAAAAGAGATAAATGTGGAAGATAAAGCTATTCACAGTGAAGTATATTAATGCTAGAAAGTGCGGACATTCCTTTCTTTACTCTGCATTTTATAGTCTTTGTTCAGAGCAAAAACAGCTGCCCTTTCCAACTTCACTTCAGAAACTTGTCTTCAGTCTCTTGCACTGGGCAGTGAGTGTGTGTGCATGTGTGTGTGTGTGTGTGTATGTTTGGGCAAGCTCATGTGCGTGTTTAACTGTATGAGTTCATGCATTTAAGCACATCTGTCTGAGAAATTATGTCTCTGTGTCCTCTGAGTGCATGATCTTGTGAGTGCTGGCTTTGCAGTGTGTGAATGAGCCTGTGGACAATCAGAAGGGCACACAGTAGTCTATTTGCATGCATGTGTGTGTATGCTTTTGCAGATGTTAGGATAGTTATGTCTGTGGAGTTGTGAAATGATGCATGTGTGAGTAAATGAATGCATTTAAGTTCTTAAGGATAAGTGTGTATTTGTGTGTGTACATGAACACCTATATGAAAGGGAAATGAGTGCCTCCATGCACAATCCCCTTGATTTGTGTGTATGTCTGAATGTGCAAGTTCAGATGTACATTCTTATTTGTAAGAATGTGTGTATGCATATGTGTTTGTATAATAAGTCTGGGGAAAGCAAGGAGTCTGTCAGCAATGTCAAAGAATGACAAAGTGTTACTGGAGATGCTGTTTCTCAACTGCCGTGCTTGACTGTCAGTGTGGAAGCCGTTTCCAGAATCAGCTGCTGATTTGTCGTGCTGTTAATTGATGTCAAAGCTGTGTCTGCTGGGTCTGGCACTCATGCGGTAAAGTGAAATTTCCAAACAAGTCCAGACCCCGGCAGCTGGTCCTGAGTTTACAAGGTGATAGAAAACAGGCATTTTTAGGAAAACAAAAACAAAAAGATTACATTTCTATTGGTACTTCATCTAGAGAGCCAGTTTGACAGGTCTGTGTGTAACACACTGGGGGTGGGTTAGTGAGGGTGAGGACCCCACGGGAGTTGGGGGCAGGAAAACTAGGAAGAGAACTTCCTAGTTGGCTGGCTAGCCAAGCTCCCACTGAGACAGCTTCTCAGGGCGTTTTCCTAGATTCTGAGCAGCTGTTCACCACCTTAGGGTTTTCCTCCCAAAGAGTGAGATCCTAGAATTGAGTGAAAGGCCATACAGCAGATCCTACTTTGTTTAGATTTTAAGAAATTGAGGCCCAGAGGGGAAACTACTTTCCTGTTATAGTAAGAGGCTGATAAGGTTTGGCTGAATCACCACCCAATTTTCATCTTGAACTATAGTTTCCATAATCCTCACGTGTCATGGGAGGGAGCCAGTGGGAAGTAATTGAATCATGGGGGCATTTACCCTTATGTTGTTCTGCTGATAGTGAGTGAGTTTTCACAAGATCTGATGGTTTTATATGAGGTTATTCCCCTTTTGCTCGGCACTTTTTCTTGCTGCTACCATGTGCAGAAGGATGTGTTTGTTTCCCCTTCTGCCGTGATTGTTAGTTTCCTGAGGCTTCCCCAGCCCTGCAGAACTGTGAATCAATTGATATGGCTTGTTTTGGCTGTGTCCACACCCAAATCTCATCTTGAATTCCCAGATGTTGTGGGAGAGACCCAGTGGGAGGTAATGGAATCATGGGGACAGGTCTTTCCCATGCTGTTCTCATGGTAGTGAATAAGTCTCATGAGATCTGATGGTTTTGTAAGGTTAAGTTTCCCTGCACAAGCTCTCTTTTCCTGCTGCCATATGTGTAAGATGTATCTTTGCTCCGCCTTGCCTTCTGCCATGATTGTGAGGCCTCTCCAGCGATGTGGAAGTGTGAATCCATTCAACCTTTTTTCTGTACACATTACCCAGTCTTGGGTATGTCTTTATTAGCAGCATGAAAATGGACTAATAAGGCCGGGCACAGTGGCTCACACCTGTAATCCCAGCACTTTGGGAGGCCAAGGAGGACAGACCATGAGGTCAAGAGATTGAGACCATCCTAGCCAATATGGTAAAACCACGTCTCTACTAAAAATACAAAAATTAGCTGGGCATGGTGGTACACACCTGTAGTCCCAGCTACTTGGGAGGCTGAGGCAGGAGAATGGCTTGAACCTGGGAGGTGGAGGTTGCAGTGAGCTGAGATTGCGCCACTGCACTCCAGCCTGATGACAGAGTGAGACTCTGTCTCAAAAAAAAAAAAAAAAAAAAGGAAAATGGACTAATACATCAGTTAAACCTCTTTCCTTTATAAATCACCCAGTCTTGGACAGTTTTTTATAGCAGCATGAGAACAGACTAATATAGAGTCAGACTTCAGATTATAACCCAAATCAACACAATATTAAAACTATTTGTGGAATGCAGATTGTTTTCAGTGTGATGGAAATATTTTATTTCATATAGTACCATTTTCAGGTTAATTTTTTTATTTTTAGTTGATACATAATGGTTATACATTTTTAGGGGGTACACATAATATTTGATACAGGTATACAATGTGAAATCATCAAATCAAGGCATTTGAAATATCCATCACCTAGGACATTTATCATTTCTTTGTGTTGGGAACATTTGAAATCTTCTTTTAGCTATTTTGAAATACACAATATATTGTTGTTAACTACAGTTACTCTGATGTGTCATTGAACACTAGAATTTCTTCCTTCTATCTAACTGTGCGTTTGTACCCATTAACCAACCTCTCTTCATTCTTCCGACCCCACACTTTGCCTAGTCTCTGGTAACTAACAGAGATTTGAAATGTATGTTTTTTCCCAATATTCTTTTCTTTTCTATCAATGTTTATTTAAAAATACATATTCCAACAGAATGGGTACTGTGCAACCCCTGATTTAGTCAGGATGGCAAGAAAGAAGGGCTATATGGCAGCAAGGTTCATGGCTGATCCTTTCCTTCCATGAATTTCTGCTTAAATCCTTTTATCCAAAATTGAAACAAACACAGATTCTTTTTTTTCTTTCTCATTAGGTAGTTTAGAATATTGGTATAGCACATAACTACCTCTTCCCAGAAGGCACTTTTAATTTTCTTGTTACCTATAATGTCCATTTTAGCTGAACATCACTTTTCTCAATTGATGCTATAAGTAAATACATTTAATCAATCACATATATATTTACATTTGTGAAATTCACAATAAGGGTAAAAATGCAAACTTATACATGGCAATTAGGATAAAATATGTTTACTACTCACTATCTATAATGCCAGTATTACTAGGATACTTACACTTCTGGAAGGAGATCAAATTACCCTCCCCACTCCTAAGAATATGACTGTTCCAAGTTCTTAGATAATAAAGTTCCAGTTTGTTCTGCAAATACATTGGGTACTTTTAGGACCTCTTTGGAAGCTGTATATTCTTTTCCTCCTTGAATTGTCTCTCTTGGCCTACGGCCTTTTGGTAATGTCTCAGCATTTCCCCAGTTTCCCATGGGACTAGTGCACCATGTCAGGTCCACAATTGCCTCCTATGGGACAGCTCCTTGATGGGGCAGCCCAGGTAAAAGGAGGCTGTTTAGACCATCTGTACACTGAGTAAGAAGCATCCTTCTTCCCTCAGCCTTCAGAACACTGAGAACTCAACAGCTCATGGTCAGAATAGGTGCTAAAAAATCACATCCAAGAAGGATACTTCACTTGAATTGGGATGTGCAATTTAGGTCTGTGACCACATATGATATAGTTTGGCTCTGTCTCCACCCAAATCTTATCTTGAATTGTAGTTCCCATAATCCCCACATGTCGTGAGAGGGACCAGGTAAGAGGTAATTGAATCATGGTGGAGGGGGGGATTCCCATGTTATTCTCATGATAGTGAATAAGTCTTATGAGATCTGATGGTTTTATAAAGGGCAGTTCTGCACACACTGTCTTGCCTGCCACCATGTTTTAAGACGTGCTTTTGCTCCTCCTTCACATTCTGCCATGATTCTGAGGCCTCCCCAGCCATGTGGAACTGTAAGTCCATTAAACCTCTTTTTCTTTTTCAATTACCCAGTCGTAGGTATTTCTTCATAGCAGTATGAAAATGGACTAATGCAACACAGGCTTTTAATGTTTTACTTTCATAGTCCAGAGATCTGTGGCTCTCAACTGTAGCTAGAAGAGTTTTCTTAAAATCCCAATGCTGGGGCTTATTTCAAAGGATTCTGATATAGTTGGTCAGCAGGCAGTTGAGGTCATAGGCTAGAAAGAGTAAAGAAATTGAGGTTCATATGTAGATAAGTCTAGATTACATGGAAGAAGACAAACTAAAGACTTATGGCTAAAGTCCTATTATAAAACAATTTAAATCTTCACCTGGAGTGACACCTGCATATCATCCTCTGGGATCTGTGATATTAAAAATTAGTAGGGATTCAGAGATTCAAGGACCTGGATATTTTCTTTCTATGAAAGACAAGGTTAGCATCAAGCAATTTATGATGAGCTAGGTTAAGATAAAACATTCTTGTCCCCTCTCCACATTCTTCCCTGAGCCAAACCTCTTGTAAGGATTGGTGAAATGGCTTGTGTACTTCCCCCCGTTTCTTTACTCATTTGTTACAAAGTAGTGACTTGTAGTATTAGTGTAATTGGGAAAAATAACTGCTGCTCCTCTGTAGCTCAAGCCTTCTGTAGCCTCTTATGAATCTTTCTACTCAAACAACATGGTCATTATGCTTTGCCTCTGTTCTCACGTCAAAAGGATACTGGAGTCAGGGCCAGTTAGTTCTGCCTTTAACAATAGATGATTTTTCGCTGTTGTAAATAGCACTGTGATAATTTATGGGTAAATGCATCCCTTTGGTGAACAATTCATTTTCCTTTGGGTATGTACCCAGTAATGGGAATCAACCCAGGGGTTCATCATCTTTATATAAAGAAAATATAGTATATATAATCTACGGAATACTATACAGCTGTGCAAAATAATGAAATCATGTCCTTTTCAGTAACATGGATGCAGCTGAAGGCCATTATCCTATGTGAACCAATGCATAAACAGAAAACCAAATATCACATGTCCTCACTTATAAGTGGGAACTAAGCATTGGATACACACAGACATAAAGATGGAAATATAGACCCTGGGGACTGAATTTTTAGAACCTCTTCACATGAATATGGAACCAAAATCGAGTGGCCAGCAGCAAAGTACTTAAAAGTCTATTTTAGACACTGACATAGGTTAGTTACAAACTCAATTTCAGACATTCCATCAATAAGATCAATATTTTGACTTTCATCCAAATGATTTCACTGTCTATATTCGAATTTTTACCTCTTAACATATAGAGATAAAAACTAGGTGCTTTACAGTGTCTCTTTTAAATATCAGCAAATTATTAGTTCCCATTTGAAATCTTATATTTTATTGAAGAAAAACTGTAAGCCTAGACTGAGACACTGGGTGGATACTCACATTCTCTAGCACTTGTACATGATTCTAAGGGTTAATCAGAAATGTAAGAAGAGGGTAAAATGTTGCTGCTCCTCCCAGGATCGTTCCTCCAACATTTTCGGAGGCTCCTCCACTTACATAGACACTCCCTGGGTCCTTCCTTTTACTGTCTGCATGGTGTCTCTGAGTAGCTATTTATGCCTTATTTTACCTCTCCTATTTCTCTGTGGGCAGGCTGGGTGGAGGGGTACTTGTCAAATGAATAGGCATTTTGAAACTTTAATTCTTTCTGGGCTGAGGAAGAAAATGTACAATGTTGATTGAGTTAAAATCATCATTAAAAAAGGGGATGGCTGACAAGTTTTGCAAGTCTTCTAAACTACCTCTTTTTGCATTTTATAACAGTCATCTGTTCTTACTGCATAAAACAAAGATCACAATCTAGCAGCATATGGGAAAAATCGGGCCTACATATAAGTTTTAAAACATTTGAATTAGCTGCTGAAAGTTAGAAATTGAGAGATCTCATAAGTTTTAGACTTCTGATATCTCATAGACAATGGGAGAAAAACTGGCAACGTATGTTCCTAGTTCAAAGCCTTTCTCCACCACTTAGCAGTTAGAAAACCTTAAAGCAAGTTATATAACTGTTGGGGACCTCAATTTCCTTGTAAGATAGGAATAAATATATTTACTTACCTCCTGTGGTGGTTGTGAAAATTAAATGGGTTAATATATGTAACTGCCCTGCACATTTTCTGACTTTTAGTGAAATCTCAGTATGAACTTTAGTATCATTAATATTACTATTCAATAAATTACAAATAATTTACAGCAAAAAAATGCAAAAATTATGATGTTAAATACCAAGATTATCTCATTGTTTATTGTAAAGCAGTGTACCTTACGATTTTTAAAGTGTTGTCTCCATTCTGATCTATTTTGAGCATTTTTAAAACTTGCTATCATCTTTTTTCATCATTAACTATCAATTGATTTTGTTCCCTTAAAAGTTGTACAGATTATATTTGGATTATTCAGGAATCCATAAGCTCTGAACAAAATACTTTTTGGCCTGCTTAATGTGGGAGAACATATAGACTTTTCTAGTTTCAGAGGTACTGGGAGACACTCCACATCACCTCAGTGTAAACAAGTGGTTCAGATCTCTGCTGTGAATATAGGCAGCTTTGGCTAAAATCCTGTTTTGTTTTGTTTTCTTTTTTGTTTTACAATAACTTAGTAACTTAGCCGGTAAATTTTTATTACTTTAAGCCTGCCATATGTAGTATCAAACACATTGATATGTTTGACCAATCCTAATAAGATATTTAGAACATGAACCAAAGAAGAGTCTGCAGTCTTAGAAATAAAAATGTATTGATGGCCATTATGTGTCTGACCCTGGATTGGGCAGTAGAACGTAGAGGCCCAAGAAAACCTTAAAAAGCTTACTTTGCTTTCCACAAATCCCATTCCGGCTGTGTTTTTCTGGTGTGAGAGCTTGACTTTTCTGCCAAATTAAAATTGAAATCATAATTCGACATATTAAGCTTGTAATTTTTCTTGTAGGAATGAATAATATCCACTGAGTAAAGTCAGCTATGATGCCCAGACTTGTTTATAACCACCAATGATTTCACTGAAATACAGCTGCAGGATTAAAAACAAAATAATATTTAGAGTTTTTCAACATTTTCACATCTTTTATCTCATCCAATTTTTAAATCAACTCCCTAAGAGTGTAAATGAACTTAATTAGTTAACATAGACTAGGTTATTCTCTGCTAATGAACAACCTTTAAAAGTCAATGGCTTAAAAAAACAACAAAACAAGCTAATTTCTTGCCCACACAATTTCTTGTTTCCTGAAATTCCAGGTGACTCATAAATCCTGACTTTTTTTGTGTATTATAATGCTACCATCTCAACATGTGTTCTCTAAACTGGTCATGAGGAAGTGAGTTAGAGCAGTACTCTGCGATAGAAATAGAACGCTACCACAGATGGAAGCTGCTTTGTATGAAAAAGACAGTGTGGTGTTATGGATCAAAGTGTAAGGACCTGGGTTCTGGGCCCAGCTTCCCTTTCCCAACGGTGGGCTTTGACCACTATTTGAGAGTCATTAGCCCTAGTAGCCTCTTTAGTAAATTGGAAATAGCAATATTTGCTTTGCATTTAAAGATATAAGGTATTAAGTACTCTTTGAAAATTATAAAATGGTGAACAAAAATTAATTACTTTATGACCACCTCTCATCCATCAGTATACCCTTTTCTTCAGATTCTTGGGTCTCTTACATTCTGCACTATTTTTTTTTCATGTGGCTGTTGCTGGATGGCTGACCCGTGTGGTATGGATGAGCCTTCGTACATATGAACAGCCTGAATGAGGTACAGGTTTTCGGCTTATTCTCTTAATTTAAAAACATTTGAATCCCAGTTCTGCTGCCATTTATGTAACTTTGGACTAGTGACAATATATATAGCTCTTAAATTCTTCTCTGTGAAACAGATGGCTTAGATGGCCTTTAAATCACTTTCCACATCTAATATTCACTCATTATTTTAAGAATTATCTTTTTTGGAGCTATTATGTGCCGGGAGGTCATCTCAGCTGGTGGATGTAACGGCCAAAATTCCTGAGGCAGTATTTAAGAGAGGATCTTAGCAGGAATTGTATACATAATTACTGTCAATTTAGATATACACAGACAGACAAACACAGAAACACATACACAGGAGACACATAAAATCACTTCGTATATTGTTTCACTTGTGGTGGGAGTCAATGAAAAAATGTCCTCTTGTTCTTACTCCAGCCCTCCCACTGTCTTTTTTACCACTCTGCGGGAACTATCAATGTAGATATGCTCTGGCACATCAGCCATCATCCTAAATCCAGAGATGATGTGTCACCTGTCTAAAAGGCACCAGATGAGACTCTTTGCCAAGCCCTCACTCTCTATATCACTGTTTCGTCCTTCATCATCTTATGGAGACAGATTCACAATTCTCAGGAGTTTCACAGACTGAAAGCATTGCTATTATTTACATTTAGTCTCTTCCTACCTGCTCTGAAAAAAATAATAATGGTGTGTAGTCAAACAGAAGGGAAACAAAAATTTGCATGCTCTATGAATCTTCCTGTCTCCTTACACTGTGAGATTTATAAGAGCAGAAGGCAGTAGTAGAAAGATCACTAGAAAGGGAGCTGGAAGACTGGTTTCTAGGTTAAAGGAAATGACTTAAGAAGCGCTTTGAGAGAAAAGTCCTACAAGCATGTTAGGCACCCTCATTCTTACTTTATTATTAAATGTAATCATCAATATCATTATATGTTATAATATCTAATATATTATTATATATTACATTATTATACATTATATTATTAATCATAATTGATATATATTTTTGTATTAAAATATAACCAATATAATGTTAAAATAGTGCTATTTCATTTTTATTATTATAATGTGGGTTTCTTTGCCATGACATGTATATATACTTCAGAGTGGCCTTTAGGCCCTCAGTTTAACTTCCTTTAGAATGATAGTTTTTAACGACACATTATTACCAGTCTAATATTCAGCCCAAAAACGTCTGTTTATTTAAAAACGTAATTGCCTTTTAATTTTGGTTAACACATTGTATCCAGTACTAGTAATAGGATTATCTAGTGGCACTAGAGAGAAGGGAAAGTACAACTAATAGAATACTAATTGAACTACATATTAATGGGAAATTATTGTGCTAAATAAGATGGGTAAAAGACATATTTTTTGTTATTTGAATTTTGAACCTCATCCTTGATATCAAAAATTACTTTTCACACTGTTTGCTCTTTATAGTGTAGCTTTTCCCATGGGGAAAAATCTAACCCTGGTTCCAATGTGGCTATGGTGCTTCCAGACATCATACCTGGAAGCCAGAATCAGAGATCATCACCCTCCCCCCATTCTCTCAAAAGACTCATTTTTCAATGAGACAAAAATCATTCTCAGAAGTGTCCTCAGTGGATTTTCTCTTGGGTTGTGTGTTGGAATCATGTGACCACTAGTCATTGGCTAGGGAGGAAAAGTATCAGGAACGTTCTAATCCAGTTAAAAATCACATTTTGGTTTGGGGAGAACAAATGCTCCTGAAGCCAAGCCTGGCTGATAAACATTGGGGCTAGAGTAATAAAGAAAGCAGGCAATCAATGGTGTCAGCAACACTTTCTCCTGCATCCCGCTCCCCCTGTCCCCCGCCCCCCACCCCGCTCCCTCTGTCCACCTTTCCTGCCCCCCCACCCCCAGGCTCTCCATTCTTTCACCTGTCTTGTTCAAGTCATTGCATGTCTATTTCTAAAAAAAAAAAAAAAAATGGAGTCACAACTCATCTACTTGAACTGTCCAAACATGGTTTTGGAAGGGAAAAACTTAGGAGAGCAAATGAAAATATCCATAGAAACATGCACACATCTAATCCATGTAAATGCATACGGAGGCGTATATCAATTAGATAGGTATAAAATTTATAAATTAGCTATAAATATTGAAATAATATACCTATCAATAGTTGGCATAGAAAATGAATATCCCATATTATCATAGAAATATTTTAAAAATAATTATTGTCATTACATAACTCTGTTTGAGTGAGAGTATACATATTCACATAATTACGTATCATACAGGTAACATATATGTGAATATAAACACACACACACATATGTGTATATATACACACACAGAAACACATATGTGTGTATGGGATGTGAGAGTCAGAGAAAAAAATGCTTTTTGGTTTTCTTTAAGCTCTAGTCAGTTCTTGCAGTGGAATACTTTTTCTGCTTACTTCTCATTGCAACTTCAAAACTATTTCTTCACTAGCTATAAAAAAAAGCTTTTAAGTTTCTGTCATTAAATTTTATCACCCATTTTTCTCTTCTTTTTTATTGCTGTCATCAACTTCTCACTAGTCAGTAACCCTTATTCATTGATGTGTTTAGCATCTGGCTGACTGTCTTTCTCTACCAATAACTCCTGCTCACATTATTGGTGGCCTTAACCACAACCATGATGATACAATCCAATACCCTGGACTGTATTTTCTAGACATTCCAGCTCCAGTGACCTTGTCTCTTCTCATTCCCATTTTCTCATGTGCACTCACATAGTCTTACACTGGATTCTGTTCCATCTATAACTGCTCAGCCTCTAAGATATCTATTTTAAGTATCCCATTCTCCAACAATCATCTTGTTCTAAATAAGAAACCATGCTTTCTAAATAGTTCATTTTGTCCTCTCCCAGAAAACTGTTTCACATATTTGTCTCCCCGCTAAAAACATCAGCATTCTCTATGCCCACACGCAATGGTAATCAATGGCCACAGCTAACATTGCATGATGCCTATAAGCATGTCTTTATCTTCCTGCCATCAAGACTCTGGCTTACATCCATCTGTACTCATGTTCTCATTCTTCCATCCTGTTAAAACATACAGACTTTCTCTTTTTTTCTATTACTGGCCTTTCTACTCTCCCCTAATCAATTTGTTCACAAGTAAAATTATTCATTATCTTCTTTGTATTCTGCATTATTTTATATGTTATTCTAAAAAAATCATCTTCCTCCACTGTCCACTTTTACAGTTTCCTCCCTTTGCTTGACACTTCATTTCATTTACCCCAAACTGCTAGTCTGGTGGGTTGAGCCTAACCCTCATACCTGAATACCTGAGCCTTTTGTTTCTTTGCCTTTTCAGGATGTTTGCTGCAATTGCCTATTTACTATTACCTCTAAGCCTCTACTATCTCAAGGCACCTAATGATACCCCAGTGACTTCCCTGAGGTTTAAAAATACTCCCCACTTTTTCCATTGCACAGCAGACACCCAAGATCCTCATCAGATTCAGGGTCCAATACTCCCATTATTATAATAAAACTTCTCTCTTGATTGGTGTTTGACTGCCGTTAGGATTAAAATTACCAAGTGGTAGTGTATCTTCAGGTTCAGTAGAACCTTTACTGGTTTAACCTTTACCCCTACAACCAACTTCTTGGAATACAGTAATCTAACCTATTAGAGCCTAAAGTTGTGGGGAACTAATCACACATTCACTTGACTTCTTGGTTTTCAGATCTACATATTCTACCTAATAGGGACATAGAACCATGAGTTAGCCACAATTTCCGTTGTTCTACTGTAACCTGGAAGAGCACATGCCAAACACACAACATGCCATTCCAAAGCTAGCATCTTAACCAAGACATTAATAGGCCTCTGCATTATTCTTTTAGGTGAGCTACTTTTGGATATTATGGTAATATAGGTTAGAATCAGTAGATCATAGGGTATTAGAACAATTGTTTCAAATTGTTGCTGAGAAAATGAGTGTAGGGGAATTATATATGGTGGTCCATGGTATGAATTCAGTCATTTATGAATGACTTATAGTAATTCTAACAAAGATCAGGCAGGAAGGAAAGAATCAATTAATATTTGGAGTATTTATTAAGTCTAGTAGAGATTTAATGCAGTCTCCTCCAGAATGAAGGGAATCCAATAAACTTAACCTGTATCATGTGTCCAGTTGCTCTACTCAAGGGATGGCTCCATGCTTTTTGCTGACAGATTGGCATTTAGCAGCAGGTGCTGGATCAGCTTTGATAAAAAGAATCCCACACTCCATCCTGACCCTATGGTTAGTCCTTTCTTGGGTTTATTGCTCAAGTTAATGACAGTGGTTGGCTATAATCCACTGGGTAGGTCATCTCCTTCTTCTGATTGACATTTTTTTTCTCTGATGTGGATACTCTAGTTGGCAATGATATGAGTACCCAAAATCTGCATGCTTTGTCCTCACTCCTTTAGATTCATGTTCCAAACATGAATGTTCGAAACTTCCTTCTTCCAGATCCTTGACCAACCAGAGAAGCTATTCACCACAGACCAGGAAACCATATATATTCTTACTTCAAGCCACTCCTCCAACCTTAAAAACTGAGCAGCTGGATGCTCTACCTGTACACCCACCTACACACTCCCATTGGAAAGATTTCTCCTTACCTTTGTCCTTGGAGGTATGCTAGGCAGGGATATGCTGAAGCAGAGATCCATTTTTGGCTTCTGTCAAATCAATGAACCAGGCCTGAGTTTTTCTTCTTCTATCAGCCCATTGCAGGGAACTCTGCATATTGTTGAAGACAATAAGTTGAAGGACAGACATCCATGAAACAGGTGGGTATTATAAGCATCAGGACCATCAGCTAAGTCCCAATTTCAAATACACCATTTTCAGTACCTAAGGATGGTGAGTGCTGAACCAAACTTATGACTTGGTCAGCCTGAAAACACCAGGCTTATGATAGACATCTGTGTTTTCTCAGCCACTTGATTTCTTATGGTCAGGCACAGAGTCTCTACCAGAGCCTCTTGGCATGACACAGGCTATATTTCAAGTATCGAATGAATATCAATAGAGTCTATGTTGTGACTCTCCTCCTGAAGCTTATGGGAGCTCCAGTAGAGCACCTTTAGCTACCAGACATATCTGTAGCACCAGCAGAACTTGTAGTTATTTCTCCTGAGCTCCAGAGCAGCTTTCACTGCAGCCTCAGAATCCCAAACTCAATGGATACTCCCAGTTTACCTCCCTGAGTAGCTAGGATTACAGGCCAGTGCTAACACGCCTGGCTAATTTTTGTGTTTTTTGTAGAGAAGTGGTTTTGCCATGTTGTCCATGCTGGCTTCAAACTCCAGGGTTCAAACAATCTACCTGCCTCAGCCTCCCAAAGTGCTGGAATTACAGATGTGAACCACCACACCAGGCCAGTTGCCCAACTTTGTTAATCCTGGAAACTGAATCCTAATAACAAACAGGATTTTTTTAGGCAACGTGGGGTGTGAGACAGCAGATAAGTGGGTAGAGAAAATGGCATGAGCAAAGACAGGGAAGTAAATGAAGGGATGTTGAGTTCTGTGAGGTTGAAAGAGTTTGCTGTGCTGAGAACTGGTATGTGAGAAGATTTAGAGAAGTAAATGGATAAGATGAGTGCAACTGTAAACAGAAAACAGTAACAGAAAGAAGGTCAATATGGTTATAACCTGGCTGATACAAGCTCAGCAGCAACCAAGAGTGAGTTCTGTAAAGTTTGCATATTCTGGATTCATCTGAGTTCACATGGATTTCTAAGATGATGAGGCAGCAATTCTGAGACAAACACAAGAGAAACTGAGTGTCTAGATCTGCATAACCATTCTATGAAAAGGGCTCTCACTCATAGGGTAAACTTAGATTAAACTGGATTAAACAGAAGTAAGCAGTTCCAGGTGACATTCCTTTCTGCTCAGATCTTTACTATGCAAAAGTACTTATGAACTCTGAAAAGGAGCTGTTGTAACCAGCACCCCTGTAAATATACCCTACAAATTTCCATTATTTTATTTTAATTAGAGCAACAATTTACAGATCTTCTTACACTCTTGTTCTGAGGACTGATTTGGAAAGTAGTGGTTTGGTGAAATTGTGGGTTGGGTTGACTTTGTGATCCCAGAATATCTGAGACAAGTCTCAGTCAACTTAGAAAGATTATTTTGCCAAGGTTAAGGATGTGAGTGTGACACAGCCTCAGGAGATGCTGATGACATGTGCCCAAGGTGTCCAGGGCATAGCTTGGTTTTCTACATTTCAAGGAGACAGGATACGTCAATCAATAATTGTCTCGATCAAAAGAGTCAAACTCTGTAAAATATCTGATGAGATTTATTCTGAGCCAAATATAAATGACCATGGCCCATGACACAGCGCTCAGGAGGTCCTGAGAGCATGTGCCCATGGTGGTCAGGGTGCAGCTTGGTTTTATCCATTTTAGAGAGTCATGATATATTAATCTAATACATTGAAGAAATACATTAGTTTGGTCCAGAAAGGCGGAACAACTCAAAGCTGGGGGTTCCAGGCTATAGGTTAATTTAAATATTTTCTGGTTGACAGTTGGGTGAGTTTGTCCAAAGACCTGGGATTGTTAGAAAGGGAATGTTCAGGTTAAGATAAAGATTGTGAGACCAAAGTTCTTTTGAAGTCTTACACTTAGAGATGATAGATGACAAATGTTTCCTATTCAGACCTTAGTTAATCTCTTTAGGATTGGGAGGGTCTAGAAGAAAAATGTCTAGCTATCTTAAAAAAGATTCTTTAAAGATGCAAATTTTCCCCCACAAAGAACAGCTTTGCAGGGCCATTTCAAAAAATGGCAAAGAAACATGTTTTAGGGTAAAATATTTTTATCTTCTTTGTCTCATAATGTTATGCCAGAGTCAGGATATATAGGGTTAAATAAAACCTATCTGATGAGAATTTATGATTTGTAGGGCATAACTCCCCAGGCCCCTTACACAGGAATTTGGGCAAAATTAAAAAAAAAAAAATCAGAGTTTAGTCCTCACATGTAAGACATACATTGGTTTGATTTAGAAAGACAACTTGGAGCAGGGAAGGGGCTTCCAGATCATAGGTAGATAAGAGAAAAATGGTTGCATTCATCTGAGTTTCTGATTAGCCTTTCACTGAATACACAGTTTATAGGCATAGTCACTTGTGCCTTAGTCTGGCTTAGTGAAACAATAGGATAAAGAAAGCAATCAGATATGCATGTGTCTCACTTAACCAAAGGGATGACTTGGAGTTTTGTTTCTCCGTTGTCCGCAAGGAATTTCTTTGTCGGCAAATTATGGGGGAGGTATGTAGCTTTTTTTGTCTTCATAGCTATCTTATTTAGGAATAGAATGAGAGTCAGATATGCACGTCAGTACCCAGCTTGACTTTTCCCTTTGCTTTAGTGATTTTGGGCTCCTGAGATTTATTTTCCTTTCACATTTCTCCCCTTTTCTTTTTAAAATCTTCCAGAGAAAGCATTTTAGAAGTAAATGAGTCTCTGTTCTCAGATTTTGTCTGATCTCTCGTGGCCAGGATGGTTTATTCTAATACATGTAGGTCTTATGTTAGCAGGAAAGCTCAATTTTAGCAGGTGGTGAAGTCTCACATCCTACAGGAGGGAGGGAGAAGAACAACAACAAACAAAAAATGGAGAACAATATTGGAAAATCAATATAAGTCATGTTAGATATGAGTTCTAAATTTCTCTTCAAAGAATCAATATGTCAGTATGTTCAATTCTTTGCCTTCTACATTTAAACTTAACTTCCTCATAAAGCAACCTTTTTCGATTACCTGCTCCACCCTGACTCATTCCGATTACCTGCCCCACCCTGACTCATTCCGATTACCTGCTCATTCTCCACCCTGACTCATTGCGATTACGTGCTCATTCTCCACCCTGACTCCTTCCAATTTCCTGCTCTGCCATAACCATTTTTCCTGCCAAACCACTCACCCCCCATCACTCTCTTTAAATTAGTCAATTGGAATTAGTTTAGCCTGTACAGTCTAACACTAGCTAATAGGGGAACAACACAGCAGCAGGGGCCACGTGCGTCAGGGATAAGAACCCCTTCCCCTCCCTTGTCCAAGTGTGCACTCACCATTGCTCCATCTGTAAGGGCGCACCCTTCTATAGAAGTACATTACCTTGCTGAGAATTAAAAAGAAAATTTTATATTAGAGTGCTGTTTCTTTTGTGGTACCAAATCTTTATTTGTAATAATTGGGGGGCTTGCCCGTGATTACATTCCCCTCTGGGGGTGGTCTCTAGTTCTCTCTCATGAGGAGGCACGCCCCACCCACTTGTGGCTGCCTCAGGGCTGAGAAATCAGGACCCACCTAATGTGAAGAATAACCCCAGCTCTCAGCAACACGGAAAGAAACTGGCCAGCAAACTAGCTTGAATGATTCTCACATACTGTGGCGACAACTCTGTGCACAGACCAAGGAAGGAGAAGCCGCGGGAGCCCGTAAAGTACTTCGTTGGTGGTCAAATTCTGGAGGGCTAAATGTGTGTGTGCGTGAATGATCACAAACAACCCCACTTGCAGTGTTGTTCATGTGGATGGTGACAAGTACTACTGCTGGATGGAGTGAGTGGGTCCTCTCCGCCGTTCTGTAGCTACCTCATATGGCTTAGGGCAGATCCTGCCATGGGATTTATACCAGCATGCCAACACTAAGAGCGGCCTAATTCTCCCTTGGGGGAGCAGCCAGGGATGACAACACGAGTGGGAAGTGTGCAAGGGACCTTAAGAGGGGGAAAGGGAGGAAACAGGTCAACCTTCCAGAGCAGCGAAACAAGACACCCCCTGTTTTGAGGGGTTGAGCCTTCTGGGACAGGCAAGCAGAGACATCCCTGGTTTGAGGGGTTGAGTCTTCCGGGGCAGGCAAGGAGAGACAACCCTGGTTTGAGGGGTTGAGACTTCTGCAAATTTCAGGGGGTTGAACCTCACACAAACCTCCAGTAGTAAGAAAAATATTCAGAACTCTTCTCTCCTTTCTTCTCGGGGGAAGAAAGAGTAGCTCCACTCCTGCCAGTCCCTCCCCTACGGGAAGGGGAAGGAGAGGAGAGAACAGCAGCATAAGCAGCTGGCAGAGGCAGGGAAAGACCAGCAAAAAGCAAAGAGAAACTGGGAGAGAAAGACAGAGAGTCAAAGAGAGAGAGAGAAAGAGAGAAGCAGAGAGAGAAAGAGACAGAAAGACAGGGAGTCAAAGAGAGAAAGAGAGAGAGAAAGAGACAGAATGACGGAGTCAAAGAGAGAAAGAGAGAGAGAGAGAAAGAAGCAGAGAGAGAGAGAAAGAGACAGAAAGACAGGGAGTCAAAGAGAGAGAGAGAGAGAAAGAGAGAAGCAGAGAGAGAAAGAAAGACAAAAGAGGGAGTCAGAGAGAGAGACAAAGTCAGAGAGAGAGAGAAAGAAAAGAGATAGAAGTAGTAAAGAGAAAAGAGTTTTTTCTATTCCTTTAAAAGCCAGGGTAAATTTAAAACCTATAATTAATAATTAAAGGTCTTCTCTGTGACCCCATAACACTCCCAAACCACCTTGTTGTCAGTGTAAACAAGGGTGTAGCCCGAAA
This sequence comes from Homo sapiens, assembly GCF_000001405.40. Classification (NCBI taxonomy): domain Eukaryota; kingdom Metazoa; phylum Chordata; class Mammalia; order Primates; family Hominidae; genus Homo; species Homo sapiens. The sequence continues at coordinate 12,429,751 of NC_000004.12, read as the reverse complement.
GCACTGAGGCCACTGGCAACTGTAGCCTTCCTAATCAAAAATCCTTAACCCAGTAACCCATGGATGGCCCAAATGCATTCAATCTGTAGCGGCAACTGCTTTGCTAACAGAATAAAGTAGAAAAATAACTTTTAGAGGAAACCTCATTGTGAGCACACCTGATCAGGTCAGAACTATCCTATGTTAAAAAAAAAAAAAAAAAAAAAAAAAAAAAACCAGCAAAAAGATAGCTTACTGACCCAAGAACCTTAAAGTATGAGGCTATTCTGTTAGAAAAAGATGATTTAACATTAACCACTGAAAATTCCCTTAACCCAGCATCTTTCCTAACAGGCGATCTAAATCTTAATTACCATACAAAGGTCCAGCCAGACCTAGGAGGAACTCCCTTCAGGACAGGTTCCTCCCTGGTGATTGAGGGAAAAAGACGCAATGGGTATTCAGTAAGTGATAAGGAAACTCTTGTAGAAGCAGACTTAGGAAAATTGCCTAATAATTGGTCTGCTCCAACATGTGAGCTGTTTCCACTCAGCCAAGCCTTAATGTACTTAGAGAACCAGGAAGGAACCATCTATACCAATTCTAAGTTAATTTGGACTAAACAAGGTCTTATTAACAGGGCAAAGGATAATTGAAATCCCAAATTTACAAGGTTTTCAACAAGAGTAAAGTTTGCTAAAAGTTAACAGTGTAACGTGTATTATCCTAACTTCTAATCATATGGCCTTAGGCAGTCTAGTCCACAGACATGAAGTTCACTTTGGAAAAGAATGGTTATCATCTTTAGGAAAAAAAAAGGGGGGGTGGGGAGAATTTATGTAAAAAGGAATGTTATATGGTAAATTCTTGTCCTAAAATAAATTAATTGATTGTTTAAAGAAAGGGATGTTTGCAACAAGTCAGAAAGTTGAGGCATGTTGAAGAATTGTCTGTGAAAGTTGTGGAAAAAAAATGTTATAAAAGGGAATTTATGCAAGAAATGTTGTATAATTTAAAAGTAATGGCCAGGCGCGGTGGCTCACGCCTGTAATCCCAGCACTTTGGGAGGCTGAGGCGGGCGGATCATGAGGTCAGGAGATCGAGACCATCCTGGCTAACACGGTGAAATCCTAGCTCTACTAAAAATATAAAAAATTAGCCGGGCGTGGTGGCGGACACCTGTAGTCCCAGCTACTTAGGAGGCTGAGCCAGGAGAATGGCCTGAACCCGGGAGGCGGAGCTTGCAGTGAGCCAAGATTGTGCCACTGCACTCCAGCCTGGGCGACAGAGCGAGACTCTGTCTCAAAAAAAAAAAAAAAAAAAGTAATTAGGCCTCCTGAACATAATACTATTGAAGAAACAGTTTATGTGCAAGGCATGTAAGCAAAGTAAAATATACCTTTGGTAAAAGGACTATAAGGAGTCATAAGAATGTGGATTTTCACCTACATTAAAACGTTAAAACATATTTTGTTTTAAAGGTTTAAGCAAGTTTTGAAATGTTAATTGTAAAGGAAATTCTGTGTGTAAACATATTGGTTAAGGTTAAAGGGGTATCATCCAGTTTTTCTGTGAACTGGACATTAAAATAAAAGCACAGCAGATCTTTCTTAAAGCACTAACCTGTTCTTTAACAAAAATTATAAAAGGCTAAAAAGAGTCTATAAAAATCTTACCTTATGGTCAGACATTAACAATTGGATAAATATGTCTACAAGGTTTTATTAAAATTAAGTTTAACATTAATAACATACTAACATATAGGTAAAATTCAGCTTATCTGGTATAAAAATTATCCAGGAAGCAATGTCTAATATAAAATGGTGTTTGGCTTTCTTTGGTCTAAAAACTAATAAAAATAGGTGCTAAAGGAAATGTCTCAGTAAGAAGGCACCAAGGACTATAAAGACCACTGCTGATGTCCCCACATTAAAAACGAAAGATCAGTTTCTTAGATATTATATACTTGGTTTATCTTCCACTTTCCTTTCCCTCAAAACTAAAAGTCTTTTAGCACAGGTACCACCCCTAGAATTTCCAGTAAACCAGCACCAGCCTGAGAATCCCATTCTCATCAAAGGGTGGAAAGAAGGAAAACTCGAGCCAGCCTGGGAAGACCCTGCCTTGTGTTGCTAACCACAGAGACTGCTATGCATACAGCGGAAGGGGGATGGACTATCACACTCGAGTCAAGAAAGCGCTGACCCTTCCAAAGTCATGGGCCATAGTCCCAGGAGAAAACCCTACCAAACTAAAGCTAAGAAAAACCTAACTCTCTTTTATCTATTCTATTACTCTTCCTTCTTTTCTCGCTCTATTGCTGACCATCTAGTTATTAACATAACTAAGTCAATTTTGCCTCAAACTATTGCATTTGATGCTTGCCTTGTTATACCCTGTGGGGACTTGCCAAGTCAAAGACAGCTCTCTACCTCAGAAAAGCACCTCTGTCCCTCTTGACTCCCCTCAGACTGGGCATTAGTGAATTCGGACCATTTAATCTGGGGAGATTTCAACAAAGACCCAGTGTCAACCAGAAGTCTTGCCCCCCGATGCAGAGCTTTTATACCGTAGTTGGTCCAATGTTCTGTGGACCACCAAAGAGCAAGGATGGACTGGCCCAACCAGTTTTTGTAATTTCCTAAAACTATACATGCGTTTTACTAGAGGGAGAGCCCTCCCCCACCACACACAAACTGTCAACTAAATCAGTACAAAGCTATACAGGTTATTATCTTGAACCCTCAAAGTTCTTCCCCTTTTCTAGGCCAATTCTCTTCTTTAAGCCGGTTTTATGGTATGGGGGGTCTGAGGTTTCAGGGACAGACCCTATTGGATTCTTTGAAATGTGTTTCTTTGATCCCCCACCGCCTGCACCTTCCTCTTCTTCCAAAACCTCTCACAACGAAACAATTGCTTCTCCATTTAATGACAAGAGCAAGATAGCTATCGTAGAAGTTAAAGATTTAAAACAAATTTTAGCAATTAAGACAGGATACCAAGATGCAAATGCCTGGTTAAAATGGATCAAATATTCCATCCACACATTAAACAAAAGCACATGGCAGGCCAGAGGCCCAGATTGTCCCTTTTCCACTAGGGTGGTCCTCCAGTTGGTATACTTCCCCTGATGGAAGTATAACAAAGGCATTGCAAGGTCTGACTGCTCTGTCCAGTGAGTTAGCCAACAACTCAGGGGTAAATGACCCCTTTACAGGATGGCTAGAAAAGTGGTTCAGTAAATGGAAAAGAATAATAGCCTCAATCCTTACTTCCCTCGCAGCCATAATGGGTGTACTTATTCTTGTTGGGTGCTGTGTCACACCATGCATCTGTGGGTTGGTGCAGAGTCTCATAAAAATGGCACTTACTCAAACCTCCCTTAACTATCCTCCACCGTATCCAGAGAAGCTTCTTCTTTTGGAAAATCAAGCAGAACAACTAAGCCAAGACATATTAAAGAAGTTTGAAGAGAAAGAACTGTAAGGAAACGCAAGAGGAGGGGTTCTTGGATATGAGTTCTAAATTTGTCTTCAAAGAATCAATATGTCAGTTTGTTCAATTCTTTACCTTCTACTTTTAAACTTAACTTCCTCATAAAGCAACTTTTTCAATTACCTGCTCCACCCTGACTCAGTCCAATTACCTGCTCCACCTTGACTACATTCCTATTACCTACTCCACCCTGACTCATTCCGATTACCTGCTCCACCCTGACTCATTCTGATTACCTGCTCATTCTCCACCCTGACTCATTCCGATTTCCTGTTCTGCCATAACCATTTTTCCCACCAAACCACTCACCCCATCACTCTCTTTAAATTAGCCAATCAGAATTAGTTTATCCTGTGCAGTCTAACCCTAGCCAATAAAGAAATGAAACAGCAGGAGGGGCCACATGCATCAGGGATAAGAACCCCTTCCCCTCCCTTGTCCAAGTGTGCACTCACCATTGCTCCATTTTTAAGGGTGCACCCTTCTATAGAAGTACATTGCCTGGCTGAGAATTAAAAATAAAATTTTATATTCAAGTGCTATTTCTTTGCAGCAACAAAACTTTATTTATAACAGTCATATTATTCTGAAGTCCATACATCAGTAGGAAGTATGAGAGTGGCTTATGTAGGTAAATAGGTGGCTGTTATTTTCTTCTGAAGTTTAAGTTGTGTAGCTTCAGTTTGCATGGCTTTAAGAAAGCACAGCCTAATTTTTAGTGATGTAAAATCAGGAAAAATGGGCTAAAAAAACCGAAATGAAAGAAGAAGAAAAAATGGAAATGTTATTTTGGAGACTTGTAGCCAGGAAAAATCTTAGAATTCAGTTCAAACTGAAGAAAATAATAAAAATGGAAAAACATTAGGCAAGACTAGAATCTAACAACAGGTGCACTATAGTAATCTTTTGAAATACAGTTTTTTCTCTCTCCAGTCCTATTTTCACTAAAGACAAATTATAGGACAAATCCACTTGCAAAATAAGTTTTAGTCTTATTATTCTTGGCCATAGTATTTGTATAAAGTCAGCAAGAATAATTATTTGCCATAATGCCTCCTGTATTTTTGTTTTTAAACTGGCTTTGCAGGAACATTATTCCATAAGGAATCTTAGCTTCAACTTTAATGCCTTAAGTCCAACCAATTTCTGCTAAACACTGGTATTAACTGGATGAATGCCTTACTTTGAAGTCCCAAGAAAATTTGGGGCTCCTGGGCCTGTTAGAGAGTTACATTCTTTACTTACTATAGGCCAGGAACCTGTACAGGGACTGTGTAGATAAGGTGTGAGGCCAGCTTTATCAAGGTGCTTTTGTTGGCTCTATAAGTTAATTTAATTCCTTCAAGGAGCCTGCATCTGAAAGCATGTCATTCCAGTGAAAACTTTAGTAAAATAACCAGTTGTGTCCTGTTACAAGATAAAACAGGTTCTTATTGCACTTATGCAAATAACTATATTACCATAGTTAAGAATACCCATAACTAGATTCCAAATTTTGGAGAAATCAGATAGAGAGAAATATGCTTCAAATTTTGTTTATAAAAGTATACTTAATTGCTAAAAGCTGTAAATAACTCAAAATAAAAGTTTCCTTGGCCCTGAAAAACAAAGGATCAGCAACATTTTAAGCAAAAAGTCATGAAAAGATTATTTCAGTCTTCTATAATTTCAGTCCATACAGTTAACTCTTGTTCTGCTTGATATTTGTGGACATTTCAGCTCTCCATGGGAGTCATCAAAGTTTTTTCTATTCTAGTGTCACAATCTCCAAAGTTATCAGATACCTACATTCAGGAGCACCTGCCAGAGTCCTATGCTGATTATAAAACCACTTTTTGAAAAGAATAAAAGTAAAACAACTGTAAATGACAAAAGTCTTGGAACAGGCATAGTTAAAGATACAACTGATAAGGAAATTTGGTTACTTCTGTGGCATACAACAATTTTACCTAATAAGCATAATTACTACTAATAACATATGCTAAGGCATGTCAGAATCATTGGAAAATCATATAATTCTGGAACACATGCTAATAACATATTTATATAAGTATAATTCAAAGAAGGTTAAACACTGTTACATATGTGGCAATATTTTCTATATTATTTTATTATATATCAGATAAGTGAAATATGTATTTTTGGGACATCGGGAGACAAATAACAAAAATTAGTGAGGACCTAAGTAAGAATTTGATTTTCAAAGTTTGCCAAATATAAAACCTTTAAAACATTTGATATCACAAAATAGAATCCTGGGTCATTTTAAAATAAGTCATTCATTTAGCTAAAGTGATAAAAATTTCAAAAAAAAGGAGAAAAACTTTATTCTTTGAGAGGATACTTAATTTCTCAGAAAATAAGCCCTAATAAAGACAGCATGAGGCCAATTAAATTTGTTTTTCAAATTTTTAAATAGTTTTAATTTCTTGCCCTGTGTCTCACAAACACAGTTTATTTTGATTGGCATCTTCTAGCAGGTATGAAGATGAGGCCTTAACTGCTGTCAATGTTTAAGATTTAGCAGGACTAGATGTCCTTTAAAGACCCAGGAGCAAAGCCCTGTAACTTAATGGCCCAGTGACTTTAAAAGCACATATGGAAAGTTACAAAGATGTAATAACCTTAATTAATTTTTTATTCTCATTTTTTTCTAAGCAAAGTAAAAGCTAATAATAATGGCATAGGAATTATTTTGATAAAGCATAAATCTGTTTATTAGGCCAGTTTCCCAAAGGCAAAAGAAAAGACCTTCTGCAGTACTACTGCTCTTCCCTATGGGTAGTCCATTTAAATAACCTGCAAATCAAAACTTACGAAAATGATATTTGAATTAGTTAGACACAGGAGGAGTGTTTCCTGGGTCGTAAGTGCAAATTTTCAGATTCATAGAACAAATTAAGCCAAAAGCAAATAATATTATGTTAGAACAAACATTTCCTTTAGACCTTTAAGATAAAACATTTTTGGCATCAGGCTACAGCAAACAGTTAGAACCCAAAGTGGGGAAAAAATACTTACAGGAGCTGAAAATGAGTTGGATAGAATTATTATTTCAGACATTTTGTAAGGGGAGAGAAAGCTGAAACAGATAAATTTGAACTTTGCATTAAAAAATAATATCCAGTAAATTTTTTAAGAATAAAGCACTACCTTAAGAAAATTGTTTTGTTCTAACCAATTCTTTATGGTATACATGTTCTTTTAATAGAAAACCCAATCTCTGGAAATACCATTATAATTTCCCTTTAATTATAGACAACTTGATCATATAAGTTTTTTTTCCCTAAAGTTCCCTTATTATGATTTATACAAACCATTTATTACATGCTTGGACATTCTGGTTTGTCCTGAACATCCCTCTTTCTTAAAGAACCAGTCATTTTATTCTAGGACAAAAATTTACCTTATGAGGTTCTTTCTCATATAAATTATTTTTCTTTAAACTTTCTTAACAAAAATACCTCTTTATTTCTATAATGTTCTTTACATCTCTCTTTTTTCCTGGTTCCTTTCACCTTGTTTTATATATAACATTTGAATAAGTTTTGAAGTAGACAAACAATATTCACCTTTTAACAAGACCACATATTTTTTAAGAAAGAATGTTTTCCTACATGTGTACATTTTTTAATTGAAAAATATCCATTTAATGAAATGTCTATTATTTACCTGAATATAAGTTTAGATTCTAAATTATGACAAGTTTATCTACAAGTACTTATTTCATTACATTTCCATAATTATTTTATTTTAATAGTTTACCTAGATTATTTACGAAACCTGCAATAGTTATCATTTAATGTTACTTTCCTGTCAACCATTTTATAGCTTGTGGATTTCAGGTGTTTACCTAAGTGAGAACCTTAAGTTTAGATACATGATTATTTTACAAAATAATTCAAGTTTTAGCTATTTTCATTAAACCAATATTAATGTCTTATTTATCAAAAATTACACAAGCAAAGGTCATTCTGTTTTGGTCTGGGTTTATATTTTAATAACTCTTATTTCAAATTTTGACCCCTTATAGTATTTGGTAGAGATACGTATGAAGTCTCTTGACTCCAGAAAAGGAGTTTTACAGCAAAACAAACTTTGGATGTCAACTAAATTGGGGAGATTAAAGATTCTCTAGAGAAAGCGGGGGGCTCCAAAGCTTCAGCAATTTGTCCTATTGATTTGAGCCATAAAGAGCTCAAGTTGGTACCAAGCACTGATAGGAGATTTGCCAAAGGTTAGGGCCACCTCCACTCAATGTCCCTTCCATTTGTCACCAATTTGTGAATCCAAAACATCTAAGACAAGTCTCAGTCAATTTAGAAATTTTATTTTGCCAAGGTTAAGGTAGTGTTAGAAACAAATGCTTGTTCCTTGGTGCCAAAAAGAAGAACTAGCACACCAAGAATTTTTCTCAGCAAGGCAACTTTACTTCTATAGAAGCATGTGACTTGTGGATGGAACGATGGAAAGAGAATACCTGAACAAGGGAGGGGAGGGGATTCTTATTCCTGACGCAGGTAGCCTCTGCTGCTGTGTTGTTCCCCTATTGGCTAGGATTGGACCACACAGTCTACGCTAATTACGATTGGTTATTTTAAAGAGAGAGGGGTACGAGTCAAAGTGGCAGGGTGAGTAGTTTGGCAGGAAGGACAGTTACAGAACAGGTGACTCAGGATGAGTCAGTATGGAGCAGGTGACCAGGGGTGACTCAGGTCAAAGCAGGTGACCAGGGGAACAGATGTGAATTACTGATTAGAACTGGCGGGTAAGTTGTTTACTGAAACTAGAGGCAAGAGGATGAAGAGAACCAGGAAGTTAAACTTTAAAATGGAGAACAAAGAATAAGAGAGCTGAACATACTGACATACTGATTCTTTGAAGATAAACTTGGAATTCACTATATTTAACAGTGGTAGGGACACAGCTTGCTTTACTTATATTTTAGGGAGACATGAGACATCAATCAATATATGTAAGATGTACATTGGTTCTGTCTGGAATGGAGGGACAAGTTGAAGCAGGGAGGGAGCTTCCAAATCATAGGTAGAAAATAGATAAATAGTTGCATTCTTTTGAGTTTCTGATTAGCCTTTAGCTGAATACACAATTTACAGGAATAGCCACTTGTGCCATAGTCTAGCTTAGTGAAATGATAGGGTAAAGGAAGCAATTGGATATGCATTTGTCTCACTTGAGCAGAGGGATGACTTAGAATTCTGTCAGTCCTTTTTCCATGAGGAATTTCCTTGTGGGCTAATTGTGACAGAGATATGTAGGTTTTCCTTCCCTTCCTTCCTTCCTTCCTTCCTTCCTTCCTTCCTTCCTTCCTTCCTTCCTTCCTTCTCTCTCTCTCTCTCTGTAGCTATCTTATTTAGGAATAGAATGGGAGGCAGGTTTGCCCAAGGCAGTTCCCAGGCTGAGTTTTCCCTTTGGCTTGATGCTTTTGGGGTCCTGAGATTTCTTTTCCTTTCACATCTTCAAGTCACAGAGTCAGAGCAGTTTGATGTGGCTCAGAGAGTGAGTTGGACCAGGTAAACCCAAATTACCTTTCTTGCACCTAAATTCTACAGAATCATATGAGCAATCTCTGCTTCTTCTATAAAACTTTCCTGCTATTGAGGCTCCATTGATGACTCAGTCCTCAGCCTAAAAAACAGTGCATGGTTCATGGTCAAATACTCAATTCTGTAATTTTATTCAATCATTCACTGTTGCTGTGTTAGTGTGACTCCTGTATCCTCCTCTAAATGGCAAGGGGTTTTGTCTTTTGAAGGCCTGGATATTGGCTTTGTTGACCAGATATAAATGGTTGTATATGTTGTTGTTTTTTTTAAAGGGCATTTTCAATTGAATATTGTCAGCAGCACTCTGATAATTGGTTTCAGCTGCATTGTTTATTTTCTGTCATCCTTAAATTGTTGTTTTTTTAAATCTGTTTTTGTCCTCAGAATACTTACAGAATCTTAGAACTCTCTCCCTTGCTAGTAACACCCATACAGTGGTTTGTTTAAACATTTAGCAATTGCTAGGGAGATGGCAACATTCTCACATCTCGAGGAATCTCACAGTAAAGGGTCTGTTAGTGTCTTGCATCCTCATTATTAGATTCTTCCAGTTAAAAATGAAACCTAAAAGGTACTTCCCACTTTGCATGAGTTCTAGGAGGAAATCCCATTGAGACCATGATGATAGCAAGATTAAGTTTCAGATAATTTGTTAACTTCTTGTTGCGTGTGTGTTTTATTTTTTTTTTTAAGATTTTATAGGCCTTTTATATTTTTGTGTCTTTTAAAACATATGCAGGCCACAATAATATAATAAGGTGTATTCACAGACCCTGAACTCTGGCAGACCTGGCCCTCATTCTGGTACTTCCACTTACTAGCTGAGTGACCTTGACAGGGCCCTTAGTATCTTTGAACATCACTTTTCTAATCTGTTAAAAATGGGAAGAACAATAGCACAATCTAGCAGAATTGTCATGCATATTCAGTGAGTGGGTGTGTATTCTCTTTGTATTCAGTGAGCATGTGAAGTGCTCAGTGCAAACTTAGAATTAAAAAACCAATGAATGATGGCAATTTGTATTATGACCATCATCATATAGGAAATTGAAATTAAGAAAATTTGTCTATACACAATATTTCTGTATACCCAAAGATGACTATTACTATGCTGTTTATAAAATTAAATAGTAAATAAAAATCCAACTGACTAGTGTTAGAATGAAGAATATACCAGACAAGATTGTGTGTATTAAAAATTATATCTATAAATACTTAGAAATAATATACAAGTGTAGTTTCCCTTTGCAGTTAAGTCAACAAAACAGAAGATAAGATTTAATATGTAGCTTGAGGCTAACAAAGTACAGACATATCTTCCACACATATAAGCATGGCATATGCAAGCTGCTGGTGATGGCAGGAATAAAGCTACGTGACCTGGAGGATTTGCTGACAGCACTAGCAGAAGAGAAGCAGCAGGGAGTGGCTTACCTGAGCATTTGCATATCAGCACATTGAGAAGAAAGGAAAAATATATGAAACAGTGAAGATGCAGGCCTCAGCCTAATGGTCAGGAGCCATTAGTACCACTTCTTTATCTTGCTAAGGCATTTTGGGCAAGCCCAAATAGGTTCCTCAATGGACCCATTTGCTCTTCTGTAGAAAAAAGGTCACATTAGATTAAAGAGCACGAATGAAGATGATAGCAACCAGACTTTCCTAAGGGCCTACTAAGTGTCATGTAAGTTTCATATTTTGCCTGAAAGGTGGCTGCCATGATTCCCTTTTTATAGATGAGGAAGACTCAGAAAAGTCATGAAAATTTCTAGGTTTGCACAGCTAGTATTTTGGAGAGCTGAGATTTGCACATAGTTGTATTACATCCCAAAATTTACAATCTTTTTTTTAGATCATATTACTGTGAATATAGGAATCTCAGAGTGAGGGAGCAGGATAGAAGAGGATATATTACTTAGCTAAACACTTAGGAAAAGAAAACCAGTACAAAGCGAAGGAAGATATTAAAGAACCACATGCTTTCTTATGGATCTTTCTTTCCTGAGTTCTCTTGCCTCTCTTCCTGCTGTATTCTAACCTGTACCCGAGGCCTGAGCAAACTTTCTCAACCAAGGTCCTGGTCATCTCACTACCTGGCTCTAAAATTTCCCCACTACTCACGAGGAAATTGAGCATTTCTTAGAGTAGCATTCAGTATCCCCTCACTCTGGTGTTACCACATACCCATCCCAGCATTAACCCCCTTAGTCTTAGACCCAGATCCCTCCTCTTGGCCTGACTCGTCCTCCAACATACCAGAGCATGTGACATTTGACTATATTCTCTTTTTTGCTAAGGCTTTTATGTGTAACATCTTTCTACCCTCACCACCACCCTTTGAACCTATACCCCTTTTCTGCAAGCTTCAAAAGTTTAGATTTTAATCAAAAAGCCCTCCTGGTTCTTCTCTGTAAAAATAAAAAAGGAACCAGGATCCCATAAATGTGGATGTGTCAATAGCTAGGATATACAGACAATCTTTGAGAATCTTTGACTTCAAGAGGCTTATAGGTTTGAATGCCAAAAAAAAAAAAGAAAAATTCTGGAAGCATCAAAGAAACACAGCAGGTTAGAAGATGTATAGACAAATTTTATTATGTTGTTGAATACCTCAAACTTCTGTTGTTAGTTACAGTGTATTGCTTATAATGGTGATGTATAATGATATATAAATTTATGTTAATTTCATAAATCTATTGATTCATATGTATGTTTTTAATGTATAAACTATTAGTAAATTTGTGTTTATGTGGTTTTACTGCTTGTAGACATGAATAATTCATGATTTTAATTTGAATCTTGTTTTAATACTATGAAAATACTTTTTATCTAGGGAATGTACCATAATAAGAGTGATTCTTTATACTTTAAAAGCTCTTTATATGTATTGATTTTTTAAGTTTATTATCTTGTTTGCTACTTGAAGTACTGCTTAGAAACACTTAATGTAGTAAAAAATTCGAGGTTCAGACAGTTTAAGTGATTTTTCTTAAGCTGCACAGTATCCAAGGCCCAAGATCAGACTGATATCTGATAAGCAGTTCCGTTCCCTCTCTATAGGTCACAATATTTCTTTTATAAGAAGAAAGTGGATGATTTAAAGTTTAAAGCTTTGATGTTTGTTAGTCTATTCCTAGAAGGTGGGAGGTGGGGGGTGGAGCTCCTTTTCTTGCTTATTGAATTTATTATTTTTGTTATTCTAAATTATGTAATAAGAATAGAATTTTTCTTCACTGATTCCCTTTCTTCTTGGTGAAAGTTCATTCTATATTAAGCAGACATCTTTTTGATAACTGTGCCATTTGGTTTTATATTCCTTTTAGTTATATTTATATTCCTAAAAGCCAAATTTATCAACAGCTACAAATAAAATCACCATCATCATCATTCACAATATTACTTTCACCAAGTGAAAAATATAAGCAATGGCTTGGCTGAAACATATTGATCATATTTTTTTGGAAAATCATGAAACTTCCTCTGAGATACACTATTTGTCATAACTGTGTTTTTAGCCAAGAATAATGAATAACTGATAAAATGAAATATGGTAGGACATAATTGGCAAATGGAGAGCATTTTGCAGAAATCAGAGTATTTTGAATTTCATTTCTTGTCATGGTTTATTTAACACTAGCTGAGTGCTTAGAGTCATGCACAAAAGATTAATGATCTTTTAGAGCAATTCCTAAGTGTAATATTATGTCTTGAAGAATTATATCACTCTCTTTAAGGGTGCTGAGAAAGATGTTAGGAGGCATCAATAACAATTCAAGAATTACTAACCATCTGCATTTTGTAAATCAAGTAGACAGGGGGTTTCCTCACATATTCCCTAAAGGAATTACATGATCCCGAAAGACATTTACTAAAGTATTTGTATAACTGTACAGTTTGTTATTGAAAGGTAATGACTTTGTGAATAATCCAATAGGTCCCAAGAAGAAGAATGAAATAGAGATAATACAAGAATCTACACAGGGGAGAATTTTTAGCTTTGGTGCTGACATTGATATTTCAGTTGCTGTTTCCTGAAGAATCATTTTTTTTTTCTAGATGGGGAAGTCATAAATGTTCTGTCTACTAAGTGTTGTTCTAAATAGTTCTCCTGTGTCCTAACAAAATGTATGAGGCTCTCTCAGTACATATGTTACCTCTAGGAAAAGATTTAGTCATCGAGAAGCTTTAGCTCTTAGAAATTTGAGAAGAATTTAATATTTGTCTTAAGTGTCCTGCCTGCTTTCTATAAATGGTTCTCATCATCCTTTCCTTTTTTTTTCTTTCTTCCTTCTTTTCTTTTTGTTTGTTTCCTTTATCTGTTTTTTTTTTTTTTTTTTTTTTTCAGGCAGTATAGTATTGTGAAATTAGTACAGGTTTAAAGTCAGAAAACTTGATTGGGGTCCCAGATCTAGGATTCATTAGCTTTGAAGCAATGGGAAAGTTAGTTGGCCTCTCTGTGTCTCCGCATTTTTATGGATAAAATGAGAAGACTAACAGTACCTATGAGCAATGCTTAAAAAATGATACAGAATAAGCCCTCGTGAGAAGTCAGATATTATTAAGCTTCTTTATTTGTCTGAATCAGAGACTCCTCTTGAAAAATAGGAAAACATATGAGGATGCTCCATGACTTACGGTGGCATTACATCACAAGCTTATTATAAATTGAAAATATTATATATTGAAAATGCACTTAATACACCTAACCTACTGAACATCATAGCTTAGCCTCATCTATCTTAAATGTGCCTGGGCCACTTACATTAGCCTACAGTTGGGGAAAATAACCTAAGATGAAGCCCATATTACAGTATGTTGTTGAATGTCTTATATAGTATATTAAATACTGTACTGAAAGTGAAAAACAGAATGGTTTTACAGATACTTGAAGTATGGTTTCTACCAAATGTACATTATTTTTACATTATTGTAAAGTTGAATAATTGTAAGTTGAGCCACTGTAAGTTGGGGATTATCTATACTCCTAAGCTTACCTAGTTGCTGTTGCATCTAATCAAAAAAGGGAAAGAAGCCTGAAGTGTTTTGGTAAAATAGTTTTATCTTTTTGGGGAGGAGTTTGGTTTAGTGTATTGAATTCAGAGAAATTGAGTTTGAATCCAGACCAAAAAAGAAAAAAAAAAGAAAAAGAAATAAATGTATCTCTGAACAAACTATTTGACCCAGTTGAAATGCTCTGAAAATTGCAACAATAACTTTTATTTATCAGGGTCCCTGTGGAATTCCAAATGAGGTAGTTTGTGTAACTTTACCGCTTTTTAGAATGGCAAAGGGGTATTTTAATGTTAGTTGTATCACATTTACTAAGAGAAAAACATTTTCATTTGTCTCATTTTTATTTGTTTCTAGGAAAAAAGTACAGATATTATACTTACCTTTCCAGACACTTAATTGGAAATGGTGCTTTTCTTCTAATGAAATGGACTTAAAGCCTCAACTCTATTGCATACAGAAAGACAAATCATAATTCAGGAGGTAGTAGTCACCAATCTGTCTCTCAACTGCTGTGAAGGTCACAGACTAGAGACATACATGGATCCTTTCTTCAAGGATTAAAGAGTGTAGAGGGAGAAATAAGTCTACACACACACACACACACACACATACACACACACACACACGCTCTGTCTCTCTCTCCCTCTCTATAACATAATCTTCAATAAGGTATGCACCTAGCTAAAAGAAAGTTACAGCTAGTTGTTAGAGGAGCTCAGAGAAGAGGAAAATGTCAGTATATGGTAGAAAGGTCTCATGACTTTGAACTGAGGTAAATATCAATTGGATTGAATCTTGTGCCAATGGGAGAAAGACAAGCAGAAAAGTATTCAGAAAATTATGGTGAAAGTGTTGGAGAGTGTCGACTGAAAGGGAAAAGGGAACATATAGGATAAAGAAAATACTTTGTTAGACTAGAATCATATGTATTGTTGGAAAATTGAGTAGGTTTAAAAATAGATAGGACTAGGAAGCTGGACTTTATCCAGAAGACATGGGAGAGCTTCTATAAATATTAAAGCCAGGCTGTGACATCAGAACAGTGCTTTAACAAGATGTCCTGTTTTTATCCAAGTTCTAGTATAACCTTTGGAGCTGTTGGTGACTCTCAAATAAGAATCAGCCTGTCCTGACAGCCTTCTTCTGTGAAGAAAGAGCCCCGGGCTCTCCTACTCCTTTCCTTCCCCTGCATTCCTCTGCACACAAGATTCCTTGCCTTTCCCTCTTCCCACTTTTCTTCCCACTCTTGTTCTTCTGTTTCTTTCTATACCATCCACCAAGAATATCCTTAGCCATCTCACAACCTTTACAGCTCAGCTCCGCGCTCTGCAGTGCCTTCTCAGATTCTCAAGAGAGATCCCTCTGCCTACTCACTTGCATTGGCCTGAAGCTGTTCCCAAAACTCTACAGTAGCAAGGGACACATTATAGGCAGTATACCGATTTGTTTGCACACCTGTTTCCCCCAAAGTAGTGTGAGGTCCTCAGTGAACCATTTTTATCCTTTCTTGTAAAGCTACATTACTTCCCTTTATAACTAACACTCTCAGTCTTATAGTCATGAGGTATAATGTTGCTGAAATTGAGCGTCGGAAAGTCTTATTTGAAATAATTGCTAAGATGCTGTATCCTCTTAAGGTCTTTGGGTTCATACTATGGTATCCTTTAAATCCACCGATGCTATGTTGCTATAATTTCATAGCATATTAATTTGTTTTTAAGTAAATATTTAATGAAGTCAGATCGTGTGAAAAAAAAAATATCCTGAGATGAATATCAGTAGACCCAGGCTCTGGTACCAGTTCTTCCCCTAAGTGGATCTATGACCTTAGGCAAGTCATTGAACATTTCCAGGCCTCAGTTCTCGAGCTACAAACCATGGCTGTGATTGTGTGTTCCCATGGTTTCTTTCAGCTCTAACATGCTATAATATGCGTTGTGCTACATATAACAGCATTCTTATGCCTATCCAATTAAAGATAAAAACTGTTGAAGTTTGGAGAAACCTAATAATCTTTCTTCTCTACCCACCAGATTATGGAATATTTAGCACAGAGGAACTAAATCAAGATAAAAATACAAAATCCACTTTATTTCTTTTATATCTCAATTAGAAAATGCAGACTTGACATGAAATAAGGGTTGGGATTCTTACCACTTCTCCTGTAAATTGAGTCTCATTATGGATGGAAAGTCAAGAGAACTGTGGGAAGTTTATTACTCCACAGCAGGAGTAGATTGGGAAATGTATTCAGCTTGTGGGTAGACTCCTTTAGAGAAAGCCCAAAGGCAGGAACATACGCTACTTCTAACTCTGATCAGCAATATAACCAACAAATATCTATCTTTCATACATACCAATACCTTTGCCCTTGCTGCAGAAAATAGTGAGTGATGCGTAGCAAGAAGAGAGAAAGGATCCAACCCAATATTTGCTGGAAAGGTAAAATAATTGAGAGGAATTTCTATTTACAGGCAAAAAAGAGCACAAGGTGGAGAAAACCCTCCCCTGACACCATCCTGAACACATACATACACACAAGAACTTTTCAAAAGAGAGCACACAATAAGGTTGATTTTAACAAAAATTACAAAAAAGTGTTGTTCTTTACAATCTAGAATCAAAAGATGTCATTGAGATTTAGGAGTTATAGATATGCATTTGCCACTTGAAGCATTAATCTTCTCTCATTCCTACCTCATAAAATTTTTATTATTAAAAAAATCTAACATGTTCAAAAGTATATTCATTGGTTCCACTTTGAGAACTCATTTATCTTCTAGTATAAGTGTTGACTGAACACGACTCCAAGGCAGAAAATTACATATTAAAATAATAAATCCTTCAATGCCTCCTCTCTGTTCCTAAATAAAGAGAACAATGGCATGATTTCCCTCTATTTATCCAGAGAACACCTCTATGCATTTTTTCCTATATATTCCTTCTTTAGTATATAATGTTCTTCCTTATCTTGTCAGCCTATGAGTCCTCAAAGCAAAAGCAACCTTCTCACTCATTGATACAAATCTCTCACAGCCTCAAATATGGTATTTTTCCTGACACTTGAGCTAAGTAAATTGTGGTCTCTCTCTCCCTCTCTGTCTCCTTTCTTTTTTTCCTCTCTCCCCATCCTATCATTGTATCTTCTAGAATTTTTTGTTAAAGATTCATCCTGCTGTATTCTAATTTTAATATATTTGTTTCTCAAATCGATAGTTCCTGGATTGTTCAAGACAAGAGGTATGTATTATACATGTATTAGGTATCTAATAGTTCTTTGTTAAGTGGATGAATATTTTGAAAGAAATTTTATAGATTCAATTAAGTAGTTCGTCTTTATGAACAATGTTATAAATCCACAATGTATTAGGATTGATTTTTTGAGACAGAGTTTCACTGTTGTCACCTGGGCTGGAGTGCAATGGCACAATCTCGGCTCACTGCAACCTCCACCTCCCAGGTTCCAGCAATTCTCTTGCCTCAGCCTCCCGAGTAGCTGGGATTACAGGCGCCCACCACCATACCTAGCTAATTTTTGTATTTTTACTAGAGATGGAGTTTCTCCATGTTTGCCAGACTGGTCTCGAATTCCTGACCTCAGGCGATCCACCCGCCTCAGCTTCCCAAAGTGCTGGGATCACAGGCATGCACCACCATGCCCAGCCAGGGTTGAAATTATTGAGAAGAAACAGACAAAGATTTGAATTCAAGCGGTTTATTTGTGGAAGTAGTCCCAATAATCATGGAAGGAGTGTGGAGAAGTGTGAAAAGAAAGGAATGAAGTCACTAAAACGTGTGTTAATTAATTGGTTACTATTTTGGGTCACAGGGCATCCATCTTGCTAGAGACCTCTGGAAAACTGCAAAGAATAAACCACAGAATTCTCCCATCCAAGAAGCAAGGAAGCTGAAGATTCTAAGCACCCAACTCCCATTAATCATTGATTGAGTGCTGCTTCTGCCATGCTATATCACTGGTATTTATAGTCTGTCTGCTGTTGAGGCCAAGCCTATTTCAGTGGCTAGATAAAATGCTCAGGAAAGAATTTCCAGGTTCTTGTAGGAAGCTACCAAGTCAGTAATGCACAGGAGCATTGAATGCAAAGGAGATGTGTTTGGCATCTCAACAGCATTTTCAGGGAAGTCAAACTCCAGCCGCAGAAAACATAGCAATTTTTATAGAAAAAAGTTACTGATCTTGTGCAGGTGATAGAGTTCTTCTGTAATCAACGTGTCCATAAGTGGCTCACTGATCTTCTTCAATAGTACCATAGTAAAGGCTCAGTTTCTGACTTTGCTGATGGCATGTATGACATCAGCAATACAGTATTTACCACATAATTGGTGAAGGAAGCCCGTAATGTTGGACTCACAAATAGCTTTCATTTCTACTACCGTGGCTACTCAATTTACGGGCATGTTGTGCAACCACTGGAATGGAAAAGACAAGAAGCTGGCTGGCATCCATGGAATAGGTTCCTCCTGTTTATCTGGTTGTTCAGGGTTTCTGTTCAGATGAGTGCTCTTTTTGGATGGGATTGACCTAACAGAAAAAGATCATGACTTTTTGATCATGATTCAATTGGCCCATCCCCAAGCATCTTCCCAGTGACTTTTTAATTTCATTGTACTCCACATCCAGTTTCTTCCAGGCCATTAGGTGTCACTATTTGTATTCCTATCTATGACCACTTTACCCACTAAGTAGATGAACAGAAGTACTGCTCAGGATTTGCCCATGTATTAGCCCATTTTCACACTGTCGATAAAGACATACCTGAGACTAGGTAATTTATAAAGAAAAAGAGGTTTAATGGACTCACAGTTCCATGTGGCTGGGGTGGCCTCACCATCATGGTGGAAGGTGAAGGGCACATTTCACATGGTGGCAGACGAGAGAAAAATGAGAGCCAAGCAAAAGGGAAACATTTTATAAAATGATCAGATCTCGTGAGACTATTCACTACCACAGGAACAGTATGGGGGAAACCACCCCCATGATTCAATTATCTCCCACTGAGTCACTCCCAGAACACATGGGAATTATGGGAGCTACAATTCAAGATGAGATTTGGGTGGGGACACAGCCAAACCATATCGGCCCACTAGGGAGGAGTAGCCATCACCATTGAATTTTTATGGATATCCAAATTAGTGTTGTACTGCAGCAACTGTCTGTTTTCTGCTTACATCAATATATTGAGTTGACCTATTCATAAATCAGTCTCAGGTTATTCCAATGTCAGATAGTCCTAGGAAATACCCAACAAGGCCATAGGCATGAGCTAAAGAGAGGCATTGCTAAAGAAGACTGCAGTGACATAGGAATCTGGACTACGCATTTGTATACATTATTTTACCCCCTTTTGTCCTGCCCAGTTCTCAAACTACTATTTCCATCATATGATGGATTGCTTTAGTGCTGTCCTGACAATGTTCAGCTCATAATAGGTACATTCCATTGTATAGACTCTAGATGTTTCATGGTTTAGTGCAGTTTTTCAAGAGTTGCTTTTCAAAAGTAAATAGTGAACTGGTGCAGAGAGCTCAGCCTTGCTTCAAAACCTTAGGAATTTGCAATGCAACTCTCCTTTTGAGGCTTTTCAGAGAGTCATCATGTAGTAAACCACCACAGATCAAACATTAACACATTTATTTCATTGAAGGTACCCATTGGAAGCATTTTCTTAACTTACTGTAGAGGGCTCTATTGCTCCTACCTCACTCAAAACTGGAAGTCTAATGAGTCAGATGATAAATGAGTCAGAGCTATATTGCTAAAAGTGGTACATACTGTCTTCTAAATCCAAAACACCCGTCCAAGCACTGTCCCAGTTTCCTAGTTGTAGGAAGTACAAAGTGAAATATCCTGAACTTTGAAAGAAATGTCCTAGTATTTCTGAAACTCTTCGACCCCTAAAAACTTAACAGACATGTCAGGCCTCCCAAACTTTATAAGGTTTAATATCCCTCCCTCTGATGTGTATGTGCCTTGTCAGCACTTTCAGAGAACTTGCCATTTTGTGGTCCCCAGGTAAAATTAACATGATGCCATCTGTATATTGCAGAGACAGAAGAACTGTAATCCCTGGGCCAAATGCAGCCTCCCATCTGAATTAGCATATTAAATTTTATTAGGGCCAGGTGCAGTGGCTCATACCTGTAATCGCAGCACTTAGAGAGGCCGAGACAGGTGGATCACCTGAGGTCAGGAGTTTGAGAACAGCCTGGCTAACATGGTGAAACCCCATCTCTACTGAAAATACAAAAACATTAGCCAGGCACGGTGGCAGGTGCCTGTAATCGCAGCTACTGAGAGGCTGAGGCAGGAGAATCACTTGAACCTGGGAGGATGAGGTTGCAGTGAGCTGAGATCACACCATTGCCCTCCAGCCTGGGCAACAAGAGTGAAACTCCATCTCAAAAAAAAAAAAAAAAAAGAATTTATCAGGAAACAGCCACATCCATTAATTTATATAATATCTATCTAAGCTCAATGGCAAAGTTTAATAGTTTTAACAAATATTCTATGGCCTGAAAAGCGTTAAACAGTTCCTATTTGTCTCTTTACAGTAAAAGTTTTTTAAACCCTGTCATAGTGGAATACTACAATACATGGCAACATGTTTAGATGATCAAGGTCCCTTTTGTTTACCTTGTGACAGAGAGTAGAATAGTTAACGTAGCCCTCAGACAAGTGTGAAAGTGTACTACTGTCTTTCCAAGTGAATGCTAACGATGCCATCCTTCCTGATTTCATCCTTCCTGGATTAAAAAATGTCATTTTTTTTTCAGATCAATAGAAACATATCGATAGCCAGCAAGATAGGGTGGTTTCTTCTACATAATTCCAACACAGAAAATATTATTGGGGTTACCACTTTGTGACATTCTTTGCTACAATTATAAAAGATTACCATCATCTGTCAAGATCCATCTTTTTTATTTTATTTTATCTTTGATACCATATCATTGAATTAAGTGGGAATATAATGAGTCACACCAGTTTCATGTCCTTTAAGTTTTTAAGGGTAGATTAATCTCTGCCACTTTTCAGTAGTCTTGTGATTTACTGTAAATGGGCAATGGGACAGTTTCACAAGCTTCCACTTTGCCCTTTATAGCGTAATAACTCTTCATCCACAGATGAGGGAACAAGGTGATGGTACTGCAAGATGCTAAATATATCCATGACTATTTTGCTCTTAAAGGCTGGAAGAATGACCCCCATCATTATGCACTTGAAAGCTGAGGTGAGATATATTTGAATTAGGAGGCTGATTATTACATATGTTTTCTACATCTGCAATCTAAAAGATGGGCTGTACATATTCCTCTATTAACAGTAGTAGTTCAGAACCTATGTTCAACAATTTTCCAAACAGGTAGATAGTCCTTTTTCTCCAGTGAACACCTACATTTGTAAATGGCTGTATGTTGCTTTGAGAAGACATATTTATTGTTCATTATTGCTGTGATATTACAGAGTCATTTATTTCGATCAATAGACTCTGAGTCCAACAAGTGATTTCAGTCTAGGAATCAGGGAAGAGTGATTTTCTGATAAAGCTGCTGACATAGCCTTCTGTATGTCTGCTCTTATTTTTAATTATGTAAGTAAAACATTATTCTCATTAGCTGTCTGCATATTTTGCCCCTTGAATGCCATCACCAAACTCTTGTTGGCTTCTTGGACTTGCTGCCTGTAATATTATATGTGTTCAACTTATCTTTAGTAATTGTATGCACCATTTCACCTCAGTAATTCTGAAATTCTTCATCCCTATGTGTTAAAGCCATTTTGGCATCTCCTTCATTTACTTGTAGACAGTCATTCTTTCCAAGCCTCAAGGGCCTATTCCAAAAGCATGTTACGGTTGATGTAAAGCATCCTTGCAAGAGTGTTCAATCCTAAAATACTGCAGAGTGTTCCCATATCAATACATTCCCCCATAGCCAGCATATTCTTCAGGACTCTCCAAGGCTACCCAAACATACTATCTCCATGATGGTATGTATTATCTACCTCTGTTCATGATACGCCCTTTAATTCTTGGACCATGCTGACACTTAGTATTGATTTAGAACAATAAGAGTCAGGGAAGATCTTGAGAAGGGCAAGTATCACATTGGTTGGTATTCATCTTAGGCAAAGCCCATATATGGTCTTCATGCAACGTGAGACTGTTCTTCTCTAGTAAATATTGGCGGGCTACTCTGTCCACCTAGAGATTTAGAAAAGTCTTAAGATTTACATTTCTCATTCATGTAAGGCCAGTGTTGTTGTCTTGGGTCTTAATGTTCTCTCTTATTTTCTTTTATTTTTGTTTTTGAGACGGAGTCTTGCACTGTTGCCCAGGCTAGAGTGCAGTGGCGCAGTCTCGGCTCACTGCAAGCTCCACCTCCTGGTTCACACAGTTCTCCTGCCTCAGCCTCCCGAGTAGCTGGGACTACAGACACCCGCCACCACACCTAGCTAACTTTTTGTATTTTTAGTAGAGATGGGGTTTCACCGTGTTAGCCATCTCCTGACCTCGTGATCTGCCCACCTCGGACTCCCAAAATGCTGGGATTACAGGCGTGAGCCACTGCTCCTGGCCTAGAGTTTTTTCTTCTTATCATGAACCTCACTTTACTGTAGAAGACTTGTTGGAGCTCTGAATTCAGCCTTCATCCCAACTCCAAAACCCTGGTAATTAAACCTTGTATTTGATATCCAGCAACATCTGTCTTTCAGGTGTTGATGAAATCTTTTTAAACAGTGTTACTGAGGCTTACTTGGTTTTAAAATGCGCCCTAAGTTAATAGTTATCAAAACCGAGACTAGAATTTTCTTCCTTCAGAGTTCTATGACAATTGTTAACAGCCAGAATTATTGAAATTTCCATTGCCCCATACGCCAGTACATCTTCTCACACCTACACCCCATGGTTGACAGTCTTATTAAACTGATTTACCACCCAGTTCGGTGCCATGTTATTACCTGGTCATTTAGCAATCTGATCCCAGAAACCAGTACCTATGGCTTGTAATCATACTTGCAATTACCACAAGCTGTTTTCCTCAAAGCAGATCCTGATACACAACTTTGAGTGCAAATAGTATATTTTGAGTGGATTACAAGTTGCTCTGTTAGGGGAATTAAAACTAGGAAGAAAAGAGTCTCGATACAGTGTGTGCTAATGAATGGTTATTACTGTGGCAAACTGGGAATCAGTACCACTGGGAACCTTGGAAAGCCTGCATAAAAATGCTTCAGAGTTAGACACATACTATGTGGCAAATATTGAGCTGAATGTAAACAAAACAGAAAATATAATGCCCAATCCTTCAGGGAGAAATCAAAGTCTTTGCATTTAATAAGTAGAACTGAAATGTGTGCCTATGAATAAGGGATTAAAATACTCACAATTGCTATTCCAGAGATAAGATCCAGGGTGAAAATATATATTAGAAATATTACTTTTAAATATCAAATAGTGCGTGACATTAAAAAACATATAATATAGAAGGCCTTATGATGAAAAGTGTCAGTTTCCTATTCTGCCCCTCCTCATTACTCATCTTACACTTCAGAATTGTCTGCTATCAACAATTTGGTATTTAGTTTTGTTTTTTGTTTTTTGTTTTTTTTTTGAGATAGAGTCTCACTCTGTTGCCCCTGGCTGCTAGAGTGCAGTGGCACAGTCTCGGCTCACTGCAACCTCTGCCACCTTCTGGGTCCAAATGATTCTCCTGACTCAGCCTCCTGAGTAGGTGGGATTACAGTTGCCTGCCACCACACCTAGCTAATTTTTGTATTTTTAGTAGAGATGGGGTTACACCATGTTGGCCAGGCTGGTCTGGAACTCCTTGTCTCAGGTGATCCACCCTCCTCGGCCTCTCTAAGTGCTGGGATTACAGGTGAGAGCCACCGCACCTGGCTGTATTCAGTTCTTATGGGAGTTATTTACATAAATTTACATTGTCCTTACAAGTACTGCTTTAGTATCAGCTATTTGTATTCCATCACCTGACATCTTCTATTCTTCTTCCACCCAATGTTTGATAATATAAGTATTGTTTACTTCTTATATGTAGTTTCTTTTGCAATATAAAATACATTTAAATAGCTATGCATATTATATAAATTTTAGATAGCCTATCTTGGGATGAGGATAGTAATGCTCCTACCCTTCTCTCAGAGAAAAGCTGTTTGATTCAAGTCTTTCAATAACACAATGGGACTTACAGGATTAATCGGTTTGCGTGTTGACAAACCAGTCTCTCATTCTATGTAACATCAGGTGAATCAGTAGAAAAACAAACAAACAAGACAACAATGACAATAAAAATAAAGAGAACAAACAGCAGCAAAAGAAAAAAACAAAATTGTTTCATAACTAGCAAATATTCTGAGGCAGCTGTGAGGTGTTATTTTTTAATCCTTTGCTTAACTTTGTGCCTTCTGCTCAAAGATTTTAATGTTTTCTATGTAGAACCTTCAATACTAATACTCTTTTCTTTGACTCTTACTGCTGGATATTAACCATACAGAGAATTACTCTAATGTATTAGACAGAATTCTTAACTTCAAACATTGACTTTCAAGTGAGAGTGACAACAGTGAATATGTGGTAGATACACGCTCAAAAACCTAAAATAAAGCTATTGATACTTGAGAAAGGAAGAGTCTTCAAAGGATGTGACTAGCTCTGGATTGTGATTCTGGATAACTGCACTCAGGCTCTTGCTATTTTATTAAAATTATTTTTTTTTAAGAGAAGCAGTCTTGCTCTTTCACCCAGGCTGGAGTGCAATGACACAGCCACAATTCACTGCAGCCTTGACCTCCTGGGTTCAAGCAATCGTCCAACTTCAGCCTCCCAAGTAGCTGGGACTACAGGCATACCCCATCATGCCTGGCTAATTTTTGCATATTTTGTAGCAATGGAGGTCCCCCCATGTGTTAAAATTAATCTTAAAGTCTAAAATGAGCACCTAGTTCATGCTATCTTTGTGCTAACACCAAAACAGGGAAAGAGGCACAAATATTATACACTTGAAAATAAAAGTAAAGCTAATGTAAATATGTGATAAGTACAACAAATAGCTAGAAAGGAATTGTCCACAGAAACACAGAGATGGATACCTTATACCAGCTGTGTCATACCAGCAGTTTTTCTGGAGGCAAGGTGGGGTTTTTGAAAATAATTTAGTGGCATATGTGAAAAGGAAGAACATTTTGAGCAGAAATTATTCATTTTTACCTACTGATGAGACAAAGCATGATAACTTCAACAGCATTACATATAATTCAGTGTATTTAAAGCAGGGATAATCAAACTTCTTTAAAAATAAAAAACGAAGTAGTAAATATTTCAGGCTTTGAAACCCACCAATCTGTTGCAACTACTTTAGTTGTAGCAGAGAGGTAGGCATAAACAAGATGTGGACAAATGCAGATGGCAATGCACTAATATAACATTATTTACAAAACCAGGCAGTGGGCAGGAATTTGCAAACTCTGAATTTACAGTGTGGAGGGCAGCCTGGCATGATGGCTCACACCTGTAATCCCAGCACTTTGGGAGGCCAAGGCGGGCAGATCACGAGGTCAGGAGTTCGAGATCAGCCTGGCCAACATGGTGAAACATGGCTCTACTAAAAATACAAAAATTAGCTGGGCGTGGTGGTGGGTGCCTGTAATCCCAGCTACTCAGGAGGCTGAGGCAGGAGAATCGCTTGAACCCGGGAGGCAGAGGTTGCAGTAAGCCAAGACCACGCCATTGCATTCCAGCCTGGGCAATAGAGTGAGACTCCATCTCAAAAAAAAAAAAAAATGTAGAGGGCAAGGGAATATCAAAAAATTTGGGGCTGTATTAGCAAGCAGGAGACTGACTATAAATGGCCGTGAATATGAAGTTTTAAGTCCTCCTTTCTCATTAATGAGAAATTTTTGAAGGCTACAAGCAAGTCAAAATCATCAGATATGTAATGTCATCTTTCTCTTTCTGGTTGTAATGTCATGAGTAGAAGAAAGAGGCAAGACTAAGAGTGGATAAAATAATTAGACAGGAGTTACAGTCACCAGGTCAGATAAGAATGAGCTAAATTAAGTAGTAACAATGAGAGCTGAGAGATGGGGATGTGTTTAGGGGATGTTTAAGAAGTGATTGATGAGTATGGAGGCAGTTGATGAAAAAGAAAATGAAGAAGATGTCAGAATTATGGCTTGAATAACTGAATGGACGAGGATGTTACTAATGAAGAATAGGGAGATGGAGATGGAGGGAGGGCAAGTTTAAAGATAAAGATACCAAGTTTGATTTTAAATTTGCTGACATAAGGGGATTCATGGTTTTTCAACTGGTACTCCCTAGTGTATAAGGTTGACAGGTAAAATACAAGGCACCCAAGAAAATTTGAATTTCATATAAATAATTATATTATGAATATGTCCGAAACATTTTATGGGATATGCCTAATATTAGACAATTATTTGTTGTTGCTGTTGTTGTTTCATCTGAAATTCCATTTAGCTGGACATCCTGGATTTGTTTTTGCTAAATATGACAAGCCTACAAGTTTATAATTGGTATAGAGTTATAAAATTTGGAGAAAGAGACGTGGATATAAAATATAAATTAGATGATAATGTATATAGAGTTGATGATGGAAGCCGTGCTGCTAACCACCTTTCTGACCCTGGCCAAGTTAATTTCATCTCGTATTGGTGTAATTTAGGGATGATATTCACTGAATTTCTTTAGTATTTTCTATTTTAAGATAATATGTAACTATGAGTGCAGTTTTTAAAATATATGTTCTTGTTATTATTGTACTGTTAGTTACTATGAACAAAATTTACTGTAATTTCATGGTGTTCTCTGCCATATTGAATTTTTAGAGTAGAGCAAGTTATCATTTACATGCAAAAATGTCTCTCACTCTGCTTTTTTCAATGCTTTTATAAAAATTAATGGCCAGCCATTCTCACATATAAATGTTTATTTCTCTTATGCCACTTTCTCATATTCATTCAGTTTGGTCACAGTATGCCACATGTGGACCATAAATTTTAATTTATACTCAAGTCACACTGAGGGCATATTGATTCATTTGAACATATTTGAAACATTACATTTCTGAATGTTACAGTTGCCTACGAAACAGCAAAATTATTTCTCCCTATTTTTATTCTCAAGGGAACTTCATATTTGAGAAAACAATCACAAGCAATTTCCAATATAGGTTTAAAGCTCTATTCTAATAGCCAATCAGAAAAAGATGATCAACTCTTCTATACTACCACATAATGAAAGAAGAGACCCAACCTCCGCATTTTGAAGGATGATCATAAAGTAATTAAATTATATTTTGATTTAAATAATTAAATTACGTTTTGGTATACTTTAATAATTCTGATAGATATGACCACTTCATTGTGAAACATACAGTATTATTATCACCATCACCACAGATTGTGAAATTGAAGCTCAAAATGGCTAAATTATTTATCATTTTCCCTTGCAAATAAGCAAAATAACATTAAACATAGGTTTTCTGGTCTTGGAGCTCGTTCCTTTTCCATTGCACCACGCTCTTCTTCTTTGATTTAATAACCTTTCTTCACAAATAACTGGAGGCATTTTCAAGGAATTGATAATAAAAAGCATTAAGAAAAATCCAGGACACATTTAGAAAGGAAAAGCTAACTTTCTATGTCTCAGAGAGTTGGAATAGATAATCTGAGGACTTAGACATTCAGGAACGGCTGGAAACAAACAATAATTGAATATGATATACGATCGATTGAGCTTGTATTCTGTTATGTTATTGATGAATTAGTATGCATCCAGATGGGTGCAATAGGAAATTTGAGAGGTCTGGAAAACAGCTGTGGAAATATTTGAATACATTTTAGACATTTGAATTGAAGAAGAGGATATGGGTGAGTTGAATGTTATGTAGAAGAAGGGATACTAATTCTTTGTGACCCCAAAGGGCAGAGCTAGGGCTGTGGATTAATCAGGAAAGGATGAGGAGGCAGGGAGAAAAAAGGAGAGCATAAGTAAGACAGATAATATCTCGTAAGCCTAGTAAGCACCTCCTGTGCCCAAGGAATTTGAACATGTAACCTCCATGCTTCTAGTAATTTACTCAGAGGTCTTGAGTTGAGAATTTGCTGAATATTACACTACATTCAGTATGCATTATTTCTGCTAGTCACTTCTGCACTACAAAGTACAAAAATATGTGATTGTCCCAAAGAGTCACAGAACACAATGTAGATATGAAGCTGTCAAATTTATATTTTGTTTCTCCATCTCACCAAGCACTTAGTCTTATGTTGACTGTAGATAAGAAATGTGGTGAACAATTCCTGGGTGTGGTTGCCCAGCTTCTTTTCCCTTTTCTTCTGTTACCAGCCTCTCCAAATTTCCTTGGTAATTCTTCCTTCCTCTAGATGCAACCAATGTGATTTGGATGGTTTTGATCCCTCGCTATTCTAAGGGCAGTCATAATTGTATGTAATAGATTTAATTTGTGCCTCCCTGTGGCTATGTCATCATATGGGTCAAAAGAATGGGCTTACTATCCAATTTTGGGCAGTGTCAGATTTAGGGTGTCCTTTTGTTTCCCTTATTTTCTCCTTTCTTCCTTTTTCCTTCCTTTAATCTCCCCTCTTTCTGCCCCTCCCCTACCTTTCTATCCACACCTTCTTGTCGTTCTGCTTCTGTTTTCCTCCTCTTCCTCCTCCTGTCCTTCCTTTACTGGAGTCAATATTTTGAGAATGTGAGCCTGGAACTTCCAGAAACATCAGCTAGGATAACTAGAATATGGAAATATGAAACTATCCTAAAATGAATTATTATATAATATGGTTTGACTGTGCCCCCACCCAAATCTCAACTTGAATTGTACCTCCCAGAATTTCCATGTGTTAAGAGAGGGAACCAGCAGGAGGTAATTGAATCATGGGGGCAAGTCTTTCCCATGCTATTCTCGTGATAGTGAATAAGTCTCACGAGATCTGATGGGTTTATCAGGGATTTCTGCTTTTGCTTCCTCCTCATTTTCTCTTGCCACTGCCATGTGCCTTTCACTTCCCGCCATGATTCTGAGACTTCCCCAGCCATGTGGAACTGTAAGTCCAATGAAACCTCTTTTTGTTCCCAGTTTCAGTTATGTCTTTATCAGCAGTGTGAAAACTGACTAATATATCATATAAAGAAACAGAGCTTGAGGGAGGAGAATAGAATTTCAATTATTCAAATTTCTTCAAGCTCTTAAATATAGCAAAGAGTGATTTCAGGAACACCCTTGAATTTTGTAGGTAGCGAAAAGTACTTCTTTTAAATGATGCTGGTTTGTGGATGCTTTTTGTCGTGTATAACTGATTAACATTAATTAGTTAACATCCTCTCCTGGGAAATCTTCAGTTGAGTTGCCATTACTTGCATCATTCCTTTTGTTTCCCAACCTCCAGGATCAATCAACTCTAACCTGAAAATCATTGCAACCCTGCCATAATTGGTAAAATTGAATGGTTGTAATTATCTGCATGTAACAGTCAATGTAAACAAAACACTGGCTCAAATCCCAAATTTGCCACTCCTTTAGCTGTGTGGTCGATATGGTTTGGATCTTGTGTCCCCACGTAAATCTCATGTCAAATTTTAAAGGAGGGACCTGGTGGAAAGCGACTGAATCATGGGGGCAGACTTCCCCTGTGAATCAGTCATGAATCATGGGGGAAGTCTGTTCTCGTGATAAGATTTTTCACAAGATCTGGTTGTTTGAAAGTGTGTAGGACTTCTCCCTTCACTTTCTATCTCTCTTGCTCCCTTGTGAAAACATGCTTTCTTCCCCTTCACCCTTCTGTCATGATTGTAAGTTTCCTGAGGCCTCCCCAGCTCTTTAGCCTTTGGAACTGTGAGTCAATTAAAACTCTTTTCTTTATAAATTACCCAGCCTCAGATAGTTCTTTATAGCAGTGTGAGAATGGACTAATCCAGTGATCTTCCTCTGTATTGCTCCAGAAATGTGTTTATATAAATAGCTTAGTATATTGTTCTAGAGATAAAGACAATTATTGTATTTTTTCAAAATGAAAGAGAATTTGCTAAAATCCAAATTGTATAGCATTTTTATAATTTGAGGAGTAAAGATTCTTAAATAGGCACACTTGTTTTTATAAGACACAATTGTAGTTTAACAGAGGTCACACTGGAAGAGAAAGAGAAAAACTGATTTATGAAATCCCTTCTGTTTCAAACCACTTTTGAGTTCCTAAGTGGTTATTCAGTCTCTAGAAAATTAAGTTTACTCATCTCTAAAATTGAGTTAATAATACTTATTTTCCATTGAGTAATATTGTGTATGTGGATTTTGTTTGAACAAAGATGTTGGAGAGCCTAATGCAAGAGATAAAATATACTGAAAGATCAATAAATTAGTTTCAATTGAGTGCTTAGCTAAGACAGAATAAAACTAATGGTCTTTACAGAGGACATCATTACTTCAGTCAAGATCATAAGTATTAGTCATGATTGTCATTTCCTTGAATGTAGACATCAATATAATAAGAATGTCGTCTCTCATTTTCACCATTCAGTCCCTAGTATTGACCATAAGGGCTGGAACATAAGACATATTCAACCATCATTCCTTGAATGAATGAATGAATGAATGAAGAAAAAAATTCAGAAAACAGTTCATTTGCACTATCCTCTAATTGTTGTACTAATTTTTATTCATAGTAATAGATAGGGAGAATTGATTACTGCTGTAGTATCAAAAGGCTGAGAAAGGTTCCAGTAAAATGACCCATCAAGGAAGGGAAAATCAGGGGGGCTATAAGATCAGAGTAATGGGAGTATTCTCAGAAGTCAGCTAGTCCTCTTCAGGATGTCTACCTATTCCAGTTTGTCCAGGAGAATATGAACTTAAGTGTGTTATGTAGAAGTAATTATAAATAAATGACACTTTTTTTTTTACTTTGAAAGTTGTAATGGCTTGGATAATAAATTATATGAGATCCTAGCCCTATTGCTATTACAAAATTTTTAAAAGGCCTTTTTCTAGTATTTGGCAGCATGAATCTTGCCAAGTAATGGAAAGCTCAGGAAGTCATGCCGTGGCTTAGTCTATCATTGAACAATCCAAATACTAGAAAATCTTTATGTGTATCCTCATAATTGTCCGTCAGCCACCCATTATTACCTAGAACTATAACAGCAAGGAAAGACTGACTTCATTTTCCATGCCCTTAACATAGAAACCTGTGAATATTTGAAAAATACTATATATCCCCTTTAGGTTTTCTCAATTTTACATAAGATATTTCTAGCTCCTTTATTTTTTTTTTTCATAATTTGTTGTTTCCTAATTTCTTATTATTCTGGACACACTCTCTTGGATGCACCTTAAGTCGCCAATTAAAGCTCAGAATTTCAAGGCAAATTAAAATTTAAATTTCTAGAGTTGTCTTTCATTGTAGATTTTACCTCTTGCTTTTCTGTCTGTTTTTCACTCAGTATCTCTTTCTCTATTTTTTTGTCACTCTTGTGTTCCCTTTCTCTATTTTGTTCTTAGTCTCTTAACCTGTCATGTTCTTGAACTTTATCTCTATCACTGCTGTTCTGTTTCTCTATCTTTCTCTTGTGCTGCAGATCAATTCCCTGCTCTGTTCTCATTTTCATTTGCTGTCCTGTCTTCTGATTTCCCTCTCTTCTCTTTGTCTTTCTCCTATTTCTCTTTCTCTCTGAGCCGGCAGTGTATCACTAAGCATGGGCCTGCTATTAAGACAGTGCCACCTTTCTTCATTGTCATTGACTACTAACTGGCAGTTCTGAACAACATGAATAGTAAGGGAAGACTCAAAGTTGGAATCTGAACTGTCAAGGAAATGTCACATCTAAGAAGAATAGGCCTTGTGTTTATCTGTATTCAGTTTCCATTTTCTTTTAGATCACATTGAATTTTAAAATTCTGTGAAACTATATTACAGATTTTCCTGTTATCATTATATCTAGCGTTCAGCAGAGCTGATCCCTGAAAAAAAAAATGAATAATGAGGTTTTGGTGAGATTCTAAGTGTGAAATTAACCCAAATAGAAAAAGTTTGTATTCTGAAAAAGCCCAAAAGACTAAGGCAGAATTGACCTGCCACATAGATAGGCATTGTTTGGATACTGAGAGGACAAATTTAGAGTTGAAGATGTCAAAACCCAGCAGATTTTTGAACTTAAAGAGTATTGTAATAAATTTTTGATTAATTGGACAGAGCTGTTGAAGTTCTCACTGAAATATGGGTTTTCCAGTTGGGCATGGAAGGTCATGCCTGTAATCCCAGCACTTTGGGAAGCTGAAGCGGGTAGACTGCTTGAGCACAGAAGTTTGAGACTAGCCTGGGTGACATGGCGAAACCCCATCTCTACTAAAAAAAAAATATATATATATATAGCCTGTTGTGGCAGACACCTGTGGTCCCAGCTATTCAGAGGGCTGAGGCAGGGGGATCACCTGAGCCTGGGAGTTTGAGGCTGCAGTGAGCTCTGAGCACACCACTACACTCCAGCCTGGGCAACAGAATGAGACCTGTCTCCAAACTAAATAAATAAAACTAAATAATAGAAATGTGGGCTTTCCAAATACGTATAAATTTTCAGAGAGGTTTATTCATTGGATTTTAAAAGAGCTATTACATAGTTAGTGCTCAGTAACCTACTGGTACTGTGCTAGGCATTTTTACAAATTTTGGAAATTTTCACTTTAAGACAATTTCAGTCTCATAAAAGAGTTACAAAAATAATACACAGAATTTCTTATTCCAGTGATTCTCAACTGAGGATGATTTTATGCCTTCTACACCTTAAGGTAATGTATGCATTCATTTTTGGTCATCACAAGTTAACATAGAAATGTTGTTGCTACTGATATCTAATTGGGTAGAGGCCTGGGATGCTGCTAAACATCCTGCAACACACGTAGTATCCCTTCACAACCAAGACAGCTACAGCCAAAATCTTTACAGTGCTGCCATTGAGAAATCCTGGCATATGACCCTCATTCAAATTTTTCAAATGTTCTTACATATGCATAGTGTAGTGATTTTTTTAAATAATGAAAAATTAACACTGATGCAT
Source organism: Homo sapiens (assembly GCF_000001405.40). Classification (NCBI taxonomy): domain Eukaryota; kingdom Metazoa; phylum Chordata; class Mammalia; order Primates; family Hominidae; genus Homo; species Homo sapiens. The sequence goes on along the minus strand of NC_000004.12, from coordinate 12,396,564 downwards.
TACTATAATCTATAAATTTTATGCAAATCTTGCCAATAATCCCACTAATATTCTATTTCTGGTCCGAATCCAACACAGGATCCTGCATTTAGTTGAACTACACCCTTAAAACCCTTAAATTCCAACAGTTCTCAGTTTTTCTTTGTCTTTCATTACTTCAACACTTTTGCGGTCTACTGGCAAGATATTTGGTAGAATTTCTCTCAATTTATAGAATATCTCTTTATTTTAAAATTCAGATTATTTATTTTTGATAGCAACACATCATAAATTATGTGTCAATCTTAATGAACAGATGATGTTAGGTTGTGATGATATTAATTTTGATCACTTAATTACAGCGTTGTTTTCAGGTTTTTCTACTATAATGTTATTGTTTTCCCGTTTGTAATTAGTAAATATTTTATGGGAATTACTTTTAGACATGTAAATTTCCCATATATCATCATGTATTCACCCATTAAATTTAGTATTCATTAATGATTTTTGCCTAAAAATATATTACTTTAGAATTTTCCAAGTAGTGTTTTCCTATTTTCCTCAATTCTTTTATATTTATTGTTTGGAATTCTCCAATGAAGAAGAGCTTTCCCTATCTTCCATATATTTGTTTATTCAATTTTTCATGTATCATAGAATAGACTCAAGGATTGTAATATTTTCTAGGGCTATATCCCATCATTATCATCATCAACATCATCATCATTTGGCTCAACTTGTACCTCACTGACTATTGGAAACCCTCTCAAGTTACCGTTTGTGCACTTCTGAATTATCCTCATCAGGTTTTGAGCATTGCATTCTTTTCTGGAACTGCAATATGTTTGAGCTCTTTGACTCTTTTCCAGTTATGGATCTCTGTCTTTCCCTAAATCTCTCTCCATAATGTATAACCATATCTTCTTCAGGGCTTAGCTTGCCTTACATGCTTTCTCTTTAATTGAATTAGTTCCTTAATGACTTTTCTGTCCATGTGTATGAATAGACATATATGTGTTAGTATGTGTGTATGTTTCATTCTGATTATCACTTCCCATTCAACAGATAGTAAGTAATATTGTAGTGTTTATCATAGTGCATATTTACGGGGGAAAAGATATCAACATGTTATTAAAATGAAAACAGTAAAGGGTTAAATTAAGGGAAGATTTTATATGTAAACAAGTTTCATGACAGATTGATCTCATTAGTGGGCCAAATTCTTCACCTTTTGCTGTAATTGTGTTCTTTGCCATATGACTTTGAAAACAGTTTACTGTCAGACATGTGGATAATCTGAACCCCAGTGGAGGCATCATCTGGATGACCATCCGGATGCTTGAGGAATAAATGCTTAATTTTGTTATGCTACTAATTTCTTGTAGTTATTTGTTATGCACCAGTAATGTTGTGAAAGTTTATTGATATAAAACCATGTGGAATGACATGCAGAGTTGGACCAAAAACAAAAGCTTTATAGTTGTGAAACATTGTTCTTGTTGTGACTACAAGAGAGATGAGCCAAAAGAATATGGTGGGTGTTTCACTAAGTAGAGTGAAGTTTAAGTAATGACTGAACTGCATATGCACTCTGCCCAGAAGTGTTAGCATAAGATCAGCACCTGATTACTCAGACATTTCTTTAGGAAGCAAAGAGCCACATGGAAAAGAAATCAATAGTAAGTGGAGGAGGAGCAGCAAGCAAATTCAAGAGCCCCACATTGAAAGAAGGTAAGTAAAAAAAGTTTTTGACATAGGAAAGAATAAGGCCTGGAGGACAAAAATTTGAGTTTAGTGTAAAATGGTAAAAGTGAGTCTAGATTTCCAAGAGCTTCTGAGTATCGTATAGATAGAGCTTGTTTTCCTCTTGACATTGAGTTAAAATCCATGCTAATGTTAACATACACAACTGCCAAACACGCAGTGTTTTCTGTACCATTTAACAGCAAAGGTGTCTGAAAATAGCCCGGGGCTGAGTCTGTATAAAAGCTTATTCTCTCAGTTGTCTGAGTGTGGTAAACTCACTGCAAACTTGCAGTCACCGGCTTAAATGTTTCTCTTGATTTAGGACCTTAAGCTCTTCTAGGAATAGAGGAAGAGAAAATAGGAGTAGAACAATAATATAATAACTTAAACGTTTGTTGAGTTCTCCATGTCCCAGGAACAGTGAGTGCTAAGAAATTTACCTTCATCATATCAATAAATGGTCCCAACACACTCTAGGGATAAGTATTACTATTAACCTTACTAGTTCATAGTTAATGGAACTGAACCTTATGGAAGTCAAGTAATTAACCTAAGGCCATAGTGCTAGTAAGTGAAGGGAAAGAACCTTTAATAAAGTCTCAGAATAGCTTTAGTCTTGGCAGAAAAAGGGAAGAGATGAACAATTTTGGTGGTCAGTCAGAGAAGTCTTGCAAGAAAAGATGTTTTTCTGGGTCTTTATGAATGTGTAGAAGAGTGCCAGGAATCAACAAGTATGTCATGGAAAAAAATAGTAGGCTATTCCTGGAAGAGAAGATAGCCTTTGCCAAGACACCAAGGCACATGCTAAGTGTGATACATTTGAGATGGCGGGGAAGCAGTGCAATGGATCATAATGGAGAGCAGGCAAGAAAAAACAGTGGAGGTTATTTTTTTTTTGACTTATTACAAGGTATGTGTTTCATTTTATAGGTCATAAGGAGTCGTTGAAAGACTCTAGGCTAGAAAATTGTATGGTCAGATTTAGATTTGAGTGTGTTTACTTGCTCTAAGCAGAGAATAGCCTGAGAATGAGTCAGACCAGTTTCATTTTCACACATTAGGAATAAAATCAGTTCAATGTAGGTAAATTATCTTGAAGTATATTCAACAAAATTCTATTGATACAGTCACCCTTTGAAATATGCTAGACTGAGAATCAATAAAGTGAGCTTAAGTAAATGCCCTAGCTTTTATGATTAGCCTAAGGGAACATACAATGTTAGATATTTTAGGTCTATGAGAAATAAAAAAGTTTCACCTCTGCATTTCAACTGGCTTCACAGATGTAGCCTTTCCCTTCTAAAATTTTTCTTCTAAATTTCCCTTCTGGAAACAGTCATGTAACTTCTAATGAAAAAAAATTTTCTCAGTTGAATTATGGATTAATGTTTCAAGTTTTGAAATTCTTCACTTTCCCGTTTCACAACCATTTCACAAATCAAACAGCTTCTTGATTGATCTCATTACTGGGCTAAATTCTTCACCAAAATTCTTGGTTTTGTTTGAATTTAAGTTCTGAAAATTAATTTTCTCAATGTACTTCTTTCCTGAGGAGTGGAATTAAGGTGTTCCTTTAAAATTAAAACCACAAAACTCTAGCTTCATATATAAAACTAGGACCATATTACAAATCTTGCTTGTGTAATGAAATAATGAAATTATGCTTAACATAAAAACACATACACGTTTCCGTGGAATGTAATTTTTAAAAACGCATGAACGGAACCAAAAATCATCAAATTTTGACATACATATAGCTATCCATTTGTGTAGCATCCACCCCTGCTTGGTCCTTTAGGACTATACACACATATAGTTATTAACATATATAAAGATATAATAATCTATAAATTAAATATAAAATATAAATTATGTAACTTACATGTAATTTCTTGCATGTAATACATAACATGCAATTTGCATAATGTTTGTATTTATAAAAATAAAATATAAAATGGTATATATATACATACATATATCACACACATGTGTATACACACATATATCACACATAAAACACCTAAGAAGCCTTCATTTATTAATTTTATAACATATTTAGACATCTACTATGGGCCAGGTAATGTGCTAGGCATCTAGAATATTGCAGTTAATAATCAAAACTCAACTTCAGCTCCAATAGAACTTAGTGGCCCTGTACAGTTTAGTTAAAATATTAGTCCTGAATCCATCTCCGGTGAGCAGGACAGGTTTACATATCATCCTGGAAAATATGTACCCTCTTTAATTTTATGCCTAGACTTGAATCTACTGATATGACGTCTGCCCTGTACTCCCTTTCCTTTAGATCCTGTTTGGAGTACCAATAAAGAACAAACATTTTTCTTTGACTGAGTTAAAAACTAGTCGTTGAAAAGAGGGAGTCAGGCAGACAGTGATCAATATGGCAGCTAGTTGCTGACAGAGATGATGATGGAGAAGAGGACGTAGGTATGTTAACCAGCCTGTGCAACATTCACATTTAGAAAGATTTTCACACCGAGTCACAGACAAAGCTAGATAATCTCAGCACTGTTTCTCGTTCCCAATCTCATCAACACCAGTTCCTCACACTCCAAAAGGGAAATAGCTTTTACCAATAAGTTTGCCCCATGGTTTACAGTAGAAGAGTGTACATACTTTCCTAGCTAGTAGATGCCAGAGAGACGAGAGGAAAAATAGAAAAACTGTGCAATCCCAATTCATGCTCCCATGTGATCTAGATAACTAGGTCACATGGGATCTAATCTTCTGGAAAAGAATGAGTGAATAGGCAAAACCAGACAAAAATGTTGCATTAATTGATGTACATTTACATGGAAATATGAAGCAAGAGGGGTGTCTCCTTCTCCAGGACACATGTCTATCCACCACATTTTAGATGTTAACAGTCTAGTTCCAAATGAGGAGCCAAATAAGAGCTCTACCTCTGATGTAAGCTCCACCACAGGCTTTCTCTGCTTGGCATTCACTCCATTAGCTGCTTGATTTTTCTGGTCAAGGTACTTCCATCAAATCATAAGGAAGGTGCATATCAAAATCATCGGCAATTGATGACAGACCACAGAAAACTGAGCCAATGAGAGAGTTCCCAGGAAAACACTGGAGCTGTGTTTGTTGACGGGAAGAGATGGAAGTTGGTAATGCAGAAAGATGCTACCCAGCATCTAATCTTACTGGGTAACAAGTGCATTGGGATGGAATAGCAGTAACATAGCAAGGTAATCTCAAAACTATAGATGCATGTAGTAGAAGAATGAAAGCTCTAGTTCTGCAGTTTTCACTGGAATATGGATTATGGCACTAGCACTGTCTAGTTGTTTGTTATCAGAAAGATATGAATGATTCAAACATTAAGTTCATGTCACCTGTACACTACAGATACCAAAAATGTTAATCATGATACCTAGTTCCATGAGGTCACACAATGGCAAGTATGATAAAGCCCTTAGCATAATGTCTGGGACATACTGAAACCTTGCTAAACATGAACTATTCTTAATGTTATTATAATTACTATTAATGACGTCAAAATGACTATTTCTTTCACCAAAAGATTCCATTTTTTCTCTTTTTTTAAAAGTGAGTTTTGTAGAAATATCCATATATTATACAATTTTACCATTGAAAGTATACAATCTAGTGATTTGTAATATATTCATAAGGTTGTGAACATTAAAACTAATGTTTTCTAATTCAGGAATATTTTAATCCCTTTTCCCACCAAAAAAACATATCTGTTAGTGGTGACTTCCCATTCCCATCTCCCCAACACTGTCATCAGCCCTGCCTGCAACCACTAATCTCGTTTCTGTAGGTAAAGCACATAAAACACTTAACAAATTGCCTAGCATATAGTAAGTGGCCAACATTATTACTGTAAAAATATAATGCCAGCTAATTCTACATTTACTGTAACATCAATACAATGCCCTTGATGCAGAGCATCAGATTATATCTTTGTATATTTTGGATACATGATTACAGGAAGCTTGTGGTTGAATCTCAGCTATTTAATGTTGTAGTGCCATGTGTTAGTATTAATTGAGATATAATTTACATATCATAGCATTCATCATTTAAAAGTGTACTCTTCAGTGTTTTTATTATATTCATAGCTATGCAACCACCCCTACTATATTATTCCGGAACATTTTCATAACAACAAAAAGAAAACCATATCCATAGCATTCATTGCCTATCCTTCACTTTTCGAAGACCCTGGCCACCACTAGTATATTTCTACTTCATTGAATTTGTATGTTCTAGTCATCTCATTAAATGGAATCACATGATATGTGTCCTTTTGTATCTTGCTTCTTTTCCTTAGTGTAATGTTTGCAGGGTTCATCCATGTTGTAGCATAAATTATTACCACATTCTCTTTTATGGCTAAATAACATTCCACTGTATGGATATACAACACATCCATTGCCATTTATTAGGTGATAGACTTGTGGATTGTTTCTACTTTTTGGTTATTATGAATAATGCCATTGTAAAAATTAACGTACAAGTTTTTGCTTGATACATATCTTCTATTATTTTGGGTATGTACCTAGGAGTGGAATTACTAGCTCATGTGATAATTCTTATATCTAAGATTTGGAGAACTGCCAAAGTGATTGCATCATTTTACATTTCATTTTCTCCACATTCTCATGAATACTTTTCATTGTCTGCTTTTTAAAAATTTACCATCCTAGTAATATATCTCATTGTGTTTTGATTTGAATTTCCCTAATGACTTATGATTTTGAGTGTCTTTTTTTGTGCTCATTGAACCTTTGTTATCTTTGGAGAGATGTCAATTCAAGCTCTTTGCCCATTTTTAAATTATTTTATTTTTTTACATTCCAGGGTGCATGTGCAGGTTTATTACATGGTTAATAGTGAGTGTCAACTTGATTGTACTGAAGGATACAAAGTGTTGATTGAAGGTGTTGCCAAAGGAGATTAACATTTGAGTCAGTGAGCTTGGACAGGCAGATCCACTCTTAACCTGGGTTGGCACAATCTAATCAGCTGCCAGCATGCCTAGAATATAAGCAGGCAGGAAAAAATGTGAACTGACATGACTGGCCTAGCCTGTCAGCCTACATCTTTCTCCCATGCTGGATGCTTCCTGCCCTTGAATATCGGACTCCAAGTTCTTCAGTTTTGGAACTCCGACTGGCTGTCATTACTCTTCAGCTTGCACATAGCCTACTGTGGGACCTTGTGACCCTGAGAGTAAGGATGGAGTTCTTTCATTGGTTTTGGGGTTCTCAGAGTTAGATGCTTAATATGATTAGACTCAAAATTTCTCAGGACTCTACTTCTAATAGTATAAAGAATACTGATAGTCCTTGGCCAGAACTGTTTAGAGAGTTATGCAAAATAAATGGATTTGACACTCCTGATTCACTGCTCATGTGAGGCAAGGAGTTCAATGACTCTACACAGAATACCGTTGACCATATATGGAGAGCCAAGGAACATAATGAAGCTGGTTGGCGGCTCCTAAGTTCAGTGAACACATTGATGAAAGAAAATAATACACTTAGGGATTATATCTCCCGGCTTCAGGACAGATACTGAGCCTCGTATCTGCTAAGATTGCCCTGAGTGGGAGTCTTATCTCCTGTAGAAAAAGAGCTGAAATTGTGGAAAAACAGACACAAGCTCTTATCATGCAGGTGGCTGACTGCAACGGAAGGTGCATGCAGAGCTTTGACAGGTGTCTACTGTTAAAGTGAGGGCATTGATTGGAAAATAATGGGACCCTGCAACTTGAAATGCAGATGTGTGGGAGGGCCCTGATGAAGCTAGGGACACTAAGTTTTTAAACTCTGATGAACCTTTTTTGCCAGAGGAAACAGCCTCCCCAACCCATAGTGGCAACATCCCCTCCTCGACTCATGCTGCCATCAGCCTTTCCACCTTTGCCTGAGGAGATAAACCCTGTACTGCCTGAGGCAACAGTGATGGCCTCCCCTGAGGCAGGTGCCAGGCAAGATAATGTTGATTATCCTCAGGAGCTACCCCTAACACCCCTGTTTGTTTCTAGACCTAAAATTAGACTAAAGTCCCAGTGGGCCCCTAGAGGTGAGGTTGAGAGTGTGACCCATGAAGAGGTGTGCTACACTCAAAAATAATTGCTTAAGTTTTCTAATTTATATAAATAGAAATCTGGAGAATAGGCATGGGAATGGATATTAATGGTGTGGGATAATGGTGGAAGGAATATAGAGTTGGCTCAGGCTGAATTTATTGATTTGGGCTTGCTAAGTAGGTACTCTGCATTTAATGTTGCAGTTCAGTGAGTTAAAAAAAAAAAAGGCGCTAATAGTTTATTTGTTTGGTTAACTGAAACATGGATTAAAAGATGGCCCAATGTGAGTGAGCCGGATATGCCTGATCTCCCTTGGTTTAATGTAGAGGAAGGGATCCAAAGGCTTAGGGAGATTGGGATGGTGGAGTGGATTAGTCACTTTAGACCTACTCATCCCAGCTGGGAGGGTTTGGAAGACATACCCTTGACCAATGCCTTGCAAAATAGATTTATGAGGGCAGCACCTGAATCTTTGAAGAGCCCTGTAATTGCTCTTCTTTATATGTCAGATCTACCAGTGGGAGCCACAGTCACTCAATACCAAATTGAAATACAGTGGGAATAATTGGATCCCAAGGTGGCAGGGGCCACGAGGAGGCACTCAACCATCAAAGGCAAGGTAGGTGTAGCTACCATAATGGACAGCAGAGGCAAAGCAGCAATCAGAACAGTCTGACTCATGTAGAGCTCTGACATTGGCTAATTAATCAGTATTCCTAGAAGTGAAATTGATGGGAAAACTACTGCACTCCTATTTAATTTATACAAGCAGAACAATTCTAGGTCTAATGGACAACAGGCTAATTTGAATTATAAAAATAGAGAATCATGGCCCCTCAATCAACTTCCAGACTGGAACCAGTTTACAGACCCAGAACCCCTTGAATAAAGAGGAGGCGAGGTCTCCTTGAGGAAGGACCCCACTACATTACCAAACATTTATGCTGTTAATCTTTCTCCCATCATTCCCCAGGGAGACCTCCAGTCTTTTACCAGGGTAACTTGCATTGGGTAAAGGGAAATTATCAGATATTTCAGGGACTACTGGACCTTAGCTCTGAGCTGACATTGATTCCAGGGGACCCAAAACGTTATTGTGGTCCTCCAGTTAAAGTAGGGGCTTATGGAGGTCAGGTAATTAATGAAGTTTTAGCTCTGGTCTGACTTACAGTGGGCCCAGTGGGTCCCTGGACTCATCCTGTGGTCATTTCCCCACTGCCAGAATGCATAATTGGCATAGACATACTGTGCAGCTGGCAGAACCCCTACATTGGCTCACTGACTGGTAGGGTGAAGGCTAGTATGGTGGGAAAGGCCAAATGGAAACCATTAGAGCTGCGTCTACCTAGAAAAATAGTGCATCAAAAACAATATCACATCCCTGGAGGGACTGTGGAGATAAGTGCCACCATCAAGAACTTGAAAGACAGAGGGGTGGTGATTCCCACCACATCCCTGTTCGGCTCTCCCATTTGGACTGTGCAGAAGAGAGATGGATCTTGGAGAATGACAGTGGATTATCATAAGCTTAACCAAGTCGTTACTCCAATTGCAGCTAGTGTACCAGATGTAGTTTTATTGCCTGAGCAAATTAACACATCTCCTGGGACCTGGTATACAGACGTTGACTTGGCAAATGCCTTTTTCTCTATTCCTGTCCATAAGGCCTACCAGAAGCAATTTGCCTTCAGCTGGCAAGGCCAACAATATAACTTTATGGTCCTACCTTAGGGTTATATCAACTCTCTGGCTTTGTGTCATAATCTTTTTTGGGGAGACCTTATTGGATTGTGCTTCTAGCTGCCAGTGTGGCTAGAATATAAGCAGGCAGGAAAAATGTGAACTGACAAGACTGGCCTAGCTGCTCAGCCTATATCTTTCACCCATGCTGGATGCTTCCTGCCCTCAAACACTGGACTCTTAAGCTCTTCAGTTCTGGGACTCGGACTGGCCCTCCTTACTCCTCAGCTTGCAGACAGCCTATTGTGAGACCTTGTGATCATGTGACTTAATACTTAATAAACTCCCCTTTATATATATATATCATATATGTATCATATATGTGATATATACATATATGATATACATACATATATAGATACATATATCATATATAGAATATATATATTCTATATATAGATATATATATCCTATATATAGATATATATATTCTATATATAGATATATATCCTATATCCTATTAGGATGTATATATAGGATAGATATATATATCCTATTATATATATGTCTATCCTATATACATTAGGATATATATATCCTATTAGGATGTATGTATAGAATATGTATCCTATTGGGATATATATATATATATATGTTCTATATATATATAGAATATATATATATGTTCTATATATAGGATATATATATGTTCTATATATAGAATATATATATGTTCTATATATATAGGATATATATATGTTCTATATATATAGGATATATATATGTTCTATATATATAGGATATATATATGTTCTATATATAGGATATATATATGTTCTATATATATAGGATATATATATGTTCTATATATATAGGATATATATATTCTATCATATTAGGATATATATATCCTATCATATTAGGATATATATATATAGAATAGGATATATATATAGAATAAGATATATATATTCTCTCCTATATATATATATAGAATATATATATATCCTATTCTGTCCCTCTAGAGAACCCTGACTAATATATATGTAAAATAGGATATATATATAATAGAATATATATATATCCTATTAGTTCTGTCCCTCTAGAGAACCCTGACTAATACAATAAGTAAACATGTGCCGTGGTGGTTTGCCACACCTATCAACCCATCACCTAGGTATTAAGCCCAGTATGCATCAGCTGTTTTTGCTAATGCTCTCCCCTGACTGCCATCCTCTGACAAGCCCCAGTGTGTGTTGTTCCCCACCCACCATCTCCATGTGTTCTCATTGTTCAGCTCCCACTTATAAGTGACACCATTCAGTGTTTGGTTTTCATTCTTCTGTTTGTTTGCTGAGGCTAATGGCTTCCTGCTTCATCTATGTCCCTGCAAAGGACATGATCTCATTCGTTTTTATGGTTGCATAGTATTCCATGGTGTATATGTACCACATTTTCTTTATCCAGTCTACCATTGACGGCCATTTGGGTTGATTTCCTGTCTTTGCTATTGTGAATAGTGCTGTAATGAACATACACATGCATGTATCTTTATAATAGGATGATTTATATTCTTGTGGGTATATACCCAGCAATGGGATTGATGGGTCAAATGGTATTTCTGGTTCTAAATCTTTACGGAATCACCACATTGTCTTCCACAATGATTGAACTAATTTATGTTTGCACCAACAGTGTAAAAGCATTCCTATTTATTCTCAACTTTGCCAGCATCTGCTGTTTCTTGACTTTATAATAATTGCCATTCTGACTAGTGTCAGATGGTATCTGATTGTGGTTTTGATTTGCATTTCTCTAATGATCAGTGATGTAGAGCTTTTTTTCATGTTTGTTGGCCACGTGTTTTTTTTTTTTTTTTTTTTTGAGATGTATCTGTTCATGTCCTTTGCCAACTTTTTAATGAGGTCTTTTGGTTTTTTTTTTCCTGTAAATTTGCCCATTTTAAAATTGCATTAGTTCTGTTTTTATTCTGATTGTAAAATATTTTGTAAAACTGCTATTTTGGATACAAGTCTCTTATCCAACGTATGACTTATAAATATTTTGCCTTATTCTATGAGTTGTCATTTCCGGTTTTAATGACGTTCTTTGATGTACAAAGAGTGTTATCTTAATTTTGATGAAACTCTATTTATTTAAGTTTTATTTTGTCACTTGCCCTTTTGATGCTTTATCTCAAAAGCTGTTGTCCAACCAAAGTAACACATATGTTTTCTTCTAAAACTTTTATAGTTTTTGCTCTTACATGTAGGTCTATGATGCATTTTGTTATAATTTTTACATATGGTATAACATAGGGGTCCAACTTTATGCTTTTTCATGTGGATAATTAATAGACAAGACCATTTATTGAAAAGAATATTTTTTTCATAGAAAAGTTGTGGCTCCACAGTTGAAGTCAGTTGACCATAAATGTAAAGGCTTATTTTTGGAATGTCAATTCTGTTTTATTAATATATGTATCTATTTCTATTCTGGTACCACACAAATGTTTACTAATATTTGAAATCTTTTTATAGAGTCAACTTTTGGTTTTGCTATTTCTATTATTTTTCTGTTTTCTACATAACTTATTATTGTTCTAATATTTGTAATTTTCTGCCTTCCCCTTGATTTAGGTTGAGTTTGTTCTTCTATTTCTAGTTTCCAGTTGTGAAAGGTTAGGTTATTTACCTGTGATCTTTCTTCTTATTTTATACTTACGTGTTTAGGGCTAAGAAATTATTTTAAAACTCTTCGTTAGCTACATCCTATAGATTCAGTATGGTGTACTTTGCTGTTATTCATCTCATGAATTATTTTATTTCCTTTGTACTTTCTTTTCTGATGTTAATTCTGAATAGGTTTTTACATTTTCACATATTTTTGAATTTCCAAAATTTCCTTTGGTTAATATTTTCTAATTTAATTCTGTTATGATACTAAAGTATGCTTTGTGTAATTCCAATCTGTTTATAAATGCACTGAGGCTTACTTTATGGCTTTAACTGTAGGGTATCCTGGAACGTGTACTATGTGTGCTTTAGAAGAATGTGGGCTCTGCTGTTGTTTAGTGGAGTGTTTATAGATGTCTGTTAGATCTATGCAGTTTATAATGTTGCTCAGCTTTCTATTATTTTGTTGATTTTCTGTACAATTCTGTATATTATTAAAAACTGAGTATTGAATTTTAAAAATGTTATTATTGCATTATTGTTTCTTCATTTAATTTTTTCAGTATTATTGCTCTCCATTTTATAGTTATGTTGCTAGGTGAGTATGTAAATTTTTTTACGATGGTTTGACCTTTCTATTATAAAATATCCTTTTTAAATCTGTAATAATAATTTGATCTTAAATGTATTTTATTTTGTCTTATATTTGTTCAGTCACCTTCATTCTATTTTGGTTACTCTTAGTATGGTCAATATTTTTCATCTCTTTATCTTCAATCAATTTTTATCTTTGAAGTGTTACTCTTGTTAAAAATATAAAGTTGGATCATTTTTACTTTAATATTCTGCCAATCTTTGCCTTTGGATTATAGTGTTTAGTTTATTTATGTTTATATAATATTGATAATTAAAAATAACACCAGGGAGGAATTATATCTGTTCTTTTTTCTGTTTTCTGCATGTCTTATTTTCTGTTCCTTTAATTTTTCATTGGTGTAATATTTTTTGTTAAATAAAACAAAACCACTGTACTTGTTTTTTTGTTTCTTTTACTCTATTCTTTTGTTATTGTGCTAGTATTGTTGCCCTGGGAATTATACCAACATCTTGACTGAGACAAACTAGTTTGGATTAATATAAATTTAATTTCAGTAGGATACAAAAAAAAGCTTTGTTCCAGTTTAGTTTCTTTTCCTTTCCTGTGCTCTTATTGCCACAGAAATTACACATTTGTACATTGTAACTTTATTAAGAATTGTTTTAATTATTAGTTTATGTGTTTATCTCTTAAATTATAACAGAAAAAAACTGTACAACCAAATATATATTTAGATTGTCTTTTATATTTTTTCATAAAGTTAACATTACCCATGGTCTTATTTTCTCAGTATGGATTTCAATTTCTGTCTAGTGTTCTTTCATTTGGCATGAAAGACTTTTACTATTTCTTACAAGTCAAGTCTCTTAGCAACAAACTCAGCTTTTCTTTTTCAGATACTAACTTAATTTCACCCCTGTATTTGAAGAATTGTTTTACTGAGTAGCGAATTCTAGGTTGACATTCTTTTTTGTTCTGCATATTCAATATGTAATCCCACTGTTTTCTGGCCTTCATGGGTTCTGATGAGAAGTCAGTTGTCAATTTTATTTAAAGATACTTACATGTGATGTCATTTTTCTCTTGCTGCCTTCAAGTTTCTCTTTGAGTTTTTGGGTTTCAACATTTTGAGTATGGCATGTCTAAGTGTGGATCTCTTTGAATTCATTGGCTTTGATTCATGGAACTTCTTGGATGTGAAGGTTAGTATTTACGCATGTCATTAAATTGGAAAATTGTTGCTCATTACTTCTTCAAATATTATTTTTGCTCTTGTCTCTTTCTCCATTACATCTTGGACTTATTTGTATAGTGATATGTTTCATGTTGTTTCACAAGTATTTGAGGCTTTGTTCATTTGTCTCCATTCATTTTTCTTTCTGGATAATGTCAGATAATGTCAAACTGAATAATATTAATAACATTTTTCACGTGTCTTTTTTTGTTGTAAACTGTACATTTAAAATAATAAACGTGACAAATATGGCAATCTGACAAACATACTCAGATCTTTTGTTGTTGTTACTGTTTTGTTGTTGTTGAAGTTGTTTATTCCTTTAGTGTCTTTTCTAAACTATTTCTGTAAAGTTTGAATTCCTTTTTATGTGCAGCCATAGTAATCTCTGTTTTATTGCCTTACTCATCTGTTGATAATTATGCATATATTTCCTTAAATGCTTTGAACAAATAAATCTTCTATTCTTTTGCAGTGATTTCCTGTGTGTTGTGGCATGCTATTAACATTCTAGAAGTTTACAACTTTTCCTGAGCCTTTATTTGGTTTCCATAGGACTTCAAGTTCAGAAAATCTCATAAATTAGTTTTTTTTTTTTCATGTGTATGGTCTTCTGGATCTTCAGAAATATAACAGAGCCATTCAAAGCCTCCTGATATAGATAGATAGATAGATAGATAGATAGATAGATAGATAGATAGATAATTTTTTGTACAGCCCCTTATTTTCACAGCTGACATTGCCACTTCAGGTAGCTACAAAATTAAACAATTGTCACTGATTGATTTTAAAAGACATCCTGGGTATAGGACATTTCCCACTGAGTAAGCTCTTTATCAGGTCAAATAATGGCAAGTCCTGCAAATTTTTGTTTGTTTGTTTTGTTTTTGTGTTTGTTTGTGTTTTTTTTTTTTCATTAAGCTGTGAGACAAGTTAAGTAGTAATAATTATCTGGTGATGGAGATCTTTTGGAAATTAGAAATTTGTTATCCCCTCCAGTAGTTGCTAGTCTGCTGATTTCATAGGCAACATGACTGTGAGAGTCCTGGTTTTCAAGGTTACTTCAGCAATAAGGGGAAAAAGATGGGAATAGGATAAGTTTCAACACAGTAAAACTTACTATTCTTGCCCAGAATAAACTGTTTGTCTTCATAAATACTTCTAGCTTGTTTAAAGCTTTTATTAATATTAATAGTTTTAGAGAAGAAGTTCATTTTCGTGAGTTCTTGCCAGTGTTATATTTTATGAAAAAATGAATTTCAAAGCTCATTGCCTCATTATTCTGGAAATGCCACCCTCTGGTGGTTTTCTATTATTTACATGGAATTAAAGTCCTCATGACAGAGATTAAAACCGTACTCTTTAGGATAACTTTCAAATCTCATCCAATTTTGATTTCAACTCAATTTTGAGCTTCCTATACTTCAGAATTTCAAACTAAATGACCTGCTTGCTGCCTTATACCACTATAGAACCACTTGCAAAGGAGAAGTTATCTAATTGCCAGTGACAAAAAGTTGCAGTAAGGGTCATAGTCTTACAAATCAATGGAAATCTCATTGCGTGTATGGGAAAAGGAGTTCCTCTAATCTTCCAGCCTAGAGATTTTGATACAGCTACCTGGATAATACATCTAAAATACATTTAAATTCAATGGGTGGTACGGTTTGCATATTTGTCCTTTCCAAATCTCATGCTGAAATGTGATGCCCAGTGTTAGAGATGGGGCCTGGTGGGAGATGTTTTTTTTTATGGGGGTGGGTTCCTCATGAATGCTTGGTGCCTTTCCCATGATAATGAGCAAACTCTCCCTCTGAGTTCTTGGGAAATCTGATAGTTTAAAGATCCTGGCACCTCCTACCTTACTCTCTCTTGCTCTGTCTCTTGCCATGTGACCAGGTTTGGTCCCCTTCACCTTATGATGTGACTGAAGCTTCCGGAGACCAACCAGGAGCAGATGCTTGTGTCATGCTACCTGTACAGCCTGCAGAACCATGAGCCAAAGTAAATCTCATTTTTTATAAATTACCCAGTCTCAGACATTCTTTATAGTGATGAAAATGGATGAATACAGTGGAAAACAAACACTCTGAGTGTTTACTAATGGCTGCCAGGACTAGGGAATTATCAGCTTCTCTGATTCAAACACCTGGACCTATCGAAGTGAGAACTATTTGAGTCACTTAAGGTCAGTAGGAAATATAAGAGAAAGGCAGAGGCATAGTTCCTATAGCCTATTAAGATGTGAATAATAAGTATATATAATAAATATGTGTAAAAATTACATGTTTTGGCCAGGGCATACTTAAAATGATAATGACATTCATGCCCTTGGGCTAAGGACACTATAGATGGGATGATGATGATAATGATGACAATGATGATGGATGATTCTATATTTCTTGCTTACAAATTTTCTGCCTTGAGAACTAGTCAGCAGAG
The DNA here is from genome assembly GCF_000001405.40 of Homo sapiens. Lineage (NCBI taxonomy): Eukaryota > Metazoa > Chordata > Mammalia > Primates > Hominidae > Homo > Homo sapiens. The sequence continues at coordinate 12,380,119 of NC_000004.12, read as the reverse complement.
TGATTAAAGTACATGCTTTTGAAATCATAAAGAGCCAGATTTGAATTCTTCTCCAGCACTTAACTTTCTTAAGTTCAACATGACTTTACATTTCTTATCTTGCAGCACTGTTGCAAGATTTTAAAATAAGCTATGCAAAAAGTCTAGCGCAATGCCTGCCACATACTCTTCATGGGATAGTATTTATCTGGGGGTCTAAGGACTGGATATTTTACACTGCAATTTTACATACACATGCTCTGCATATTGTTTGTAACTTCAACAGCATGTGAGAGCCTCTTTAAATCACAGGAAAGTGTGCTTGTGAGAGAGATTTACATGGATGAGAAAAGGTGAAATGAAGGTAGGCAAGAGTACAAGGAAAATATTAAAGTAGAAACAGTTTAAATTAGTACTAAAGTTGAGGCAACATTTTGATACTAATTGTGCGTGTGTGCATGTTCTGTGCTTGTGATATATCCATACCTTCAGTTACAGATATAAAATCTTAGACATATACTAATTAGAGTAAAATTTTATGTTTGATAGTCCATAAGCCAGTAGGGAGAATCAACCCATCAGAGTGTACTCACATTGTAGGATGGAACTAGGCCCTAGAGGCCACTGCCATGCCAGGCATTATATCTTTGATTGCTTGTTTGCCAGACAGTCTAGTGATTTTCAGGGCAAGGTTGGGTAATCTTGGAGTTGGGGCACTGAGAGAATAAGGGTCAGAGTTGTGCCTATTCAGCATTTTGTCTGAAAGTATTCTATTGTCTTGGCAATCTTTACGGTCAGTTAGCAGCTGAATATAAGCCCTAAATCTAACTAAGCAAACCTGAGGAGCTTCTCAGACAACACTGAATGAGATGACATAATCACTGTTCCCAAGAAGCTTTCTCTAAGGGCTTCAGACAACAAGCTGATAACATACAAGTTTAAAAATTTGACTTAAAAATAGCAGGGAGTGGTGTGACCAGAGGTAACCTCAGAGGGCAAAGCTTCCAGAAAGCATTTCGATTTCATTTAAAAATACAAAACACTAATGGTAATGATAACAGCATAGATTAAATAACAATACACATGAAATATTGTTCTCACTAATGGGAGAACAGATTCAAGAGGCAGGTCAGCCGTTTATCAACCTTTGCTTGCTGTAGGACATTCATGTATTGGTGCGCTGGGCTGAGGTAGGGTAGGTGTTTGAGGTGTCTTGGTTCATAAACCAATAAAAATGGTTCAATGTGATCAATGCCAGAAGGAAGTTAAACATGCATAGATGTAGGTATGCTGGAGAAAATATCATGAGAGAGGAGAAATTTTCAGAGGGATAGAATTGAAAGAACCAAAGTCAAGGAGAAAAATTAAAATAAATTTTAAAGTAGAGCTCATTGATATTGAAGCCTCTTCTAGGAGGCAGTAGAATAGAGAAAGCAGAGCACAGGTGGAGGCAGTGATTCGTTTACATAGGAAAGGGTGTGCATCATTTGTTGAGACCACAAATAATTAGTCAAGAATGATGAAGATGTAGATTTTTTGAACATTATATGTATGCTTTCTTTCATTGAAAGTTGCTGTGCTGAAAGTAGGGATGACTTGGGGAAATTATTCTGCCAGTTTAAGCCTTAGTTTCCTTATCTAAAACCTGGGACAGGTAAAGCTTTTAGTGAGCTCTTTGGAGAATGAGAGTTGAGAGTTGAAGGCAGAGGAAAAGTGGGCATAGGTAGAGTGGGTGAAACATATTTCAAGTTCCAATACTGGAGAATGTAAAGACAGCAGAGCTGTCGTGGCTGGAGCCCATGAGTATGGGGAAGAAGGGTGGAGTAATAAAAAAGAAATCATTCCAGGAGGCAGGTAGGAGTCTATTAGAAGGCCATCACAGGCCAAGTTAAAGAGATTCTATTGTATTTTAGGTGCATTAGGAACATATTGTAGACTATCAAGCAGAGTGTGAAATGTCCTGATTTATATTTTTAAGAAGTTTTGGAAAATGATAGTGGAGATGTTTGCACAACATCACAGTGACAACGATTATACGCTTAAAATGTATAAAATGGAAAATTGTATGTGTTTTACCACAATTTTAAAAACATGAAAGAAATATGGAATACCGTTAAGATGGAGAAGGCTCCTCATTAAGTCCTCATGAACACCATAATGTATTAGGAATTGTTTTCACTTGTGGAAGCTGAGAAACAGAGATATTCTGAGACTCCATAAGTTGAAAGATGTTCTGAAGAAAGCTTAGAGAGAAGCTGTCCCTTTTACCCCTAAATTTAAAAATGCAATGGTTTCCAAACTCATGCCCCTCTGCCTCCTCATTGCTCAATTTTGACATTTAAATAAAATTTGCTTTTCATTTTGAGGTGTCAGATATGAATTGTCTTGTTTCAACTATGCATGAAAATTCCCACCAACAGAAATATTAACAATTCTTATGATAGTGAAATTATGCCATATATAGCAGCAATTATCACACATGCATTAAAATAGTCATCACATTGTCTGAAATTTCTGGCAAAAAGGCAATTAAGATATTTTTCCATTTAAGTATTAGTTATCCCATTTTTTGTCACATTTCCTATTAAATGTATGCATTTTGATTTTTGAAATTCAAAAAAATTACAGAGGATGTATTTTAAGATTGTCAAATAATTTGTAAATAAAGATCTATTTTGTGGGATTCATGAAGCCTCATTATTCTTTTCACAAAATCTTATAGTAAGTAAAAAGAAATCTTTGCTACTTAAAGCTTTATAAGAGAAGATCGGCAAAGATAAGTATAATCAAAAGAAAAGTATATCAGAATTGAAGTACCTTTGACAATGCTTTAATCACGTTGGGCAATTGAATGCATGTGACCAGAGAAAATGAATTCTAGTGACTAAGATTTAGGCATTTAGATATAACAACAACAACAACAAAAAATAGACCCACAAACTCACAGATCAGTTAAAATGGAATTGTCTTAAATTTGTAATAATAATTTCAATAATTGCACCATGAAGATAAAAGCAGGGCAGCACGGTATTAGAATAACTTTGACATGAACTTGTGATATCTCCATGGTGCAAAAATATATTTGATATTTATCTCAGAATGCCTAAAAGAAATTTCATCACTTGCATAGATAAGAATAATAATCAAACTCATGAAATGATTATTTCATATACAAAACTACCTCTGCAACTTTAATTCTAGAATGTTTCTTTCAGCAACATCTATCTGTTCAGGGCTTACTATGTGCATTTAATTCCACCAACATTCATTATGAGTCTACTTTATGATATTCATTGTGCTTCAGAATAAATATATAAGGATGAATAAACTGAAATTTTAGCATGATGAGAAAAGAGAAAAATAGCTTTGAAGCCCTAAAGACTTGCTTGTATCACTTGCTAATCCTACAACCCAATAAGAGTCCTGTAATCTTAACCAATTTTGGTTTCCTCATCTATAAACAATGGGCATACATTTACCTCAAATCGTTGTTAGGAGAAATAAGCAGAATAATTTATATAACGTGCTTAGCGCAGATTCTAGATCATAATATATGTGCCTTTTAAGGTAGCTTTCTTCTCTCCTGGACTAATAAATTCACACTGGTGAAAAAACTGAAGTTAAAAGAGAAAACAGTTAATGTACTGAATATGTGCTGCATATATTTCATGCAAGTTGCATGTATTATTCTTCTGCTAATATATCCACAAACGTGTCTTGAACTTTTTCTATGGGATAGATCCATATCTAGATATTGGGAAAATAGCACCAGACAAAAAAATTCGCTATTTGGGAGAGTTTACATTCTAGTGCAAAAGACAATGAGCTAGCAAACTGACAAATAATAATAGTAATTTTTTATGCCATTTACCATGTGCCAGGAATTGGTATTGACATCTATGTACACTAACTAATTTAATCATCATGATAAACCTATGGAGTAGGTAACATTACTTTCATTCTCATTTCATATGTAAGGAAACTGAGGCAGAGAAGTATCAAGTAAATTGCCAACATTAGTATGTGGCAGAGCTGGGATTCAAAACTGAGCAGATTGTTTTTTAAACACTGTCATTTTCTGCTGTTTCTTTAAACATGATAAGAAATTCAGCTTGAGTGTTTTGCTGCACAGGGAGATAGAAAACTAGACAGCTGCCGATCATGCATGGCAAGCAGTTGGGTGCTATTCAAAGTATAATGGGAGGTTATTAGAAGGTTTTAAGCAAGAGAGTGAGGAAAATGTCATTATGCTTTATAAATTCAATCTGACTATTATGTAGGGGGAAGCATTCTGAAAGAGATAGTGAGGAACTAGGAAAAGCAATTAAGATTTTATTTCTGGGAGTCCCTAATGGAAAATGATGATGGCTTGGACAAATTGGTAGTGTTGGAGATAGTGAAAATTTGTTGATGTAGAATCCATTAGAATGTTTAGACTATAGAACTTACTGATGAGTTGGTTATGAAGAGGAAGGGGGTTTTGTTTTGGAATTTATGAATTTGGCATGCATATCTAAAATCTTATATACACAAATCTGGAGCTCAGTGAAAAGTGAAGGGTTGGTGGTAAAATAATTGTGTGTCATCATTATATAGTGGTCTTTAAAAACATGAGATCAAGTTAAATCTTATAGTGAGCAAATGTAGATAGGAGAAAGAATATTTAGGGCCACACTTTGGGGGCTTTAAAGCACCTTGAGGTTGAATCAAAGAGTGGGAAAACAGCAAAGGAAACTAGAGAAAAAAATGGATACTGAAGTCAGAGGAATTCCAAGGAAGCAGAGAGATCAGAAACCAAAAAAAGAGTATATGCCATTTGTATTGAGTCACCTTGACAGGTAGATATGTAGGTATTATTATTAACACTAAAATTTAATAAATAAGTAAAGAAAGGTTCCAAGTGGTGAATAACTTGCCCAGTGTCACAGATAGTAGAGATATAATTCCCATCGATATTGATGGGTTTTAGACTATACTTTTATTTATGGACCTTCTTATTAACTATACAAGCAGTACTAGTAATCATTCTCTAATCAAGGTGTATATACAGCATATGTGTGTTGGTTAGTATTAAGTGTCAACTTGACTGGATTGAAGAATGCAAAGTATTGTTCCTGGGTGTGTCTGTGAAGGTGTTGCTAAAGGAGATTAACATTTGAATCAGTGGACTGAGAGAGGCAGACCCACCCTCAAGGTGGGCACCATCTAATCAACTGCCAGTGGGGCTAGAATAAAGGAGGCAGAAGAAGGTGGGAGGAGCTGACTTGCTGAGTTTTCCAGCCTTCCTGTCTCTCCTGTGCTGGGTGCCTCTGGCCCTTGAACATCACACTCCAAGTTCTTCAGCTTTTGGACTCTTGGACTTACACACCAGTCGTTTGCCAGGGGATCTCAGGCATTCAGCCACAGACTCAATGCTACACTATTGGCTTCCCTACTTTTGAGAGTTTGGGACTCACACTGGCTTCCTTGCTCCTCAGCTTGGGTATGGCCTATTGTGAGACATCACCTTGTGATTATGTGTCAATTCTCCTTAATAAACTCCCCTTCATATATACATATATCCTATTAGTTGTGTACCTCTAGAGAACCCTGACTAATACAGAATGCAATGCTAATAAGGGAATTCATTAATTTTCCTAAACTAATACAAAAAGAGTAAGATTTTCCTTGAACCCTGACAAATAGTTCTCCACGGTGACAGAAATATCAGGAAGACGTGGCGAGCATTCCAAACAGATAAATGAGCAGATATAATAAGCAAAACCTCCATGGAGAGAAACGCGTTGTAAAATGGTTGTGTGTTTGTGTGTGTGTGTGTGTGAGATTGTTTTTTTCTTTTCTGGGGAAGAACTCATCATCTGAGATTTTAAAAGTATAGTAGCAGAAAAGCAGTGGCTGTAGAAAAAAAAAACTTGAAAGAACAGTGAGATCAGGTTGTAGAATTTCTGCCATGCAAATAAGTTTGCCCTTTAATCTGTAGGCACAATAGGAAAACAGAAGGCATATAAACCATAGTACCATGTTAGAGCTACCAGTGAGAAAGATAGTATTGTCTCCTAGAATAGGTAAGTTATTTTTATTGTTTCAGCATCCTTAATTTCAGGGAAGTCATACTCCATTCTTACCTGGTTATGCTGGAACTATTGATCACCTTATATTTCCTCACCTTATTCTGAGTGATACATAACTGATTCAGGTTGAAATATCTATAATGCACTAACCCACTGGGCCCAGTGATCAAATAAGAGACAATTAGTATCTATTTCTTGTATATCTTATAGCTACCAACAGAACAAAGCTCTCTTCGCAACAGCTGCAAAGGTAGGACTATAGGAAGCTGGAACTGCCAGGGGTTGGATCCCGAGTTGTCTGTCTGAAAGGAGTTTGCATACACTGGGCCCTATTAGATCATTGAGGATCTAGCTATTCCTGGGACACTTTTACAGTTAAATGAATGGGTAAATTCCTTTTCCCCTTAAGTATATTTGAGGCCCATCTAATAGATTGTAGTGAGAACACCTGGGAATGTAAATTAACTGATTATGTCAATAATCCTGTGAAGAAATGAGATGACTATAACAATGGAACTAAAAATAATAATAGCAAAGGGACACATTTGAGGCATTTTGGAGGGTATTTGTGTTGAGTTTATTAACATTAAAGAACTTGCAGGTGTTCAGGATAACTGAAATGTCTTCTTTGCAAACAGAATGGTTATTGGTGTAAGCATTCATATGTGACCATGTCATTCCTTTGGTGTTACAGAGAGAGAAGACAGATAGGAAAGAATTTATTTAATGGTTTGCAAACAAGTAATGCTTGGTGCCCATAGATGGGAGATGTTTGCAGAATAAGGTGGAGGTGTGGGCAGCAAAAAGATGAATGATTGATTTTGGAGCCCAAAGCAGTGTCTAGAATAGAGCACAAATTTGGGAATCATTAGCCCTTAAGTGATATGTGACATATGATTCTAGGGGAGGTAAGGAAGAATAGCTCAGGAGAAGAGATACATAACAATATTTCATGCTCCTTGAAAATGGGTTCAGGTTTCTTCATTGGTGTATTCCCGACACTATCATGTGTGCTTTATGAACAGATGCATGATTGGGTTAGGTGTGGGGCTAGGCTTGTTCCTGCTTACAATCCTCTTTGAGACTCCTAAGAGGCTCTGAAGTGCACTTCCATTTCTATCTCTATTTTATAAGCAGGGAAACTGATAAAATCACATGCCGTTTAAAATTGCTAAAATTCTGGAATTTCATAATTCGCCTCCAGCTCTTTATGTGTGTGCTAATTTAAAAAAAAAAGAAGCAAAAAGATGCTTATTCCAAAATGTCTTAAATACATCTCTACATTTTAAAATTATGTGATTATCTTAAGGCCATTTTATTCATATGACAATCAGCTACGGAGCCACTGTGGCTGTCAAAATGTCAAGTCAAAATCAGTCAAGCATTGATAAGCATATCTTTTCTGTACAGCCATTGTGACTGTAAGGGCAGCATTGTCTTCCATATTTAGTGCTCTTAGATTGGAGTCAAATTCACTTTCCCAGGGATTATTAAAAGTTTTAGCCAAAATAATTTTGCTAAAAATGTGAAGATTTAATAAATGTGTATAAATACTTTTAAATTCTTTTTTTTTTTTTAAATACTGCCAGGCGAGATGGCTCACGCCTGTAATCCTAGCACTTGGGGAGGCCGAGGTGGGCAGATCACGAGGTCAGGAGATCGAGACCATCCAGGCCAACATGGTGAAACCCCGTCTCTACTAAAAATACAAAAATTAGCTGGGCGTGGTGCTGTGCACTTGTAATCCCAGCTACTCGGGAGGCTGAGGCAGGAGAATCACTTGAACCCAGGAGGCGGAGGTTGCAGTGAGTTGAGATCGTGCCCTTTGTACTCCAGCCCAGTGACAGAGCTACACTCCATCTCAAATAAAAATAAAAATAAAAAAAAATAAAAAACTACTATTGGTGACTATAATTAATGAGGTTTCTGTGAAAGAAAAAGGCTCAATGAAAAACTGCATTTGGAGTTATATAAATGAATTCACACTTGGGAATTTCTCATGCATTTTTACTTGATTCTATTTAAATGCATTTATATGTACTGGAGAATATAACTGCAGTGATTTAAAAAATAAATAAACACCAGCATCATATAATTTATCCTAAAAACATTTCTTTAATGCACTCTGTTTATGGTGCAAGTTTTAACAAATATCTTCCTATTTATTTTACTAGTCCTAGATAGGCTCACTTTAGGAAAAAATAATTTTATTAAGTGATACAATGCAACAAAGATATTCACTTGAAATTTTAAATAACCAAGTCAATAATTATTAACTATTTAATGATAAGTATTTTACAGAGATATAATGCAATATAAATTTATATAAAAATGATATGTTAAGAAAGAAGAGAAAAATGTGTGTTTACTTTTATCACCCTTGTATTAATCCATTGTCACAGTGCTATAAGGAAATGCTTGAGACTGGGTAATTTATATAGAAAAGAGGTTGAATTAGTTCATGTTTCCACAGGCTGTACAGAAAGCATGGCAGCATCTGCTTGGCTTTGGGGGAGGCTGCAGAAAGCTTACAATTATGGCAGAAGGCAAAAGGGGAGCCAACACTTCACATGATTGGAGCAAGAGGAACAGAGAGAGTAGGGAGATGCTACACACTTTTAAACAATCAGTCTCATAGGAACTCACTCAGTATACATTATCAAGGTGGGGGAGTGCTTAACCATGAGAAACTGCCACCATGATTTAATCACCTCCCACCAGTTCCCACCTCCAATATTGGGGGTTATAATTGAACATGAAATTTGGGTGGGGACAGAGATCCAAACGATATCACCCATGTTGGGTGTATCCCAGTCCATTAAAAAGTGGACTGTGATATATTATTTATCTCTCTAGGTCTTTGCTTAGGAAACTTCATTAGTAGTCAAAGAATCATTATTTTGTTTTACTTCTTGTTATCTGTAGAGGTAGTATCTGCTGTGAGCTTAGCTTTAACTCCGGAGAGAAAGTCTTTGTTTTCTGTCAAGACTTTAACTCATACTAGCCATGTTCTTTGAGCAACTCATTGCCTTTTTGTGGCCCTTAGTTTTTTCAAATGTAAATTTGGAATAGTGTAATTTTCTATTTTCTTCACACTTTTGATGGGGGAACCAAAGGAGATAATGATGATCATTGTCTATATGTATCTACACCTTTCACATTTCTAAGTCTTTGTGCATACAAATATTGCTACACAGAAATTTCTGGAAGGAAATCTTTCTGGTTCCTGGGGCAAGGGGACCTCAAACAGGCACTGCTCAAAATGAATATCTATTGTGTAAATCTATTTTTCCGCTTTGCAGGTCTAGAAATTTGCTATTTTGTCAATGTATATTCAGTCAGGAACTATGCATATTCAGAAGAGACTGATAAATGAACTGATATAAGAAAACTTTAATTTATGATAAAGTCTAACATTACAGGGAGAGCCATTAGTTAGGCTTTCCTATTAAGAGATATCTTGGAAGCCGAATGAATCATCAGAGAGCTATTTATTGATTATACAGTGCAAAGTGATGGTCTCAAGGGATATTTTGTCTTGATAAACAATTGCAGCTGCACCCCCTGAGGTTGCTGTGACGTTTGGGTCCAGCAGATTCTACCTAAACCAAAGTACTAAAAACATATATGCACATCCCTGTTCATTAAGGTCCAAGAAGACCTTCTCTTTTTCTATATCATTTTCTCTTTTTATACATCATTTTCCATAGAAAATGCCTTTCTGGTGACACTTCAATCATGCTAATTAAAACAAAGTACACCCCAAATTCATCTCCCCTATATCAGATGGCAACCTTTTAAGTTATGTCCACATAGTTCACTTTACCTCTAATTGAGGACATAAAAGCTAATTTTTTCAAGTTATGTGGATGCATATTACGTTAAAACAAGCATTCATAATTAAAGTTTATTTACTATTTTAAAATAACTTCTACTATTTATTTACTCTACATTTTCTAGTCCAGGCTAAGTACTTTATGAAAATTTCTTATTTCGTTATTAGAGATTTCAAGAAGAGAAAACTGAGGCTTAGAGAAATTGAATAACTTTTTCAACTTGAGATAGGCTAGAAAGCCGGGAAGTAGTCACACTTGGGATTGGAATTCAGTTAGAGGCCAGAGTCCAACTTTTCAGTCATTATGCTGTTAAAAAATAAAATCTCAGTATCATTCAATATATCCGGGAGTTCTTTATAACTATTGATTGGTATATAAAGTAGCCATTTTACACCTTCATGATACAAATGACATTAATATTACATCTGGATTGATTAAAACTATCCAGATGGCATATTATTTGCTTTAAATGCTTATATCAAATAAGATGTTTGAATCTGTTTCTTTGTTTAAACTATTTGTTGACAGCTACCTTTTTGGAAGGATCTTGTATTTCACTCGTGTCTGTGTGAAGAGACCACCAAACAGGCTTTGTGTGAGCAATAAAGCTCTTTAATTAGCTGGATGCAGGCGGGCTGAGTCCGAAAAGAGCGAGAAGGGAGACAGGGGTGGGGCTGTTTTATAGGATTTGGGTAGGTAAAGGAAAAAGGGGGCAGAAGTGTTCTCTGGCGGGCAGAAGTGGGGGTCACAAGGTGCTCAGTAGGGGAGCTTTTGAGCCAGGATGAGCCAGGAGAAGGAATTTCACAAGATAATGTCATCAGTTAAGGCAGGAACAGGCCATTTTCACTTCTTTTGTGGTGGAATGTCATCAGTTAAGGCAGGAACTGGCCATCTGGATGTGTACGTGCAGGTCACAGGGGATATGATGGCTTAGCTTGGGCTCAGAAGCCTGACATTCCTGTCTTCTTATATTAATAAGTAAAATAAAATGAAATAGTGGTAAAGTGTTGGGATGGTGAACATTTTTGGGGGGTGGTATGGAGAGATAATGGGCGATGTTTCTCAGGGCTGCTTCAAGCAGGATTAGGGGCAGCGTGGGAACCTAGAGTGGGAGAGATTAAGCTGAAGGAAGATTTTGTGGTAAGGGGTGATACTGTGGGGTTGTTAGAAGAAACATTTGTCATTTAGAATTATTGGTGATGGCCTGGATACAGTTTTGTATGAATTGAAAAACTAAACGGAATAAGAGAAGGAGAAAAACAGGTTATTAAAGGACTAAGAATTGGGAGGACCTAGGACATCTAATTAGAGAGTGCCTAAGGAGGTTCAGCATAGCCTTGCCAGCAAAGATTATTTGTTTACTTTAAGAGTTAAGAGTGGCAGTTTGGGGATAGCACCAGGAGATATCAGCTATGATGGCTTGGAGAAACAGTGTAAACCTGCAGTGTAAACAAGAGCAGGGCATGTATGAATAGTTGAGAATGGTGAATAGGTGTATGACTAGATGGAAGATAGTAGGGATGACAAGTTTTTTGGGACACAGTCTAAGTTGGTCTGGTGTCTGGAATGAGACTGGGGCTTAATAAAAAGGAGCGTCTATATAGGAGCTCAAATGGGCTGTACCTTATAGCATTCTGAGGACAGGCCTGAATTCTGAGAAGGGAAAGTGGTAAAAGTATTGTCCGGTCCTTTTTAAGTTGATGGCTGAGCTTGGTGAGGTGTGTTTTTAAAAGACCATTAGTCTTTTCTACCTTTCCTGAAGACTGAGAACTGTAAGGGATATAAAGGTTTCACTGAACACTAAGAGCCTGAAAAAATGCTTGGCTGATTTGACTAATAAAGGCCGGTCTGCTGTCAGACTTCATAGAGGTGGGAAGGCCAAACCGAGGAATTATGTCTGACAGAAGGGAAGAAATGACCATGGTGGTCTTCTTAGACCCTGTGGGAAAGGCCTCTACCTGTCCAGTGAAAGCGTCTACTGAGACCAAGAGGTATTTTAGTTTCCTGACTCAGGGCATGTTGAGTAAAGCTAATTTGCCAGTCCTGGGAGGGGGCAAATCCCTGAGCTTGATGTGTAGGGAAGGGAGGGGGCCTGAATAATCCCTGAGGAGTAGTAGAATAGCAGATGGAACACTGAGAAGTTATTTCCTTGAGGATAGATTTCTACAATGGAAAGGAAATGAGAGGTTCTAAGAGGCCGGCTAGTGGCTTGTACTATAGCATAGCCTGCCTTTGCTGCTGTGTGGTGATTAGGTCTTGTAGAACTGCCATCAATAAATCAAGTGTGATCAGGGTGAGAAACAGGGAAGAAGAGAATGTGGGGAAATGGGGTGAACGTCAGGTGGATCAGAGAGATGCAGTCATGAGGGTCAGGTGTGGTATCAGGAATAATGTGGGAGGCCGGATTGAAGTCCAGGCCAGGAACAATGGTAATTGTGGGAGACTCAACAAATAGTGAGTATAGCTGAAGGAGCCAGGGAGCAGAAAGTATATGTGTCAGGTGTGAGGAAGAAAACAGACTTTGGAAATTATGAGAGCTCTAGAGAGTGAGTTGAGCATAGTTTGTGATTATAAGGGCCTCTAAAAGTATTAGAGTGGCAGCAGCCACTGCACGGAGACATGATGGCCAGCCTAAAACAGTAAGGTCAAGTTGTTTAGACAAAAAGGCTACAGGACGTGATCCCGGTTCTTGTGTAAGAATTCCAACTGCACAGCCCTGCACTTCAGCTGTGTGTAATGAAAAGGGTTGGGATGAGTCAGGGAGAGCTAGGGTGGGGGCAGTCTCTAAAGCTGTCTTCAAGGAATGGAAAGAGGATGGGGAAATGATTTAGGATCTATGGGTTCAGCTGGGTTTCCTTTTGTGAGTTTATATAATGGTTTTGTTAGGATGGCAAAACCAGGTATCCAAAGGTGAAAGTATCCAACCATGCCCAGGAAGGAAAGGAGTTGTTGTTTTGTAGAAGGGGTTGGGGTTTGAGAGATTAGTTGGACACGATCAGCAGGGAGAGCACGTGTGTTTTTATGAGAATTATGCTGAGATAGGTAACAGAGGAAGATGAAATTTGGGCTTGACTGAAGTAATGGGGGCTGTCTGTGAAGCTTTGCGGCAGTACAGCCTAGGTAATTTGCTGAGCCTGATGGGTGTCAGGGTCAGTCCAAGTGAAAGCAAAGAGAGGCTGGGATGAAGGGTGCAAAGGAATAGTAAAGAAAGAATGTTTGAGATCCAGAACAGAATAATGGATTGTGGAGGGAGGTATTGAGGATAGGAGAGTATATGGGTTTGGCACCATGGGGTGGATAGGCAAAACAATTTGGTTGATAATGCGCAGATCCTGAACTAACTTGTAAGGCTTGTCTGGTTTTAGGACAGGTATAATGGGGGAATTGTAAGGAGAGTTTATAGGCTTTAAAAGGCCATGCTGTAGCAGGCCAGTGATAACAGGCTTTAATCCTTTCGAAGCATGCTGTGGGATGGGATATTGGCATTGAGTGGGGTAAGGGTGATTAGGTTTTAATGAGATGGTAAGGGGTGCATGATAGGTCACCAAGGAGGGAGTAGAGGTATCTTATACTTGTGGGTTAAGGTCAGGGGATACAAGAGGAGGACACAAAGGAGGCTTTGGATTGGGAAGAAGGGTGGCAGTGAGATACAGCTGTAGTCCAGGAATAGTCAGGGAAGCAGATAATTTAGTTAAAGTGTCTCGGCCTAATAAGGGAACTGGGCAGGTGGGGATAACTAAAAAGGAGTGCTTAAAAGAGTATTGTCTAAGTTGGCACCAGAGTTGGGGACTTTTAAGAGGTTTAGAAGGCTGGCTGTCAATACCCACAACAGTTATGGAGGCAAGGGAAACAGGCTCTGGAAAAGAAGGTAATGTGGAGTGGGTAGCCTCTGTATTGATTAAGAAGGGGACAGACTCACCGTCCACTGTGAGAGTTACCTAAAGGTTGGCGTCCGTGATGGTCTACGGGGCTTCCGAGGCAATTGGTCAGCGTCAGTCTTCAGCCACTAAGCCAAGAAGATCTGGGAAGGAGTCAGTCAGAGAGCCTCGGGCCAGAGTTCCAGGGGCTCTGGGAGTGGCTGCCAGCTGAGTTGAACAGTCTGATTTCCAGTGGGGTCCTGCACAGATGGAACACGACTTAGGAGGAATCCTGGGCTGCAGGCATTCCTTGGCCTGCTGGCCAGATTTCTGGCACTTGTAGCAAGCTCCTGGGGGAGATGGTTCTGGAGGAATGCCTGGCCACTGCGGTTTAGGCATTTGGAAGTTCTCGTGTGCTGGAGATGTGGCTGGGGTTTGTCTCACAGTGGAGGCAAGGAATTGCAACTCAGAAATATGTTGCTACTTGGCTGCCTCTACTCTATTATTACACACCTTGAAGGTGAGGTTAAGTCCTGTTGTGGGGTTTGAGGGCCGGAATTTAATTTTTGGAGTTTTATTTAATTTTGGGAGCAGATAGGGTAATAAAATGTATATTGAGAATAGACGGCCTTTTGACCTTTTAGGGTCTAGGGTTGTAAAGCATCTCAGGGTTGCTGCCAAATGAGCCATGAACTGGGCTGAATTTTTATATTTGATGAAAAAGAGGCTGAACGCTATCTGATTTGGGATAAAGAAAAAGGAGCATTAACCTTGACTATGCCTTTAGCTCCAGCCACCTTTTTAAGAGTAAATTGCTGGGCAGATGGGGCAGGGCTAGTCATGGAACCAAACTGTAAGCCGGACTGGGTGTGAGGAGGGGAGGTGATAAAAGGATTATAGGGTGGAGGAGCAGAGGCTGAGGAAGAATTGGGACCTAGCACAGCCTGGCGAGCAGAGGAGAGGTCAGATGGGTTTGTAGAAAAGGAAGATTAGAAAGAGTCAGCAACACTTGGGGTCGGGACTGAGGGGACAGATGGGAGGGAAAGAAGGAAGATTTGGGATGAGTTGCATTGGGAACAGAGACTAGGGAGGGACCAATGTGTAAAAGAATACCTGGACGTCAGGCATCTCAGAGTGTTTGCCTATTTTACGACAAGAATTATTTAGATCTCGTAGGATGGAAAAATTGAAAGTGCTGTTTTCTGGCTATTTGGAACTACTGTCGAGTTTGTATTGGGGTGAAGTGGCATTGCAGAAGAAAATAAGATGCTTAGATTTTAGGTCAGGTGAGAGTTGAAGAGGTTTTAAGTTCTTGAAAGCACAGGCTAAGGGAGAAGAAAGAGGAATGGAAGGTGGAAGCTTGCCCATAGTGAAGGAGGCAAGCCCAGAGAAAAGAGAGTAGAGACACAGAGAAGGGGTGTGGCGTTCTTGCCCTCCAGAAAAGCAGAGAAGGGGTCGGAGCACAGAAATAAGGGTTTGGGGTGCAGAGATAGGAGGTTGGGGTGCAGAAATAAGGGATCGAGGCACAGAGATAAGAGGTCAGGGCGCGGAAATAAGGGATTGGGGGTTATTGCCCCCTAGAAAAGCAGGACTTGCTGCTAAGGGTGAAGGAGAAGGGGTTGAGGGGTTCTTGCCCCTCTCCCAGAAAAGTGGGACTTGCCACTAAGGGTGAAGGACCAAGCCAGGCATCCCTGCATGGTCTGACACCTCTGAAACGTGGGTGTATAGAGAGGCGTCCCTGCAGTGATTAAACACCAAGGGAAGGCTGCCTTCTCAGTCCGTGACCGGCGCCAGAGTTTTGGGTCCATGGATAAAACGCGTCTCCTTTGTCTCTACCAGAAAATGAAAGGAATTGAAATGAAGAGAAGGGAGAGATTGAAGTGTGACACCAAGATTGAAAGGTGAAAGAGTTTGAGGGATAGTGAGGGAGGTTGGAGAAGAGAGTAAAAAGAGGCCGATTACCAGATTTGAAATTGGTGAGGTGTTTCTTGGGCTGGTCAGTCTGAGGACCTGAGGTTGTAGGTGGATCTTTCTCAAGGAGCAAAGAGCAGGAGGACAGGGATTGATCTCCCAAGGGAGGTCCCCCAATCCGAGTCACAGCACCAAATTTCACTCGTATCTGTATGAAGAGATTGCCAAACAGGCTTTGTGTGAACAATAAAGTTTTTTAATCACCAGGGTGCAGGCAGGCTGAGTCTGAAAAGAGAGTCAGCGAAGGGAGATGGGGTGGGGCCGTTTTATAGGATTTGGGTCGGTAAAGGAAAAAGGGGTGTTGTTCTCTGGCGGGCAGGAGTGGGGGGGTCACAAGTTGCTCAGTAGGGGAGCTTTTGAGCCAGGATGAGCCAGGGGAAGGAATTTCACAAGATAATGTCATCAGTTAAGGCAGGAACTGACCATTTTCACTTCTTTTGTGGTGGAATGTCATCATTTAAGGCAGGAACCAGCCATCTGGATGTGTACCTGCAGGTCACAGGGGATATGATGGCTTATAGAGTTTTCCAGTAAGATAAATTTGCCTTATGGCTCTATTACTTCCTTGCTGTGTGAACTTTGATAAGTTATGTAACCCATGTGCTTTAATATCTTTAACAGTAAATTAGAAAAATGTACTATTCAAGCCTGTGCTTTCATTGCTATGCACTGTGTCTCAAAATAAAGTGCAAAATAAAATAAAATATAGGCCATATTTATCATGGAGAGAGCAATTTAATGGGGGAAGACACATATTAATTTAATAAAATTAATTTTTTACAAAGAACAAGAATATAAACAGTGCTGTGCTGGTAAACCAGCTCTCTGAGGAGAAAACCAAAATTCACAATTTGTAGTGTGTACTGATTCTTCCGGTGTGAATACTCCCCACGTGGCCAATTTCAAGCTATAAACCGGTTTATAAAATGCCTATTTTATAATCTATTCTTGTGAGTCAGTGATTCCAATTAGTAATGCATGTTCAATAGAGAGGTTTTTTCTA
Organism: Homo sapiens; assembly: GCF_000001405.40. Lineage (NCBI taxonomy): Eukaryota > Metazoa > Chordata > Mammalia > Primates > Hominidae > Homo > Homo sapiens. The sequence goes on along the minus strand of NC_000004.12, from coordinate 12,363,402 downwards.
TCAAGAAACTTCTATGAACATCAAAAGGGTTAACTGAGTTAGCTCATGTAAATTGCCTAAAAGATTTTTATTTTTGCAGAATAAATTTCCTATAAACACCAATACCTTTTTTATTCTTCTTTTCTACTTAAGGTATTGCTTGCCTCTATTTAATAGATTTAAGATCTATACAAGGGTTAAAGGCTGGAAAAACATTTTATCTGTATTGGGAGTCTTTATAGAACTATAGTTTAAATTACACTGCAATGCATTTGTATTTGTGCTTTAGGACTCAGATTATGTAAGAAATAGAAGGCAAACAGGTTTTTAAAAGTCCCAGGAGGAAAGAATAATATACATGCTGTGATCTATAGATGGGATAAAATGGTCACTCAGCAGGGCATTAATTTTCTCCTAGCATTCATGGTTCTCTCTTGAGAGTAAATAAAATTATCATTTTTTCAAACCTTTGGGTTGAAACCTTCATTTATCCTTTATCATCGGAATTTTTTTTCCATTTCTCTTTTCCAATATCCTTTTCTGTATTATTATAATGTGATTATTACTCCATAATTTCCTCCATTTTCCATCAAACCTCTTGGTTTTCATTTTTTTCTCCTTTATCTTAAACCTTTACATTCTTTATTTTTCTCCTTCTTCTTCCTTCTATTAATTTAATTGTATTTTACACATGCAATTTTCTAGTTTCTGTTTTGATACTTAGTTTGGAGACAATAACTGAAGTATAATTTACATGTAAGAAAATGCACAGATCTGAAGCATACACTTTGATGAGTCTTGACAAATGTATGCATTCATGTAACCACCACACTAGTTAAGATAAAGAATATAACTATCACCTCAGAATGTTTTCTCCTGTTCCTTTATCAGGTACTCCTGTACCCCAAGGCAATTATTGTCTGGATCTTGATCATCATAGACTAGTTTACCTACTCTTGAATTCTATATGAATGTGATCATTCAGTTTATATATACATATATTTTTTTTGCCTGGCTTTTAAATTTTAGCAGTATTTTTGAGATCATTTATTTTGTTGCTTTCATCAATAGTTTACTCTTTAGAATCGCTAAGTAACATATCATTATTTACATGTATTAAAATTAGTTTATATGTTCTGTTAATGAGCATTTAGGTTGTTTTCAGTCTGGGCTATTTGTGAATAATTCTTCTGATATGGTTTGACTGTGTGTCCCCATCCAAATCTCATCTGGAGCTGTAATCCCCAGGTGTCAAGGGAGGGACTGAGTGGAAGGTGATTGGATCGTGGGGATGGTTTCTCCCATGCTGTTCTTATGATAGTGAGTGAGTTCTCATGAAATCTGATGGTTTTAAAAGCGGCAGTTTCCCCTGTGCTCTCTGTCTCTCCTGCCACCATATTTAGATGTGCCTTGCTTGCTCTTTGCCTTCTGCCATAATTTTAAGGTTCCTGAGGCCTCTCCAGCCATGTGGAACTGTGAGTCAATTGAAACTCTTTTGCTAATAAATTACCCAGTATCAGGTAGTATCTTTATAGCAGTGTGAAAAAGGACTAATATACTTTCCATGAACATTCTTATTTAAGTCTTATCTAAGATATATGTTTGTATTTTGTGGGGTGATAGAAGTAAATAACTTGAGGTAAAATTGCTGGATTATAGGCTAGACATATAAATTATGTAAAAAGAAACTGCCACACCATTTCCCAAAATGGCTATAATCTTTTTAATACCTATCAGCAATGTATGAGTTCCAGTTATTCCACATCCTCTCCACATTTGGTGTTTCTGGCTTTTTAAATTTTAACCATTCGATGTGTATAGAGTGGTATCTCATTGCAGTTTTAAATTGCAATTTCCTGAACATTAATGATGTTGAGTCAATTTTCGTTAAGTAACTTTCATGTTTTTCTTTTTTGAACTTTGTGAAGTTTCATTTTTACCTTTATTCAAATGGTTTGTTTATATTTGTGTGATTATCTATAGGGATCCTTTATATATTTGGGATATGAGTTTTTTTTTATCAGATATAGGTATTTTGTATACATTCTCTTACTGTTATATTTACCTTTTCATTTTTTCACAGAGTTGTTTATGAGCAGAAATTTTTACTTTAGATAAAGTCCAAAGTATTAGATAGACAAATGTGATAGCTAGTTGGTACTTTGTGTTCTAGGAAATGCAAAATGCTCTCCAGACTTATTCATGATTCATCTTGTCACAAATGACAGAATTTTCTTTTTTATGGCTGAATAGTACTCTACTGTGTATATGTAGCTCATTTTTTTAGTCCATTCATCTGTTGATATACAGTTAGGTTGATTCCATATCTTGGTTATTGTGCATAGTGCTGCTATGAACATGAGAGTGCAGATATCTCTTCAACATATTGACTTTATTTCCTTTGGATCTATACCTAGTAGTGGGATTATTGGATCATATGTCAACCCTATTTCTAATTTTTAGAGGAAACTCCATTCCGTTTACCATAATGGCTGTGCTAATTTATATTTCCATCAACAGTGTTCATGTGTTTCCTCTTCCCCACATCCTCTCTAACACTTACATCTTTTTGATAAAAGCCATTCTAACACATGGCAAACAATTTATTGAGAATGATGCAGAGAAGACATGGAAAGCCTTCAGACTGTAATGCAGGTAAGACAAATGTGAAGAGGAAGAGAAAAAAAGAAATATTGGGTAGAGAGAGTCTCCTACTACAGTACATTTGCAAATATTCCAAGAAAAAAATAGAGCTAAGCACATTAAATTTCCCCAAGGCAAAGTGACTCATTAGAGGACTCCTGTGTCTTGCAGAAATGGGCCAGCATGAGTACCTTACCATGCTTAGTCAGGGTTGGAAGCAGTCCATGGAAGCATTCATTGTCTTGGTACAGATATGGTGTGGAACCAAAAGGGCAGTATCTGAGGCTGTACTGTTTTCTGCGGTAGCTAAGCTGAGCAGTGGATTTTCATACTTGTTTTTGTCTTACTTCTTTTACTTTACATAATGTTTTTCAGATTCATCTCTGTTGTTGCATGTTTTAACAGTTGCTCATACTTACTGATGAATAATATTTAATTGTCTTACTAGAAAACAATTTATATTTTTTCCAATAGGCAAAACAAATTGGCTTGTTTCTAATTCGGGGCTGTTATGAATAAAGCAGCTGTAACATATTCACGTACGAATATTTTTGTGATCTTATGTTTCCAATGATCTTGTGTAAATACTTCATAGTTAAATTTCTGGTCATAGAACATATGTATGACAAACTTTATAAGAAATTACCCAACAGATATCCAAAGTGGTAATAACATTTTAACTCCTGCTAGCAATATGTGAGTGTTTTAGTTGTCCTACTGCCTCCTGAATTTTTGCTCTTTTTTTTTATTTTAGCTATTCAGTTGGGTATGTGGGGTTATCATATAGTGGTTTTAAATTTATGTTTCCTTGATAACTGAGGATGTTGAAAACTTTTACATGTGTTTATTGGCCATTTTTTTTGTGATGTGTCTGTTTAAATATTTTGTCAATGTTTTCATTAGATTGTTGTAGTCACACTGTAGATGAAGGAGGAGCCCCCCACTCACCATATTTGGTTTGGATTTTGAGACCAATGATAGCACTCATGCACCTGGAGGGTGTGAAGAGGTTAATGATAATGACGCTTTCTAGGAAGAACAGAGCATAATTCAAAATGGCTTAAGAGAGCAGGATAAGCAGGCTGTTAGGGTTTTATGGTGGTTAATGGGTATAGCTGGAATAGAGGTTCTCCTGTATAGCTTGAACTACCTATATGTGCCACAGGAGGGATCATCTGAGCCTTCTCATCAGCTTTCTTACACGTCCAATGATACTGGGTCTCAGTGTGTTCCAAAGAACCTAACCTGCAACAGTGATCTGGACGTGGACCTCTTTCAGATACCAAGATGCATATAAAAAATACAGTCCCTAACCTCAAAGATAACCTCTACTACTATGGTTGCACATTCATTTTTGTTCAGACACATGCACGCATACAAACACAGACACACAGGAAAAGTACATGGTTTTGTTTTTGTAATTTTTACATAAATTGTATATTACATATATTTTTCATTGGACAACTTTATTATTTTTTATTCTCTTCTCAAAAACGTGTTGAGAGATTTAGCATGTCTGTATATGTAGATCTGTCCTGTCATGTGTAAGTGCTTTATTATATTCTTTTTATATGCCACAGTTAATTTAGCTATTTATTGATGAAATCTCTTTTATGTTTTGTTTTCAGATTTTTACAACAAGCAGTTTTGTGTTTTGATATTTTGAATCCACAAGTTAGAATTAGTTGGCATTGCATTTATTATTGAAACCTCAGTCTTAAAATGTGCATCTGTATGTTTTTATTTAAAGGTTAAAGATTTTTGCCTTATCTGAAAGATCCTAATTTAAGTTCCATTGGTATTAGTAATTGAGTATGCTTAATTTATCATCTTCAATAGGGTAGTTGTAACTTGGTAAGGAGAAGGGAAAGAAATTGTCCTTTAGTGTGTCTTTATTTTTTATGCTGAATTAGTGAAAATTCTTGAGAGATTTGCTTAGAATATAGGGACAGTAAGGTACAGCCTTTGGGTAAATTGTCTCTATTTTTTGCACCCTTACCAACAATATGAAAATGAACACATTTGTGTATGATCCCTTCTGCAGAGGAGTGACTGTGTACCTGCATAGGTGGTAAGCAATGCAATTACTGAATCATAACATAAGCCTAACTGTTATCATATGCCCTCCAGCATGGCTGAACTAAATTAGACTCTTAGCAGAGATTATGAGTAACATGTTCCCTATATTCCCTCTTCCACACTTGATGTACTCAAGAGAATTTTGCCACTTTTATCCTGTAAATTTACTGCTAATGTTTTCTTTAAAATGTTTGTTGGGATGCATTTATCTGTCAATATTTTCTTCTCTCTCTTTTTATTTTATTGCCAACATCTAAATTTCACAGCTTACATAATGCTTTCACATCTATAATCCCATTTTATCCTCACAAGAGTTCTATAAAGTTGTCACAGCAGCAATTTTTGTTAACAGAGTTTGAGAGAAAAGATTTCAATGTAAACTTTCAGCTATAGTATAATACCATATAAATACATTCAGAATGAAGCTATGCAATATTTATATATTGTTAATATTTTAGCATGTTGTTTTGCTGTTTCTTAAAAAAATTTCTTATTTCCAAACTTTGCTTTACTTACTACTCAGTAGAAAACATATCTCAATTCCAGGGCAACTGAGGGTCTATTCATTTAAAATACTGACTAATTTTTTCAATGAGAAAATATTTTTTTGCACATGCTAGTCAATGTATTCTCAATCCCCTAAATTCAGAACTCAATATCATTTGCCCTGTTATTGCTTAAAACAGTATAATGTCATCTGGTAAGAGTTATCAAACAACTTCTGAAACCTGAATTAAATTTTCATTCTTTTCTTACTATAGTAGAAGTGAAATTTTTCTTTGACATAATAAATATATAAATTTGACTCTGAAATTAGTAGATCAAATAATGTAATATAATTTTTAATGAACTATTATAGAAAAGCAAATAGACAAGCTGTGACAATAAATTACTAAAGAAAACTTATGTCACTGTTCTTAATTTTCAAACCAATTAGACTTCTGGATAGTTTGGTGCTGTCTTAAAACAAGAGTGATTAAACAACTGATAGGATATATACAAATGACCAGATCAAGTCCCATCTTTCTAGGAATATCTTTGTTAAAAATGCTAGGTACCTCCATTATAATTTTTATAGAAATCTTTACACCATTTATGTATTTATTTAGCTGAGTTATGCATTTTGACACTTTCTTCTTTGTCAGTCCCTTCCTTCTTTCTCCAATTCCTGTGTTTCTAAGATTTTCAAGGCTGAGCTTACTTACAGTATGCTATCTCATTACCAAGCTGGGAATATCAGAAGGCTGAAACTACACCAGAATGACTTCAGAATACTGATGCTCCTCAATTTACAAAGGCGTTACATCCCAGTAAACCCATCAAAAGTTAAAAATATTGTTAAATCAAAAGTGCACTTCAACTCATGATACTTTAACTTGTGATGCGTTTATCTAGGCATGACCTCATCATAAGTCTAGGAGCATACTAAATGCGTGCTGCTTTTGCACCGTTATAAAGTAGAAAATTTATAAGTCAAACCATCCTAAGTTAGGCACCATCTGGGTACTCTGTTCTCTCTACCAGCATCTGTATCCAGACAAGACAGGCTCTCGTTGCCTTTGAGTCTCATCTTACTTTTTGCCCCTGTGGGTTAATCAGGGTTCTCTACAGCAACAGAGAGAAAAATAAAAAGAGAAATACAGAGAGAGATGCAGACAGTGAGATAAAAAGAGGTAGCAAAGAAGAAATTTATTTTAAGAAATTGGCTCATGTGATTTGGGGGATAGGCAAGTGCAAATCTCACAAAGCAGAATGGAATACTGAAAACCCAGACAGGATTTCTACGTTGTAGTCTTCTCCAGGTTAGATTCCTTCTTCAGGAAACCTTAGTCTTTTCTTTTAAGGCCTCTGTCTGATTGTCTAGGTTCATCCACATTATAAAGAGTATACTGTTTTTTACAAAAAGTCTACTGATTTAAATGTTCAGCATATTGGATAAAGCCATCACAATATTTTCTGACTGTTGTTTGAGCAAACTAATGAACACCATAGCATACCAAGTTGACACATAAAATTAAACATCCCATTATACAGTAAGTCTCAAGCAATAGTATTTCAGGACAAAAGGAAAATAGTAATAAACCAAAACCAGATCAAAACAAAACAAAATACAGAAACACAGTTACACAGACACCTAAAAATTTGATTTTCTTAGTTGGTACTTCTTGTACTTGGGTCAAAAACTAATATGTATATTAGTATGCCATTTATTTTCTATTTAATCATGTAATTTTTATATAAATTTCAAAAAATAGTATGATTCCCAGTTTCTTAGTGCAAGGCATTGCAGCTTATATGAGTTAAAAACTGACTCCCAGGTGACACAGTCAACAAACGTTCTTTAAAATTTACCATGTGAGGATAACTAAAAAAATAGTCTAAGTTTGATCTGGTAACAAGTCTTGGCCAAATGATATTAGCTCCGTTAATTTCTGAAAAAACAAAAGGGAAAAGAAACAGAAGATATTTTCAAGGGATGGAATACAATAGAATTTTTGCTGGTTCTGGAGGGAATGAAAAATAGGAGGGATTGTTTGATACCAAAAAGAAAAGACTAGAGTCGATGCATTTGGATGACATGAAGGTGAAGAATTGTTGTGATAGATATCCTGCAACAGGGAAGCTGTGATAATAGAGTTGGAGCCGTGCAATTATGGCATGACAATAGTAGCCTTTCTAGTGGTGTGAGGTCCAGGTGTGTGATTATGGCAGCAAGAGGCTGAGGAGGCATAAAGGAAAATAACTTGAGGAATGGGAAGATAAAGAATTGAGAGGCCAAGTGTTGTATGATTTACATACTTGTATATTGACATCTCTGTGATTTGTAATAAGAATGTGGTGGGGAGGAAGATTATGGAGCCAGCAGCCACGGTCTTTATCAAAAAGAAAGAAATGGCTGTAAGCTTCTTACATGACCACATCTGTATAGTGAAGATAAGAGTATAGTCTTATGGTGCCACCTTTTAAAGACTGAGATGGACAGTGGGCAAAAAATATAGCAGGGAGGCAATGACCCTGAAGCATTGGAGTGCAAAAGCATACCTAAGTAAAAGGCTATGGTTGCAACTAGGAGCAGTATTGTGCAAATGTAAGAGGAAGCCAAAGAAATGTGAAGCTAAAAATGTTCAGAGCACAAGCAACTTTAGGTACAAGTTGGTATTATTAAGAGGAAAACCCAGTAACTTGGAACTTTTGTCTTGGCAGAAGTCTTAGTTCATTTGTGCTGCTGTAACAAAATACCTGAGACTGGGTTATTTCTAAAGAGCAGCCAACCTTGGAAACATAGAAAGACTTTGTCTCTCTGAAAAAAAATAAGAGATTAGCTTGGCATGGTGGCATGTGCCAGTGGTCCCAACTACTTGGGATGCCGAGGTGGGAGCATCACTTGAGACAGGGAAGTCAAATTTGCCGTGAACTGTGATCATGCCACTGCACTCCAGCCTGGGTGACCCAGCAAGACCCTGTATCAAATAAATAAATAAGTAAATAAATAAATAAATAAATAACAGAAATTTATTTCTCATAGTCCTGTAGGCTGGGAAGTTCAAGATCTAGGCACCAGCTTCTGTTGAGGGCCTTCTTGTTGCATCTTCATAGGCAAAAAAGCACAAAAGAAAGATTGACAAATGCTGAATGAATATTTTTAAGGACCTCAATTCCATTTATGAAAGAGTAGCCCTCATGTACTAATCACCTCTTAAAGGTCCCGCCTCTTAATACTCTCATTTTGGCAAGACATGAATTTTGGATGGGACACATTCAAATCATAGTAATAGGGTTGAGGTGCCAAGCACTCCTTTCTATTGGATGCTATTTTCATGGTACCTGGGTAGATCCCACAGGAGCAGGGAAGCCAGATTTACCTTAACCAATTCTATTCTATATCTAGTATGTGGTGGGATTATGCTCAGTTATAACTTTCTCCACCTGCCTGACTTGTGGAGCAAAGATATGAAATAAATGGCAGTTTAAACAGGGAATGATACCTATGTGATGAGTATGAAGAGGTCACTATTTCCTTCTTTCAATTTCACAAAAGTGGCCATCTCCTCTTTAAATGACTTGACACTAATATCATTCACAGTCAACCATCTGTCATTTTTTATAGCAAAAAAAGCATGATATTCTTGTATCACAGATATGACATCCTCATGAAAAAATGTGTTGACACTTTTCACTCATAATAATACAGGATTGATTGTTTCCATCTTTAATTTTTCCAAAAATATCTGTGAGAAAGATGTGCAGTAATTGAATCACAAATGACAGTGGCTGAGGGGAGTGTGGAAAGATTTTAGAAAGAAAATTACCATCGGAATTACAAATCACAAGTAGTTCACAGAAAAAAATAATCTTGTTGGATAGTTTAGAAGCAAACACAGAGATTCAGTGATTCTTCAGGGTTGTCCATTATAATACATTTGATAGCAATGAATATAAAAATTGATTTGATGATCCATACAGATACATGCATAATCTACTTCCTTTTCCACATTTTAGAGCAACTCCCACTCCTAGATGGTTTTATTAGAATTATAGAATTCCAGAGCTGGTAAGATTCTTAGTGATCATCTCAATCCAGCACGTCATGTATGTTATAGAAGAAGAAACTGCAGAAAAGCTTATTTGTTAATTGCCAAAATTCAGGAGTAGTGCCTTTCTGTAGGCTGGGCAAGGTCCATTATTTGGTTCTTTTGAAAGAAGAGTTAAATGTGAAATTTCAGGACACCAAGAAACGAGGAGACTTGTAAGAGAAATATTATACTGTTTCTTTGTTTCCTACACAGGTCAATTTAACAAACCTCAGAAATGACCACAATGCTTCTAGCATTCTGCTTATGAGCTAAATTATTTTTTCCTAGGACTAAGGATAGCTGGGCATAAATTTTTCGGAGAAAGGAGTATAGACATAGAGCATTTTACTAGATATTATATATGTAACTACTTCAAAAGGAGAATGAGATGGCTGGCCCTTCTCATTTCTGTAGACTATAGAGGAGGCAGTGGTAATATCAAAATTTCAGTCTTCGTTGGATGCAGTTTTACTTGGCATGTTAAACAAATGCTGAATGACAAGCTGACAAGATCTTTAAATTTTGGGGTTTTTTTTGGAATTATACAAGCATTTAATGTTATGTTCAAATTCACCTTACTGAGAAATATTAGAAGCCATTTTTATTTACATATCTTATTTTTCCCTAAAACAGAGGAAAACATTATTACTTATATGACAAGCTTATTTCAGTCTTATAAAAGGGATTTCTGTCCAAGAGTCTCCTGGCATAAACAAATTAAATATTCAATGTTCCAGTGTGGTTTAAGATATCAAGTAACTTGGCTTTAAGTCCATTCATTTTACACTAAGCCATATAGTCATCTCTCTGTCACTAAAACCTTGCACTTTTGTCATACCACCTACTCTATTAAACTGTAATGCTTCATTTACCTGTTTTTCTCTTCCACTTGACACTGAGCTCTTTGAGATAATAAATCCTGTCTCTTATTTATCTTTTTCTTCCACTTAAGACATGTACTAAGATTTCAAAAACTGTTTTTCAAGTAAATACATAAACACCTTCCTCGTTTACAGTATCTCAATATATAGCTTTTGTTTTTGTTTTTTGTTTTTGTTTTTTTTTTTGAGTTGGGATTTTGCTCTTGTTACCTAGGCTGGAGTGCAATGGCATGGTCTTGGCTCACTGCAACCTCCACCTCCTGGGTTCAAGCGATCCTCCTGCCTCACCCTCCCAAGTAGCTGGGATTACAGGCACCTGCCACCACGCCCGGCTAATTTTTGTGTTTTTAGTGGAGATGGGGTTTCACCATGTTGGCGTGGCTAATCTCGAACTCCTGACCTCAGGTGAGCTGCTCACCTTGGCCTCCCAAAGTGCTGGGATTACAGGCATAAGCCACTATGCCCAGCCGTAATATATAGCTCATTTTATCTTTAAATAGTATGTTTTTTTCTAGTTCTTGACTGTGACATATATTTATTTTACAATGTGCTTCAATCTCCTTTCAGTATATATGGAAGAGTTCTGTAATCATTTCCCTGAAGATCGTTCTGGGTTCAACCCAAATCACTTAAGTATTGATAATGCTAAAAGTTTCTTTACTGTTAGCAGCAAAATCCACACTACAAAGTACTTTTATAAATTATTTAACATTTACATGTATACAAAAGGATTGGAAAGAAGTAGAACAATATATACATGTGATCATTTATGTACTTTGAACTACTTCATATTTGAAAAATATTATACAATGTATTTATTTTAACATTATGGTAATGTCTAGACCATTACTAAAGAAAATTAAAAGCATAATTAACAAGACAGAGGGACCATGAATAAAGCATAAGGGAAGGGTGGTAGAGGGGACAGCGATTCTGTAACCAGGATGGATGAGCCCAGAAAAGTCACCCCAATAGCTGGGGCAGGAGAGAAAGGAGATTCAGTAGCCACTGAAACCAGGTCTTGGGTTTATGTATGTGACCATTAGGGACTCATTTAACCTCTCTGGGAGTCGATTATTTTAACACTGAATTTTATATAATGAGTTTCCTCATCTAGTCATTTTTTTAAGCTAGCTGATTGAGGGCAGAATTACAGATAAGCAGCAACTCATAGGTTTGTTGAAATGTATTAAAAGTGGATGTTTGTTGCAGTGAATCAAAAGTGGTGAATTGAAATGTGTAGACTCAGACAGGAATGAAACCCTGCACTTTTTCTTAAGGACATCATGATCTTGTTGAGTGTTTAGACAGAGACTGATAAATCACACTCTATGAGAAAATGCGGTGTAGAAACACTAGAAGATTTGGAATATAGCACATCGAGATTCCAATATCAACTTTTACGCACTGCCTTAGGTGAATTACTCCACATCTCTGAGACTTGTATTCTTCACCAATTAAGAAAGATGTCAAAGTTGTGGTTACCTTGAAAGGTTCTTCCAAATATTGAAAAACAGGTTAAAAAATCTTTACAGGTTTTCTCTCAATAACAGTTTTGAACTAAACTTATTTTGGAATAACTGAGGTGTAAAGAGATTTAAATCTCTTCACTCCAAATTCTGACATCTCAGCTTTGATTAAACTAAACATCAAGAGAATGCTGTGAATTATGTGAAGATATAGGTCATGTATGGTTACTATAGTTTACTATACAATAGTTGTGTATCGTTCACTATGGTTCATATGATTGTTATAATGAGCCCATTGTAATAGCCATGTTGCCTGGCCTTCATTATAGAGCATTATCAAGATTCTTTTATATGCTAATAGTTTAGTATTTGATTAACTCTACTGAGGAGAAAAAAATAAATGTTAATACTGAAAAAAGAGAATAGAAATACTATTGCCTTTAAGAAGTAGAAAAATATGCTATGTAATGCAATTTGCCCCTTTAATTTGAATATTACAGTTTCTATTCAATTCTACTAACAATTGTTAGTGATTGACTACATGCTAAATATAATTTTTGGACTCTGTAGAGGAGATACTGATTAATGATTAATCTGTGCAATTTTCTGCACAAAATATGTCTATGGTGTAGGGCAGTGCTTCTCAACTTTATTTCTTTTTTTTTTGCATTGCCCTGCTGAAGAGGAAACAAAAACAATTAAGTTTATATTATTCCTAATGAGAGAAATTAAACTATAAGGAATCAGATTTTGCAGAGTTTTTGAGATTCAGAGATTATTGTAGTATCTAGGATTTCTGCCTTCTGGGAACCAATTTCATTCCCTTAGGGGTGATATTGTTCCCATCAAGAATGAATGGTCTTAAGAATAACAGATAACTGTAACCTACATCTACATGGTAACTTGTTAAGGTTCACAGAGGTACCAAGTCCTGTGTTTTTCCATTGAAATCAGACAAAGCTTGGTGAAGGAGAAGGCATATAAAGTATCACTTGGATGACTGAATTTCAAGAGGAAGAGATGTACAAGGCGAAGTGTCACTTAATGAGAAGCAAAAGTGTGAATAAAGATAAACATTGTAGACATGATAAAGTTTGGGGTTTGTTTAATACATATCAGGTATGCTTGGTTGAAAATTTAGACGTTGCTTATAGGCAAAGTAGAGTAATTAAAGGATTTTGAACATATAAAAAACATGGCCCTAAGAAAGGTAATTTGGTAATGCCATAGATGGCATCAATATAGATTGAATAAGATAGAGACAAGATGTGGTGGGGGTTAGTTCAGGCAGCAAATGTGATAATCCAGGTGACAGCTACAGGAGCCTAAACAGAAGGGTGGAAGTGGAAGTTGTTGAATTTACCCTAACCTAAATTCATAGTAAACGCAGTGATATGTAAAAACCAGATCAAAAACACTTCTTATAGGATACATCTAATTTTCCTATTGAGATTCAGAAGAAAGAAGAAAACTCTTTTTTTCACATTTTTACTTACTAGCCTCCCATGTTACTGAATTTAAAGTTTGCCTCATTATTCCAAAGGGTCAAACAAATACTTTTTAATCCAAATATTTTGAGAAACCTATCAGAGATAACCAAATCTTGGAAGCAGGCCTCAGTGGACCTCTGATATTCTTTAGCTGGAGGCTCCCTGAAAATACTTTTCATTTTTGCTATATAAATAGAACCAAGAAATCCTTGCTAAACCTCATGAAATTAATAAACCAGTCACATACCTAACGGTAAAATACCCTAGGCCATAAAAACTAAATATTTTACTTTTATTAATTTATAGAGTGAAGAGACTCCACATATACTGTTGTTAACAGCACTTACGTATGTTATAGATGTGCACAAAACTGAGTGGCTAGCATTTTTCTTGTTGGCAGCCTTTTATACAACACTTTTGAAAGTATTTAGAAAAGCAGAGAGTAAACTAATATTTTTTGAGGACCTGCTATATGTCAGTTTCACATTAGAAACTCTTTTGATCTGAATGGTAAACTTGAAAAGCAGAGATCATGATGCCAATCTTACAAACTTGGAGGTTTGAAGAAGTACACATTTGCCTGAGATACGAATCAGTGAAGCTGAGATGCAAACCAAGTTTTCTGACTTCCAGGCTAATGCTTACTTACTAACTTCGGTGAAATCTGGCTGCAAAAGAAGAAAAAGCAATTCTTATTTGAGGGAAGTGAATTTATGTAGGAGCATGTATAGAACAGAGTTTAAAGCTACTAGAAATATCCCCAGTCTCATAATTACTAAGGGACATAAGCTATAAAACATGTTCATTTATGAATAAATCTGTAACATTCCCCAATGTTTGAACTCCATGAAATTTACTATCTTTTTTTTTTTTTATTTTTCTGTACTTTCTAAACTGGACAATGATGTGATAATTTTGGAAATGGTTATTTTTCATTGATTCCCTGGAATAATAAAGAGGTTCCAGACACTTCTAGAGAAAATCTAATTAATGAGCTACTCAGTGGAGAAAGAATTGAAGAACAATAAAGACTGGCTTCTTTTTTAACAATATATATAAATTAAGGTTTTATAAAACATTACATTAATTTAAAAACCTGATTTGAAATACATAAAGGGAAAACGAATATATATCTTCTTATTCTGTATATTCTCATAGTCAGTTGACTTAGATTAGGTTCTCTGGAGACAGAGTCTGAGACAGAGTCGCATGCAGTGCAGAGGTGAAGTTGCAGGGAGGAAAAGAATGCTCTTGGGACAAACTTTGTAAGGAAGTGAAAGAAGGCAGACTGCCGGCAGGTGGAAAAGTTACCTTCAATGCAGTTTTAACTGAGGCCTCATCAGATTCTGCCAGGAAAGCCTATAATAGTCTTAAATGGAATCAGGGAAGCTGGATATTTGCCAGTCATAGGCCAGATGCTGCCTAGGAAGTGTGTGACCTTGGAGTCAGGAGTAATCACCAGTGAAGAAATTGCTGTCATCTGCCAGTAGCCCATCTTCCCAAAGGCCACAAGATGGATGTGTTGTTCCTGAAGACAGGATCTAGGTATAACGCCCGAGTGTCCACTAGCAGGCTACCCCTCATGCCATTCATAGTAAGTTTACCCATCAGGAAACAGCTTCTCCAGAGTTCCGATTAATGTTTCCTGGTAAACTTATAAGGAAAGGGATGGTAGGACAAACTAGAGCTGTTCATGTTGTAGTTGATCACAAGGCTGTAACTGATTCATCCTCCGCCTCCTCTGCCACGTTTTCTACTAACTCAATGAGGAACTCTACTGCTCTAGTGACGCACCTGGTGGGGCGACCCAGACTCCCAATCTTGAAGGCTCTGAGTTTTCAGTTACTGTGCCTGTCTCATACCTTGGCTACTGTATTTGTCTACTTATTAGTAAAATGATCACAGAACACCAAGAAACACTCCAGTTTATCACGAGTGTCAAACATATTCTTCCTTTCTCCATTATGTAACAGAAAGTCAACATCTTCATAATTGGGAAGATGTAAGGAAGAATTGGCATGAACTATTGTGAGAGATAAAGATATTACTTATGAATGTGCCTTAAATAATACTTTGTTTATACTACACAGTTAATATTTGTTGAACATTACAGCCTATATTTAGAATTTTAACAAGGCAGAACAGCTTTTTTCAATGCATTTAACAGGTAAATGATTGCTCTGCATTTGGGGATCAGCTTCTGTGTTGAGTGTCTATATTCAGAAAGGGGTAGAGTTGGGGGAGTGAATACAGAAAGAGGCCACCTGCATGCCAATCAAAGGAATTTAACTCACCCTGAGATCAGTGAAGTGGTAATTGCAGCACCTGCTTCAGACTCATAGATAATTTTGTCTGTGCAGGAGTATGACTTTTTTTTTTGTGATATAGAGGCAGAATAAATTCCTAAGATTATTGGAAGAAGGACAGTAGAGAAGGATCCTGAAGACTGGAGTGGGATTTTACACTGGTATAGGAGGGTGAAAAGATAAGGCAGTGACCAAGGACAAGAAATGCATTAAAAGGAGTAAATGCTCTGGAAGAGGGATTCGATGACAATCCTAGAGGGTGTTGGGAAGCTTATTTTGAATAAGCATCCCAATGAATCTGACATTTTTCAGATTATATTTTATAAAATCAATCCCAATCCATTAGGTGGGATAGAACAATAGACATTTGCATAACACAAACAATGCTCAAATTCAAGTGAGTGGCAGAAGAGTGGCTCCAGGTGGTCTCTGTATTTGAAAGACAGAGACCTAGCACATTTCTGTAAAAGGGGTCGATAAATCAAATGCCTACAGGGATCAGGCGAATAAGGTAAGTGAGTGACTCAAGTGGTTGCTGCAAAGGGATTGGCAATGATATGGTTTGTCGCCGTGTCCCCACCCAAATCTCATCTCAAATTATAATCCCTATGTGTCTGAGAAAGGGCCTGATGGGAAGTGATTGTATCATGGGGGTGGATTTCCCCCTTGTTGTTCTCATGACAGTGAGTGAGTTCTCATGAGATCTGACGGTTTAAAAGTGTGTGGCACCTCTTCCTGTCTCTATCTCCTGCTCTGCCATGGTGGGACATGCTTGCTTCCCCTTCACCTTTGCCATGATTGTAGGTTTCCTGAGGCCTACTAGCCATGCTTTCTGTTAAGCCTGTGGAACTGTGAGTCAGTTAACCTCTTTTCTTCATAAATTACCCAGCCTCAGGTAGTTCTTTTTTTTTTTTTTTTTTTTAGGGTTTTTTTTTTTTTAATTATACTTTAAGTTTTAGGGTACATGTGCACATTGTGCAGGTTAGTTACATATGTATACATGTGCCATGCTGGTGCGCTGCACCCACTAACTCGTCATCTAGCATTAGGTATATCTCCCAATGCTATCCCTCCCCCCTCCCCCCACCCCACCACAGTCCCCAGAGTGTGATATTCCCCTTCCTGTGTCCATGTGATCTCATTGTTCAATTCCCACCTATGAGTGAGAATATACGGTGTTTGGTTTTTTGTTCTTGCAATAGTTTACTGAGAATGATGATTTCCAGTTTCATCCATGTCCCTACAAAGGACATGAACTCATCATTTTTTATGGCTGCATAGTATTCCATGGTGTATATGTGCCACATTTTCTTAATCCAGTCTATCATTGTTGGACATTTGGGTTGGTTCCAAGTCTTTGCTATTGTGAATAATGCCGCAATAAACATACGTGTGCATGTGTCTTTATAGCAGCATGATTTATAGTCCTTTGGGTATATACCCAGTAATGGGATGGCTGGGTCAAATGGTATTTCTAGTTCTCGATCCCTGAGGAATTACCACACTGACTTCCACAATAGTTGAACTAGTTTACAGTCCCACCAACAGTGTAAAAGTGTTCCTATTTCTCCACATCCTCTCCAGCACCTGTTGTTTCCTGACTTTCTAATGATCACCATTCTAACTGGTGTGAGATGGTATCTCATAGTGGTTTTGATTTGCATTTCTCTGATGGCCAGTGATGATGAGCATTTTTTCATGTGTTTTTTGGCTGCATAAATGTCTTCTTTTGAGAAGTGTCTGTTCATGTCCTTTGTCCACTTTTTGATGGGGTTGTTTGTCTTTTTTTGTAAATTTGTTTGAGTTCATTGTAGATTCTGGATATTGGCCCTTTGTCAGATGAGTAGGTTGTGAAAATTTTCTCCCATCTTGTAGGTTGCCTGTTCACTGTGATGGTAGTTTCTTTTGCAGTGCAGAAGCTCTTTAGTTGAATTAGATACCATTTGTCAATTTTGGCTTTTATTGCCATTGCTTTTGGTGTTTTGGACATGAAGTCCTTGCCCATGCCTATGTCCTGAATGGTAATGCATAGGGTTTCTTCTAGGGTTTTTATGGTTTTAGGTCTAACGTTTAAGTCTTTAATCCATCTTGAATTGATTTTTGTATAAGGTGTAAGGAAGGGATCCAGTTTCAGCTTTCTACATATGGCTAGCTAGTTTTCCCAGCACCATTTATTAAATAGGGAATCCTTTCCCCATTGCTTGTTTTTCTCAGGTTTGTCAAAGATCAGATAGTTGTAGATATGTGGCATTATTTCTGAGGGCTCTGTTCTGTTCCATTGATCTATATCTCTGTTTTGGTACCAGTACCATGCTGTTTTGGTTACTGTAGCCTTGTAGTATAGTTTGAAGTCAGGTAGTGTGATGCCTCCAGCTTTGTTCTTTTGGCTTAGGATTGCCTTGGCGATGCGGGCTCTTTTTTGGTTCCATATGAACTTTAAAGTAGTTTTTTCCAATTGTGTGAAGAAAGTCATTGGTAGCTTGATGGGGATGGCATTGAATCTGTAAATTACGTTGGGCAGTATGGCCATTTTCACAATATTGATTCTTCCTACCCATGAGCATGGAATGTTCTTCCATTTGTTTGTATCCTCTTTTATTTCCTTGAGCAGTGGTTTGTAGTTCTCCTTGAAGAGGTCCTTCACATCCCTTGTAAGTTGGATTCCTAGGTATTTTATTCTCTTTGAAGCAATTGTGAATGGGAATTGACTCATGATTTGGCTCTGTGTTTGTCTGTTGTTGGTGTATAAGAATGCTTGTGATTTTTGTACATTGATTTTGTATCCTGAGACTTTGCTGAAGTTGCTTATCAGCTTAAGGAGATTTTGGGCTGAGACAATGGGGTTTTCTAGATATACAATCATGTCGTCTGCAAACAGGGACAATTTGACTTCCTCTTTTCCTAATGGAATACCCTTTATTTCCTTCTCCTGCCTAATTGCCGTGGCCAGAACTTCCAACACTATGTTGAATAGGAGTGGTGAGAGAGGGCATCCCTGTCTTGTGCCAGTTTTCAAAGGGAATGCTTCCAGTTTTTGCCCATTTAGTATGATATTGGCTGTGGGTTTGTCATAGATAGCTCTTATTATTTTGAAATATGTCCCATCAATACCTAATTTATTGAGAGTTTTTAGCATGAAGGGTTGTTGAATTTTGTCAAAGGCCTTTTCTGCATCTATTGACATAATCATGTGGTTTTTGTCTTTGGCTCTGTTTACATGCTGGATTACATTTATTGATTTGCGTATATTGAACCAGCCTTGCATCCCAGGGATGAAGTCCACTTGATCATGGTGGATAAGCTTTTTGATGTGCTGCTGGATTCATTTTGCCAGTATTTTATTGAGGATTTTTGCATCAATGTTCATCAAGGATATTGGTCTAAAATTCTCTTTTTTGGTTGTGTCTCTGCTCGGCTTTGGTATCAGGATGATGCTGGCCTCATAAAACGAGTTAGGGAGGATTCCTTCTTTTTCTATTGATTGGAATAGTTTCAGAAGGAATGGTACCAGTTCCTCCTTGTACCTCTGGTACAATTCGGCTGTGAATCCATCTGGTCCTGGACTCTTTTTGGTTGGTAAACTATTGATTGTTGCCACAATTTCAGCTCCTGTTATTGGTCTATTCAGAGATTCAACTTCTTCCTGGTTTAGTCTTGGGAGAGTGTATGTGTCGAGGAATTTATCCATTTCTTCTAGATTTTCTAGTTTATTTGCGTAGAGGTGTTTGTAGTATTCTCTGATGGTCGTTTGTATTTCTGTGGGATTGGTGGTGATATCCCCTTTATCATTTTTTATTGTGTCTATTTGATTCTTCTCTCTTTTTTTCTTTATTAGTCTTGCTAGTGGTCTATCAATTTTGTTGATCCTTTCAAAAAACCAGCTCCTGGATTCATTAAATTTTTGAAGGGTTTTTTGTGTCTCTATTTCCTTCAGTTCTGCTCTGAATTTAGTTATTTCTTGCCTTCTGCTAGCTTTTGAATGTGTTTGCTCTTGCTTTTCTAGTTCTTTTAATTGTGATGTTAAGGTGTCAATTTTGGATCTTTCCTGCTTTCTCTTGTGGGCATTTAGTGCTAAAATTTCCCTCTACACACTGCTTTGAATGCGTCCCAGAGATTCTGGTATGTTGTGTCTTTGTTCTCATTGGTTTCAAATAACATCTTTATTTCTGCCTTCATTTCGTTATGTATCCAGTAGTCATTCAGGAGCAGGTTGTTCAGTTTCCATGTAGTTGAGCAGTTTTGAGTGAGACTCTTAATTCTGAGTTCTAGTTTGATTGCACTGTGGTCTGAGAGATAGTTTGTTATAATTTCTGTTCTTTTCCATTTGCTGAGGAGAGCTTTACTTCCAAGTATGTGGTCAATTTTGGAATAGGTGTGGTGTGGTGCTGAAAGAAATGTATATTCTGTTGATTTGGGGTGGAGGGTTCTGTAGATGTCTATTAGGTCCGCTTGGTGCAGAGCTGAGTTCAATTCCTAGGTATCCTTGTTGACTTTCTGTCTCGTTGATCTGTCTAATGTTGACAGTGGGGTGTTAAAGTCTCCCATTATTAATGTGTGGGAGTCTAAGTCTCTTTGTAGGTCACTCAGGACTTGCTTTATGAATCTCGGTGCTCCTGTATTGGGTGCATATATATTTAGGATAGTTAGCTCTTCTTGTTGAATTGATCCCTTTACCATTATGTAATGGCCTTCTTTGTCTCTTTTGATCTTTGTTGGTTTAAAGTCTGTTTTATCAGAGACTAGGATTGCAACCCCTGCCTTTTTTTGTTTTCCATTTGCTTGGTAGATCTTCCTCCATCCTTTTATTTTGAGCCTATGTGTGTCTGTGCACATGAGATTGGTTTCCTGAATATAGCACACTGATGGGTCTTGACTCTTTATCCAATTTGCCAGTCTGTGTCTTTTAATTGGAGCATTTAGTCCATTTACATTTAAAGTTAATATGGTTAGTATGTGAAGAGGTCAGCAAGAATTCAGCCACAGCCAATTTCACTCTTATGAGAAGTGGACCAGTACCATGAGATCTTAGACATATTTCGAGATATTTATATAACATTTATGTAAATTTATATAAATGTCAGTTATTTAAATGTTGGACCTAAATCACAATTTTAAAATCTGGCTGGGCCAAATAACATAAATCTGAAAAGCAGCTGTCACTTGCAGTCCTCTATGTCACAAATCTGACAAATAAAATAGAGTCCTAATGTAGAGACAGAACTTCAGAGACAGGTTTCTGTGTTATGTTGGGAGCTAAGCATCCATCTGAAAATGGAGGCAGGATTCCAGTAATTAGTGTTGCTGTACCGCCACAAGAGTAAGAGAGAAATCTAGAGTTTTGTGAGCATGCTATAGCCCTAGTATTCACCATATTTAGCTGAAAGGCTCTAAGTCTCTCTTCAAGTTTGGGGGTCTTCCCAATTGAGAAAGCTATGTCCTCCAAATGGAGGATAAAATTAAGATTTAAATACCAGCTCAAGGTCCTTATGCAATCGCTCTGACTTACTTGCTTACTCACATTTCTTTTGCTATTGATTTTCTGCTTCTGAGCTCCCAGCTTTAAAATCTACCTCTAAAAACTCTAGTTTAGGGACTCCCCATAGATTCCCCTTGGGCTTTTTTCTTGACTTTGAATTCCAGTTTGGTTCTTGTCAATGATTATCACTCTGGGTTTCATGTCCTCTCTGGTCTTCACATTGAAATATTCATTCTATGTGGATCCCACAGAATCCCAGTGATGGAGTTTGCCTCCTGGGTACCAACAGGGGAAATATGATTTGGATTTTGATAATAAGAAAGTTGAGACTTTTATGGACTCCTTATGCTCCCAGGATTGCCATGGGAATTCTGGGGGGGATAGAACCTACAGACAATGGGACAGGACTACATTATAGAATTGCACAGGTTTAGAAATATAAATTCATAAATACACTCAGTGTAAGTATCTATAATTATCGATGACAAAACAAGAGATTTCACAGAATTCTTGAAAGGGTTAAATACAATCATATTTTAAAATTGTGGACAGTTGGTTGGCCTGTACTATGACTGATGCACCATAACCCTGTTGTTTTCCTGTCTGTCCCCTCAGTTATGCACTGAATGATAAGTCAGGGAATACTGAGGTAACTTCCTGGCATTCATTTCCCTTCCAGCAGTATTTCTGATAAATGTATATGTGTACTTATTTTGTAAAAGATGCTTAGGATTCCTTTGAAGCGTGCTTAATAATTTTCTTATATTTTGTATTTTGCAATTCTTACCTACTCTCTTCCCTTTTACAAAACAAAATAAATGAAAAGGCAAATGCCAAAACTTGATTGAATCCTATGAAAGGCTATCAAAATGACATATTTTACAGAAGTATGACCCAGGGACGTTCACAGAATAATTTAGCACAAAGAACTTCCTGATGAAGAGTAGTATAATAAAATCCCTGAAACTAGCGTCTCAACTTTAGGAAAGGCTAGAGGATAAACAGAGGCAGCATTCACATTTATTTTCAGAACCTCTCACCTTGACTGTTTTCCCTTTCAAAATGAGCTTAGACTTGATTTATAAATGAGCTACAAAGTCAGATTAAGAAGAATGTTATTTTGAATGCAATGTTATGAATTGTTCTCACCTACAATAAGACCTTTCTTGGCGAAGAACACTTAGGTGCATGATTAGGAAATGTTAAGCCCTCATGCAAATATAATGTCATCCTCTCCTTTACATACACACTTTTGTGCACTGAAGATAACTGCCCTTCTTTATCTTTTAATCAAGAGAACAAAAAAAAAAACTTTGTTTCAAGAAGCCCACACTATCACCTCTGTTAGACAGGCCATGGTCTTGATGTAAAAGGCCAATTGCTTTATCCAAGAATGATGATTTCCTAGAAGGAATGGACTTCATGAAGCATTGTGGATAGATTTGGTTGAGAGGGTAACACGAAAACCTATTAATATTTAGGGTACAGAAAAAATTATTTAAAAACTAGTTATGAGATGTTTTCACTGCTGGAAAAGCTGAAATTTAAGTTATTCTTTTTATTATACTTTGAGTTGTAGGGTACATTTGCACAACGTGCATGTTTGTTACATATGTATACATGTGCCATGTTGGTGTGCTGCACCCATTAACTCGTTATTTACATTAGGTATATCTCCTAATGCTTTCCCTCCCCCCTCCCCCTACCCCACAACAGGCCCTGGAGTGTGATGTTCCCCTTCCTGTGTCCAAGTTTTCTCATTGTTCAATTCCCACCTATAAGTGAGAACATGCATTGTTTGGTTTTTTGTTCTTGCGATAGTTTGCTGAGAATGATGGTTTCCAGCTTCATCCATGTCCCTACAAAGGACATGAACTTATCCTTTTTTTTTTCTTTTTTTTATTTATTATTATTATACTTTAAGTTTTAGGGTACATGTGCACAATGTGCAGGTTAGTTACATATGTATACATGTGCCATGCTGGTGCGCTGCACCCACTAACTCGTCATCTAGCATTCGGTGTATCTCCTAATGCTATCCCTCCCCACTCCCCACACCCCACAACAGTCCCCAGAGTGTGATGTTCCCCTTCCTATGTCCATGTGTTCTCATTGTTCAATTCCCACCTATAAGTGAGAATATGTGGAGTTTGGTTTTTTGTTCTTGTGATAGTTTACTGAGAATGATGATTTCCAGTTTCATCCATGACCCTACAAAGGACATGAATTCATCATTTTTTATGGCTGCATAGTATTCCATGTTGTATATGTGCCACATTTTCTTAATCCAGTCTGTCATCGTTGGACATTTGGGTTGGTTCCAAGTCTTTTCTATTGTGAATAATGCCGTGATAAACATACACATGCATGTGTCTTTATAGTAGCATGATTTATAGTCCTTTGGGTATACACCCGGTCATGGGATGGCTGGGTCAAATGGTATTTCTAGTTCTAGATCCCTGAGGAATCGCCACACTGACTTCCACAATAGTTGAACTAGTTTACAGTCCCACCAACAGTGTAAAAGTGTTCCTATTTATCCACACCCTCTCCAGCACCTGTTGTTTCCTGACTTTTTAATGATTGCCATTCTAACTGGTGTGAGATGGTATGTCATTGTGGTTTTGATTTGCATTTCTCTGATGGCCAGTGATGGTGAGCATTTTTTCATGTGTTTTTTGGCTGCATAAATGTCTTCTTTTGAGAAGTGTCTGTTCATGTCCTTCGCCCACTTTTTGATGGGGTTGTTTGTTTTTTTCTTGTAAATTTGTTTGAGTTCATTGTAGATTCTGGATATTAGCCCTTTGTCAGTTGAGTAGGTTGTGAAAATTTTCTCCCATTTTGTAGGTTGCCTGTTCACTGTGATGGTAGTTTCTTTTGCAGTGCAGAAGCTCTTTAGTTTAATTAGATCCCATTTGTCAATTTTGTCTTTTGTTGCCATTGCTTTTGGTGTTTTAGACATGAAGTACTTACCCATGCCTATGGCCTGAATGGTAATGCCTAGGTTTTCTTCTAGGGTTTTTATGGTTTTAGGTCTAACGTTTAAGTCTTTAATCCATCTTGAATTGATTTTTGTATAAGGTGTAAGGAAGGGATCCAGTTTCAGCTTTCTACATATGGCTAGCTAGTTTTCCCAGCACCATTTATTAAATAGGGAATCCTTTCCCCATTGCTTGTTTTTCTCAGGTTTGTCAAAGATCAGATAGTTGTAGATATGTGGCATTATTTCTGAGGGCTCTGTTCTGTTCCATTGGTCTATGTCTCTGTTTTGGTACCAGTACCATGCTGTTTTGGTTACTATAGCCTTGTAGTATAGTTTCAAGTCAGGTAGTGTGATGTCTTCAGCTTTGTTCTTTTAGCTTAGGATTGCCTTGGTGATGGCGGGCTCTTTTTTGGTGCCATATGAACTTTAAAGTAGTTTTTTCCAATTCTGTGAAGAAAGTCATTGGTAGCTTGATGGGGATGGCTTTGAATCTGTAAATTACGTTGGGCAGTATGGCCATTTTCACGATATTGATTCTTCCTACCCATGAGCATGGAGTTTTCTTCCATTTGTTTGTATCCTCTTTTATATGCTTGAGCAGTGGTTTGTAGTTTTCCTTGAAGAGGTCCTTCACATCCCTTGTAAGTTGTATTCCTAGGTATTTTATTCTCTTTGAAGCAATTGTGAATGGGAGTTCACTCATGATTTGGCTCTCTGTTTGTCTGTTGTTGGTGTATAAGAATGCTTGTGATTTTTATACATTGATTTTGTATCCTGAGACTTTGCTGAAGTTGCTTATCAGCTTAAGGAGATTTTGGGCTGAGACAATGGGGTTTTCTAGATATACAATCATGTGGTCTGCAAACAGGGACAATTTGACTTCCTCTTTTCCTAATGGAATTCCCTTTATTTCCTTCTCCTGCCTAATTGCCATGACCAGAACTTCCAACACTATGTTGAATAGGAGTGGTGAGAGAGGGCATCCCTGTCTTGTGCCAGTTTTCAAAGGGAATGCTTCCAGTTTTTGCCCATTCAGTATGATATTGGCTGTGGGTTTGTCATAGATAGCTCTTATTATTTTGAGATACGTCCCATCAATACCTAATTTATTGAGAGTTTTTAGCATGAAGGGTTGTTGAATTTTGTCAAAGGCCTTTTCTGCATCTATTAAGATAATCATGTGGTTTTTGTCTTTGGCTCTGTTTACATGCTGGATTACATTTATCGATTTGCGTATATTGAACCAGACTTGCATCCCAGGGATGAAGTCCACTTGATCATGGTGGATAAGCTTTTTGATGTGCTGCTGGATTCGTTTTGCCAGTATTTTATTGAGGATTTTTGCATCAATGTTCATCAAGGATATTGGTCTAAAATTCTCTTTTTTGGTTGTGTCTCTGCCCGGCTTTGGTATCAGGATGATGCTGGCCTCATAAAACGAGTTAGGGAGGATTCCCTCTTTTTCTATTGATTGGAATAGTTTCAGAAGGAATGGTACCAATTCCTCCTTGTACCTCTGGTAGAATTCGGCTGTGAATCCATCTGGTTCTGGACTCTTTTTGGTTGGTAAGCTATTGATTATTGCCACAATTTCAGCTCCTGTTATTGGTCTATTCAGAGATTCAACTTCTTCCTGGTTTAGTCTTGGGAGAGTGTATGTGTCGAGGAATTTATCCATTTCTTCTAGATTTTCTAGTTTATTTGCGTAGAGGTGTTTGTAGTATTCTCTGATGGTAGTTTGTATTTCTGTGGGATTGGTGGTGATATCCCCTTTATCACTTTTTATTGCGTCTATTTGATTCTTCTCTCTTTTTTTCTTTATTAGTCTTGCTAGTGGTCTATCAATTTTGTTGATCCTTTCAGAAAACCAGCTCCTGGATTCATTAAATTTTTGAAGGGTTTTTTGTGTCTCTATTTCCTTCAGTTCTGCTCTGAATTTAGTTATTTCTTGCCTTCTGCTAGCTTTTGAATGTGTTTGCTCTTGCTTTTCTAGTTCTTTTAGTTGTGATGCTAGGGTGTCAATTTTGGATCTTTCCTGCTTTCTCTTGTGGGCATTTAGTGCTATAAATTTCCCTCTACACACAGTTTTGAATGCGTCCCAGAGATTCTGGTATGTTGTGTCTTTGTTCTCATTGGTTTCAAAGAACATCTTTATTTCTGCCTTCATTTCGTTATGTACCCAGTAGTCATTCAGGAACAGGTTGTTCAGTTTCCATGTAGTTGAGCAGTTTTGAGTGAGTTTCTTAATCCTGAGTTCTACTTTGATTGCACTGTGGTCTGAGAGATAGTTTGTTATAATTTCTGTTCTTTTCCATTTGCTGAGGAGAGCTTTACTTCCAACTATGTGGTCAATTTTGGAATAGGTGTGGTGTGGTGCTGAAAGAAATGTATATTCTGTTGATTTGGGGTGGAGGGTTCTGTAGATATCTATTAGGTCCACTTGTTGCAGAACTGAGTTCAATTCCTGGGTATCCTTGTTGACTTTCTGTCTCATTGATCTGTCTAATATTGACAGTGGGGTGTTAAAGTCTCCCATTATTATTGTGTGGGAGTCTAAGTCTCCTTGTAGGTCACTCAGGACTTGCTTTATTAATCTGGGTGCTCCTGTATTGGGTGCATATGTATTTAGGATAGTTAGCTCTTCTTGTTGAATTGATCCCTTTACCATTAAGTAATAGCCTTGTTTGTCTCTTTTGATCTTTGTTGGTTTAAAGTCTGTTTTATCAGAGACTAGGATTGCAACCCCTGCCTTTTTTTGTTTTCCATTTGCTTGGTAGATCTTCCTCCATCCTTTTATTTTGAGCCTATGTGTGTCTCTGCACATGAGATTGGTTTCCTGAATACAGCACACTGATGGGTCTTGACTCTTTATCCAGTTTGCCAGTCTGTGTCTTTTAATTGGAGCATTTAGTCCATTTACATTTAAAGTTAATATTGTTATACACATATTAACTTGATCTTGTCATATCCATACAAATTTGATCCTGTCATTATGATGTTAGCTGGTTATTTTGCTCGTTAGTTGATGCAGTTTCTTCCTAGTCTCGATGGTCTTTACATTTTGGCATGATTTTGCAGTGGCTGGTACCGGTTTTTCCTTTCCGTGTTTAGCGCTTCCTTCAGGAGCTGTTTTAGGGCAGGCCTGGTGGTGACAAAATCTCTCAGCATTTGCTTGTCTGTAAAGTGTTTTATTTCTCCTTCACTTATGAAGCTTAGTTTGGCTGGATATGAAATTCTGGGTTGAAAATTCTTTTCTTCAAGGATGTTCAATATTGGCCCTCACTCTCTTCTGGCTTGTAGAGTTTCTGCTGAGAGATCTGCTATTAGTCTGATGGGCTTCCCTTTGAGGGTAACCCGACCTTTCTCTCTGGCTGCCCTTAGCATTTTTTCCTTCATGTCAACTTTGGTGAATCTGACAATTATGTGTCTTGGTGTTGCTCTTCTCGAGGATTATCTTTGTGGCGTTCTCTGTATTTCCTGAATCTGAATGTTGGCCTGCCTTGCTAGATTGGGGAAGTTCTCCTGGATAATAACCTGCAGAGTGTTTTCCAACTTGGTTCCATTCTCCCCGTCACTTTCAGGTACACCAATCAGACGTAGATTTGGTCTTTTCACATAGTCCCATATTTCTTGTAGGCTTCGCTCGTTTCTTTTTATTCTTTTTTCTCTAAACTTCCCTTCTTGCTTCATTTCATTCATTTCATCTTCCATCGCTGATGTCGTTTCTTCCAGTTGATCACATCGGCTCCTGAGGCTTCTGCATTCTTCATGTAGTTCTCGAGCCTTGGTTTACAGCTCCATCAGCTCCTTTAAGCACTTCTCTGTGTTGGTTATTCTAGTTATACAATCTTCTAAATTTTTTTCAAAGTTTTCAACTTCTTTGCCTTTGGTTTGAATGTCCTCCCGTAGCTCAGAGTAATTTGATCGTCTGAAGCCTTCTTCTCTCAGCTCATCAAAGTCGTTCTCCATCCAGCTTTGTTCCGTTGCTGGTGAGTAACTGCGTTCCTTTGGAGGAGGAGAGGTGCTCTGCTTTTTAGAGTTTCCAGTTTTTCTGTTCTGTTTTTTCCCCATCTTTGTGGTTTTATCTACTTTTGGTCTTTGATGATGGTGATGTACAGATGGGTTTTTGGTGTGGATGTCCTTTCTGTTTGTTAGTTTTCCTTCTAACAGAGAGGACCCTCAGCTGCAGGTCTGTTGGAGTATCCTGCCATGTGAGGTGTCAGTGTGCCCCTGCTGGGGGGTGCCTCCCAGTTAGGCTGTTCGGGGGTCAGAGGTCAGGGACCCACTTGAGGAGGCAGTCTGCCTGTTCTCAGATCTCTAGCTGTGTGCTGGGAGAACCACTGCTCTCTTCAAAGCTGTCAGACAGGGACATTTAAGTCTGCAGAGGTTACTGCTGTCTTTTTGTTTGTCTGTGCCCTGCCCCCAGAGGTGGAGCCTACAGAGGCAGGCAGGCCTCCTTGAGCTGTGGTGGGCTCCACCCAGTTCGAGCTTCCTGGCTGCTTTGTTTACCTAATCAAGCCTGGGCAATGGCAGGCACCCCTCCCCCAGCCTCACTACCACCTTGCAGTTTGATCTCAGACTGCTGTTCTAGCAATCAGCGAGACTCCGTGGGCATAGGGCCCTCCGAGCCAGGTGCAGGATATAATCTCCTGGTGTGCCGTTTTTTAAGCCTGTCGGAAAAGCGCAGTATTAGGGTGGGAGTGACTCGATTTTCCAGGTGCCATCTGACTAGGAAAGGGATCTCCCTGACCCCTTGCACTTCCCGAGTGAGGCAATGCCTCACCCTGCTTCAGCTCGTGCACGGTGTGCGCACCCACTGACCTGCGCCCACTGTCTGGCACTCCCTAGTGAGATGAACCTGGTACCTCAGATGGAAATGCAGAAATCACCCATCTTCTGCGTTACTCTCCCGGGGAGCTGTAGACCAGAGCTGTTCCTTTTCGGCCATCTTGGCTCCTCCACCGAACTCATCCGTTTTCATGGCTGCATAGTATTCCATGGTGTATATGTGCCACATTTTCTTAATCCAGTCTATCATTGTTGTACATTTGGGTTGGTTCCAAGTCTTTGCTATTGTGAATAGTGCCTCTATAAACATACGTGTGCGTGTGCCTTTATAGTAGCATGATTTATAATCCTTTGGGTATATACCCAGTAATGGGATGGCTGGGTCAAATGGTATTTCTAGTTCTAGATCCCTGAGGAATCACCATGCTGTCTTCCACAATGTTTGAACTAGTTTACAGTCCCATCAACAGTGTAAAAGTGTTCCTATTTCTCCACATCCTCTCCAGCACCTGTTGTTTCCTGACTTTTTAATGATTGCTATTCTAACTGGTGTGAGATGGTATCTCGTTGTGGTTTTGATTTGCATAAGTTATTCTTTTTTTTTTTTTTTTTTTTTTTGATGGAGTCTTGCTGTTTCACCCAGGCTGGAGTGCAGTGGTGTGATCTTGGCTCACTGCAAGCTCTGCCTCCAGGGTTCATGCCATTCTCCTGCCTCAGCCTCCCGAGTAGCTGGGACTGCAGGCGCCTGCCACCGTGCCTGGCTAATTTTATTGTATTTTATTAGAGAGGGGGTTTCACCATGGTCTCGATCTCCTGACCTCATGATCCACCCACCTCGGCCTCCCAAAGTGCTGGGATTACAGGTGTGAGCCACTGTGCCCGGCCTGCATAAGTTATTCTTTAGTTCTTAAATTTTTCTCTGGAGAGGTGGATTCATTCATACTTTAAAAGAAGAATTGGAAGCACTAGAAAAAATAAAACAAATCTTTCACACTCTAGCTATTATCATCTTGCAATATTGTTTTCCCTCCAAATAAAATAAAGAGGCATGGTAAAGTGCAAACTTGTGTTTTCAATGATACCTATAAAGGAAAATCTTGTAAGAAGAAAACTGCTGAGCTGAAATGTCTAAACAAACTGTAGTGGGACTTTTTAGTATAAGACAACAAACATTTAGATTGCAGTAAGTAATGGTCTCTCTAACATATCCAAGTATGATCTGCATGAAACTACTGGAACAAATCTCATTAGAGTGAGTTGTCATTCAATACTTTGCATTAGTTTATTTTAGTTGCTGTAACAAATTACTATGAACTAAGTGGCTTAACAGAACATGAATGTGATGGTTAATATTGGGTGTTAACTTGATTGAATTGAAGATTACAAACTATTGTTCCTGGGTGTGTCTGTGAGGGCATTGCCAAAGGAGATTAACATTTGAGTCAGTGGACTGGGAGAGGCAGACCCACCCTCAATCTTGGCAGGCACCACCTAATCAGCTGCCAGTGCAGCCAGGATAAAAACAGGCAGAGGAGGATGGAAGGACTAGACTGTCTGAGTCTTCCAGTCTACATCTTTCTCCCATGCTGGATGCTTCCTGCCCTCGAACATCGGACTCCAAGTTCTTCAGCTTTTGGGCTCTTGTACTTACACCAGTGGCTTTCCAGGGGCTATTGGCCCTTAGGTCACAGACTGAAGGCTGCACTGTCGGTTTCCCTACTTTTGAGGTTTTGGGACTCGACTGGTTTCCTTGCACCTCAGCTGGCAGATGGCCTATTGTGGGATTTCATTTTGTGATTGTGTCAGTCAATCCTCCTTAACAAACTCCCTTTTATGTATACGTCTATCCTATTAGTTGTGTCCCTCTAGAGAACTCTAATACAATGAATTTCTTTTTTGTTTTTTTAATTCTGGAGGTCAGAAATCTGAAATAAGTTTTACCAGTGGAAAGTCAATGTGTCATCATTGCTAGTTTGTTGTTGTTTTCCAAAGGCCCTGAGGGGAGAATGGATTTTCTTGGCTTTTGTGATCTTCTGGTGAAGCTGCCTGTTTCCTGGGCTCTTAGGCCCTTTCTCCAGCTTCAGAGAGCGTCACTCTGACACCCGCTTTCATCATCACGTTGCCTTCTCTTCTGAGGCTGATTTCTGATGCGTTCCCCTTGTAAAGACAATTATGATTACATTAGGCCAACACAGATCAAGATACTTAATCACATCTGCAAAGTCCTTTTTGCCACATAATGTTACATTCCCAGGTTCCAGAGATTAAGACATGGTCATATTTCAGGAAATGAGCGTTTTATTCAGTTTACCATAGCCTGTAAGCCAAATTCACCAATACTTTTGTATTCTGGTTCACGTATCCCATTTTTATGAGCCTCCTTTTGCCTATTCCTAGAATGTTTAATGACCCTTTTTCCTTCAAAGCAGTCTGAGAACACCAAAATTATAGTACCAATCACAACACAAGTTTTTCTCTTTTCCCGAATAGTTTGAAGTCACCTAAATCTTGTTAGGATTCTTACTCCAATTCCTGCCAAATAGTAAACATTTAATAAAACAGATGTCAAATTTGACTGAGTTAAATGAGGTGTCATCCCAAGTCTTCTGTTTTTATTTTACTTCAAATAAAATGTGGCACTAAAGGATGTAGAGAACATTAAAAGGCATTTTGTAACCTTTAAAATTATAAGATTCCTTTTTCATTGTAGTTTTTTTCACACCAAGCAGGCCACACACCTGAGTGACCTAGATTTCCTTAATAATTTTTAAGCAGTCCATGACAATTTAAGAAAGGGTCAGCTGCAAGCTGGGAGCTGGATAAAAGACTGAGCTGGCACCACTGTGTGATTTGTGTTGATAAGTACAATAAGACCATGAGAAAAAAAATGGAAGTGTGTATCTGTGCATTCAGCCTCTCTTTTATCTCTGACACTTTGTAATTCTTCCCTCATTCAAAGTTTTTAGTGACCTGGAAATTTAGAATAAACTGCATTTTATTATTTTAATTTATTTGACAAGCATTGGACTTTGACTCAATCCAATCACAACAGAGGTGTCTCTCTGTTTTCCTCAGACATTCTAGAATGTCTCCTGTAGTTCTCACATTCTTTCCATGCCAAGAATACCCATCTCCAGTGCTTTGTCGTTGGTTTGTTTCAGTAAAACTAGAATAAGATTATTCCATAGAGTTATGAACTCTGACTTTATTTTCATGACTGATGTTGGTGTTAGCTCAATAGATTCACTGCTTCATAGGGACTCACATACTACAGTGCTTGCTGGTGAGCAGCTGACCACATGTTGTGTAAGGCTGGAACTGTGAGTGGGTCCAGGAAAAATATGGGTTAGGGCCCTGTCTTAGTCTATTTTCTTCTGCTATAACAGAATACTTCAGATTGGGTAATTTATAAAGAAAATAAATTTATTTGGCTACCTTTTCTCAAATCTGGGAAGTCCAAGAGTGTGGCACCAGCATCTGGTGAGGGCCTTCTTGCTTCATTATTTTATGGCAGAAGGGTGGGAACAGGCACAGAGACAGAGAGAAAGGCTGGCAGCCAAATTTATTTTTTAAGCAAGGGCCAATCCCTGCAAAAACTAACCCACTTCTAAAATAACAGCACTAATCCATTCATGAGGGCAAAGCCCTTATGACCTCATGACCTCTTGAAGGTTGTTCCTCTCAACACCATTACACTGGCAGTTATATTCCAACATGAGTTTTGCAGGAGATGTTAAAACCACAGCAGGCTTTGAGGATGTCAGGATATTGGCAGACTCTGAAGGGAAATATGGATAACTGGATCCCTCAAGATAAATTAGTTAGTAAAGTAGGATTAGAAACACACTTTTATTTTTAAATGACAAGGTAAGAGAGTCTACCAGGAATGTGGACAGCAATTTGGGGTCATTACCTGATCATTTTTATTTTGAATCTTGTGTTGAATGTCTTGTTATTTTTTTCTCATTTAATTACGATAATAAATATCTGCAAATATATCTGAGACATTATAGTTTACATTTGAAGCCACTGAGACTCGACAATTTTTAAATAACTGCCTGAAGATAAACACAGTAGGCTTCAGAGTTGGAATTCAAAACAACTAATTCAGTAAATCCAGTTCATATAAAATCTACCCAATGAGAAAAGCAGTGTTTGTGAAACTAGCCTACCTTTTCAAGGGTTAAAATAGTTAAGAAGAGTATATGATATTTGCAAATAATTGTATATGTGCAGGTATGTGTGTATGTGTGTTTATGTGTGTTGGAAAAACATTGTGTAGTAGTTGAGACTCAAATAGATTTCTGCTTTGACCTCATCTCTGTGACTTATAACTGTGTAATCTTTTGCAAGGTACTTGACCTTTCTAAACTCTAGTGTCCTCATCCATAAAATTGGAAATAGAATTACAGTGCAAGTTAAACTAGTTGACTCTAATTAAAATTAATCTGCTCAATATAGTTTCAGAATAAGTACACAGTAAATGTTATTGCTTTCATTATTGTTATTGCTAGTTTTATTATTATGGTACATTGCCTTTCCAACTAAAATCTAGAACTGTTTAAAGTCTTTCAATAATACACACTCTCTCCTCATCACTCCCATAACTTTGAGGAATAGAATCAGTAGAACTCTGGCTAATAATTTTTATCCTAAAGACAAGGTTTCATGATGGACAATGGAATATTTGACAAAATCCTGTTACATCAGAATTGAACTTCTTGAAAATGGAGCAAAAAACAGACCATAAAGACATAAATCATCATGAAGTTTTGTGAGAAACTGGGAATATTTGACCTGGAGAGGAAAACTAGCTTAAAGAGCTCTGACTATACTTGAATAGTCAACCCAACAAAGAGACATTTGACTTTTTCAATAGAGTCCATGACCACAGAGTAATAGTTTGAACTTAGAGAGCTATTGAAAGTTAGAATGGCTGTCTTGGGAGGTAATGAGCTCCCTATCACTGGAAATCAGTGAACAGTCAAAAATACTAAGATCAAGAACCCAGTAAGGGGCTTATAATTTTTTCTTTTCATGTCTTCTCTTTTTTCACTATGTAAATTCTACCATTTGCTTGAGAGATTTCTTTGTTTCTCCTAGCAAAATAAAATATAAGGTACCAGAGATGCCATGGAAATTCTACCAAGCCCTGTCAACTTTCCAGCCCCACTCACCAGGATGGTGATCCAGGTTGGAATTGAGCCTGAGGATCTTACCTTACTATTATGAGTGTGCTTTTTTTGTAGTATGCATTTTCTATTACCCCTTGCAAACCAAGCAAGATGGCAAAAAGAGGTGGGCAGATAGAGTCTTGAATGCATTATTCTGGATCTGCTAAACCAAAATATGTTAAGAGTAGCTTACTCTTATAGACTTATTCATCTCTTAGAGTCTCAAATTTTATCTAATATGTTGACTTTCTGTCATACTGCATGTATTGATACATATATTATATCTATCTATCTTTATATTGATAATATAATTACCAGTATATCTCTGAATAATATAAGGCCCAGCATTAGTTTCTAGCATAATAATAGATATTTCATTGTTCTGCACAAGAGAAGGCCAGTGTCCTTCAACATCTGGGTCACTTGGAGTAAAAGCATCTCAACTAATTAGGTCATCCTCTGAGCCCAGGGCTTGCATGCATCCTCATTCAATTAGAGAGTTAAATGTAGTTTCATTCATTCTGCCCAGTTTGTTGTGGAACCAAGTTCAGCCTCCTTTATACATGCATCCTTTAAGTTCATATGCTTCATGTGAATAATAGATTTTATCTATGTAGGAATCACACTTGATCATCCATAACTACCATGCTTTCCACTCATAAAATACCCGTCTCAATTAGTGAATTAGCATCCCATCAAGTTGATGTCAAAGATGTGAAACCTTGAGAATGTTCATTGCAGCTAATGAAAATATGTTTAGAAATTGCTTCTGCAAATGAATCACTAGCAAGAAATTGGCTTATTATTGTAGACTGTATTTGGTTCTGAAAAATCAATCTTCCCTTCAGTTCTGTCATCTACTGGCTCATCAGATATTTAAAGCATCAAATGAGCTGTCTGCCTTTAACCATTCTTAGAAATTGGGGCATTTTCACAGCTTATCAAGTGACATTACAGCCATTATTATACCGATTAAAAACACAGCTACTGCAAACTAAATGATCATTATACTTCCTTAAATATAATCTTTCTGTTCACGTTTTGTCAGCATCGGTTAAAAAAATAGTTGACATTTTCTGAAGGGTGGTACAATTCCAGGGAAAACATATTAAGCATCATGCATTATTCCAAATGTCTGTAAGTGTTTATATTGTACATTATGAAAACCTTGATATAAAATGCCACAATTCAAAGAAAAAGTGTTAAAAATGTCAGCCCTATTCTATCATTTTTGGAGACCAATTTGCTTTTTTTTTTGGTAAGGTTGTAATGAGCCTGGTTCATTTTGCTTCCTACCATTTATCTTTCCAGTAGTAATGGAAAATTTCCCCCTTAGGCACAGCGTGCTATTCTTGTCTTAGACGATTAGGCAGAAATGAAGGAGATCATAAAGGTGAGAGATTTCTCCACAAACAATATGATGCTCAGTACGGTAACCTGCGCAATGTAGGCTGAGGAATTCTAATTGGACCCAGGGATGTGGTTTTGCGATGTAGCAGGGCATATAGAAAGCAAATAAGGTTTGTATTTCTGATTGCACTGGAAGGTCTGTGGAAAGACAAAGCTCAAATTTCGCCTCAGCCTTTCTTCAAATGCTCAGTAAGCTGCCAAACAATACAATTTAACTCAAGAATGTGAAGTGATGATCTAAAACATATTGAAAAGCAGGGATAGAATAACTGTAGGGTATTTTATTTAAAATAGTAGAAAAAAATTTTTTTCAGCAAGTTTTCTTTGCAAGAATTAGAGTTTGTGTTTCAGATGATTTTAGAACAAAGAAGTTTCACTGCTATGCCTCCTCTGGAAGCAAAGATGTTAACTGTGCTTTTGAAAACAGACATGGAAAGAAGATGTCAAAGCTGAAAGGTACTCCTGCCTCAGCCACCCTCTATTAATGGCAAGGCATAGAGGCCACATAAATTCACTCAGCCTATTTCTTTACCTGCAAGGAGTTACAGATTGGTTTGAATAACATAAAACTGCTATTTCACCATTTTTTACTTAATAAAATGGCAAATAGTTTGTTCACAGTGTCGCTGTAATAATCAATGAAGAAAAACAAACAAACAAACAACTCAGAGAGCACATAGTGTGGTACAATACATTCTGTCTCCTCTTTGGTACCAGACCTCTTGCCAATATAAGGAATTATCTCATGATGATGTGTGTGACTACTTTAATCAATAAGTAAGCATAGAATTTTGCATGTTCTACCTGATTTAGTTAATCCTTACAGTATGAGGTGGGTCTTATAATTATTTCCATGATGTGAAAGAGCAAACTGAGATCTGATATATTGGGACCTGGACTCAGGAAGGATACCTGGAAAAACCATGGTTTTTGCCAGCACTGTATAAAGTCTCAAAGAAGTCAGGAAACTATTTTCAAAATTATTATTATAATAGAACTTCCTGTTATATGCCTTTTTATAAGCTCTTATCATTTAATAATAATGCATAGTCATGTAATATTTAGAATAATTGTTCTAGTCATATATATTGTGGTTAGCCTTCCAAGATTCAAGTCTCAGCTCCTTAACCCATTAACTATATGACCTTATGACATTAGAAAACGTACATTTATATATTTATATTACTTATTATTAGCTAATATTTGTTTGATCCCATCGGTGACAGCCACGTTTTTAGGCACTTGGCTTAGATAATACTCAAAACAATCCTAGTAGATAGCATTCAGATTTCCATTCTGCAGAGGTGGAAAGTTGATCGTGGTGAGAATATGTAATTTACCCAAGGTAGAGAGCAGAGTCAGTATTTGAACCCAACAGTATAATTCTAGGTTTCACACTCCTAACCACTATGCTATATTTAAGCCCCAATCTGCATTTCCTCAATGATAAAATGGGATTAAATGAGAATATACATGAAAGGCCTGGCACATGCACGTCCAATACAAGTTTACTATTCTTATGATTTTTATCATTAACTTTATTATTAATATTTTACAAAGTGTCTTAGTCTATCTTGTGTTGCTAAAACAAAATTCCTGAAATTGAGTAATTTATAAAGAACAGAAATTTATTTCTTATTCCTCTGGTGGCTGCAAAGTCCACTATCAAGGGGCCAGCATCTGGTGAGGGCTTCTTTGCTGCGTCCCTACATGGTGAGAGGGGTAAAGGCAAGAGGGAATCAATTCCCTCTGTTAAGCTTTTTTATAAGGGCACCAAATCCCATTCAAGAGGAAGGAGTCTTCATAGTATAATCACTTATTAAAGGCCCCGCCTTTTAACACTGTCACATTGATAATACCTGAGTATCTGAGGGGACACACTCAACCCATAGCACAAATTCTGCAACAATGATACTTGATGGACAAGTGTTGTGGCCCTAAAATTTGATTAAGTTGCCTAAAATACACATTAAAAGAGCCTGGAACCTACAGTGTTAATTCAATCTTCTACTTCTCTGAAATTTACTCTTCTTATTTTTTCACTGTATAATTTATAATTTTCTATACATAAAACTATTGCTACTTGTGGGTAATATACTTAATGTAGTAAATCTATGAAAACTTAGTGATTAATAATTATCTGACATCAACAAACACTCTTAAGGTCTTTTTTATCATAAAATTGTATACATTGTATAAACTATATAGATAAATTTTTTTTAAAAAAGTTAGAAGTGAAGACAACTGGGTGAAGAAAACCTGAGTGTATTCCCTGGAATATCACATGGTTCTGTTCTTGGAATTGCTTTTAGATATGATGCTTTTTGTGTATTCACAGGGCACCTACCTGCCATAAAAAGCTAAAAAGAGATTCTTCTTGCCTAAAACTTTATTTCCATAATGTGCACATTGGCCATATTTAGTGGATGATGCTCTTTTGCATTATCCAGAGCCTTCTTTCCATAATGAGGCACTCATTTCCCAAGCTGTTGGTAACCAACTTATTCCGCAGCTCACAGATGAGTTGATTTCCAAGAATTACCCTCAACCAAAGAGAGCCATTTAACCTAATGTCACACCTCCCTCTGCAGGCACCTCATATCCTATGACTTGTCATAAAGGGGTATAGAAGATTGATCCCTTTATCTCAAGGTGGGGAAAAACTGAAAGCCAAACCAACTCTAGAATTCTTAGTGCAATGTGGAATTTGTCAAGGCCTTTGTTCATCTCTGAGATGAAACAGAACTAGGACACAATTTCTTCTTCTGATCCAGAGAGTACTCTGCAGAAAAATTCCTGCACACAAACCACTGTCTCAGAGTATGTTTTCTGGAGATCTTGACCTAAATTTAAACACCGACCTAGGTTGTCAAGAACCAAGGCCTGTTTTTCATCACACCTTAATGAGTTCTGGTACTAGAACATTTCAGTGGTTCCTAGACTTGATTGGGACCATGTTCCTTGTGATTAGGGCTCTCTAATTCTAACCATTTGCCTACTCCACTTTGATCTTTCAATACTGTCAGCCTTGTAATATGTCACAACTGACCCATAGCAACAAAACACAAATATCATCAACACTTCTAAGCAATGTGTCTCAACTCCTTGCCTTTGGTCCTGTGTCTCAGCCTCATTCAATTCAGTTAATCTCACTTTGGCCTGTCATTAGACATAATTTCTATTTTTTTTTTTTTTTGATATTTGAATGTTGGATTCTGTGCTTGATTTACAGCTTTATCCATACTTCCAGAGACAAATAATTTTGTTGTTAGAGATGAATTATCTTCACTCTGGTTTTCTCTTAGAATTAAAAACTTCATCAATGTTCTGTCTCCCAGATGAATTCAGTCACCACCTGCTGTCATATGTTCTCATATGTCACAATAAACATCACATTTTAAACTTATTCATAACCTCCCGGATTTCATTGCATGGAACTAGAGTGTCAAAAATTGTTAAAGGAATTCCTCAAGAAAGGTTAAAAAATTTTAAAAAATCATTTGATAAAATTGCCTTTCTGTGCCCCCCTTCAAGGATTCATATTTTCCTTTACATGTTAATGACTTTCATAACTTCAGCAATAAAGAAATGATTTATACCTTTCTTCAATTATTACATTTCCCAGATCTGAATTGGACCATGGGATGCAATTGGTTTCTTGTAAAATACCTAGCAATCTTTCAAGGAGCTACAGGTTTTTTTGGAGGTGGGGGGACCAAATTTTGGGAGCCCAAACCTAGTTCACCCTCTTAACCCCATTTGGGATCCTCTCTATATTTGACAGTAATTCTCTAACATGAGGAGAGATTTACTATATTTGTTTTTCACTTGACTTTTGCTTTTTCAATTTAGCTATTTGAATTAAATGTTTCATGCAGATAAAGGGCATAAAAATGAATACAGTGGCAGTCATCATACATCGCATCTTCCCTGTGCTCAAAGATAAAACAGCTCTAGCCAAAAACTAATAATAATAATGAATCAGTGCCAGGCTGGGCCTCAGCCTTGACATGAATATCACCTAGAAAGAAGGAACACAGCCCTTCATAAGGCAGACAATTTATTGTTGAACTGTTCCAGTTATTATAAATTATCTTCATTATAATTTATATATACCTATCCCAGATTAGTCTTCTGGAAGAACAAAGAAAACCAGTCACTTAAATTTATTTATTTATGTATTTATTTATTTATGTTAAATGTGTCACTTCTTCATATATTTGAAGGCAAATAACTTATCCTACCCAAGACTTCTCGTCTCCAGTTTAAACATAAATTAACCCTTCAATGCTTCACAAACTGCATGTTTTGCAAAATTCTTATAGGACATCTTCCTCACATGGACATATGCTAGTTTCCCACTGGAACTCATATATTCAACTTTTAGCTATTCATAAATACCATATTTCTATAACAACATTCAGTTGTGTGGGCAATCACTTGAAGATGCGTCTGAAATGGAATGAAGTGTTTCTTCATTGTTGTTACAAGGAAATAAGTGAACTTTGCATTTTCTCCCTAGGGTTAGCCTTTAAATAAAGAACTAGACCAGAAAATAGATAGTGATTCTAGTTTTATTCTTGACTATGATTAAAAGACCTCCTGTGCTATGAGAGTTGCATACCTCTGTGATTTACATTCCAGCTGGCATAGGTATAATTTAAGAAAGGGTAGCCAGAGGATTGGGGATTACTAGAATAGTATTAGGTCCTCCCTGGGAAATGAAAAGTCAACATTTATTTTGCTTTACTTTCCAAACTTACAAAATTAACATGGTTATTGCCAATATTTGACATTTTAAACTTCAAACAATTTACTCATAGTCACAAAGCCACTTCACACAGATTTTCTTATTTGAAAGAAATGTCATTGGGAGGAAATCACACCGGTGAAAATCACTACCTTCTCAATGGCTGAATGGTTGGGGGCCTGTATTAGGAGCAGGTATAGTTTGATGATGAAAAGCACTGAATATCAGCAAATAAAAATGACCTCTAGCATATCATGTTTTTTAAGAACACCAAAATAGGGCAACAGAAAGCCAAATCAGAAAATAATTTAGAATTAACAAAGCAAGATGAGAGCTTGTTTAATTATATTATTGATTTTCCTTTTAAATCAGTATTTATCTCCTTTTTCCTAAAGACAAAGTTAAATGTAGGTTGTGCTGTCCAAACTGAACTTGTCACCCTATTCCTAATCTAGCTCATACCTACTCTAATTTGACTCCAAGCTTGACTCCAGCTTTTGTTGATTTAATATTATTTTGTTTGCAACAGAAGTGGAAAATGAATAAAAGAGAAAAGAAATAGATGCTTTATAACTATCTTTCTTCTAGAAGAGTTGAGTAGAACTTTATTGGTTCTGATGCCATCTTTTGTGACTTTTCCATTATCTGAAGGGTTGGAGGTTTGTTGGGTGGTGGGAGTAGGATTTGCAATTGTATCACTTTAATCATTATAAACATTAGATTGGGTGGGAAGCTCAGCTTGGTTGAATCTGATAGCCTCATTGGCTCTTTCATAAATGCAGTTGATGCCTCCAGGATCTTGAGAACTTATTCAGATCCCCAAAAAGTTGGAAATCATAGCTGAATTAGACATAAGTGCCCTGCAGTTATGAACGTTGAGGATGTAAACAAATAAGCTATGGGACAATCTAGGCTGCCCTTTTTCCGATGGAAAACAAATATTAAAGAATTAAAAAATTCCAATGAGAGGGAATTAAAAAGCAAATAATAGTATTAATTTTAAAATATTTTAAATGATCGTAACTTTTCAAATGAAATCTCTGATGAATGAAAAGAAACCCATTATCCATTAATACATTCTGAAATTTCAGGGCAAACATTTCTAAGCTGTTTTCTCGATTGGAAATATACACAACAATAAATAGATGTTTCTAAGAATATAGTAGTTAATGACAACTCCTGCCTCTTTACAATAGTCTTAATTTGAAACCAGCAAGACATTAGGAAGAAAATTGGCTTTCATAGGTTTTTGTTTATTTTTTCTTAGTTTTAGTTCCTCCATCTGCTAAAAATCCAAAACAAAACACAACAATAACAAAAAATGAACCACAACAAAAAACTAGTAAACTAAAATCCAAATGAAATCAAACCAAAAGAAAAAAGAACAAAAAACCCTCCTGTTGCCTCCACATATCATTGTACAGTTTGTGTCCAATCAAGGAAGCAAGCAGGGGCTAAAGTTATGACTCTAACTTAATTACCACATTAATAGAGTGTCTACACTGGGCCAGTTCATTGGGCCAAGCCCTTTACATTTATTGACTCTTGTGTTCCTTAAAATAACCTCAGAAGCCAGATGATATTATTATCTCAATTTTATAAAGGAAATGAATCCACCAAGAATTAACTGACTCAGGGTCACACAGCTAGTGGGTCGTAGAGCTGGCCTTGACCCTGGCAGTCAGGCTCTGGAGCCCAGTCTCCTTTTTCACATATGTGTGTTGTGTGGGTTTTCATAAAGTATTACTAAAATACAGAAGATAATTATCCTACTTCTTCTTTTACAATTTAATAGGAGAATTGACTCTAATTTAAATGAAGTAAATTCTATAACTTCCTATCTAGAACCTGGTGCAGAGTGACGTCAATAAATAGAGTATCCTTCTAGTCTCCTATTTTTCCTTTTTATAATTTAAAATTTATCCTCCTACAAACTCAGGAAAACCTAGTCTCTCACATACTAAATCAAGTTGTTTACATGCTTAAGAATCCTGATAAATATTATGAAGCAAACTTTTCTGAATACTTTGGAGGCTAAAGTTTATGGTGGAATATAGAGAATTTGTGAGCCTGGTTTTGGCAAATGCAGCATCGCTTTATCTTCCTCCTCATTCCTGCTAATTTCCATGTCTCCAGAGGTCTTGGCAAGAGACAATAAAGGGAAAGAAACCAAAAAGGATTAAAAATATATTAAAACAATCAATATTCCACAAATGAGGAAAGATCTTATTCTGTTGATGTTCCAATGATGGAGTTGTAGGATTTAAAGTCTTTCCATTAAAGTATAGAAACTGCAAGCTAGAGACTACCTTGCCAGAATATGGCAAGTACAAGGAGTGAAGAAGTTAGAGGTGGAGAATAGTACAGGAGAAGCAAGAGAGACAAGATTTGAAACACCCATCCAGGAGGGGCTCTGCATGCATTGAAAGGTTTGCACCATATGCTAACCTCTGGGTATGATTGTGCCATTGCAATGAGGACTCACAGCCTCATGACCTTCCTGCATAATGTGGGATGACC
Source organism: Homo sapiens (assembly GCF_000001405.40). Lineage (NCBI taxonomy): Eukaryota > Metazoa > Chordata > Mammalia > Primates > Hominidae > Homo > Homo sapiens. Next base: position 12,320,880 of record NC_000004.12, on the reverse strand, counting down.
TCAGGGATGGATCTTTATGAAGTACAGTATTAAGTACTGGGCTAAAGAGAATATAGGTGAATTTCTGAAGGGCACTTTCCATTATGTTTACCAATATTACTGTAAAAATCAAAATAATTTAAATTTAAAAAATAAGCTCAAATGCCCACGTGGCTCTTTATTCTCAGCTATTTAGCTTCTAGAGTGCTGAGGTTTTCCACCGAGAAGTCTAAAGATGGTGTGGTACCCACTGGCCTTTGTTTGTTCCTTTCATGGATATACAGTATAAAAAGATGATTCTAAAGCCCTGGATCACTTTAAAATTGAGTGTCATCTGGAAACATTACCTTTTTAGTCTTCTGCCTTGTAGCCAATGACCTGAGCATAAATTGCCAATAGTAGATTCACGTTTAATGTGGTGGACCACCACTTGTAGGTTTGACTTGTGGTACCCCCAGTGAAGACAATTAAGCAAACCTCATAATGTTATAATTGAAATGTTAACAGATAATTGCCCATGTAATTACTCCAAGTCATTTTATTATCATTAGAGGAGAATAAAAGTCAGCGGTATAATTTAATATCAAATATTACTTGATTACTGAGATACAGTTAATGTTACTGCATCTGTTTTATAACAACTTGGGAGTTTTATTTTTGGCTGAAGATCGTGAGAATGCAGATTCTGGGCAAAGGAAACATTAGTGGAAGGCAGGAATGTTGTCCCAGGATTCTATAATTTACCAGGGTTATACTTATTTCACTTAGCTTCAAAAATATATTTGAAAATTATCAATCTTTTCCCTGAAATACCTCCTGCATGCAGGATATGGATGAGAGCATAAAACAGAAAAGAGTGGTGATGAAGTCTTCAATCTGATTTATTTTGTTCGTGCATCTCTGCTTAGTCATCAGGCAGACTCCGTGGGTGCTCCTTTATTCCTGGTAGCTTTTCGTTGGCTCCCTTCCACTGCTCTTACACTTAGCTGTTCACCATCCATGCTTCATTGACTTATTAGTTATTTCAGAATGTTCTATACTGGTTTGTTTGTGAGACTGATTTCGTGACTATCACCAAAAGAGTTAGCACACTTGTCACTATCCTGTTAATAAATTACTAAAAATATAAAAATGGTCATTTGATCTTGTACTTTGGTAGATAACCAATTTCAATATCACCCTCTTAGAATTTCAGTCACTCAGTCTTTTCTGATATCATCCTATTGTAACCTGAATATTTGTGTCCACCAAACATTTATATGTTGAAATCTAATGTTCAATTTAATGGTATTAGAGGCTTTGAGGAGGTGATTAGGTCATGAGAGTAGAGCCCTCATGAATGGGATTTGTGCACTTATAAGAAGCCAGAGAAATAGCTAGGTGCTTTTCTTTTCTTTTTTTTTTTTTTTGCCACATGAAGATACAGTAACTTAGCAGTCTGCAACCAGGAAGAAGTCATTCACCAGAACCTGACTATGTTGGGACCCTCATCCCTGACTTCCAGCCCCCAGAATTGTGAGAAATAAATTTTTGTTGTTTATCATATACCCAGTCTATGGTGCTTTTTTATAGTGCCCTGAACTGACTAACACATACCTCAATCTTATACTAGGTCCTTCCTTTGAATATCTTCAAAGCCTTCTAGAACTTTTTTTTTCCTATCAAATTACTTAATAAGTCTTCATTTTAGGTATACTAATACAGCAGCTGTTTGAAATATATATATCACATGTAAAAGCATGGTGTTCAAATTGAGTGCCAGAAGGTTTTTACTCATGAAGAATGGCCAGGGAACAGTAAAGTTAATTGTAAAAGACATAAATGAATATTCATTATTTTACCTAATTATGGCATACATATGTCAATTGAACATTCTGACCATAAGTGAACAATTGAACGTAACTGAACATTCATTGTTTTACCTAATTATGGCATACATATCCAAATTATATACATAATATATTTTAGATTATTTTAAAATTAAACCTTAAAAAATGTAAGTTGAAAAAATAGAGATGTTTAGTTTTTTTAATATAGTTTATGCCTCCTTTGATTTGAAACTAAAAGCCTGACAGATTTTCTTTTGCATCAAGATGTGAATGTCAGTTCTTGAATTTTTTTGTAGAGATGTGCAGTACAAAAATTCAGCATCGAATTATTTATCTGGAATGATATATATTCTTTTTTTGTGTAAGAAAAAATGCTGCACACATATAATATAGGTGCCCCTAAATATAGACTGTGGAAAATGCTATTTGATCAATGGTTTATTTAATAGATTGGATAACAATTCAAGATAGAGTTTCAGTTTGTGATATCCCAAATGGTCATATTTATTGTTTCTGACTATGTTACACTGCAATTCAAAAAATTCATTTTGGAACTCCTCATTCTTTGACCATTATTAACTGGCAAAGAAAAATGGTCATATTTAGTTCATTTTCATAAAACTGAAAGTCAAGAAATAGTTTTTGAAAATCAATTTTCAACTTCACAATTTGTGTGTATAGCTCAAACTATTATTTAACCTTTGGAAATGACTTAAGTACAAGAAAGTGTGCCAGATAATTCATTACTTATGAATTTCTAAAGAACTCAATTTCATTAGAAAGGAGTGAAGAATGCATTTATGTAATTACTTCTGAATGCCCTTAAATATGAATATTCAAAGGGTTTGTAAGGTTATAATGTCAAACAAAAAAATGCCAAAATGTTAATTTGGTTTTTATTGGTGAGCCAAGATTGGGGATTTTTCTTGTTTGACATGAGCAAATAAATTTCTTTCAAAGATCAAAAATCACCCCCGCAAGATTCATTAGTGAGTTGCGCAGTAGTCGGTAAATGGCGGGTGAGATGTCTGTACAAACATCACGTGCAGCCTCAACTGTCTATGGTTAAAACCATGAGAACATTTCTAGTTCACATTTCTCATTGTTGCATGCCTGACATGGTCCGTATGTAATGCTTTAGCAAGGCAATTGTTGGTAAATGATGCAATGGATGGATTTAAATTTGCGTTCCTTTCGAAAGTTCCAACTTATTTTGTTTGTTTTGTACAAAGGTATCATCACCAGTCAGATTCCAAACCACTACAGACTTGTTTATCTTCAATTTTCAATAACCAAGAAGCAGCCATTTGGATACATAATTATTATAGGCAGTGCATGTATATATAAGTCTCTTAGTCACCTATAATTTGCCATTAAAACAAAAATAGCTAGTGTGCTGTGGGTATTCTCCCATTTCTTCAACCTGCTAAACAATTGCATTTTTGGACAAATTTACATTTACAAATGCTTGCTTTAGTTTAGGACTTATCATTTTTGCTACACTCTGAGGACTTTAATACATTTGCCTACAGTAAATGATTTTGATACTCAGCCATTTTTTCACTTAATACATTTATAGCAAGCAGTGTCACTTAATCTAATTCAGAAACAAACCCAGTTAAATTTCAGGCATTTTTGTTGTGGTTATTAAGTTGTTTGTGCATGTTCCAGTCACACTACTTAATATGTATTGTTTATTAGTGACACATTGATTTATATGTGTAGAAACATTTCATTTCAATCTTAAGCATTTAGTAATATTTTCATTTTCAAAAGAGAGATACATTTTCTCACATTTTTCTTGGAACATCCACATTTAATTTCCCCTCTCTAGATAAAAATGCATGCACAAAAACATTTTACTTTACTCTTAAATCTTCTATGAAAACAGAGACAGCATGGAGATGAATTGCAGCTGACATAACCCTCAGCGTCTGAAAGACTAAAGAAAACTCTGAGGACTGTGACACGGGAGGGAGAAAATGCTCTTCCACTCCAGGAGGTTGCTTCCACTTCGCAGATATCCTGATTTTTAAAAGGGAGGTCACATAACTAGATTTTCATATACAATCTCCTAAATTTTACATGTTGAAAAAAATTATTTTAACTTTGTGCAAGTAAAACTAAACACTCACCTTTGGTCACTAGTTTGTTGCTTCTATTCTGAATAACTAGGGGGCATGTGAAATGTTTCATTTAACTTTTCTCTTAAATTTTACTGTTGAGAATGAATGGCAAATAGCAAATGAAAACAGCATTATTTTAAGGAATCCTGATGTCTGGGGTAGAAAAAAGACATTCTTAATACATTCAGTATGAACTAACTTTTTATTTAGAATTTCACTTTATGATTAGACTATGAAAATTGTAAATTAAGGAGAAGTGTTAGGCAAACAAAAGCATCTAAATTAATTATTTGAAGGATGGATCCTACATTCTTCTATTAGTCTTCACTCTTGAAGATGATCTTGTTTACCATTATATCCAAAACAATTTTGACTGTGATTAGAATTGAAGATGCTGAGGTTTGTGTAAGTATGGCCACAAAATTCATTCCAAACTCAATAATTTTATAATGTACTTCAGAATTAGCTGTGGGATATTAGGTAGTAGTCCCATAGTTTTCTTTCCTATTGTCAAAACTTGGGGTGCACCAACTACATACATAGCACTTTGCTAACCCTGTGGGGATAGAAAAAAAATGGGAACACATATGGTGGCCCATGCCTGTAATCCCAAAGGCTTGGGAGGCTAAATCGGGAGAATGGCTGGAGACCAGGAGTTCAAGACCAGACTGGGCAACATGGTGAGACACCCTTTCTATACAAAGTTAAAATACTTAGTTTGGGTGGAGTGTGCCTGTAGCCCCAGACACTCACAGCTGAGGTGGGAGAATCTCTTGTGCACAGGAGTTTAAGGCTACAGTGAGCATGATCCTGCCACTGCACTCCAGCCTCGGTGACACAGCAAGTCCCCATCTCTAAAGAAACAAAGATTGGAGTTATAATCTAATAGGAGACACAAATGTGCACATACCTAATACAGGACAAGCAAGATGTTAGTCCTACAAAGTATGTAAAATACTAGTAATAATTGGAAGGAATATTACCATAAAAAGGGGGAATTGATAATGCATATCATCTTTTAATTTCTCTATTTTTACATCTTTCTTTAGCTGGAAGCCAGATCTTTGATTTGACTGATTTAACTAACACTTGTAAGAATTGTAGTTTGAATGATTCTTCTGAAGTCATTATAAAGTGTTTAATGTCATCCCCCAACCCTTATGCTCCTTGCTTCTTCTGGCAGAGTCTAATTTAATCTTAACATTTTCATCTAAGATGGCAATACCATTGTGGGACATCCCTCCAAACCTAGATAGATTTAATGATGCTCTTTTCTCCATTCTATAACAATTTGTAAATACACCTGTTTGTTACAGGAAAGGGGTCCCAGTCGAGACCTCAAGAGAGGGTTCTTGGATCTCACCCAAGAAAGAATTCAGGATGAGTCCACAGTGTAAAGCAAAAACAACTTTATTAAGGAAGTAAAGGAATAAAAGAATGGCTACTCCATAAATAGAGCAGCCCCTAGGGCTGCTGGTTGCCCACTTTTATGGTTGTTTTTTGATGATATGCTCAACATGGAGTGGATTATTTATGCCTACCCTCTCTGGACTGTATAGGATAACTTCCTGACATTGGCATAGCATTTGTAAACTGTGCTGGTGCTGGTGGGAGTGTAACAGTGGGGACAACCAGAGGTCACTCTAGTCGCCATCTCGGGTTTGGTGGGTTTTAGCCAGCTTCTTTACTGCAACCTGTTTTATTAGGAAGGTCTTTATTCCCCATATCTTGTGGTGACTTCCTATCTCATTCTGTGACTTTGAATGTCTTAACCATCTGGGAATGCAGCCCAGTAGGTCCTAGGCTTATTTTACCCAGCTCCTATTCAGGATGAAGTTGCTCTGGTTCACATGCCTCTGACTTATTTAGTAGTGAAGTACTGTTATTAAATCAGAATGTGAAACATGTGGGTCAGGGTCTTCTTGAGAGCTGTGTCCTCAATGCTCAGCATAGTTAATATCTGTGGGATAAATAAATGAACAAATAAGTTGGCAAAAACAACCAGGTTGAGAGATTAAGGTATTCTGTGGTTGCTATTTTTCTAGCCTTCATTTCTGTTGAGATAAATTAGTTGCTGATAGATCGATGAGATATTTTAAAAGAAAATAGCTATGACAGATACTTCTACATTGGCATACCATGTCTTGTTCATCAGATAAAGCAATCTAGCGTATTATAGAAATTATTGTCCTTTTATGTGAAACATTTTATATTATGTGTATTTAGTCTATATTTTAGTTTTTAAAGATTTTCATTAGAGATTTATGGTATATAAAAATATTGTGTAAAATTATGTGTAGCTGGACTTCAGTGAAAATGGTTATGTAAGGAGCTTCAATAATTGTATTCTCTGTAAAATGAATGAGAACACTGGCAGGAAGTTGTCAGAATCAGCTTTCAGAACACTGGAAATTAAACTTAGGCTGGCAGCAATTCAGAGTGTGCATCCAAGAAAAAAGCTGAATCTCAGTTAAATCAGTGTGTTTTGTGGCACTTTGGCTTTTTCTATTTCCATCTACTTCCCAGCTCCAGAGTAACCTTGAAAACTAAGAGATCACAATTACTGTGAAAACTAGCAGTCTGATAGCCAAAGGAAGAGGCAAAGCTGTGCTGCATCTTCTTCTAACCTTCATTCCCAGAGAACTGACATTATTGGACTGTTGTGGTAGTTTCTTGGAAGACTTCACTTGCAAGGCAATCTTTTTAAAATTTTTATGTCTAGGTGTCCATGTGCAAATTTGTTATATAGGTAAAATTCATGTCACAGGTGTTTGGTATACAGATTATTTTGTCACCCAGGTAATAAGCATAGCACCCAATAGGTAGTTTTTTAAATCTTTTCCCTCCTTCCACTTTCTACCCTGAAGTAGGCACCAGTGTTTGTTGTTCCTCTCTTTGGGTCCATGTGTTCTCATGATTTAGCTCCCACTTATAATTGAGAACATACAGTTTCTGGTTTTCTTTTCTTGCATTAGTTTGCTTAGGTAGGATAACAGCCTCCAGCTCCATCTAACTTGCTGCAAAGGACATGATCTTGTTCTTTTTATGACTGCATAGTATTCCATGATGTATATATACCACATTTTCTTTATCTAGATTATTATTGATGGGCATTTAGGTTGATTCTATGTTTTTGCTATTGTGAATAGTGCTGAAATGAACATATGCATTCATATATCTTCATGGTAGAATTATTTATATTCCTTTGGGTATGTACTCAATAATAGGATTACTGGGTCAAATGGTAATCCTGTTTTAATTCTTTGAGGAACTACCACACCACTTTCTACAACGGTGGAACTTGAAATCAGCAAGAAGAAATGATTCATCAGCACAAAGTGTTCTCTATAGGACTAAAACTGACTTTGTAACATAAGCCTAGGGGGACAGAGGATTGGGATGACACAGTCAAACTGCTAAAAACAACAAAACAAAACAAGAACAACAAAAATACTAGTAGACTGCTTCCCTATAAGAAATACTAAGCTGAATCCTTTAGAGAGAAATGAAATGGTACTAGACAGTAACTGAAATCTACAAGAAAGAATAAAAGACACCATTGAAGAATTACATAGAAACATATAAAAGATAGCACAAATGTATTTTTATTCTTATCTCATCTCTTCTCCTTTCTGAATTAAAAGACAGCTGCATAAGACAGTGGTTATAAGTCTGTGTTGATGAGATACAATGCAAAACTATATCATTTGTATGACATCAGAACAAAGGAGGAAAGATAAAGATGAATAGGAACAAATTTTGTATACTACTGTAATTAAGTTATTATTAATCCGAGATAGAGTGTTGTAAGTTAACATGATAATGAGAAGCCACAGGATAAGCACTGAGAAAATAACTAAAGAAAATAATAAATGACATAGCAAGAGAACTAAAATGTGATACTATAGAGTACCTGTACAACATAAGGCAGTAATGAGGAAAAAAAATGGAGAAAGAAAAACAGAAATTACACATGATATGTAAAAACAAATAGCTGAATGGCAGATGTAAGTCTCAAACTGTCAGGAATTACACTATATGCAAATGAATCAAATATTCTAATTATCCATGTAATAGGCTGAAATTACCAGAATGAAAAAAAAAGATATAACTATGTATTGCTACAACACACATACTTCAAGTGAACGATACAAATAGGTTTAAAGAAAAAGGATAGAAACAGATATTCAAGGCAAACAAACAATAACATGAAAACTGAGGTAGTGATACAAATAAAAGACATAATATACTTTTAAAAAATTATGGGATGCTTTATGAATTTGTGCATCATCCTTGCACTGAGGCAATGCTAATCTTCTATGTATAGTTCCAACAAAATGTACTTTAAGACTACAAAGTTATTGCTAATGACAAAAATTATATTCTATAATAATAAAAAGGTCAAACAAGAAGGTATAAATGTGCCCCAACAACAGAGCCATGAAATATATGAAACAAAACTGACATAATTGAAGGGGGAGTTTGACAGTTGAACGGTAACAGTTGGAGATTTTAATAACCAACTTTCAATTACAGATAGGACAATTAGGCATAAGATAAGCAAGGAAATGGAATACTTGAATGGCAATATAAACCAGCCAGAATAAGCAGACATCTCATATAAAATAATCCATCCAACAAAACAGAAGACAAATTCTTCTCAAGTGCACATGGAACATTCCTCCAGATAGACCATAAATTAAGCCATAAAATTAGCTTCAATAAATTTAAAGAATTTAAATCATGCAGAGTATGTTTTCTAATAACAATGGAATAAAATTATAAATACATTAAGAAAATAAAAGTTTGGAAATTTATAAATGTGTAGAAATTAAGTCTCATCTTTCTAAATAATCAAAGAATAAGTCACAAGACAGATCAGAAAGTACTTCAAAATGAATTTGAAAAAGATTAGTGTATAACAAAACTTATGAGATGAAGCTAAAAAATGATTAGAGAAAAATGTATGTCTGCAAATACCTGTATTAGAAAAGAAGAGAGATCACAAATCAGTAACCCAATCTTCCTTCTTAAGGGAATGGAAAAAGAAAATCAAGAGAAACCTTAATCAAGCAGAAATAAATAAATAATAAAAATTTGAATGAAAATAAATGAGATGGAGATACAAAAACTATAGAGAAAAACAACAACAAAAAAACCAAACACTGGATCTTTGAAATAAATAACACAATTGGCATATCTTTAGCTAGCATAATCAAGAAAAAGAGAGGATACTCAAATTACTAAAATCAGGATGAAAAAGGGGACAATACTACCAATTTTATATTAAAAAGATAAAGGATTGCTATATACAACTGTATACAAAATGATTGGCTAAATTAGATAAAGATACAAATTCTTAGAAAGATACAGACTGCCAAAACCTACTCAAAAGAAACAGAAAATGAAAAAACAATAACAAGTCAAGGGATTGAAATAATATTTTTAAAAATTCCATAAAAAAATTTAGGACTAGATGTCTTTACTGGTGAATTCTACCAATTAAAAAAAATTAATACCATTTTTTTGCACGCTTTTCCAAAAATGTATTAGAAGTGAGCGCTTCTCAACTTATTCTATGAGACCAGCACTGCCATCATACCAAAATCAGATAAGAACATCACAAGAAAATATCACTACAGACAAATATCCCCTGTGAATATAAGCACAAAAAATTCTTACCAAAATACTGACAAATCGTATCCAGCAATATCTTAAAAGAATTACACCAGGTAAGACAAAGTGGGACCAGATGCAATGTATCGAAGGAATACAGATTAGTTCAACATACAACAAAAAAAATTATAATATGCCATACTAGAAAAGCAATAATAACAAAACACATGATGATCCCATAGACACAGAAAAAGCCTTTGATAAAATCCTAAACTATTTCATGATAGCAGACGATTACCTGAACCTGGAAAGCTGGCTAACGAAAACCCCACAGCTAACGTCATACTCAATGGTGAAAGATCAAAATCTTTTTTTTTCTAAGATAATTCACAAGGTAAAGATTTTCATTCTCACTACTTGTTATTCAGCACTGTGCTGGAGATTCTAGCCTTGGCATTTATGCAAGAAAAAGGAATAAAAGACATTGAGATTGCAAGATAAGAAGTAAAACTATCTCTATTTGAATATTACATGAGCTTGCAAATAGAAAATCCTAAATTATATACCAAAAAATCCACTAGTGCTCATAAACAGGCTTGACAAGTTTGCAGGATTCAAGATCAATACATAAAAATTAATTGTATTTTTCTACACTAGTAATGAATAATCTGGAAATTAACTTGATGCCATTTAAAATAGCATCTAAATAATTAAATATTTAAGAATTAATTTAATGATGGAAGTGCAAGACTTGCACACTTAATACCACAAACATAGTTGAGAGAAATTAAAGACTTAAATAAATGGAAAGACTTCCCATGTTCTTAGATTGGAAGACTCTATATTCTGAAGATTGAAACATTCTCCAATTAGATCTACAGTTTTAACACATTCCTTGTCTAAATATCATATGCTTTTTTTTCTTTGATGATATTGACAAGATGATCTTAAAATATATATAGAAATGTCAGAGACCAAACCAGCCAACACAATCTTGAAGCAGACCAAAGTTGGAGGACTCACACTTCTTGATATCATATCTTAAAAGCTGTAGTAATCAAGACAGTGTGGTAGTGGTATCAGGTTTAACATGTAGATCAATGGAATACAATTAAGACTCCATAAATAAACCTGTATTTCCATGGTCAAGTGATTTTCACTCAGGATGCCAAGAAAATGGAGTGAAGAAATAATTTTTTTTTTAACAAATGATGCTGGAACAACTGGATATCTCTATCTATCTATCTATCTATCTATCTATCTATCTACCTATCTATCTATTTGTCTGTCTATATATCTATCTGTAATTTCTACCCCTACATTAAACCATATAAAATAATTCAAATGGATTGAAGATCTAAATGTAAGGGTAAAAAATATAAAACTCTTAGAAGGAAACATAGAAGTAAATCATTTGACTTATATTTATGCAATTGTTTGTTACATAAGCACCCAAACCACAAGGGACCAAAGAAAAAATACATAAATTGAACTTCATCAAAAATTTAAAATTTTTGTTTTGAAAATATAACAAAGTGGGAAAGATAATTGCAAATCATATACCTGATAAGGAATTTGTACCCAGAATATTAAAAAGTCATTCTTATAATTCAATCTTAAAATGTCTAATTATTTAATTAAACAATGGGCAAACGTTTTGGATAGATATTTCTCCCAAGAAGATATGAAAGTAGCCAATAAGTACATATTTCCATCAAACTACCAATGACATAATTCACAAAATTAGAAAAAAAAATTTAATTCATATGGAACCGAAAAGAGTCCGAGGAACCAGGGTAATCCAAAGCAAAAAGAACAAAGCTGGAGGCATCACATTGCCTGTCTTCAAACAACATTACAGGGCCATAGTAACCAAACCAGATAGTACTGGTACAAAAAGGCAGATAAACCAAGAGAATAGAATAGAGAGGCCACAAATAAGGCCACACACCTGCAACCATCTGATCTTTGACAAAGCTGACAAAAACAAGCAATGGAGAAAGGATATTCAATAAATGGTGTTGGAATAACTGGTTTGCCATATGCAGAAGATTGAAACTGGATTTTCCTTACTCCATATACAAAAATCAACTCAAGATGGATTGAAGACTTAAATGTATAACACAAAACTATGAAAACCCTGAAGAAAACCTGGGCAATATTATTCTGGACATAGGAACTGGCAAAGATTTAATGACAAAGATGCCAAAAGCAATCACGATGAAATCAAAAATTGACAAATAGGCTGTAATTAAACTTGAAAACTTCTGTACCACAAAAGAAAATTACAGAGTGAAGAGACAACCTACAGAATGGGAGGAAATATTTGCCAACTATACATAAAACAAAGTCTAATATCCCGCATCTATAAAGAACTAAACAAGTTTACAAGAAAAAAAACAAACAACCCATAATAAAGTGGGCAAAGGACATGAATATACACTGTTCAAAAGAAGACATACATGCAATCAATAAGCCTATGAAAATAAGTTTGACATCACCAATCATTTTGAACCAAGTTCACAAAACCACAATGAGATGCCATCTTACACCAGTTAGAATGACTATTATTAAAAAAGCAATAAAACCAGATGTTGGTAAGCTTGTAGAGAAAAGGAAACACTTACACACTGTTGGTGAAACTAATTAGTTCAACCATTGTGGAAAACAGTGTGACAATTCCTCAAAGACCTAAAAACAGAACTACCATTTGATCCAGCAATCTCATTACTGGGTATATACCCAAAAGAATATAAATTGTTCTACCAGGAAGACACATGCACATGTATGCTCATTATAGTGCTATTCACAAGAACAAAGACATGGAGTAAATCTAAATGCCCATCAATGGTAGACTATATGTAAAAAAAGATGTGGTACATATACACCATAGAATACTATGCAGGTTAAAAAAGAATGAGATCATGTCCTTTGCAACAACATGTATGGAGCTGGAGACCTTTATCCTAAGCAAACTAATGCAAGAACAGAAAAGCAAATACTACATGTTCTCATTTATAAGTGGGAGCTAATCAACAAGAACACATGGACACTAATAGGGGAACAGAAACTGGGGCATACTTGAAGATGGAAGGTGGGAAGAGGGAAAGAATCAGAAAAATGCCTATTGGGTACTATGCTTCTTACCTGGGTGATGAAATAATCTGTACATGAAATCCCCATGATGTGCAGTTTACCTATGTTACAAACCTGCACCTGTACTCCTGAACCAAAAATAAACGGTAAAAAAAGAAAATTTGCTTACCATCATTAGTCACTAAGAAATTCAAAACCACAATGAGGTACCATTTCATACCCACTACATGGCTATAATAAAAAAAGGTGGGCAAAACACAACCTGGTGAAGATGCAAAGAAATTTGAATTCTCACAAACTGTTGATTGGAATGCCAAATAATTCAGCCACTTTGGAAAATGGTTTTGTAGTTCTCCAATACATTAAATATAAGGCCACCATTTCACTTTTGGATATATACCCAAGAGGAGTGAACATATACGTCCACACATAAACATATATTATTGTTCATAGCAGCATTGTTCAAAATAGTTAAAATGTAAAACCAATCCAAATGTCTATTATCTGAAGAAAGGAAAAGCAAAATATGGTTATATCTACAAAATGGAATATTATTGGGCAATAAAAAGAAACGAAGCATTGATTTATGGTAATTCATATAGGTAAACCTTGAAAACATTACTACAAGTTGAAGAAAAGCAACACATAAAGCAACATATTATGATTTCATTTATGTAAAATGTTTAGAAGAGAAAAATCCATTGATAGAGATCAGTGGTTGACATTGGCTGTGGGAAGAGGAGAATGGGTTGCAATGCTAATGGATGTGGGATGTCTTCTTGCTATTAGAAAAATGTTCTGGAATTATATAGTGGTGATAGCTGCAACATGTTTTGAGTATAATAAAAATGCTGAATTGTCTAGTTTTAAATGATGACTATCATAACTTTAAAAGAATGAATTATATCTCAATTTTAAAAAATGCTTGGAGCACATAATGCTAAGTAACTGAGCTCCAAAACCAAAGTCTCCCGGAAGCACATATATGAAATATACAAAGATGCAAACAGATGCCAGGAATCCACAGAAAATTGCTGATATTGGGCCAAATGTGTTTTTAGCTAGTATTCAATTTTCACAGTAATAAATAGTGGACACCTTTTTTTTATGTACCAGGACGTTTTTTGAGTGCTTTACATGCACGTTTTCATCTAATCTTCATAAAATTATGTGATGATTTATAAAATTTTCAATTTTACAAATGGAAACCTCAAAGTTTAGTGATTAAGACATTAGTCCAAAATCTCTCCATTAGCATGTATCCAGATTTGAATCAAAGACCACTAGCTTCATAGCCCGTAGTAGTGAAGTATTATCTTTTTGAAGTTTATTCTGAAGTAAATCTTTTATTAATTGATGATTGATTCATTATATCACCCATTTAATGAGCTTCTTTTTTGAAACTTTTCTACCCTGAGTTAGTTTTAAAAGTAGACAATACAGGGTGAAATATGAGAAAAAAACAATGCTATCATGGAGGCTGCACGGGGATGTGTAAATAACCAACAAACAAATTCATTAGGATGAAGACTCAGCTCCAATAAAATGCAGGGACATGATTAAGAGAGATTGCATGGTCAGAGGATACCTTGCAGAGAAGCTGGTTTGTAAGTCAAGACCCGAATGATGAAAAAAAAAAACACTTCTGCAAAAACCTGAGGGAGAGAATCTCGGGCTCTGGCATCAGCTAGTGAAGATGCCTGCAGGCAGGAATACGTTGCCTCCAGAAAGAAAGCAAGTGTTGCTAGAAAATAATGATGGAGGTAGAGTGTGGGATATGAGGTCTGAGAGCCAAATCCTAAAACACTGTTTAGACCTGAGTGTGAGCTGAGAAGAGGAGGAGAATGGCAGCATGATACCGTTGTTGCCAATGATGATGATGATAACTCTACCAGAAAAAAAAGCAAAAAATCAATGTGTGTACCTCATATGTGTCAATATTTTGCTAAGTATTCTATATGCAGAATTCTTAGTTGTCATTCTCAAGTAGCATTTAAGGAGAGCATTTTTCCGATTTTATGTAAGAAAAGCTGAGGCTCAGACATGGTGGCTAACTAGCCCAAGATAAATCAGCTAAATGAGAGGTAGAGAATGTATTGAAATCTATGTGACTGCAAAACCCTGGTCCTTAACCATGATGTCTAGTTCCAGCTGCCTCTCAAAGAGGAAATTCCGTGGTAGAACAGTATACATCTTTGTCATTCAACAATATTTTTAGTTGAATGAATTAAGGAGTTTATTTTTGTACGCCAAATATTTCTTGGGTGTGTTCGACTCTCACTGTGATTCTACTTTCACTTCAAGATTTCATGTTCATTATTTATATCTGTGAAGCTCTAAGAATACCAATGTCGTGATTTCACAAAGAACCCCCACCTTTTGAGTTGTCATTCTAGGTCAGTATTCTTGAGGATATTTTAAGTGTAAACCTTATGTTCTAGGGACAAAATATCCCAATCTCGCTGTGAAAGCCAGCTTGTACGATTAAAAGGCTGGGGCAGGATTAGACTGTCACTTATTAAGCAGGTTGTTCTAAATAAGTAGGCAAGATTTTGTTATTTTGACAGGCAGTTACAGAAAAGAGCTGGCAGCCCCAGCAGCACAAAATGAAACGTCAGAGAGTCCAAGGACATGTCATTGTCCATGAAAAGCCATCAGCAACTGCTGGGGTAAACATCAACTTTACATTTATTCCACCAAATAGTAAACAGTATTGACAAGTGAAGTGTGTGTATATGCGTGTGTGTGTGTGTGTGTGTGGTGTGTGTGTGTGTTTTCTGTCCCCAGGAGGATTTTAAGAAAGACAAATGATATCCTATTTGTGGTTGTACTTTAAAAGATTCAAATATAGGTCTGAAGGACAGAGGAATCACTGCAGAGCTTCTGGGAAAGAATACCCTGCCCTTTCACAAAAACACATCCCATCTAATAGCGACTGTGAAGAAGTGAGAACAAGAGCAATTCTTATTATCCCTGTCCCTAAAAAAAGTTTTGGCCCTGCTAATTACTGCTGGAAAACTGAGGCCCAAGACAAGGGGACTTGCCCAAACTCTCATAGCTAGCAGCAGCATAACCGGGATTTTAAACAACGCAACCTGCTTCTGGAACTTGGCATAAACACTGTTTACATGAGGAAGTCACCATGGACAGCTCTCTCTGAAAAGAAAATATTCTAGCTATCCTAGTTGATCAAGTTGAATATTGCATCCAATGAAAAGCATTCTCAATACCTTAACACAAACTTACTGACTCCTTTCTTTAAACAAACCAACAAACAAACAAACATCTTCCTATTCAGAGTGCTACTAAATAAATTATTTTTAACATTTACCTAATTGCATGAAATTAGTGAATGTATTTCACTCTATATCCTGTTCTCATTCCCATCTTGAATATTTCCTTATATATAATGGAAATTCATTGGCTTTTATTTTATATCCTGTGTCTCTAACCTAGAAAGTAGTAAATCAGTAAATGGTTGAAAAAATTAAAAACTCAAGTCAGAAATAATCTAGCAAATGATACTTTGGAAGGTTTAGCCAACCTTCACGGTAGAGTTATGGCTTAGACACATTTTTTAATTCTTTGAGATAAAATTGTTCAACCTTTCACTTGCCCTCAGGGAAAAGGCCAATTTACCACCATCCATCTTCCAGGTAAGTTCAAAACTATGTTTCAGGTGTTGTGATTTATGGTAAAGTTTTCAGCATAATAAGAAAGAGAGAAATAGCTACCACTTGCCCAGATTTTAAAATTTGATTGTGGAATCTTAAAAGATAGGTGGATGGTATCCAGTCATATTTGTCCTCTGTTGAGCAGGTTTATATATTTTTCTTGTGGATACTGCAGTTAATCTATAGATGTTCACGTATCTGCAAAGTGACCAGGCAAGAATTTTCAAGAGGGTCTTGGTCTGAGCAAGTCAGTATGTTGGTGGATTAGCTTTTGATTGATTCTCTGATGGGTGAGAGTGTGTAGGAAGAACACTAAATGAGCAGCCCAAGTGTCAGTCTTGAAATAAAATCATTTTGTGCCCAGGGAAATGATTAAGAAAACAGAGTTTGTCTCTTTCCTGTTAACTTAAGCTCTAGCTGCATCCCATCTTTTGATGGGCTCAAGCTTTCTGGTGACATCTGGTCAATCAACCTTCTTCAGTCCTACTGAGGGCCTAATAGGCTATTGATTGGAAGGTTAGCAGAGCTGGAGTGGTAATAACATCAGATAAAAACATGGAGCCAATATTTGTACATTCCAATCATATATTCTGACATCTACTCAGAGCTCCTAAAATTCAGATCCAGTTAACATGTAATGAGAACCAATTCTGTTCCAAGCATCACCCTAGGCTCCTTACATAGTTTATTTAATCATTGTCTGTAAGGAAAATAATGTTGTTTCTAGCTTACATATGTAGAAATTGGCACTCAGAGTAATTAAGAAGTAAAAAGAGCGTATCAGCCAGTGTTGCAGACACTTATTCTGCTAGTTTTTCTATTAAGGCCAAAGATAATTAGTACCAGTTAGTATCTATGATCTTAGTATTGATAATAATGACATTTTAAAGTTTATTACCATCATATACTAAAGGTGATTTTTTTTCCACAAATCAATAGATTTCAAAATATTAAATCATGGATGTGCAGGAGAAACTGCAAAAAGGAATATGGCTATGATGCCCAATTATGATCCTTGTTATTGCATTTCACAAATAGCCCTCAAATCCTTTCGGACTTATTTTTATGTATTTCCACAAGCCAAAGTCATCTTAACTAGACTACTTCAATAGTCTTCTAAACAGGCTCCTGATGTCTGCCATTCTGACCCTTCAGTTCTATTCTCTCTTTTCTAGCTAATAGGAATGTGTTAAAAATTCTATCCCAATAATTTCATTGCTTTTAAAATTAATAAATTTTTAATACATCTTCAATTTTTTTTTTTTTTACTTTCTAACCTCACTTGAAGCCATTCCCACAACTGTGTATCCTGTTATTGGATGTCTAATAGGCATCTCGAAAAATATGTGTCCAAAGAAGAATTCTTGACAATTGTTTCAGTTATTTAGTGCTCCATAACAGACCATCCCAAAAGTCAGTGGCTTAAAATAATCACATTTATTTTTGCGCACAAATCTGCAATCTGGACAGAGCTTAACACATATAGCTTGTCTCTATTCTACTAGTCATCAGCTTAACAGACTCAAAATCATCTGAAGTTTTACTTACATACATGTAGAGTGGCTCCTGGTGGCTGTGGACTTGGGCATTAGCTGGGGCTGTCATCCAGGACACCTGCAATTGATCCTTCCATGGGGAAAGGACATGGGCTTCCTCAGTACATGGTAGCTGGGTTCTAAGGGTGAGGAATCCCACAAAACAGAAAAGCAAGTGGAAACTACACTTTCCTTTATGCCTTAGCATTCAAAGTCAATTGTGCTATTTGTTGAAGCAACCATAAAGGCCTGAAGAATTTTAAAGTGGGTAGAACAAAGTACACTTTTTGAAGGGAGAGTCAAACATTCTAGAAGAACATGAAATACTGGAAATATTGCTGTGGTCCTCTCAGTGGACAAAGCTGAGGCACTTGAGTGCATGTATCTGTGTGTGTGTGTGTGTGTGTGTTTGTGTGTGTGTGTTATAGATAGATGCCTATATAGATTTTCGAGATGCCTACACACAAGCCTCACACCACACAAAGATTTACAAATACACCAATATTTATCATCTATTTCCATTACTGAAATCAATAAATCCATGAGTTTATGAAATATTTTCAATGCACTGATTCCTATCCAATGTCACAGGGTTTATTCTACTTTTCTTTCTTTCCATATTTGTAAGTTCCTTCTCTGATGATAAAGCCTCCCCCTTTCCTAATATATTTGATTATCTTCTTCCATTGCCCCTGCTACTGCCTTGTCTGCATAGACATATAATTTAAGACACTCAGTATCTCCTACTCATCTCAATGCTCCCTCTTTATAGAAAACCTCCTCCCTGACTAGTCCGCATGCTGTGTGGCTACCCACCTTACCCTCTTCAACTCTGAATCCTCATACCAGTTGACCCTGGCTAGGGCTCTGTTCTCACTCTGCTGGGGCTCTTGATATCCAAACCTAAACACCTGAAAGATAATATCTGTACGGGATGGATCTGTACGGGATGGACTGCCATGGAGAATCAGCCCAAGAGGGCATGCCTGTTTGTGAATGGCTCGGCTTAGGGTTTCAGAATCCAAGCAGGGTGATGAGCGCATCTGTATGGTAGAGTATCCACACCCACATGGAGGAGTGGATGGGTATGTCCTTGAGTTGGCATGCACATCCTCACTGATCAGATGCCCTTCTCACTCCGCTGGGCTCACGCCACGCTTCTCACTCCCCACCCCCTCACCCACCAGGAAGATCCTTCCTCTCCCACTTGGGCTTCAGTGTACAGGAAGGACAATTCTTGCTTAGTTAAGCTTTCCCAGTTAAGAAAAGTGTGACTTCAACTTAAAATCTGAGGCAGAACTGAATGAGGTAACAGCTGGGGAATGTCACCTAAGGACAACACTCACAGCCTGACGACAAATTCTTTCCTGAAGAGGGATCTTAGAAGTGTGTGTCTGTGTCTGCCATAGAGTAAGGGAAAAGGAGAAGGGGTTCCCATTAATTTTTGATATGAACTAAGTAAAAATGAACATAAACACACAGTCACCTCCTGAATAATAAAATCCTGTAACCGATAAAAATTCGATATCAAGATTATTGTTTGTCAAACATCATTGTCTGTCAAAATCATCCTGGATGATTGTCAAAAATGTAGATCTCTGTCATCACATCATAAATCTAGAATTCTGAGGCTGGGTCTCAGAAACCTGCAGTTTTAACAAGCAGCTCAAGTCATTAAATACATTTTGACTCTGCTTCAGAGTCCTAATCCACTGAAAATATTTCTTGTAAGTCAATTTTTATCACCATGATGAGTTGCCTGATCTTGTATGTCAGTCCAGCCCATAACTCTGGGAACTGTAACTATCCCTTTGCTGAGTGCAATATCTTCTCCTTTTACTGTAAATCTATTTTGCTCTGGGGCACACTTTTATAGGTCAATATCCCTGCCGTGTTATTGAAAAAATGTAGGTTGGACTGTAAAGAGCAATTGTTTCCTGCAAAGTTACCAGGTAGGGGCTAGCACAATGGGCATTCTTAGGTTATGCACATTATAGCATGCCTTGAACCTTAAAGGTACCTCAGTTAAGATTGTTTTTGTGAATCTCATCTGTCCTGCCAACACAAAAGGCATGAGAAACATGTAAAATAGGAACTTTGGCAAGAAATTGTCGTTTCTGTTATTTGCTTAAGTGACACTTCAACTCACTGATTTTAACCTTATTTCAAGTCTTCTGACTTGCTTTGACTTGATCACCTCTTGGCTCTCTTTCTCTTCTTAAGGTTGTTTTTGGTTTGAAATACACTTCCTCAGCTTTGAGTCCAACACTGTTCCTTTTAACACAATTTGGTTATTTCCCCTATCTATACACACAAACACACAAAATTGTTAAACTATGCTTTCACTGCCTCTGAGAGCCCTCCAGGCAACTACTAAAACAGGAAAGTCCTCCTCTCCTAAGCAAATTGGCAGATCGTTGGTCTTTTTAATATAACCTTTTGCTCTAATTTTGTATTTCTATGTTAAAAAAAAACCTCCACATGTAGTGGCTTAAAATAACTATAATCATTTATTTTTATCATTGAGGACTAAGCTCTGATTTTTTTTTTATCTTGCCCAAATTCCTACCTAAGGGATCTGGGGAGTCATGCCCTACAATCCATAAATTCTCCTCAGATAGGTTTTATTTAACCCTATATATGGTGACTTACTTTCCAAACTGACTCTGGCATAACATTATGAGACAAGGGAGAAAATAAAAATATTTTATCTCAAAACATGTTTCTTTGCCATAGCTTGAAATGGTCCTGCAAAGATGTCCTTTGTGGGGGAGTAGAGAATTTCTATTAACATAGCTAGACCTTTTTCTTCTAGGCCCTCATAATTCTAAAGAAATTAACTAAGAGTATAGCACCTTTTAAAGGTCTGAATAGGAAATATGTGCCATCTATTGTCTCTAAGGGCAGCGACTATAAGACTTCAAAAGAACTCCACAGTCTTTTATCTTAACCTGAACTTTTCCTTTTTATTGATCCCAGGTCTTTAGACAAACTCAGTTGTCAAGTAGAAAACGTTTAAATTTACCTATAGCTGAACCCCCACCCCCAACTTTGAGTCGTCCTTTCCGGACCAAACCAATGTTTTTCTTAAATGTATTTGATTGATGTCTCATGCTTCCCTAAAATGTATGAAACCAAACTGATCCCCAACCACCTTGGGTACATGCTCTCAGAACCTCCTGAGGGCTGTGTCACTGTCCATGGTCACTCATATTTGACTCAGAATTAATCTCTTCAAATATTTTACAGCATTTGACTCTTTTCATTGGCATTATGTATTTGCAATTTTAGCAAGGCCTTGGAAAGAACAGCTGATCTCTGCTCCTTGCACTATTGGCTTGACTGGTGTAAGGCTAAGGACTATACAGTGGCTAGAGGCTGAAATCACAGAGTGGTTCACCCATTCACATAACTGTGGTCCAGAATACCTGTGTTTATGGCTTCCACAAAGCAGCTGTGGTCTGAGAGTGGGCATCTCAAAAGGCTAAAAGAGGAAGCTGCCACTTTCTTACAGCCGGGACCCAGAAAGTCACCATTTCTATTGTATTCTATTGGTCAAGTAGTCATGGATCTCATATTCAAGGGATGGGGAGTGACTAGTCAGGTAGGAGGTTTTCTGTAAGTAGGCAACCTTGAGCAGAGTAGGAGAAGCTGAGCAGGTTAAATTATGTGTCTATGCATGCAAGGCAGTAGCAGTGGCAATGGGAGAAATTAATAGAACTCACATTTCAGTGGGAAGAATGTCAGAGGGTTTTGGGGTCATTTTTTATGTATTGCCATAGCAAACACAGCATATAATTAAGATTTAAAGCTATGAGTGTTCTAACTCTACCCCTAATATAAGTCATTCTCAATGAAGTTTATTCTAAGAAAAGAGTTCAAGTTTTAGTGATGAGCAATGGTATGGTTAATATTAAGTGTCAATTTGATTGGATTGAAAGATGTAAAATATTATTCCTGGGTGTGTCTGTGAGGGTGTTCCCAAAGGAGATTAACATTTGAGTCCTTGGAATGGGAGAGGCAGACCCACCCTCACTGTGGGTGGGCACCATCTAATCCACTGTCAGCAGGGCTAGAATAGAGCAGGCAGAAGAAGGTTGAAAAAGCTGACTTGCTGAGTCTTCCAGGCTTCATCTTTCTCCTGTACTGGCTGCTTCCTGCCCTCAAACATCAGACTCCAAGTTCTTCAGCTTTTGGACCCTTGGACTTACACCAGTGGTTTGCCAGGGGCACTCAGGCCTTCAGCCACAGACTGAAGGCTGTGCTGTCGGTTTCCTTACTTTTGAGGTTTTGGGACTCGAAGTGGCTTCCTTGCTCCTCAGCTTGCAGATGGCCTATTGTGGGACTTCACTTTGTGACTGTTTGAGTCAATACTTCTTAATAAACTCCCCTTCATATACACATCTAGCCTATTAGTTCTATTCCTCTAGAGAACCATGACTAATACAAGCAATAAGTAGTACTTGAGAAGCAGTGACTTAGTGAGACAAAGGAAAAGACAGAGAAGGTGTATCTAGTTGAATCATATAATGTTTTTATTCTAGGAATAATATTCCATTTGGGATTTCTCTGGTAGTAGAAGGGAATAATGATTATCACCCATTAAAATTTGTTAGACTTTACAAAACATGAGCACAGACAATTTTCCATATTTTTCTAATAATATACACCAAAGAAATTGGGCCTGCTGTTATTTATCACAATATATCAGAGGTAATTGTTAAATTTGTGATTTTAGAGACTATGTTCAATATTACATAGATAGCAAGTAGAGAGACTGAGATGAAAATCAATCTTTCCCCAAACTGCATCCCAGGGTAGTTTTGCTAATATGAAATTTTGAATTACAAATTAAGGTAGAAGATCTGATTTCAAATTGGGAAAATGAAGCAGGTGCATTATTATAAGGCATAAAAAAACTCATGAAGGCTAGTTAAAAACAAGGTAGAGCTATTATAACACCACTGCACTAGAACCTGGACAACAGAGTGAGACTGTCTCAGGAAAAAAAAAAAAAAAGTGGAAGGGCAGAGAAAGCTTACAGTATGAAAAAAGGGTCTAGGGAACTTGATCCTATTAAAGAGACTAATCCTGACAAGAGAAGGTAGTTGCCCAACATACAGTGTCCAAAGAGTCTGTCAAGGTCACAGGTAATTTACTTGGATTAGACTGTTGAAAACATATTCATTCTGTTTGATAGGGTATAGCAGCAGAGGTAGCATAGTTGACAAATTATGTTCCAAGACTGATACACATCAGCACAGGAATGCCAAGAAATATGTCCATTCATAAAAGGACAATATCTTGGGAGGTATTGGCATCGACATTCCAATTCTATTGGCATGGAACAGTGCATAGCATGGCAGGATAAAGAGTCTAATTCAAACTAACTGAGCTTCATAGTCTTTATCTGGTTCTCATAGTATTCATCTGGATGTTTTGTAGGAAGCAGATATGAAAGAGGGAAGTGATGAGTATTGCTAACATCCACATTGTACTAAGTGTTGCTCACTCTGGGTTGCCACAAAATTTCTTCCAGCTTCCTTCATTCCATCTTGCGTAGTTCCATTCTTATGAAAATTGTATCTGATAGGGGTTGTGAATATAGACAAGGCATTAAATTTAGCTAATGTCATGGATCAGGATGGAGGAGGAACTGAGAAGTCCAATGTTCTGTTTCTGTTTTTGCAGTTTTCCCTCTCCAACTCAGAATTCTGTGGGAGTTCTACAGGGCCTCAAAGTTACTCATGTCTTTGGAAGGTTTAATAAGATCAGTATAGATCAAACAAAAGAAATGTAGACTGGACAACCTGAGATTGATTTTCTTTTAGGATCTTTCAGTGAAGATTAGAAGCAGCTTTTGAGGTTTGTTATGATACATGAGTTCTCAAGGGTAGAAAATTAAAGAGAATTTTGTGGGAGAAAATAGTGATAAAGATAATATATTTACCTAAAGTCTCTGCTATGTTCTAGATCTTGCAGAGAAATATGACTAGATGAAAATGTGAGGTCTGGCACCTGCACTCTGCCTGGCATTTACTTGCAAGAGGTCATTTAATTCCAATGACAGTCCTGAAAAACCATTGTATTGGTTTCTTACTGTCATAACAGATTACCATCAACGCATGATCTTAAATTTTTTAGAGGTCAGATGTCAAAAATCTGTTGCACTGAGTTGAAATCAAGGTGTCATTAGGACTATGCTCTCTCCTAATGTTTAGGGGATAATCTGTTTCTTTGTCTTTTCCAGATTCAAGAACTGCATACTGTGCTTTCCTTGGCTCTGGGGTTCTTTCTCCATTTTCAAGGCCATCAACACAATATTTTCTTCAGTTTTTATGTTGCCTTCTTCTCTCGACAATCTTATTTTCCTCCTTCAAAACACTGCAATTGAAATCAAGGCCCACCTGGCTAATCCAGGCTAAGCTCCCCATCTTAACATTTTTAGCTTAATCATGTCTGCACTTTTTTTTCTTTTTTTTTTTTTGCCATATAAGGTTACACTCACAGATTTCTGGAATTAGGACCTGGGCCATTATCCAGCTACCAAAGCCACATTTCCCTGCATTATGAATAAGATCACATGAAAATAGAGCATGGATTAAAACTCAGATCCTTCTTCATCTTGCAATTGCCACCCTTCACCTCTTACCCAGGACTACTGTATTGCCTTAGTCTTAGTAAAATCCTCAACATTCCTAGCACTAGGGAACTCTATGACCACCAAGATTCCAGAGTGCAGGGAACTCACTCAAGGATACAAGGTGCAAGGTATAGATAGCAGACAATTAAATGACAAAACCTTTCCTTAAGAGGAGTAAGGCAGGAACTAATACACATTCTCCATCATCAATTATACATGTTGTGAGAGGCAAGTATTTTAACTCCTCTGAAACTTGCTATTTCTCATCCAGAATGGGAGTATGATATGTGCCTTAACACCTCATAAGTGTATTGGAAAGATTAGAAGAGGAATGAAGACGAAAAGCTATTTGAATAGTAAAGCACTATCATTAGGTAAAATATATGGGGTTTATGAATCTCTATTCAAACAGTACTGAGGGAAGTAGAGTTTTAATTCTTTTACGACAGACACATCACCCCCTGATTCTTCGTCTTCGGGGGATTGTATAAATAGTTTGACTTAAATTCTGACTTTTATCTGACACTGCAGGTGTTACTGGCAAACCTTATTAGTAGACAGCAAGAAATAGATTTTGGTCTTCTGAACATCCTAGCAAAAATAATTTTTGCCTTATCAATGTTGAAAAAAATATCTAAGAAAACCCTTAGAAAGAAAACTGATATTTTCCTGAAACAGCTGGGCTATTACATTTTTCCATCTGATTTTATTTTCCTGTCTTTGTGGTTCATCCGTGTTGATGTATCGCTCCTTATATGAGCATAACATAATCCTGCAGACCGCAGGAACATTTCGGTGGCCAAATGAATTCTGAATAATTGCTACTCAACTGGCATAAATCTGTTTTCAATTCAAGAATCATAAAGCAATAGGACTGGAACTGACCCCGGCAGTTGCTGAGGAGATGTTTGGTAAAATGGAAAGAGCTTTGAGAAGGGAGACTAAAAAACCATATTCTAATCCATTCTGACAAGCCTGTTCTTTTCCAGGTCTGCTTTGTCTCATCATGTATTTCACCTATTTCCATTCCCAATTTGACTACAGCCAGTAGATGCTTAATTATGTATTAACTGGACATTGGTCATGAGATCTTAACTAGTTAACTATCTATCAGCAGCATAATTTACCTGTGTGCTTCTGGGCAATTTAGTTTGTTAATACTATGATTATTAGAAAAAAAAAGACAATGTCTACCTATTGGAATTATTATGGGGATTAACTGATAAATCAAAAGTTCCTATCACAATGTCTGGAACAGTGTTGACACCTAAGAAAAACTAAGCAGACACCACGACGTTTCTTTGTCTCCGTTTCTCTTAGCTTCAATTCATGTAAAATACTGTTATCAAATTAATTTTTTTTTTAATGCAGCTCTGATCATGTTACTTTCTAATTCAAAACTCTTCCCTGGTCCTTAGTACCTATTGCTTGACTTAATCAATTTTTTTTTTTTTTTTTTTTCTGAGACGGAGTCTCGCTCTATCACCCAGGCTGGAGTGCAGTGGCGCAATCTCGGCTCACTGCAGGCTCTGCCCCCCGGGGTTCACGCCATTCTCCTGTCTCAGCCTCCCGAGTAGCTGGGACTACAGGCGCCCGCCACCACGCCCGGCTAATTTTTTGTATTTTTAGTAGAGTCGGGGTTTTACCATGTTAGCCGGGATGGTCTCGATCTCCTGACCTTGTGATCCACCCGCCTCGGCCTCCCAAAGTGCTGGGATTACAGGCGTTACAGGCGTGAGCCACCGCGCCCAGCCAGTCAATTTCTTATATCTCGTCAGTCTTACCCATCCCCTCACTTCAGTAACCTGCAGTTCTGTTTTACTACAATCCTTTCAAGTCTCTAACATGCTTTTCAATTTGTTGATTATTTTTCTTAATTTGCATTTACCCTCCACTATGTCTGTCCAAATCTTACATAATGAAGGGAAATGGAGCAAAAGCATTATTATTTCTGGATCAAGATTAATATGTGTTCCTACTTTCATTCTTTCTCTTCAGCCTACTTGAAGCACATAATCAGGGTGACCCAGTAAGCCATGTGCTAACAACAGTAGTGCTTCAAGACTGAAGGACTCTAGGTCCTTGAATCCACTTGGAAGAGAGCCATGTACTACTCAAGAAAACATGTTTTGTATTATATGCTCATAAACACTAACTTCTGCCACATTAGCTATTTTTGTTGGTGGTGATAGTAGTGGTTTTTATAGCAGTGACTATTGCCCTAACACATAATGGTACACAATGTGAGTTGATAACTCTGTGGAGCACTCTGAGAACTAAGAAAAACATTATTGAGAATGGAGAATATTCCAGGAATAGAAGGGACCAGTTGTAGAACATGTTGCCTAGTTCCTCTGTGTTCCACTGGACAGTTAATGAGACCAATAGGTTCAGCAAGCAAAGTTAAGTGAGTCTGGAAAGACACAATGTAAATTTTCTCAGCGTGTCCATTTGGAACAGCAGTTTTTTCACTTTAATCAATATTACAAAATAAAAGGGACTTGTCACCAGGAAATTCTTGGAAATGCTGGGCTGTACAAAGCTAAATAGATTTTATTACTGCAAAACTTCTTAGCACTGTTAATATGCTAATGGACATTAGAAATTTCCTAGCAAAGTTGAAATATAACATCTTCCAACTATGCCCACAGAAATCTTTTTGTTTCACACTGTATATCAACACTGAATTAATTTTAAAAAAGCCAAATGTATGCTGCTATAAAGAAACACATCTTCAAAATAAGGATACAAAGCTATTGAAAGCAAAAATACGTGCCATGCAAATATCAACTAAAACAAAGCTATTATAACTAACTGTCAGACAAAGTAACTTTTTGTAACAAGATATATTATTACAGATAAAAATGGGTATGTCATATCAATAAAAGGATTAATTCACAGTGAAGATACAACGTTTCTAATCCATATACACCCAAAGTAGGCATCAATGGACATAAAGCAAAAAATAAAAATAAAAATAAATAAAGGAGCACAGATAAAAATGGAGATGAGAGATAGATATATCCAAAATCATACTGGGAAGCTTTAACACATTTCGCAAAAACTGATAGAACAACAACAACAAAAGGAAAAACAGTAAAGATATAAAAGATGTAGACAGCACAATTATCACAATGTGTTAAAAAAGCCTGTTACATTGTATCCAACAATAACAAAAAACAAGTTCTTTTTATGTGTGCGTGATTCATTTATCAATATTGTCCAATGCTGGGTTATAAAGTAGTTGTTAACTAATTTCAAAGGGTAAATTCTTTCAAAGATTTTTTTAAAGTGTAGAAGTAAGCTAAAATAAAATAACTGACACACACACAAAACATAATTAGGAAGTGTTCAACTCCTTAGAAATATACTTCTAATTAAATGAGAATTAACAACAACAATAAATCTCAACAGAAATTTAAAAAAAAATTGTGAATGGAAAAATCATGAAGATACAAATTATCAAAATCGGCCTTAAAGCATTTGTTAGAAATAAATACTGAAAATGAATGACCTAAACTTCACTGTCAAGCTAAAAGGATAGCAACATATTAAGATGATGTTATGAATAAGTTTACACTAAAATTTTTACTACTAATGGCAGAGCATGGTGTCCCACACCTGTAATTCCAGCACTTTGGGAGGCCAAGACAAAAGGATTGCTTGAGGCCAGGAGTGCAAGACCAGGTTTGGCAACATAATGAGTTTCTCTATCTATGTCAAAACAGGAGAGTTCTGGGACCCCCCTCTCAGAATATGTGACAGGGTTGTGGCGTGTCTGTTTGCCCTTCACTGCTGCTCAAACCCCTTACAGGAAGGGGAGCACGCAGATGGGCAGGTGCAGCAGCCAGGGCGAGTGCCCCTGGGCTCCAGGCCCACAGCAGAGTCAAGGGGTAGGTGCCTTTTGCTCCTGAAACCCAAGTGCACATGTGTTACAACACACTCTCTTAGCTTTGCCATCCACGGAGAGCTTAAGCGTTAACCAGCTCAGTGTCCTCTTGGTACCCAGGTGCTTGTCCAGCATCCAGGAAGAATCAGGTCACACGTAGACTTGAAGGATGAATGTGGGAGTTTTATTGAATGGTGGAGGTGGCTCTCAGTGGGATGACGGAGAGCTGCAAGGCAGATGGAGCGGGAAGATGATCTTCCCCTGGAGTGTGGCTGTCCAGCAGCTGATTACCTCTCCAACCATCCCCAGCTGAACTCTCAGCATTCATATGCTCCTTCTCTTTTATCTGCTGTGCCATACTTTTCTGGCATTCCTTTGGTCTTCTGTTCGTTTCTTCATCTATTCATTTGCTTCTGGAGCCTGCGGTCTGGGGTTTACATGGGTACAGAATAGGGGGGCATAGTAAGCCAAACAGGAATTTTGGGCACAAAAACAGGAATGCCTGCTCCCATTCAGGACTGTAAGTTTCCAGGCTTGAGGGTGGGGCCTTTGCCAGGAAACTGTAACTGTAGTGGCACATACCCAGCTACTCAGGAGGCTGAGGCAAGAGGATTGTTTAAGCCCAGCTGTTTGAGGTTTCAGTAAGCTATGATTGTGCCACTGCATCCACCCTGCATGACAGAGCAAAACCTTGCCTATTAAAAAAAAAATAAATCTAAATGTCAATCAACAAGACTGGATAAAGAAAATTAGTACATATACACTATGGAACACTATGCAGCCATAAAAAATAATGAGATTATGTACTTTGCAGGGACATGGATGGAGATGGAGGCCATTATCCTTAGCAAGCTAACACAGGATCAGAACACCAAATACTGCAAGTTCTCACTTGTAAGTGGGAGCTAGATAATGGGAACATATGGGCAAACAGAGAACAACAACACACAGTGGGGCCTATCAAGAGGTGGAGAGTGGGAGGAGGGAGAAGATTAGGAAAAATAACTAATGGGTACTAGGCTTAATACCTGGGTGATGAAATAATCTGTACAGCAAACCCCCATGACCCCGTTTACCAATGTAACAAATTTGCACAAGTACCCCTGACTTAAAAGTAGATAAAAAATAATAAATATATAAATAAATAAAATCTTTACTACTTAGATGAATTGGAAAAATATTATATAAAATAAATATTACTTATAGATGCTGACATAAAATAAATGTTAGGTCTGAATAATTACATATCTGTTAGGGAAATAAAGGGTGTTATTTGAAAACCTCCCCATGAAGGAAACTACAGAGCCAAACAGTTTCGACAGTAAATTGTTCCAGAGTGAAGCGTCAATATCGCTCAACTATTCCAGCAAATGGAAAAATAAAGAACACTTCTCAATTCGTTATTTGGGGAATACAACCTTACCATTATAAGGCAGTAAAGACATTACTATAAAAAAGATACAGACTAATGTATCTATCATTATATAGATGTAAATATTCCAAACAAAATATTAGTAAATAAAACCCAGAAATATGTATAAACTGGAATTTAATTCAGAAATGCAAGAATAGTTTAAAAAACAAAAATCACAATAATTAACCACTTCAGTAGAAATAAATGAAAAAATTATTTTACAATTTAAGGAAAACGTTTTGATAAAATTTTAAATCTATTTGTAAAAAATAAGCAAACAACATCTCGTGATAAAAACTAGAAACAAGCTGTCAAAATGCTTTGTGATGTGTGGATTCATCTCACAGAATGGAACCTGTGTTTGATTCACCAGTGGGAAACACTCTTTTTGTAGAATCTATGAAAGGACATTTCTGAGCCCACTGAGGCCCATAAGGGAAAATCAAATATCCTGTGATAAAAACTAGAAACAAGCTATCTGTGAAAATGCTTTGTGATGTAGAAATTTATCTCACAATGGAACCAGTGTTTGATTCACTTTGTAAAAAACACTCTTTCTGTAGAAACCACAAATACACATTTTTGAACCAATTGAGGTCGATAAGAAAAAATCAGATATCAAGCAATGAATACAAGAAACAAGCTCTCCATAAGAAAGATTTATGATGTGTGAATTAATCTCATAGAATGGAACCTGTGTTTTGAATCACCAGGCTGAAACACTCTTTTCTTTAGAATCTACCAAGGGACATTTCTGAGCCCATTGAGACCCATAAAGAAAAATCGAATATCCTGAGAAAAAACTAGAAAGAAGCTATCTGTGAAAATGCATTTTGATGTCTGGATTAATCTCACAGAATGGAACCTGTCCTTTGATTCAGCAGGTTGGAAACACCCTTCTTGTAGAATATATGAAGGGAAATTTCTGAGCCCCTTCAGACTATAGTGAAAAATTGAATATCCTGTGATAGAAACTAGAAACAAAACTAGGAACAAGCTATCTGTGAAGATGCTTTGTGATGGGTGAATTCATCTCACAGAATGGAACCTGTTTTTGGATTCAGCAAGTTGGAAACACTCTTTTTATAGAATCTACAAAGAGACATTTCTGAACAAATTGAGGCCCATAAGAAAATATCGAATATCCCCCGATAAAATCTAGAAACAAGCCAACTCTGAAAATGCTTTGTGATGTGTGGATTCATCAAGCAGAATGGAATCTGTGTTTTGATTCACCATGTTGGAAACACTTTTTTGGAGAATCTACGAAAGGACATTTTTGAACCCTTTGAAGTCTACAGTGAAAAATCAAATGTCCCAGGATGAAAACTAGAAAGAAGCTATCTGTGTAAATGCTTTGTGATGTGTAAATTCATCTCACAGAATGGAACCTGTTTTTGGATTCACCAGGTTGGAAACACTCTTTTTGTAGAATCTACGAAGGAACATTTCTGAGCCCACTGGGGCCTATAGTGAAAAATCAAATATCCTGCAATAAAAACTAGAAACAAGCTATCTGTGAAAATGCTTTGTGATGTTTGGATTCACCTCACAGAATGAACCTGTGTTTTCATTCAACAGGTAGGAAACACACTTTTAGTGGAATCTGTGAAGGGAAATTTCTGAGGCCATTGAGGCCTATAGTGAAAAATTGAATATTCCACAATAAAAACTAAACACAAGCTATCTGTGAAAAAGCTTTGGGATGTACACAGTCATCTCACAGAATGGAACTTGTGTTTTGATTCACCAGGTTGGAAAAACTCTTTCTGTAGAATCTATGAAGGGATATTTCTGAGCCCATTGAGGCCTAGGGTGAAAAACCAAATATCCCTAGATAAAAACTAGAAAGAAGGTATCTCTGAAAAAGCTTTGTTATGTGTGGATTCATCTCATATAATAGAACCGTGTTTTGATTAACCAGATTGGGAACTTTTTTTTTTTGTAGAATCTATGATGGGACATTTCTAAGGCCATTGAGGGATAAGGAAAAATCAAATAGCTGGTGATAAAAATTAGAAACAAGCTGTCTGTGAAAATGCTGTCTGATGTGTGGATTCATCACTCATAATGAATCCATGTCTTGATTCTGCAGATTGGAAACTCTCTTTTTGTGGAATCTACAAAGGGAAATTCCTAAGCACAATGAGGCCTATAGTGAAAAATCGAATATCCCGTGGTAAAAACTAGAAACGTGCTATCTGTGAAAATGCTTTGTGATGTGTGGATTCATCTCACAGAATGGAACCTGGGTTTTCATTCACCAGGTTTGAAACACACTTTTGTAAATATACGAAAGGAAATTTCTGAGCCCGTTGAGGCCTATAGTGAGAAATCCAATATTCCATGATAAAAACTAGAAACAAGATATCTGTGAAAAGACTTCATCCTGCGTGGTTAAATCTCATAGAATGGAATCTGTGTTTTGATTCACCAGATTGGAAACAGTTTTTGTAGCATCTACAAAGGGATATTTCTAAGCCTCTGGAGGCCTGCAGTGAAAAATAGAAAATCTAGGGATAAAAATCTAGAAACAAGATATATATGAAAATGCTTTGTCCTGTGTGTATTTATTTCAGTGAACCCATGTTTATATTCACCAGGTTGGAAACATTCCTTTTGTAGAATCTACAATGGGAAATTTCAGAGCCCATTCATGCCTACAGTGAAAAATCAATATCCCATGGTAAAAACTAGAAACAAGCTATCTGTGAAAATGCTTTGTGATGTATAGATTCATCTCACAGAATGGAACCTGTGTTTTGATTCACCATATTGGAAACACTCTTTTTGTAGATTCTATGAGGGGACATTCCTGACCTTATTTTGAATGATAAGGAAAAATCAAGAAAATGCCTTTTGATGTGTGGATCCATCTCACAAATGCAGTCTGTGTTTTGATTCACCAGGTTGGAAACACTCTTTTTGTAGAATATATGAAGGGATATTTCTGAGGCAATGGAGGCCTATATTAAAAAATCAAATATCTCATGATAAAAACTAGAAATAAGCTCTCTGTGAAATGTTTTGTGGTGTATGGATTCATCACATACAATGGAAACTGTTTTTTGATTCACCAAGTTGGAAACACTCTTTTTGTAGAATATATGATGGGACATTTCTGAACACATTGAGGCTGATCAGAAAAAATCTAATATCAAGTGATGAAAACTAGAAAGAAGATATCTCTGAAAATGCTTTGTGATGTGTGGATTCATCTCACAGAGTGGAACCTGTGCATTGATTCACCAGGTTGGAAACACTCCATTTGTAAAATCTATGAAGCAACATTTCCTTGCCCACTGAGGCTTATAGTAAAAAATAGAATATTCCAAAATAAAAATTAGAAACAAGTTATCTGTTAAATCGTTTTGTGATTTGTGCATTCATCTCACAGAATAGAACATGTATTTTGATTTACCCGGTCGAAACACTCTTTTTGTAGAATCTATGAAGGGACATTTCTGAGCCTATTGAGGAAAGATAGTGAAAAACAGAATATCCCACAATAAAAACTAGAAAGAAGCTATCTGAGAAAGTGTGTTGTGATATATGGGTTCATCTCACAGAATGGAACCTGTGTTTTGATTCATCGGTTTCAGTACACTATTTTTGTAGAATCTACAATGGGACATTTTTGTGCCCATTGAAGCCTACAGTGAAAAACTGAATATCCCACCATAAAAACTAAAAACAAACTGTCAAATGTTTTGTGACGTATGGATTCATCTCACAGATTGGAACCTCTGTTTTGATTCAGCAGGTTGGAAACACTCTTTTTGTAGAATCTACAATGGGCATTTCTGAGCTCATTGTGGCATATAGTGAAAACCCGAATATCGCTCGATAAAAACTAGAAAAAAGTTCTCTGTGAAAATGCTTTGTAATGTGCAGATTCATCTCACAGAATGGAACCTTAGTTTTGATTCACCTGGTTGGAAACACTCCTTTTGCGTACCTATAAATGGACATTTCGGAGCCCATTTCAGCCTATAGTGAAAAACCAAATAGTGCGCAATATAAACTAGAAAAAAGTACTCTGTAAAAATGTTTTGTGTAAAAATGCTTTGGATTCTTGTCACTGAATGAAACCTGGGATGTTACTTTCCATGCTGGAAACACTCTTTTTGTAGTGTCTACGTGGGATATTTCTGAGCTTATTGAGGTCTTAGTAAACACTGAATATTCTGCGTTAAAAACTAGAAGCAAGCTATCTGTGAAAATTCTTTTTAATGTGTGGATTCATCTCACAGAATAAAACCTGTGATTTGATTCACCTGGTTTGAAACACTCTTTTTGTACTATCTAAGTGAAACATTTTTCAGCCCATTGAAGCCTATAGTGAAAAACCCAGTATCCCGTGATAAAAACTTGAAACAAGCTGTCTTTGGAAATGCTTTGTGGTGTGTGAATTCATCTCACAGAATGGAATCTGAGTTTAAATTCACTTAGTTGGAGACGCTCTATTTGTAGTATCTATAAATGGACATTTCCAAGCCCATTATGGTCTATAGTGAAAAACCGAATATTGCGCAATAAAAGCTAGAAGGAAGCTTTCTGTGAAAATGCTTTGAGATGTGTGTATTCATCTTACAGAATGAAACCTGGAATTTATTCACCAGGTTGGAAACACTCTTCTTGTAGTACCTACGTAAAACATTTCCAAGTCTATTGAAGCCTATAGTGAAAAACCAAATATCCAGAGATAAAAATTTGAAACAAGCTACCTTTGAAAATGCTTTGTGATGTGCAGATTCATTTCACAGAATGCAACTGCTTTTTTTTATTCACAAGGTAGGAAACACACTTTTTGTAGTATCTAGGAAAAGACATTTTTCAGCCCCTTGGGTCCTATAGCGAAAAACCGAAATCTTGTGATAATTAGATACAAGCAATCTGAGAAAATGCTTTGTTAATATATGGATTCATCTCATAGAATGGAACTTCTGTTTTGAGTCAAAAGTTTGGAAACACACTTTTTGTAGTATCTACATGGGACACTTTCGAGCCTGTTGAGCCCTATAGGGAAACACTGAACTGCCCGCGATAAAAACCAGAAACAAGTTGTCTGTGAAAATGCTTTGTGATGTGTAGATTTTTCTCACAGAATGGGAACAGTTTTTTTATACATCAGGTAAGAAACAGTCTTTCTGTAGTATCTGCCAGGGGACATTTCTGAGCCCATTGAGGAGTACAGTGAAAAAATGATTAGCCCGGGATAAAAACCGGAAACGCTCTGTGAAAATTCTTTGTGATGTTTGGATTCATCACATAGAATGGAACCTTTTTTAAATTAATCAGATTGGAAACATTCTTTTTGTAGTATCTACGTGGCACCATTTCTGAGTCCACTGAGTTCTAGAGTGAATAATCAATATCCCGTGATAAAAACTAGAAGAAAAGCTATCTGTGAAAATGCTTTTTGAAGTGTGGATGCACCTCACAGAATGGAATCTCTGATTTAATTCACAAGTTTGGAAACACTCTTTTTATAGTATCTACATGGGACATATTCGAGCCTGTTGAGCCCTATATTGAAAAACCGTGATAAACATTAGAAACAAGCTATGTGTGAAAACGCTTTGTGACGTGTGACTTCATCTCATTTAATGGAACCACTTTTTTTATTCACAAGATTGGGAACATTCTTTTTGTGTAAGCCACGAAGGGACAATTCTGAGCCCATTGAAGACTGCAGTGAAAAACCGGATATTCCATGATAAAAACTAGAGGCAAGCTAACTGTGAAAATGCTTTGAGATGAGTGGACTCATCTCACAGAATGGAACCTGTGATTTGATTCAACAGGCTGGAAACATTCTTTTTGTCCTATCTATGAATTTGCGTTTTTGTGCCCATTGGATTCATCTCACAGAATGAAATTGCTTTGTTTATTCACTAGGTAGGAAACATTCTTTTTTCTAGTATCTATGAAAAGTCATTTCTAAGCCCATTGAGGCCTACAGTGAAAAACCGAATATCTTGTGATAAAAACTAAAAACAAGCTATCAGTGAAAATGTTTTGTGAGGTGTAGATTCATCTCACAGAATGAAACACATTGTTTGATTCAGCATGTTGGAACACTCTTTTTGTAGTATCACGTGGGACATTTCTGAGCTCACTGTGGCCTGTAGTGAATTAAAAATATCCATGATAAAAACTAGAAACAAGCTATCTGTGAAAATGGTTTGTGATGTCTGGATTTATCTCAGAGTGTGGAACTGCTTCTTTTATTCTCCAGTTTGGTAACACACTTTTTGTAGTATCTATGAAATGAGATTTCTGAGCCCATTGTGGCCTACAGGGAAAAACCGAATATCTCATGATAAAAATGAGATAAAAACTATCTTTGAAAATGCTTTTTGAATTGTGAATTAATTAATTAACCAGGTATGAACAATCTTTTTGTAGTATCTACGTGGGACATTTCTGAGCCCACTGAGACCTATAGTGAAAAACCGAATATTCCACAGTAAAACCTAAAAAGATATCTGTAAAAATGCTTTGTAATCTATAGA
This sequence comes from Homo sapiens, assembly GCF_000001405.40. Taxonomy (NCBI): domain Eukaryota; kingdom Metazoa; phylum Chordata; class Mammalia; order Primates; family Hominidae; genus Homo; species Homo sapiens. Next base: position 12,284,561 of record NC_000004.12, on the reverse strand, counting down.
TTCATCTCAAAGAATGGAACCTGTAATTTGATTCACCTGGTTGGAAACATTCTTTTTGTAGTATCCATGAAGGGTCATGTGAACCCACTGTGGACTATTGTGAAAAATTGAATATTTTGCAATAAAAACTAGAAGCAAGGTCTCTGTGAAAATTATTTGTGATGTGTGGATTCAACTCACAAAATTGTGCCATTACTTTGATACACCAGGTTGAAAACCCTGTTATTGTAAAATTTGCTAAGGGAATTTCTGAGACCATTTTGGCCTATAGTTAAAAACCAAATATCCTATGATAAAAACTAGAAACAAGCTTTCTGTGAAAATGCTTTTTGAGGTGTGGGTTTATCTCACAGAATGGAAACTGATTTTTGATCCACTATGTTGAAACACTCTTTTTGTAGTATCATGTGGGACAAGGACATTTCCCATCCCATTGAGGCCTGTAGTGAAAAAGCAAATATCCAAGATAAAAACTAGAAACAAGCTATCAGTGAAAAATGCTTTGTGAGGTGTGGATTCATTTCACATAATGGAACCTGTGATTTCATTCACCAGATGTGAAACACTCTTTTTGTGGTATCTACGTGGGGCATTTTGGAGCCCATTTAGGACTATAGTGAAACACCGAGTATCCCAAATAAAAACTAGAAAGAAGCTATCTGTCAAAATGCTTTCTGATGTGTGGATTCATCTCACAGAATGAAACCTGTGATTTGATTCACCAGGTGGGAAACACTGTTTTTATGGTATCTACATGGGAGATTTTCAAGCCAATCGAGCCCTCTAATGAAAAACCAAATATATCATGATAAAAAAATTAGAAACAAGCTATCTGTGAAAAAGCTTTGTAATGTATGGGTTCATCTCACAGAATGAAACTGCTTTGTTTATTCACCAGGAGGTAAACACTTTTTCTGTAGTATCTACGGAGAGGCATTTATGAGTCCATTTAAACCTACAGTTAAAAACTGAATATCCTGCAATAAAAACTAGAAACAAACTATCTACAAAATGGTTTGTACTGTGTAGATTCATCTCAAAGAATGGAACCAGTGATTTGATCCACCAGGTTTGAAACACTCTTTCTGTAGGATATACATGGGACATTTTTAAGCTCATTGAGACGTACAGTGAAAAACTGAATATCTTGCAATAAAAACTAAAAACAAGCTATCTTTGAAAATGCTTTGTGATGTGTGAATTCATCTCACACATCATGGAATCAATGTTTTGGTTTACCAGGTGGGAAACAAACTTTTTGTAGTATCTACGAAGGGACATTTCTTAGCCCTTTGAGACCTACAGTGAAAAACAGAATATCCCGAGATAAAAACTAGATACAAGGGCCAGGCATGGTGGCTCACACCTGTAATCCCAGCACTTTGGGAGGCCGAGGTGGGTGGATCACGAGGTCAGGAGATCGAGACCATCCTGCACAACACGGTGAAACCCTGTCTCTACTAAAAATACAAAAAAAAAAAAAAAAATTAGCTGGGTGTGGCAGCGTGCACCTGTAGTCACAGCTACTTGGGGGGCTGAGGCAGGAGAATGGCATGTACCTGGAGAGCAGAGATTGCAGTGAGCTGAGATTGTGCCACTAAACTCCAGCCTGGGGAACAGAGCGAGACTCCATCAAAAAAAAAAAAAAAAGAAAAAAAGAAAAAAAAAAACTAGATACAAGATGTCTGAATAAATGCTTTATAATGTGTGGATTCATCTCACAGAATGGAATCTGTGACTTGATTCACCAGGTTGGAAACACTTTTTTTGTAGTATCTACCTGGGACATTTCAGAGCCTACTGAAGTCTATAGTGAAACACTCACTGAGTGTCCTGCAATAAAAACTAGAAAGAAGCTATCTGGCAAAATGCTTTCTGAGGTGTGGATTCATCTCACAGAATGACACCTGTGATTTGATTCACCAGGTGGGAAACACTCTTTTTATAGTATCTACATGGGAGATTTTCTATAAGAATGAGTCCTATAGTGAAAAACCAAATGTTCTGTAATAAAAGTTAGAAACAAGCTATCTGTGAAAATGCTTTGTGATGTGTGGATTCATCTCACAGAATGGAGATGGTGATTTTATTCACCAGGTGAGAACCACTCTTTTTGTCATATCTAAGTGGGATATTTAGAGCCCATCGAGGTCTACACTGAAAAACTGAGCTCAATGTGGCCTTTAGTGAAAAACCACATATCTCTTGATAAAAACTGGAAACAAGCTATCTGTGAAAATGTTTTATGATGTGTGGATTTATCTCCAAATGGAAGCTGTGATTTGAATCACCTGTTTTGAAACACTTTTTTTGTAGTATTTATGAAGGGACAATTCTGAGCCTATTGTGGCCTATAAAGAAAAACAAAATATCCCACAACCAAAACTAGAAACAAGCTACCTGTGAAAACACTTTGTGATGTGTGGACTCAACTCAGAGAATGGAACCACTTTTTTATTCACCAGGATGGAAACACTCTTTTGGTAGAATTTATGAAGGGACATTTCTGAGCACATCAAGCCTATAGTAAAAAAACGAAAATTTGGCTGGGCATGGTGGCTCATGCCTGTAATCCCAGCACTTTGGAAAGCTGAGGCAGGTGGATCACGAGGTTGGGAGATCGAGGATTACAAGGTCAGGAGATCAAGACCATCCTGGCTAACATGGTGAAACACCATCTCTACTAAAAATACAAAAAAAAAAATTAGCTGGGTGTGGTAGCGGGCGTCTGTAGTCCCAGCTACTTGGGAGGCTGAGGGGGAATGGCATGAACCCAGGAGGCGGAGCTTGCAGTGAGCCGAGATTGCGCCACTGCACTTCAGCCTGGGCAACAGAGGAGACTCCATAAAAAAAAAAAAAGAAAGAAAAAAAAACTCGAAAATTTTGCTATAAAAACTAGAAACAAGCTATGTGTGAAAATGTTTTTTGAGGTGTAGATTCATCTCACGGAATGGAATCTCTTTTTTTTTAATTTACCAGGTTGAAAACACTCTTTTTGTAGAATCTACGAAGGGACATTTCTGAGCAAATTGTGGCCTTTAGTGAAAAATGGAAAGTCCCGCAATTAAAACCAGAAACAAGCTATCTGTGAAAATGTTTTTGTGATGTATGGATTTATCTCACAGAACGGAACCTGTGATTGGATTCACCTGGTGGGAAACAGTCTTTTTTCTAGTTCTATGAAGAAACATTTCTGAGCTCATTGTTGCCTACAGCAAAAAACTGAATATTCCGTGATAAAAACTAGAAACAAGCCATCTGTGAAAGTGCTTTGTTATGTGTGGATTTATTTCACAGTATGGAACTGCTTTTTTTCTTCACCAGGTTGAAAACTTTTTTTGTAGTATCTATGAACGGACATTTCTGAGCCCATTGAGGCCTACAGTGAAAAACCAAATATCTCATGATAAAAACTGGAAGCAAGCTATTTGTGAAAAAGCTTTCTGATATGTGGATTCATCTCACTGAATGAAACTGCTTTTTTTGTTCACCAGGTTGGAAACACTCTTTTTGTAGAATTTACAATGGGACATTTCTTAGCACATTGAGGCCTACGGTGAAAAACCAAATATCATGTGATAAAAACTAGAAATAAGTTATCTGCAAAGATGCTTTCTGATGTGTGGATTCATCTCACAGATGGAACATGTGATTTGTTTCTCTGGGTGGCAAACACTCTTTTTGTAGTAACTATGAAGGGATATTTCTACACACACTGTGGTCTGTAGTGAAAAACTGAATATTCCGCAATAAAGACTAGAAACAAGCTATCTGTGAAAATGCTTTGTGATGGGTGGAGTCATCTCACAGAATGGAACATGTGATTTGATTCACCATGTTGGAAACACTCTTCTTGTAGTATCTGTATAAGACATTTTCAAGCCCATCAAGGCCTATAGTGAAAAAACTAATATCCTGTAATAAGAACTAGAAACAAGCTATCTGTGAAAATGCTTTGTGTTGTGTGGATTCATCTCACAGAATGGAACCTGTTATTTGATTCACCAGGTTGGAAACACTCTTTTTGAAGTATCCTCATAAGATATTTTTGAGCCCATTGAGGCCTACAGAGAAAAAAATGAATATCCCACAATAAAAACTAGAAACAAGCTATCTGCGTAAATACTTTTTGATGTGTGGATTCATCTCACAGAATGGAACCTGTCATTTGATTCACCTGGTGGGAAACCCTCTTTTTGTAGTATCTATGAAGGGACATTTCTGAGCCCTTTGTAGGCGATAGTAAAAAAACGAATATCCCACTGTCTGTGAAAATGCTTTGTGATTTATCGATTCACCTCACAGAATGAAACCTGTGATTTGATTCACCTTGTGGGAAACACTCTTTTTCTAGTATCTACGAAGGAACATTTCTGAGCCAATTGTGGCCTACAGTGAAAAACCGAATACCCTGTGATAAAAACTAAAAACAAGCTATCTGTGAAAATGCTTTGTGAGTTGTGGATTCATCTCACCTAACCGAAACACTTTTTTTCTTCTTCTGTTTGAAAACACTCTTTTTCTAGTATCTACGAATGGACATTTCTGAGCACATTTAGGCCTTCAGTGAAAAACCAAATATCTCACAATAACAATTAGAAACAAGCTATATTTGAAAAAGTTTGGGATGGGTGGATTAATCTCCCTGAATGGAACAGCTTTTTCATTCACCAGGTTGGAAACACTCTTTTTGTAGAATTTACAAAGGGACATTTCTTACCACATTGAGGCCTACAGTGAAAAACTGAATATCTTGCAATTAAAACTAGAAAAAAACTCTGTTTGAAAATGCTTTCTGATGTGTGGATTCATCTCACAGAATGAAACCTGTGATTTGGTTCACAAGGTTGGAAACACTCTTTTTGTAGTATCTATATAAGACATTTTTGAGCCCATTGAGGCCTATAGTGAAAAAACTAATATCCTGCAATAAGAACTAGAAACAAGGTATTTGTGAAAATGCTTTCTGATGTGTGGATTCATCTTACAGAATGGAACCTGTGATTTGACTCACCAGGTTGGAAACATTCTTTTTGTAGTATCTACGAAGGGACATTTCCGAGCCCATTGAAGCCTGCAGTGAAAAACCGAATACCCTGAGATAAAAACTAGAAACAAGCTATCTGTGAAAATGCTTGGTGATGTGTGGATTCATCTCACAGAATGGAGGTGCTTTTTTCATTTGCCAGGTTGGAAACAGTCTTTTTGAAGAGTCTTGGAAGCCATATTTCTGCTTTCATTGAGACCAATACTGAAAAATGAATATCCCTTGATAAAAACTAAAACCAGATATCTTTGAAAATGCTTTGTTATTTGTGGGTTCATCTCACAGAGCATAACCTATGAATTGATTCACCAGGTTGGACACTTTTTTTGTATTATCCACTTGGGACATTTCTGAGCTCATTGAGGCCTATAGTGAAAAACTGAATATCCTGTGATAAAAACTAGAAACGAGCTATCTGTGAAAATGCTTCATGATGTTAGGATTCATCTCACAGAATGGAACCTGTGTTTTCATTCACAAGATTGGAAACACTCTTTTTGGAGAAGCTACAAAGGGACTTCTCTGATCCCATTGATTCCTATTGTGAGAATTCGAGGGTCCCACATTAAAAGTGTAAACATGCTTTCTGGGAAAATGCTTTGTGATATGGGGATTCATCTCACAGAATGGACCCTGTGATTTGATTCACCAGATTGGAAGCACTCTTTTTGTAGAATCTACAAAGGGACATTTCCTAGCCCATTGAGACCTACAGTGAAAAACCAAATATCCCACGATGAAAAGCAGAAACAAACTTTCTGTGAAAATGTTTTGTGATGTGTGATTTCATCACACAGAGTGAAACCACTTTTTTTATTCACCAGGTTGGAAACACTCTTTTTGTAGAATCTATGAATGGATCTTTCAGAGCCCTTTGAGGTTTATAGTGAAAAACTGAATATACTGCGGTAAAACTAGAAACAAGCTATCTGTGAAAATTCTTTGTGATGTGTGGATTCATCTCACAGAATCGATCTGCTGTTCTGATTCAACAGGTTGGAAACACTCTTTTTGTAAAATCTACGAAGGGGCCTTTCTGAGCCCTTATAGGCCTATAGTAAAAAACTGATTTTCCAGCAATAAAAACTAGAAAAAGCTATTTGTGAAAATGCTGTGTGATGTGTGGATTCATCTCACAGAACAGAACCTGGTTTTGATTCACCAAGATGGAAACGCTCTTTCTGAAGAATCTATGAAGGGACATTTCTGTGTTCACTGAGGCCCATAATGAAAAACTGAATATCCCACAATTAAAAACTAGAAACAAGCTATCTGTAAAAATGGTTTGTGATGGGTGGATTCATCTCACAGAATGAAACCTGTGTTTTGATTCACAAGGTTGGAAACACTCTTTTTGTAGAATCTACAATTGGACATTTCCGAGCCCACTGAGGCTCATAGTGTAAAACTGAATATCCCATGATAAAAGCTAGAAACAAGGTGTTGGTGAAAATGCTCTCTGATATGTGGATTCATCTCACAGAATGAAACCTGTGATTTGATTCACGAGGTTAGAAACAGTCTTTTGTAATATCTACAAAGGGTCGTTTCCGAGCCCATAGAGTCCTATAGTGAATAATCAAATATTCCATGATAAAAACTAAAGATGTCTGTGAAAATGCTTTGTGATGTGTAGATTCATCTCACAGAATGGAGCTTGTGTTTTGATTCATCAGGTTGGAAACATTCTTAATGAATAATCTACAAAGGCACATTTCTGAGTTCATTGAGGCCTATAGTGAAAATGGGATATCCTGTGATAAAAACTAGAAACAAGCTCTCTATGAAAATGCTTTGTAATGTGTGGATACATATTACAGAATAGAACCCATGATTTGATTCATTAGGTTGGAAACACTCTTTTTGTAGTTTCTACATGGGACAGTTTTGAGCCCTTTGAGGCCTATAGTGAAAAACAAATATCCCACAATAAGAACTGGAAACAAACTCTCTGTGAAAATGCTTAGTGATGTGTCGATTCATGTCACAGAATGAAACTACTGTTTTGATTCAACAGGTTGGAAACATTTTGTTTGTAGAATCTATGAAGGGGCATTTCTGAGTCCTTAGAAGCCTTTTGTGAAAAACTAAATTATCTCACAATAAAACTAGAAGAAGCAGTCTGTGAAAATGCTTTGTGATGTGTGGATTCACCTCACAGAATTGAACATATGTTTTGTTTCATCAGGATGAAAATACTCATTTTTAAGGATCTACGTAGGGACATTTCTGAGCTCTTTGAGCCCACGAGTAAAATACTATATCTCACAACAAAAACTAGAAACAAGCTCTCTGCAAAAACGCTTTGTGATGTGTGGATTCATCTCACAGAATGAAACCTGCATTTGGCTTCACCAGTTTGGAAACACTCTTTTTGTAGCATCTACGAAGGGACATCCGAGCCCATTGAAGCTTTCAGTGAAAAATAGAATATTCTGCAATAAAAACTAGAAAGAAGCTAATTGTTAAAATGCTTTGTGATGTGTGCATTCATCTCACAGAATGGATCCAGTGTTTTTATTCACCCATTTGAAAAACCTTTTTTTGTAGAATCTGCGAAGGGACTTCACTGAGCCCATTGATTCTTATAGTGAGAAATTGATTATCCCATGGTAAAAACTTGAAACAAGCTACCTGTGAAAATGCTTTCTGATGTGTGGATTCATCTCACAGAATGGAACCTGTATTTTGATGCACCAGGTTGGAAACACTCTTGTTGTTGAATCTGGAAGGGACTTTTCCTTGTCCTCAAGGCCCATAATGAAAAAATTGAATATTCCTCGATAAAAACTAGAAACAAGCTATCTGTGAAAATGCTTTGTTATGTGTGGCTTCATCTCACAGAATGGAAGCAGGGTTTTGAATCAGCAGTTTGGAAACACTTTTTTTGTTGAATCTACATGAGAAGTTCTAGGCCCATTGAGACCCATAACGAAAAATGGAATATTCCATGATAAAATCCAGAAACAAGCTGTCTGTGAAAATACTTCATCATGTGTGGATTCATCTCACAGAATGGAACCTGTGTTTTTATTCAGTAAGTTGGAAACACTCTTTTTGGAGAAGCTATGAAGGGACTGCTCTGATCCCATTGATTCCTATTGTGAGAAATCGAGCATCCCATGATAAAAACTAGAAACAAGCTGTTTATAAAAAGCTTTGTGAAGTGGATTCATCTCACAGAATGGAACCTGTATTTTGATTCACCAGTTTGAAAACACTCTTTTTGTAGAATCTACAAAGGGACTTCTCTGAGTCCATGAGGCCTAGAGTTAAAAATCATATATCCCATGATAAATACTAGAAAGAAGCTATCTGTGGAAATGCTTTGTGATGTGTGGATTCATTTCATGGAATGGAACCCCTCTTTTAATTCACAAGGTGGAAACACTCTTTTTGTATTTTTGTAGAATCTATGAAGTGACATTTCTGAAGCCACTGAGGCCCATAAGGGAAAATCATATATTCCACGATAAAAACTAGAAACAAGCTTTCTATGAAAATGCTTTGTGATGTGTGGATTCATCTCACATGATGGAACTTGTGATTGGATTTGCCTGTTTTGAAACACTCTGTAGAATCTGCAGGGAGACATTTCTCAGCCATTGAGGTCCATAAGGAAGAATAGAATACCCCACTATATAAACTAGAAAGAAGCTGTCTGTGAAAGTGTTTTGTGATGTGTGGATTCTTCTCACAGAGTGAAACCTGTGTTTTCATTCAGCAAGTTGGGAACATTCTTTTTGTAGAATCTATGAAAGGACATTGCAGAGCCCATTGAGGCCAATAAGGAAACATTTTATATCCTGTGATAAAAACTAGAAACCAGCTATCTGTGAAAATGCTTTGTGATGTATGGACTCATCTCACAGAGTGGAACCTGCATTTTGATTCACCAGGTTGGAAATATTCGGTTGTATAATCTACGAAAGGACATTTTGGAGCCCATTGAGGCCTATAGTGAATAATCAAATATCCTGTGATAGAAACTTGGAATAAACTATCTGTGAAAATGCTTCATGATGTCTGGATTCATATCACACAATGGAACCTGTGTTTTGAATCACCAGGTTGGAAACCCTCTTTTTGTAGATTGTACAAAGTGACATTTCTGAACTCATTGAGGCCCATAAGGAAATGTCAAATATCCCTTGATAAATACTAGAAACAAGCTATCTGTGAAAATTCTTTGTGATGTGTGAATTCATCTCACAGAATCAAAGCAGTGTTTTGATTCACCATGTAGGAAACACTCCTTTTTTGAATCTGCAAGGGAATTTCTTAGCCCATTGAGGTCCATAAAAAAAAAATCGAATATCCTGCGATAAAATCTAGAAACAAGCTATCTGTGAAAATGCTTTGTGATGTGTGTTTCATCTCACAGAATGGAACCTGTATGTTGATTCACTACGTTGGAAACACTCTTTTTGTAGAAGCTACAGAGGGACTCCTCTGATCCCATTGATTCCTATAGTGAGAAATCAAGTATCCCACGATAAAATCTAGAAACAAGCTGTCTGTCAAAATGTTTTGTGTTGTGTGGATTCATCTCACAGAATGGAACATTTATTTTGGTTCACCAGGTTGGAAACACTCTTTTTGTGGAATCTAATAAGGGACTTCTCTGAGCTTACTGATGCCTGTAGTGAAAAATCAAATATCCCACAATGAAAACCTATTAATTTTCATTTTAAATTTGTAGTTTTAATTGAAATACTTGTATATAAATGGGGTACAAAATATTTTCGCTATGTATACATAGTTGGATGATTATATTAAGCTAATTTTAAAAACTAATTAACATAACTAATCTAATTAACATAACATCACCTCACAGACATCATTTTTTGTAGTGACAATATTTATTATCTATTAATTTAGCAATTTTGATATGTACAATACATTATTATTAACTATGGTCATCTTGTTGTGTAATCAATCTTGAAAACCTATTCCTCCTACCTGGACCAAAGGAACTTCAATCAATTTCTCCAAACTACTAACAAACAAAAACAGCCAATATCATACTCAATGGTAAAGTCAATTTGTAAAACCTGTATGGCACTTTCTACCAAAACTGTGCATACTCACACTCTCTTATTCATCAGTTTCACTTCTAGGTGTTTATGCAACAGAACACTGTTTTTATGTTTACCACAATTAGTGATAGTTCAGTGCTACTAATATAGCAATTCTGGAAACAACCTAAATGCACATCAGAAGTAGAATGTGTAAATAATTGTGGTACATTTATGTACTGGGGTAATACTCAGCAACAAAAATGAAACAAACAAATGAATTAACCAACAAAAAGTACTACTTAACAAAATGACTTGGATGAACCTAACAGACAATGTTAGTTTCAACCAGATATGTATATTTCATTTACGTGAATTTTACAGTCAAAGATAATCAATGGATGTAGAGGTTAGAACAGTAGTTGCTATTGGGATGACTCAATGAAGGTGTGAGAGAGGCTTCTGTGATGTGGTTAATTATCAAGGTCTAAAAATCTGAAGGCTGATTACATGGTTGTTTACTTTGTGAAAAAGTGTTAAGCACTAAACTTAAAATTTGCACACTTTTTCAAATGTATAATTCAATATCATGTTATAAAATTAATTATAAATTTTAGCTCTTAAACTCTTCCCTCCTTTTCGCATGACTTCATTATTAGAATATATACACACATAAAAATGTAGATTCTGCAATGCCTCAATGTTGTCCCTCTTCATACCTCATTTACAAGCTTTTGGTGTTTAGAATTAATTTTCCTGTATATGCAATATGGCTGCAGGGAGACTATCCACGTATTTACCCTATAGTAGACTCTAAAACCCACCCATTGTATGTATGCGGCCCTTAGTAACATTCTTTGCTCACTTCCAAAGACCAACTGTATGTCTCATATTTATTTTGATGAATAACATTTCCATTTAAAATGAGAATTCTACCCTGAATTCCCAACAACTTGAAGAGATGACTTCCTTCTGCCTGGTTCTTGCCAAATCCCTCACCGAAGACTGCAGTATTATATCCTCTAGCCACAGTCTGGAGCCCTGTTCCAATTAAAAACCTGGAATTTGTGCACAGGCAAATTAACAAACAGCCAAGGCAAATCCAAATTTTGCCCTTCCACCTCGTAGGCACCACAATTTACCTTATGGGTGATTTCCTTCAAAGTTCCATCTCTATTCAGGTCTCTTTTTCTAGGTATGATCTTCTGGATAATTTATTTTGCCAACTTTCTCTGGCTAATGTCTCCGAGGTTCAAACAAGCCAGGCACTCAAGATCATGCTAGTTATAAACACGTTGATATTCTCCTACCCCATTTCTTAGTTTTCAGCTCTTCTCAACTCTTTCCCATGCATTTCTTGAAGCTTTTCAATGATAATTCGAGCCCTTTCTAGGTTATTCACAATTTGAATTAGAGGGAGATAAAGATAAAATCTTACTAATGTCAAAAAAAGTTAGGAAAATACCATTTTTTCAAAGTTAACAGAGTATAAATCAAAGAAATGCAAATGTGGAAGGCAAGAACCTCAGTATTGGACAAGTTATTCTACCTGACAGGTCTATAAAATGAGAGAGTGCCAGAATTGGGGCAGGATCTGGTGAAGGGAATAACCTGATGATTTATTAGTTTCTTCTGAGCTGTCATCTCTGAGTCTCTGAATCTAGATATAAAAGCCCAAGTACACAATCTCTTGTTTCCCAGAACAGAAGATTTTTAATAGCTAGGCTTAGAAGCGAATAGCATTGAAGCCTGTAACATTTACTGTATTCGTCTTCAGGTTATTCACACTGCTGTTATTCAAATAATTGTTTAGCCTAGATACTTTGAAAATGAAAGTAATCATTTAACAAGGAAATTGCTTTCTTACGTTCTATTTAACGATATCTTGTATATAAAATGTATCACTTAAAAATTTATTTTATTCTATGGAGAGGTTAATGGATTATACTATCCCAAGCTTCTAAATATCATCATCTAAAGGATATCAAGCATCTAAATTTAATGTATAATAAAATACATTAAAGGGATTATTTGGCAATAATTACTTCTCAATAAGAACCTAGATAAAGGTAAAGTTATGATGATGTTTAAAAATAATTAGTATTCTAGAAGATGGAAGGAAGATAACACAGATACCCTCCTTATTTTTCTCTTCTCCCCTTCCTCTTCTACTTTTTCTTCTCCTCCTGTTCTTCCTCCTACTTTTTTCCGGTCTTAAATCAACCTCATTCTGCTAGTACCAAAATAAATCAAACACTGGAAAAAGGAATGAATTTGTTGTGGTTATTCTGTCTTCTATTTTGGTGCTAAAAATTTTACGTTTTAGTGCTAAAATCTCAGCACATTAACAGCATCAGTAAAAATAAAAAATGATGGTGCTACATCATTATCATCGCCATCAACACCATCATCGTCATCTCTGATGTGGGCAAGGGTGACGTAAAAAAAGTGTGAGTAAGAAAATTGGCATGATCCTTATAAAAAGCCTTTTGGATCTCTGTATTAAGAGAAAAACACAATCTTAATAAAGTGAGACATAATGTATTTATGAAACTCTATGCTAAAGAAAGAAGTCTTAAAGACAGAAACATCTTTACATTCAACATTTAACATAAATATTTGTAACACCAACAAATGTAAAACAACTTAAATGGATGACAAATTTTGAATAATTTAAAAATTATATATGATATATACTTAATGAAATATCATACAACATTTAAACTGAATGCCTATGAAGAGGAAGTCATAAATTATAAGCATTTTGCATTAAAGGAAATAGCAGGATAACTACTCTATATGATGTATTATTATAATCGTATTAAATTGTTCAGAAAAATGAATCAAAATATATTAGCACTGTAGAGTTTAGACTTTGAGAAAGTTCTTCTCTCATAGTTCTACCAGTTTTCTTTAATCAACCCAAATTGAGTGTAATAGTAAAATAAAAATAAACATATATTTGGATGAAGTTATTTTGGAAACTTTGGAGGCTGGTGCTTTTCAGTTAAGCCAGTTTACATATGCTGTGAGCAAAGGACTCCTGTGCCAGGCTCTCTGCTAACCACATAGGGAAAGAAGAGATGCTCGGGAATGCTCCCTGACCTCAACCACCTGATGTCAGGTAGGGGAGGTGATGTGAACCCAATTAAATGTCAAGTGATCCCAATTTTGAAGGATTCAGAAAGATAAATTTAAACTAAGTTAGTTGAGGGCACACCAAAGAGAAACATCAGTGTTAAAAAGCAGACTCAAGCTTGGAAATAGTTGCGAGATTCGAGAAAGTATTTGTAAGGTGGCAGGACTTCCACCTACATGACATGGGAAAATCAGTTCTGGAGGAAGGCTTTTCACAGCAAATTCTCAAGCTAGACTTGAGGGCTATGCTCAGGGAAAACAGGGCAGATTGGTTTGATGGGAAGCATTCTCAGGGAATATAGTCTCAATGAAAGTTGGAGATTTTGTGTGTGAGTGCACACACACACACCACTAGCATGTAGGAAAAGTGGAAAAATTTTGCTATGTTTTGAGAACACAGAGGGGTCACTTTAAGAGAAAGTGGGACAGACAGTCGGAGGAGGAAAGGGGGCGGAAAATTCCTTCCTCTGGTAATTCCCAAACTTCACTCTGAGGTATCTGCATAATTTAGCTACTTAGAAATCATTTTCCTCTGGGAAAACTGAGAAGGTCTGTCTGTGGAATGGAAGACAGGAGCCCTGGAAGTGACTCAGTTTGGGCCAAAAAAATGTATGCAAATATAGTGTGGAATGTATTAAGGCTATAGAAACAGGAAGCTGATTTATCTGACAAGGGGCTCTTTTGTGTTTCCTACATAGTTTTTTTTTTTGCTACACGGAATGTGAACATGGTAGCCAGAACTCTAGCATTCACTTTGTCACTTTGGACTGCTAAGTAAACTTAAAATAGAATCCTATATGAAGATAACGAATTAGAACACAGAAGAGGATGGAATTCACCATCCAGTCTTAAGTAGCTCATTTTTCAAATTTCTTTTATGGAAGAGGAAAAGTGTCTCCTTTGAGCCACTGTTATTTTCAGTGTTCCATCCTATTTTACATCGATGAAGTTACTCCAGGCAGAAACTAACATTTACTGAGCTGTGATTTGTTTTAGTCACTATGTTAAGCTGTATATATTTCTGCCTAACTATTTCAATCTCTGTAATAAGTTTTACAATAATACTGTAAAGTATATTTTAATTCTGCTATTTTATAACATAGAAGACAGAGTATTAGTGAGGCCAATACATGTCAAATAGCAAATGAGTAGTGTGGACAAAAAGCAAGTCCCCATCATTGTGTTATCAAACTTATGGTCTTTATACACATGTATGCTATTTTTAACTTGTACATGTGCACATACATGCACACACATGTCTCGCTCTGTCAATCAGGTTGGAGTGCAGTGACACGATCTCGGCTCACTGCAACCTTCGCCTCCCAGGCTACACAGGGTTCAAGTGATTCTCTTGCCTCAGCCTCCTGAGTAGCTGAGATTACAGGCATGCGCCGCCATGCCCGGCTATTTTTTGTATTTTTAGTAGAGATGGGGTTTCACCATGTTGGTCAGGCTGGTTTCAAACTCCTGACCTCGTGATCTTCCCGCCTCGGCCTCTCAAAGTGCTGGGGTTACTAGCGTGAGCCACTGCCCCCGGCCTATGCATCTTTTCTATTTCAGATCTTTCTGGTAACTGTCTTTATTTTAAAACTCAAGTCAACTTTTTTTCCTTGTGTTTAACTTTTAAGTTAATTTTAATGAAAAATATAATAAAATATTCCACCTTCCAGGCACATATATTATTTCTACTTACATTTGATTGGAGAAACTAAGTCTAACTTCAACAGATGAAGGAAGGAGCAAGTCTTCCACATGTCTGTGATAAGAGGGATTGAAATATTCCCAAACAGCTCTAAGGATTAGCAAACTTGATATATTAGCAAATCAGCTTGATAAAATGTTGTATCAATTTATACTCCTAGAAGCAATCTTAGTAAGTGTCCCTTTCTTTCTTTTTTTTGAGACAGAGTCTCACTCTGTCGCCCAGGTGGGAGTGCAGTGGTATGATCTCGACTCACAGCAACTTCTGCTGCCCGGGTTCAAGCAATTCTCCTGCCTCAGCCTCCCGAGTAGCTGGGATTACAGGCACCTGCCACTGCTCTTGGCTAATTTTTGTATTTTTAGTAGAGACAGGGTTTCAGCATCTTGGCCAGGTCTTGACCTGACCTCGTGATCCACCTGCCTTGACCTCCTAAAGTGCTGGGATTACAGGTGTGAGCCACCACGCCCAGCCGTGAACACTTCTTTCTTTCTTTTTTTTTTTTTTTTTTTTTTGAGTTGGAGTCTTGCTCTGCTGCCCAGGCTGGAGAAATGCCTCTTTCTAACTCTTGTCCAACAGTTCTCTGGTTTTCAGTCCAATAGGTGAAATATGATATCTCATGTCATTTTTTATTGTGATGTTTTTCATTTCTTGATGATTTTTAAGATGAAATATTATTTAATATCTTTGAAAATCACTTGTATTTTATTCACAGAGATATAACCTTTCATGTTCTTTGGCTATTTTTCCTACAGGATTTCATCCTCTATAGCATGGTTGTTTAGAGTGCAGACCCTGGAGTCAGACTATCTAGGTTTTAATCTTGACTGGAACATATAATCAACTATCATGTTATCACAGTTGTGTAATATTTAGTAACTTTCTTAAATACATGATGCCTCATATATATAAAATGGACTTAACCAATATACTTCAAGCGTTGGTCTGCAATTAAAGCATTATACATATATAATTGGGGCTCCACATCCAGGAATATCTGTTTATTCAAATATTCTCTTATGAAAGCATTTTTGTTACTTTGTTTAAATACCTACGAACAGTTTTTTCTAAAGTTTGATTCCAAGTCAATTAATTTGTTTTGGATATTCTGATAAGTTTTTAAAGTTATTTTTGATTTCTATCTTTATTATCAGTCTCTAAAAAATCAAAACTTTATGTACCATTATTTTTCAGCTGAACATCTTAGTGAACTCTTATTGTTCTTAACTATTTTTATTTATTTTGAAACTGTATTTGCTTTCCATATATGCGTCTACTTAATTATATTTTGTCACTTCATTTATACTATTTACTTTATATCTTTCCTAATACATTTTCAGATTAATATACAAATGTTAATAATGTGTAGCCATTCTTTGCTTTAACTGTTTGAATTCTCTCTAGTGTGTCATATTTCACCATTAGTTTAAATATTTATCTAAAGTTGTGCTTTTTGTATTAATGACATTCTTTTGCTATGGTACTAAGAATTCATTGCTCTGTTTTGTTTTGCCTTCTAAACCAATATCTGCCTATTCAACTGTATGAGGTTTTTTTTTTTGGATATTTATCAAAACAATCAATCAACTTTCTTTCTTTTACTTATTAACACAATGGACGAATGACTGATTAATCATCTTTGCACTGTTTGAGTAAACCCTACTTAGGCAGAAGGTAGTATTCTTTATTATACAAATAGGTGGATGTTATATGATTTTACTCAGAGTTTTGTACTTGTTTTCATAAGTAAGATCAATTTTAAATATGTTTTATGTGTTATTCTAGCCACTATTGTCAAATTTTATAAAGTAACTGGATAGACGTCTTTCTCTACAGTTTGGATTATTTTAAGTAACATAATGATTGTCTGTTACTTCACTGGTAATTACATGATTCACTTGTGAAACACAGCTTTTTGGTGGATCATTCTTGAAGAATTTTCTCCAAATTTCCCACATCAATTTGTATTTTACAACCACATTTTAGGACATATGGACAACTTATATATATATTTTAGAAAATATTAAATTTATTCTATTTTATCAAATATACGTTATATTTTTCAATTAAATATTAAGTGCTTCATGTTTGTTGTATCCCAAAGAAGCCTATTCATAATATATTTGTTGATTCTGCTATATTTCTTCTGATTCATTTTTATTCTTGATGAATGATATTTTCTTGCTTTTTTTAGGATTACTATTTTATACAAACACAGAAGTTCTTTAAGTCCAAGTTTGACTCATAAATTTACATTCTTTATTTAGTAATAAAAACAAGAATATCTGGGGATTTACTCTGAGTACCACTTTGACTGCCTCATTATTTTTGTATACGTTATTTCCATTGTCATTGCTTTTAAATATTATTAAATTATCGTTCTCTCTTTTTCACCAAAGAGATTAGGAAGGAAAAGATATTTCTGTTTGTTTTCTTTTAATTATTCTTATTATAGTTATTTATATTACTATAGCTAATCTATTATTTCAGTGAAGAGCAGAGAAAGTACACTGTGTTATTTCTATCTCCTGTAATATAATGAGGTTTTTCTTTTAAGTTAATATGTGATTGGTTTTCGTAAGTTTTCTGTAAGCACAAGAAGATGAGTGTTCTTAATTTGCAAAGTGTGTATATTTGGATACATAAACATGTGTATTTGCGCGTATGCATGTATGACTACATCTATTACATTATAATTACTGAGATTGTATATACTCATTTTTTATAGCATGTCATGGATTATGAGACACATTTAATGCATCCCTGAAACTACTTTATTTCAGTGATTCTCTGATTATATTTCAAGCAATTTTTCTCTTATGCCTGGTAGCAGTTGCTGGCTGCAATGCATAGTCTAAGAGTAGACATCTGCCCATTGAGACAATTTTCTATTTCCTAGACTCAGGTATATTATTTTCCTACTGCACTAGATTGAACTTGAAATTATTTTCCCTAAGTTAGTTGAAGTTAAGTTTTGTCTTGCAATCAAAAGAAAACTGAACAATAAAACTTGTTCCCATTTTAGTTTCCAACAATTACATCTCCATAAAAGATCACTTTTATTCTCTTTATTAACGTTATTGTTTTAATCTTGAATTCCACTTACCTTGAATTAATACTGTATTGTGATAATATAACATGGCCCATTCTATTACATTTAACCTTTCAAAATCGGTTTGTTTAAAGTATACCTCTAAGTAATATTTAAATTTTGATAGTGCTAATTTTTAAAAATTGTGAGTATAGTCCATTCATTTTACTGAAAAACAGATGTATTTGGATGTTCTTTGAGCTATTTTCTATTTTTAATGCTTTAAAGAACTTCTCTTTGTATTTAATATTTGCTATAGATTTTGAGTTTCTTTGCTTTATATGACCCCATCTCAAATATGCAGTCCTGTTTACTTCAACTAATAATTGTGTTTGTTCTTTTTAAAATATTTTATCTTATTACTAAAGTTGTTAAATCAGGCACAAAAGGTTAATTCATTGTATCTGTGATAAAGAAAATCACTAGCAAGTACTCCTTCCTACGTCTCTATTTTCCTGTCCACCCCACAGATGCTTGGTATACACAGGAATTTTTATTCTGATAATAATTTTATTTCTAAAAAATATTTTATATTTTTTATTTGAGGGTTGTAATTTTTGGATATTTTATGTTCTTTTATATTTATAGTCAGTCTTTACTGGAAATTTGAATTTTCATTTTTTGTTTTCCCTCCCTAAATTCCACCAAATTTTGTGGGGCAAATATGTATTTTTATAACTTTTATGGCCATAGTTCTTTTGTTAAATCCCTTTATTTAAAAAATTCTCTGACACTTGTCTTTCATAACTTATTATTTTAATTAAAAAAGTGTATTCTTCGATTTTCTTAGGAAATCATAGTGATTTTTTTCCAAAGTTATTTCTGTTTTCTAAACTAAAAATTTCAATAAATAAATAAGATTATTCCCCTCCCCTCCCCTCCCCTTCTCTTTTCTTTTCTTTGATGGAGTTTCACTGTCACCCAAGCTGGAGTGCAGTGGCACCATCTCAGCTCATTACAACCTCTGCCTCCAGGGTTCAAGCGATTCTCCTGCCACAGCCTCCTGAGTACTTGGGATTACAGGCACACACCACCATGCCCGTCTATTTTTTGTCTTTTTAGTAGAGACGAGGTTTCACCATGTTGGCCAGGCTGCTCTTGAGCTCCTGACCTCAGGTGATCCACCCACCTTGGCCTCCCAAAGTGCTGGGATTACAGGCAGGAGCCACTGCACCTGGCCATGTTCTTGGAGATAGAAACAGAGATATAGACCAATGGAACAGAACAGAGCCCTCAGAAATAATGCTGCTTATCTACAACTATCTGATCTTTGACAAACCTGACAAAAACAAGCAATGGGGAAAGGATTCCCTATTTAATAAATGGTGCTGGGAAAACTGGCTAGCCATATGTAGAAAGCTGAAACTGGATCCCTTCCTTACACCTTATACAAAAATTAATTCAAGATGGATTAAAGACTTAAACGTTAGACCTAAAACCATAAAAATCCTAGAAGAAAACCTAGGCATTACCATTCAGGACATAGGCATGGGCAAGGACTTCATGTCTAAACACCAAAAGCAATGGCAACAAAAGCCAAAATTGATTGACAAATGGGATCTAATTAAACTGAAGAACTTCTGCACAGCAAAATAAACTACCATCAGAGTGAACAGGCAAACTACAGAATGGGAGAAAATGTTTGCAACCTACTCATCTGACAAAGGGCTAATATCCAGAATCTACAATGAACTCAAATTTACAAGAAAAAAACAACCCCATTAAAAAGTGGGCGAAGGATATGAACAGACACTTCTCAAAAGAAGACATTTATGCAGCCAAAAAACATATGAAAAAATGCTCATCATCACTGGCCATCAGAGAAATGCAAATCAAAACCACAGTGAGATACCATCTCACACCAGTTAGAATGGAGATCATTAAAAAGTCAGGAAACAACAGGTGCTGGAGAGGGTGTGGAGAAATAGGATCACTTTTACACTGTTGGTGGAACTGTAAACTAGTTCAACCATTGTGGAAGTCACTGTGGCCATTCCTCAGGGATCTAGAACTAGAAATACCATTTGACCCAGCAATCCCATTACTGGGTATATACCCAAAGGATTATAAATCATGCTGCTATAAAGACACATGCACACATATGTTTATTGCGGCACTATTCACAATAGCAAAGACTTGGAACCAACCTATATGTCCAACAATGATAGACTGGATGAAGAAAATGTGGCACATATACACCATGGAATACTATGCAGCCATAAAAAATGATGAGTTCATGTCCTTTGTAGGGACATGGATGAAACTGGAAACCATCATTCTCAGCAAACTGTCGCAAGGACAAAAAACCAAACACCTCATGTTCTCACTCATAGGTGGGAACTGAACAATGAGAACACTTGGACACAGGGTGGGGAACATCACACACCCAGGACTGTTGTGGGGTGGGGGGAGGGGGGAGGGATAGCATTAGGAGATATACCTAATGCTAAATGATGAGTTAATGGGTGCAGCACAGCAACATGGCACATGTATACGTATGTAAGAAACCTACACGTTGTGCACATGTACCCTAAAACTTAAAGTATAATAATAATAAAATAAAAATAGCAGTCATCATCCTGGTCCCAGCAGGAGGAAGAGGGGGCCCTCCTCTCTGCTGATCTCACCTCCTGCAGAACGAAGAGCTGAGGTGTTCCAGTTATGAACACCCCTCTGCTACCTACACTATGTCCACCAAGAAGAGTCAGGAGGAATACCAGGGCTTGGCTTGTCCAGGATACAAGAGGGTAACTCAGCCCTATGTATGCTCAAGAGAAAGCAAAGCACCCCTTCCCTCAATTTTACATTGCAACGGTAAGGAAAGAAGTATCCTCAGAAGCCCTGTGACCCCCTCATTAGCAGCTTCCTCTTCACTCTCCACCATGGGGTTGTCATGGCTTATCTCCTACGTCCTCTTCCTGGATCAAGTCAGTCTCCAGAAGAAGCCCAAGATGCCTGCGCATGCCCTCATCCCTGGAACCCATTCCCTGGCTCAATGTTAAACCACCTTGCTGACCACACATTCCTCTTCTCAGTCTCCTTATTTTTCTTGCCATCACATGGCACCCACCTGCAAATTATATATTGGATTCATTGACTGGTCTCTCTTCATTAGATCATGAGCTCCATTAGGAGATAGACATATATCTGTGCAATTCATCATTGTATCACTCGTGCCCGGGGTCATCCCAGGTTCACAGTAGGTATTCAATAAATATTTGCTGATCAGCAATTCAATTAATGAATTTGTTTCTTATGTATCCCCTTTTAGTTTTTAGATTATTATTATTATTATTATTATTATTATTATTTTTTTTTTTTTGAGACTGAGTCTCGCTCTTTCACCCAGGCCGGACTGCAGTGGTGCTATCTCGGCTCACTGCAAGCTCCGCCTCCCAGGTTCATGCCATTCTTCTCCCTCAGCCTCCCGAGTAGTTGGGACCACAGGCACCCGCCACCACACCTGGCTAATTTTTTGTATTTTTAGTGGAGACGGGGTTTCACCGTGTTAGCCAAGATGGTCTCGATCTCCTGACCTCGTGATCCTCCCGCCTCGGCCTCCCAAAGTGCTGGGATTCCAGGCGTGAGCCACCACTCCAGACCTTTTTAGATTATTTTAATGTGGTTTACTTTATACTGTATTTTCCATGTACACTTTAATAAAGTCAGGTTTATTTTGAACCGTTAGGAAAATATTGAGTGTTTTTCTTTGAGGTCTCTTGCTATTTATCTGGATTATCATGAATCTTTTTTTTTTATGTCTTATATGGCCTGCAGGGTGGCTCTTTTATTATCTTTTATTACTTAATACTTTCCAAGTTCTGGCAAGACATGAGACAGACTGCACAATGGTCAAGTCTAGTGGGGAATTGGACCCTGATCAGTACAGTCTGTCATTATTTATCATTATTGTTGGCCTCAAGGAAATGGCAGCACTAGAGGACATAGGCCTACTCTTGAATTTTTGTTCATCTTAGTCTTTTTATAGGAACATGTATTCTATGTTTTATATTGTTCCCAGTGATTCTGGGACTCATAGGAGTATCTAATCCTATTGCGGTTTTTATTGAATTCAGTGTCTTCTGTAGAAATAAGAAACTGTGTTTGAAAAGCTCTACTTCCTTTAGATTTCTTGTCTGGTGACTTCAGAATAAATTTCCAGACTGAAAACAATGGGTACACAGTATCATAATTTCAGTGGCAAAGAAGGAATTTGCTTATTTGGTTAGTTCATTCAGTTCCAGGCAAGAGTTTTGAAATTATGTATCTGTTCTCCTTTTGTTTGTAGGCTTCTAGTCTTGGTACCTGGTTTCCAATCCTCCAGTTCTTTGATAGCAAAAAGAAATTGCAGAAACAAAACCTCAGCATCCTCATGAGCACTGCATAGTACCACATCTCAGCCTCTGCAGGGATGTCATTTTGTGTGAGCTACTTTGTCTCTTGTAGCTTCTCACAAAAATGATAAATTTAAAGAAAAAAATTAAATTCATGCTTTTTAATTTAACTTTGTGCATATCCAGAGACATAGATTAGAAATGTACAATGAGTTAGCTCATTATATGAGGAATATTTTAATCCCAAAGGAGAATGTCAACTCTAAAACTAGGTTTTTATATTTTATTTTCCTTTACCTTGCCTAAATACACAAAATGACTAATATTCTGTGTGTGTTCATGTAAAATCTTCACACCTGTATGACATATTCTAATCCTTGACTTTTCTGAAGGTGCTAAAAGAAATTATGTTTCAGGCCTCTACTGATTATCATATTTTTTCAAGTTACCTTGGTGATCTGAGTTTTTAAATTGTACTGTTGAAACAATATGCATTTGCTGATTTGCATGACAAATAAATTACCAGTGTGAAATGTTCAATGCCCAAAGAAATTTAATCATGGCGTTTCAGATAAATTATAGTTACAATGTCATTTCTGCTCAAAAAGTAACTCATAATTTCTGTTCAGTTCAACAAATTTGCTGAATATTTATCCTGTATCCAACATTTTGCTTCTTACAAGGGACAAAGAAGGAAAAGAAACAGCTCTTTTCCAAAACAGACTCATGGTTTGATGTATCCATACTTTACTGCTGACTTATTCTTTACTAAGGTATATGTCCTTAATGTCACAGGGAAACATTCTACAGCAAACATCTTCAGATTATGAGATCTCTTCAGGCCTAGTCTTTTCTCTTCTGATAGACAATTTTTATACCCATGGGATACCCCAGGTCTTGATCTGTCTGCCTTATACTTCAGTTGTCCCTCTTTGCCTAATCAAAATATAGTATACATTTCTGGGGACTGAGCTTGGCACTGTAGATGCAATGTTGAACAGGACAGACACAAGCTCAGCCTTCCTGGAAATAAAGTCTCATCACCAAACAACGGGGCTAGATTACATGATTTCTTGATCCAGTGAGAAGGTGGTGGTGGTAGTTAATTATTCTAGCACTTATATGCCAACACTAGATTTAAAAAAAAAAAAAGATATTAAGCTGCTTAAATAACCCATAAACAGTTAAATTCTAAGTGAGAGAATTGGACATTAATAACAGACATATAGACATTCTATAAGTAATAATTTTGTGACTCAAAGGGTGTTGGGAAGAGAGAGAGGGAGAAATATAGGCCGTCTTGAGGATTTTTGTCTTAATTTCCTGGGTAAATGGAAAAGCTACTAACTAAGTAGGCAATGACAAAAAGAAAAAAATGTGGAGATAGGGCATGATTTAGGGAAACTATATGCCATTTTAAACATGTTAAATTTGAGTTTTTGGAGAGTCATTTAAATGGCTACAATAACAAGAGTTAAATTTAGAAAAGTCTACAGCTCAAAGAGGAAATCAGAGCTGGAGATGATCAAGTAGAGCTCATCCGCATTCAGTTACTAGTTATGCTGAAGAGCGAGTGTAGTGGTTTACGAAGATCATGCCAAGTGTGAGCTGTTATCATTGGTCCTATTTTTACACATGAGGACCCATATACCCAGAACAATTAAATGACTTGACTGTCATCATATAGCAAAATAGTGCTAGAGCTAAAATCCAGCATTATTATTTTTTACTATGTTACTTTTAATTCTGAAAGACAATCTGAAAGAGAAGGATGATGATAATAATCATCATCACTGGTAGATAGGTAACAGAAAGATAGATAATAGATCACAATCATCAAAAAATTGCTATGTTCTGGTACTATAGTAAGTGTTTTACATACATTATCTCATTTTATATTCACAACCATTTTTGTGCTAGGTGTTAGTTCCTTAATTATATACATTTTACAGATGAGAACATTGAAATTCCAAGCAGCTGAGAAACAGAGCAGCCTCAATGCCAACTACGATTTGTCTAAGACTCAAATAATTCTTTTGGCCCTCATATCATGCTCTCTTTCCTCCCACTGATTCATGTATTCACTGTCCAACCTGTCAGCTAACAAACCAAAATGATATCAAGTTGATTCCTTTTGGCATTAACTTCAGTAGAAAGATGTTCGCTGCTCCCAAAGAAATCACAGCTTATTGTAGAAAACTAAAAAATGAGGAATTGTTCTGGAATCTGCTAATAAGCCATTTCTAACAAACTACTTAAATGCCCAAAGCAAAATATTTTGCCTAGGAAAAGCAGGATTACTATTATTTTTTAAAGCAATGAAAAGTTGATTTCATAATGATTCATCATGAAAATATTTCCACTAAACAAAAAGGTCAATAAGGAACTTACTATTTGCCTTATCAATGATTCTCCTTTATGATCAAGTTTCTATCAGAACTTGATAACATAGGCAGCTCCTCTTGGAAAGGAAGTTTTCAAGAAGTATTTAATGCTTACATAGTAGTTTTTTTAATTTATTACTGCATAAAATGTAATTATTTGCATCTTGTGGTGGTGGTTACTGGGATCTTGCTATTCAGTGGAATAGTCCATCATTAGCTATGGGTTTTCTTCCTTTTTTTAAAAAAAAAAAAAAAACTTTCGTTTTGAGTTCATGGATACCAGTAAGTACAGGTTTGTTCCATAGGTGAACTTGTGTCATTAGGATTTGTTTTATGGATTATTTAATCACCCAGTTGTTTTTCCTACTCTTCTCCCTCCTTCCCCATCTACCCTCCGAAAGGCTCCAATGTGTGTTGTTATCCTCTATGTGTCCATGTGTTCCTATCACTTAGCTCTCACTTATAAATGAGAACATATGACATTTGGTCTTCAGTTTCTGTGTTAGTTTGCTAAGGATAATGGCCTCTGGCTCCATTCATGTCCCTGCAAAAGACATGATCTTGTTCTTTTTTATGGCTGCATAGTATTCCATGGTGTATATGTACCACATCTTCTTTATCCAGTGTATGAATGTTGGGCATTAAGTTCGTGTCTTTGCTATTGTGAATATGCCACAATGAACATATGTATGCATGTGTCTTTATAATGGAATGATTTATATTCCTTTGTGTATAAGCCCAGTAATGGGATTGCTGGGTTGAATGGTAGTCCTGTCTTCAGGTCTTTGAGGAATTGCAACACAAATGAGATCTAATTAAACTAGAGAGCTTCTGCACAGCAAGTGAAACTATCAAGAGAGTAAACAGACAATTTACAGAATTGGAGAAAATTTTTGCAAACTATGCATCTGACAAAGGTCTAATATCCAGCATCTATAAGGAACTTAAATAAATTTAGAAGAAAAAACAACCACATTAAAAAGTGGGCAAGAACATGAACAAACACTTTTCAAAAGAACACATATATGTGGCCAACAATCCAGTGATAAAAAAGCTCAACAGCATTGACTATTAGAGATATGCAAGTCAAAACCACAATAAGATTACCATCTAACACCAGTCAGAATGGCTGTTTTTACAAAGTCAAAAAATAACAGATGCTGGCAAGGTTGCGGAGAAAAAGGAATGCTTATACACTGTTGATGGGAGTGTAAATTTGTTCAGCCATTGTGCAAGTTATGGGTTTTCTGATGCAAAATGTCTGCCTCCTACTGGGGGACTCCTACTTTAGTATTACAAATACCCACATTGCTCCAACCATTCTTCGGAAGATTTATGTCCCAACCCTTTTTAGGTACTTTCTTTTTAGAAGTGTGACCACCTTTTGGCACCAGTTCTAAATGGCAAATCACAGAGGCAGACACGAGAAGCTACTGAAGACTGTGTGGTGATAAGATCACAGCGCAAGTGCCATGTTCCTCTTGACATCTCTCTAAAGAGACATGTGTAGAAACTTGTACTACACAGGGAAAGGTCTCAGAGCTGTCAGTACTGAAGGAACAGCAGAGAAGCAAAAGGGATAACCAGAATCCTCCTGTAGAATGGCCTACATAAAATGCCAGTAGTTATTAGCTTCAAATCTGAAGTCTGCCCAGTAATAAATTGAAGCTGGGAGGCAAAGTGAGAGTAGAATCACAAAGCAAATGGCTTTGCGATTACTAGAGAACCAGTAAAAGCACAAATATAGTTCCAGGGAAAGTTGATCCTATATTATTATGGTAGATCTGAGCATCTTTAGAAAAATTTAGATACCTATTTCCAAGAGAGTTCTCTCCTTAGTTTTAAGGACACAGCAGTACTCTAAATCAACTGTCTGACTGCACGTTATTTATTCTGCACTTCAAGTATGATTCTGTTGTAATGATTTTGATGCTGTAATCAAGAGATTAGAATATATTCATCAAAATAAGATTTCTGTTGCTAAGAGATCCCTCAGCAGGCAGAAAGAGTGCCTGGTTATGTGTGTATAATTTGTACCATTTATTCAGCACTTACTTTGTTCTGGGTATTTTTCATGTAATTCTTAATACAGAATCTAGAGATAGTAGGTATTATTTAACTCATTTTTATCAATAAAGATTCCAAAGCTTAGAGATAGCTTAAGCAGCTTGCAATAGTCCAGAAATAATAAGTTGTGAGCCCAGAATTCAAAGTAGGTCTTGTTCTTTATTACTATCATGCACCACAATACTATTTTTCTGGTTTAATTTTATTTTACAGTGCATCTGACCAAAGTCATATACTGGCCCCTAAAAATAACAGAATCAAGCAAATTAAAAAAAAAACCTCTAGATGTACTAGAAATTCCACTACTTTCTTCAATCACCCCATCTTATTCACAACACTAAGCTGGAGATTACTTTTGCTAAAGACATGAAGTTAAAATAAAAATAGATTTGTTACATCAAAGTAAATAATTTTTCATTATAAGAAATATTTCAAAGTGTGCTATAGGCCCTTTGAGGATATACCAAAGTTTTGAGTGATGATAGCATATTTAACCTTGTACTATTACTACTGTTGACAGTAATACTAGTATCTATTATTAATTTGTAGCTTAAAACCTTTTTTAAAAAATTTCATTGCCTTATAAAATCAAGTAAACTCTCAATGGTCTACTTTGAAAATGATTCATTAGAACATTCCATCATCTCAAATTAATTGGGTAAGTAAATACAAAAATAAATATAAATAATTTCCTATTAAGGGGAAATGATACATCTTAATGTCTTTTGTAAACTCTAAAGTTCTTATCCAATGTAGAAACAATTATTAATCTTAAAATAAATCCCATCTTTTCCTAGGGAGAGGACTCAATAATATCTGGATAGGTGGTGGCTTAGCCTCTTCAGATGAGGAATCTTGATACCTTATGAAGCAGTCGCATCGTAATTTACAAACATCTCTCCATTTGAGACAGAATGTCTTTGTGTTACATCAAAATCGATTTTGGTATATTCTTGGGTTTTAGGAAATCCATCAATACCATTCTTTCTTTCTCAAGTATAGAACCTACTAAGAACTAGAAGAAAGAATAGATATAAAACTATGTTTTATTATTGGTAAGTATTATAGATATTACTGGGAAATGCTGCTTGACCCATGACCACACCTTATTTCCCTAATATGATTTCTCATCCTAAATTGAATCCTGGCCATAAAGCTGCATATTTTCAGGGATATTTACCCTGTGTTGTGAGAAATATATATTACAGGCAAAGAGATCAAAGAAGGAGAATGAGCTTAAATTTTCTATCCCATTCTATCCCTCTCTCCAGCCACACACTGTCACAAGAGAAGGCTTAAAAAGAGAAAGTGTGGGAGAGTCTCAGCATATTGTATGTACCTCATGTAGAGTGGACTATTTTTAGGCTCCCTTTAAACAGCAGGAAGGAAAGGTAAGGGGTTCTCTGTAACTTCGTAACTTCCCAGATTTTGTTCCTTAAACTGTTGATCATATCCATAAACTTTATGGCTAACCAGACATGTGGCTCTCATCCTCACGGGCTAGAACTACAGTTTTTAGTGTAGTTTGTCTTCATTCATGAATATTTTCTCCTAATTCCAAGCAAGTCTTTTTGTTTTTCTTTCTGGAACCACTGGTGGACAGTTTATCTTTTACCCTCCCTGCCAAAGCTAAATAGCACAGAAAAATATTTAAAGATAATTTTAAAAGTCTATTATACCCAAGGCCCAAAATGTGTTCCTTGTTCTATTGGACACATCCACTCTGCCCAATATAAAATCCTATAGCGTTTAAGCAACAACTTCATATGTAAACTTAAAGGTACTTATTTAACACAATATTTCTAACACAGAATACCTCCAAATATGCATTTTAAGTATCTTTCCTCCATCAAATCCTCAGTGAAGAAAAAAGTGCTTAAAGATCTTATTTCCTTTCTCTTTTAGTTTTAATTAACAATATGATTCTCTATTCACTCTTCATGCAGTTCCAGTCTTACTCGGATTCCCATAATAGGTGATGCTGCTTCCCAGTTTCTGAAGTTGAATTAAGTCAACAGCAACTCCCTCCTGCATCTCACTTTTAAGAATTCAGATGTTAATATTATAAAACATTATAGACTTCCTCATAGCCAGTTCCACAATCCTATATTGACCAAACACAAGCAAAAACATAATAATATTCATCCCAACACTATTTAAAGTATTTATTCACTCATTTCACAGGTATTTAATAAATGCCTACTATGTGCCAGTACTATGCCAGGAACTAGGGCCACAACATTGGACAAAACTGACAGAAACTGTTTTATTCATGGAACTTACATTTGTAGACAAAAAATGTGAAAGATGCACATAAGGAAAATACACACATGTTAAATGTGGAACCATCATGCCTTTTTTCATCGTGCCAGAAAGAAAAAAAAATGTACAAAGCTGGAAACGAGTCAGAATATATGTTGGGGGTGGGAGGTGGATAAGATTTTAGATAAAGGAGCCAGGGAAGTCCTCACTCCTCCACACATAAAAGAAGGAGATGCACAACTGCAGATAAATACCAAATACATTTGCACAGATGGCCAGGGGGAGGAGAGGAATCAGAGTGGGGACAAGAGATAAAGAGAGAAGTTATAGGGGGAAAAAAAAACCCTTCCTGGTACCTAAAAAGATAGTGTTGCATGGACTAAAGAGTATAATTAACTCAACTATCTGCATTCAAACTGAAAAGGAAAAAGAAATCTTAGACCCTAAAAGCAGTACAATTATGTAAAATTAATATCAACGTCCAGTACTTGGGGCAACGCAGGGCCACGTCACTGGCACTCATCAAAAAAAACCATTGGAGACTCAGTAGTCAAAGAATCATGAAGACAGATGCTTTGCTTTCTCTCACCAGGATACCAGTTAGTCTGTGATACATATCCAGAAAGTGAAACCTGTGAACTTGAGCTCTATTGAGGGAAATCGCCCACCCACAGAGAAAAGCGTTGACTATATCTGGGGTGAAAAATTCCCCATGCATACTCTCATAGACACCAGAGACATTTCTCCATTTCTTGGAAAAAGTTGTTGGCAGCCCCTTCAACACATTGTCTTGCCTTCCCCTGCCATTTAAAGCTCCCGATGTTCATTTCCCTTTGGTGTCTGGACTTCTGGTGGCCTGGCTTCTCATTGAATGTGGGCTCCTTGATGGTCCAGACTCTATCTCCTGAGCAGCCACATTTAGCCCCATCTCACAGTGGATTCTGCCCACAGCCTTTTGTCATAGACTCTCTCAGGATTTTGAAAAACTGCCTGCTGGGAACAATTCACTCTTTTTCATTATATTTTATTTCTGGCAAGCATCACTCTCAGCAGAGTCTATAACTAAAGCCACTGGGGCTAGTCATGATGCTTGTGCCCTCGGATGCCTGAGTGAGTGTAATAGCTTCAGTCACTGTCCACACGACCACTGTGAGGATCAATAGCTTCACTGTGAACTCCTCAAGACCTTTCTTTCTGCTGTTTTGGAGTATTTCAGGCTTTGAGTAGCATTTCAGCTGTATCTTTTTGAGCAGAATAAGATAGGGCCCTCATGTCCTATTTCCACCTAATTTTCTTGCCTCCCTCTGCTCCTTTAAAGAAGGTTCAATAGTTTAGTCGAACTTAATGATTTCTTCTTCTAGTCCCTTTCCTTCCTATTATGCTAGCCCAGTTTACTAGATCTAAGCATCATTTTTTTTTCCTTTCATCTGTCTTTTGAGGCACAGGTAGTTGTTCCTATAGCATCTTCTGTAGATTTTTGTCATAATGAGAGATACAATGATTTGTGGATCTTAGAAAAAGCATCCAGAACAATTCCATCCAGACAATCCTGTCTTCTCTCAGCTTCCTAAGGAGCATAGCTCTACACTGGTAGTACCCTCCTTTCAGATTAACATCTAAACCAGGCCTGTTCTTTATTTATCTCTGTCAATCTAGGTTCCCTTAGGAGTGGCATTTGTTTCCTGTGCTTTTCTTAGACTCTCAAACCCTATTATACTCACTCAAGGCAATGGCTGTGTCCCTAACTACAACTGTGATTTTCTAACACTCTAGATGGCTTTGAGCAGCTATTGTTTTTCTTCTTGATGTTTCCTTCTCAAATCAGTGCGAGTTGCTCATCACCACTGTATACAGCTGTTCTGATCTTTTCTAGAAGTTTTCACTTGTGTTATGACACACTTTTAAAAGCCCGAGTTAGGCCCTGTATCTGGTTTTCCTCTGGGGATGTCTTTGCACTCTGCTCACTGAAATAAAGCTGCCTTTTTATGTATGATTGAGAGCAGAGGTATCATCCTCTCTGATATAGTATCAACTCAGGTACCTGCCTCTTTTCTAAACTACCTTCAACAAGAACATTTGGCCTGCAGGCATCTGTCTCCCTTCTTTTATCCTATTTCTCCAGCATGGCCTCAGTGATCCAGACTCAATTATCTTAATGAAAGAGCACCTTCCTTTCCACACAAACATATTGCCTTCTTTAGCATGTCTGTCATTCTCTACTGCCCCTATTATAATAGAAAGACAGAAGCATAATTTTAAACCAGTTCATTTCTGGAGCAGACTCATTTCTTAGAGATGAAGTGGGTTATAAGCATAAACCTTTTTGTGTTTTTTTTTCTTAATTTTTTGAGTTCACCATTGTTTCACTGAGTTACTCTCTACCTCAATCCAAGAATATGGCATAGTTCTTATATAGTAATGAGCTTATTCCTTTTTATTTATTAATTGGTTAAAACCACTACTTTGTTGTCATGAATTTGTGTTTTTGAAATCTAATACCATTTTCCAGGCACGTGTCCCAACTCTCTCTGAAAACAAAAGCTAGATCCCATGCTCTACAACTTAAGCTGAACCTAGCTGCACTTATGTATTTGCAGTGTTAAATTGCTTCCTGGGGATCTTTGGGCGGAGTGGAGGACAAAACTTATAAAGAGAGCACAAACGATCTCATCTACTAATGCCTAAAACATCTCTTTCTTGAGAAATCTTAGTTGGGTTCAAATCATTTCCCTGTTACCTACTCTCTGATTTGGCCTTACTATGTAATTCAAGCCAAGGTAAGTTACACTGGCCTACATGCTAAGGCCCCTGGGAGGTGCTTACAAAAAGCCAAGGAGGGAATCACTTAGGGCCTCACCTTTTAAAAATAGCTCCATGTTCATAACCAATAGCAATTTGGGTAGCTGTGATCTACCCTATTCAAAAAGCCTTTGGAGATCTGAATTCACTGAAACTTAAATCCTAAGGCATCTCATCCTGACTGAGGCAAAAGCCCCCTCAACACATCCAAATTTTCTATGCATAATTTTAGTCCCTAATTCTTAAGATTCTAAGCCCATGATCCCTTATGTAATGTGCCATCATCTCCTACTCAAATGAGGACCCATTTGTGGAAATTCAGTAAAGGAGTCAAAATGTTATCTTTGTGATTAATAAAGCTGAAGGGAATACAGTCTTACCTCTGCTGTCAACAGTCTTCCAATATGCCTTCTACTTGTGAATTTATCTTTCCCCTACCCAGTCCTTGAGAGTGCTAGAAAAGTAAAATTCCTACATGTCTGAGAGCCAGACTTAAAAAGAGAGGAGAAAGGAGTGTGATGGTTAATTGTATGTATCAACTTGGCTGGGCCACAGTGCAAGATATTTGGTCAAACATTATTCTGGATGTTTCTGAGAGGGGTATTCTTGGATGAGATTTAAATGAAATTGCTGGACTTAAAGCAAAGCCAAGTATCTTTTATAGTTTTGGTGGGCCTCATTCAATTAGTTGAAGGCCTTATTAGAAGGAAAAGACTGACCTCCCCTAAGCAAGAAGAGACTTTGCCAGCAGACAACCTTCAGACTTCATCCTCAACATCGTGTCTTCCTGGTTCACCACCAGACTGCGTTTGGATTCAAACTGTAACTCATTCTGAAGTATCTAGCCTACGGACCTCCCCTACTAGATTTTGGACTTCCTGAGCCTCCGCAGTCGCATGATCCAGTTTCTTAAAATAACTCTCTTTCTGTATATACACCTGCTATTGCTTCTGCTTCTCTGGAGAAATCTGACTCAAACAGGGGACCTAGAAGGAAATGCTGCTGCACACTCTTGGTTTATTTTTGAGACCCATCATCTCATCAGACTGATGAATCTTCCTCTCTCCCTCACCAATGAGAAAATAAGTGGAGAGATAGGATGGTAGTGTTTTTTTCTACATTTCTCTCCTGGATTAAGAGGATCATGGAAACAATAAAAGTGGGGAATGAGCTTCTCCTCAATTTATATCAATTGGGCCCTAGATCTTTTTCCCGGAATGACACAGACTCCATTTAATCTTTTACACACAAGAGTCTCATATGGATTATTTTTTTGCCGATTTTGATCTTCATATGTCTTTAGCCACTTCCAGACTAAACAAAGGACTTTCAACCTTTTGCTTCTTTTGCTAAAACTGATTTACATCACTATGAAGTCACACCCCAGGTGCAAGGAATAAGGCCTCAAATGTGGGTTTTAATTCAGTCAAACCAAATTTCAAACCACAGATGCTCCTGTTTATTATCTCTTTGACTGTAAGTTGCAGAATTCCTGTTACATTTTCCTCTGATTTAAATTTAAATAATAACACCCTACCTAACAGGGTTTTTGTGAGAATTAAATTAGATCATAAAGGTGAAACTTTCTCGTACAGTGTCTACAGCACCATTACAAGTAACTTCTGCATTTCTGAGGTTACTGTAAGATGCTTTATGATAAGGGAATCCAGGATTTCCCAAACTCTGCCTTATCCACGTGGCTGCTGTTCTTCTCTGTTGATATTCGAGGAAGATATCTGCAAAGGGAGGAGAGGAAACCACAAGGAATTTAGACTTTAAAATTATCAGAGAGCTTTTGCCTAAAATCTAATGCAGAGTTTTGGGTCAACTGGTGAATTGGGCTAAAGGAAGTGCCTTAGGCTGAAAGCCTCTGAGTGTCTCCTTTCTTTTCTTTTCTTTTCTTCTCTCTCTCTCTGTTTGTGTGTGTGTGTGTGTGTGTGTGTGTGTGCGCTTCTTTCTCCTTCTTTCTCTCCATGTAAACAAAAATGGTAGCATCAGCCTCATCCTCTGTATAGAAATGGAAGATACGAGAGCACCAACATGTAGACAGGAAGAAAGAGTGAGAGAGATAACACAGGCACATTGCTTTTGAGCCTGCATGGCACCTTGTCTTAGGCACACAGAGAAAACCATCCATATGTTGATGTGTATGTGTGTCTGTTCCATAACCACACTCACTGGAAAACATGTACCGGACAAGGAGTTCTGTCCCATCAACTTTAAAACTCCTGAAGAATTGTTAGAAAGGAAGTGATGCACTATCTGTGCAAGGAAGGAAAAGAGTAAGTGTCCTGTTTATCTTGTTTACCCTCTGCTTGAAGTCTTCATGTGTAAGAGGTACAGCAAAACATTCTGATTTTCTTTCCTGAAATTTCTGTTGGAGTCTCCTATCCTAGGATTTTACTCAGTAAGCACACAAATTTAGAGAATAGACGTTCTATTAGGCTGTTTGATGTATGTGAATTAGTTTAATTAAGATAATAAGAAAACCAGTTAGGGAAATTGTACAGTTCAGGATTGTGTGGCTTCAGCTGCAACTGAATGCAGGTGTTTGTGATGCAGTCACATCCCTGCCTTTTACAATATCTCTTAGCTTCATTTTTCTCTGTGTGTTTCAACTTTTGGTACTCCTGCCACATGATGGAGCAGGGCCAAAGATCCACTATCTTTGAATAATCTGCTATCTTTGAACATCTATGCCCCTTCCCCTAAAAAAGGAGTCTCAGTGACAGTTTCTAACCAGTATCTTTGAACATCTATACATTCTCCTCCAAGAAGGAGTCTTATTGACTCTGTCTAACCCATAAGATTCTACTTGGATCAAATGCTAGGTCCCTCTAAGAAATAGGGTTCTCTCTTTGGATAAAATAATGAATGACTATCATTTCTTGTACCCTAGTTATGTTTAGGGAATTACCCATATAACGAATTCCATGTCCGCATGATGTTAGCCTAAAATGCCCTCTTCTAGCATCCAGGGAATAGACATGAGTATTACATTTCACCTCTCAGACTCATCCATGTAAGATTCATTCAGAATAGAGCAAAGGGAGGAAGTAGGTGCTATGAAGAATACAGCAAGGGTACTGGTTGACACCACAAATGTCCATGTACCTTCATCAGTATCTTCAGACTTTGTTTCTGGCCATGCATTCTCTTGCATGAATGACTGTGACATTCTCACAGATAATTTGTGCCACCTCACAAGAAATTCAAGGTTTGTTGTCATTTTTGCTAAATTAGAAAGAATTGGTTCATATGTTTGCAACTAATAACCCTGATTGTTATTTATAGCTAACCTGGGTCAGCAGCCCATCCTGTTGTTGGGGAAGTAGCTTGATAGCAAATTGACATGATTTGGGAAAGAGTCATTTCTCCAATGAAGGCAATGCTGGACTGTCAAAAGACTCACATAGGTCTGACATTAGGTAGCAGGAATCGTCACTTGTGGAGTTATTCATTGATTTGTTAATTAATTAAAATCTCTGTGGATTGGCTGGGCACGGTGGCTCATGCCTGTAATACCAGCACTTTGGAAGGCAGATGTGGGCAGATCATGAGGTCAGGAGTTCGAGACCAGCCTGACCAACATGGTGAAACCCCGTCTCTACTAAAAATACAAAAATTAGCCGAGCGTGGTGGCGGGAGCCTGTAATCCCAGTGACTCAGGAGGCTGAGGCAGGAGAATCATTTGAACCCGGGAGGTGGAGTTTGCAGTGAACCGAGATCGTGCCACTGCACTCCAGCCTGGGCAACAGAGTAAGACTCTGACTAAAAAAAAAAAAAAAAACCAAAACCAAAAACAACAACAACAACTGAAAACAACTCTGTGAATCATTCTCCAATGAACGAATGTGCTTATTTTATCTGCTTGGCTGGTTCCCCACTAGCTCTTTATGTGAAGCCAGTCAGCACAGATATGCTGCTGGGACAGGCACCTGAACCTGCCATGAAGTTCAGAACCACAAGCTCTGATTTCCTTTTTCTCCTTCACCCATAAACTCCAACTTTGGTTCCTTCTACTAATACCAATTTTTAATTGCCTTCTTTGATTCTTTTCTATTTTGATGGTTAATTCCTTCTTTGGCTTTTTTTTCAACTCATTTGCAATTCTGCATACTGTCCTGATTTGTGCATTTCACACAGAGGGTCAGTAGGAGCTCTTTTGTCATCTTGGCCTCATTAGACTTCATTCCTGAGGTCAATTCCCATTCTCCATTTCTGTAAGGGAGAGATAGTTCCTATATCATGTCGGCACCCTTATCACTATTGAAATATCCACCATACATTCCAAATGGGAACTGAGGGATTCTGACCCATTACCTTGTCTTTCTCTGTATCCCAAAATTGAGCATTGTTAATATTTATGGAGGGCCCATCAAAGGCGAATATACAGCTGGTATCTTAATACAATTGGCCATTGAGTTATTGCTGAAACCTCATTCTTTTTCAAATCAATTTTCTACAAAATTTTGTATGATCTTGTGTCAGTTTTCAACTCAGCTTTTATAAGCCCATTAGTGATGTTGCAGTTTCCCCTGGGGGTTTACTGGTCCAAGGTATTCTTATGTAGCAGATGTTATAAAGCAGCTGGAAGATGCCGGTTTGCATAGACAAGGTAAACCATATGTATAGGAAATAGAAACAGTGAATTTTGTAATAAAGTAAAACTAAATTGTTTGCGAGTCAGTGTTACTCTTTAAAATAGGATGATGATAAAGGGAGAT
The DNA here is from genome assembly GCF_000001405.40 of Homo sapiens. Lineage (NCBI taxonomy): Eukaryota > Metazoa > Chordata > Mammalia > Primates > Hominidae > Homo > Homo sapiens. Next base: position 12,247,995 of record NC_000004.12, on the reverse strand, counting down.
GCTAAGAAATGGCGGTTCAGCCCTGCCTCTAAGTCTGTGTTTGTAACTTTGAGCTGATCTTGTCATCCATTGAGATCTCAGCTTCTTTGACTGTAAAATGAAGAATGTAGATTAAATCAGGTGTCAGAAAACATTTTTAATGTAAATGTTTTAGGCTTTGTTATTTGTTGCAACTGCTCAGTTCTACCCATTAAATGTGAGAACAGCCATAGAAAATATGTAAGCCAGTGAACACGGCTATCTTCCAATAATACTTTATTCACAAAACAGTGGACCAATTTGGTCCATGGTTCATAGTTTGCTGATCCCTTTACTAAGTGATCTCTAAAGGTCACATCTGCCCCAATATTATCTGCTCTCAAATGCATATGACCTCTCTGGAGAGCAAGATTTCCAAAGTAATTTTAAAACCAAATTCTAGAAATGATACATTACTTACATTTAGTTGTCTTTTGGGATATTTTTCATGATCCCTAGACCTTCCTTCTGGTTCTTCAATACTACCAGCCCTTCATTTTCATGCATATGTGCACACACACATACACATGCACAAACACACATGCACACATTTCCCGCACAAGTTCAAATTGTCCTGTTCTCAAAATGCTACCACTTAAAAAGCAATGTCCTAAATGCGTTCATAACTTAGAGGCAATTTTGATAACTTCTAAGATACAGACTGTGTCCCTAACAAGGTGACCTATTAATAATATCATTTTTTTCATCAATTCAGCCAATATTTATTTAGGACTTATTGTGTACTCAACACTGCTTTGAGTTTGGGATAGAATAGTGACAAAACACTTGTGACCCATATCGTCGTGGTCTATATAGTCTGGCATAATTGATTTAACATTTCAACATCACACCTGCTTAATAAGGTATATTAATGCAGTGCTAAAAATACAAGAGAATGAATTGATGTTCTAGTTTTAATTTAACACCTGGATGATGTTAGCTCAGTTCTTTATGTTTTATGAGCTTCACTTTCCTCAGCTGTAAAATAAGAATAGTTACAAACTTACCTTACATTTTCTTGTGTGATTTTAGAATTCTTCCACCTGAAAAGATAGTTATTTGTATATGCTCAATTCTGTTTGAAACATTTAAGGCCTAGTATCATAGGCTTCATAATAAATCAAGCAAACACATCAAAGGAATAACTTTCTGCCAAGTTTTATTCCGGAATCACTAAAATAATGTCCTTTAGCACTCTGGGAATAAGTTGCATTTGGTTTGATGATTTTTTTCTTTGCATTAATTCTTAATCTTTCAGGTATTAGGTGGATGGCAAGGTGATAGCTGTTTTAGATCTTCAAAAATTGAAGAAAAGGAAAACATTTATAATTTACATTATGCTTGAACTGCTCCCACCCACTTAACTGCTAGTTTCAGGTTTTTCATTATCCTTACTAGTAATTAACTTACCTGAGGATAATCAACACATAATAAAGTGTTACAGCAGAAGAAATTAGGCTCTACGCATTTCCTAGAATTATTGTGAGAATAACAGAAATAATATATTCAAGATGTACTCATCTCTCTGGAGGACCACACCTTTATTAGTGAATGTTCTGCAAAGAAACAGAACCAATGGGAGATAGAAAGATACATGAACAGATAGATAGATAGATAGATAGATAGATAGATAGATAGATAGATAGACAGATAGATAGATAGATAGACAAATAGGTAGATGGAAAGAAAGAAATAAAGAAAAGAAAGAAAAAGAAAGAAAGGAGGGAGGGAGGGAGGGAGGGAGGGAGGGAAGGGATTTATTATAAGGAGTTGGTTCACATGGCTATGGAAACTGAGAAGTCCCACTATCAGCTCTCTGAAAGCTGGAGGCACATGAGAGATGGTTATGAAGTTCTAGTCCACGTCTAAAGGCCTGAGAACCAGGGAAGTCAATGGTCTAAGTTGCAGTCTGAGTGTGAAGGTCCAAGAGCCAGGAATGTCAGTGTCTGAAGGTATAAGATGATGGTTGTCTCATTTCAAGAAGAGAGAAAATTTACTCATCTTCCACCTTGTCGTTCTATTTTGACTTTCAATGAGTTGGTTGATGCCCATTCACATTGAGAAGGGTAATCCTTTTTACTCAGGCTACCAGTTCAGTGCTAATCTCTGAGAAATACCCTGCCGGACACATTCATAAATAGTTTTTTTTTTTTTCAGCTACCTGCGCATCCTTTTGCTCAGTCAAGTTGACACATAAAATTAGCCATCACAACACCCTCGTTTTGGCCATTCAATTGCATTTCTTATTGGAGTGATTTCTCCATCCTTTCATGTCTGGACTCACATGAAACTGTTTACTGCACACAGACTTGCTAATGTAATAGGTCTACAGAATAAAAATATTCGGTTGCACTCTACAAAGAAGGGAAAGGTAGTTGTGTAGAATATGAAATGGGTAAGAAAGCTTGGGAGTTTCCCAAAAAGTTTTTTCTTCTTGAATGAGACTCTGGATTGAAGCACCGAATTCTGAATCTCTTCTTTGAGGCCTTCGTCCAATACTCAAATTACCTCTAATTTAATCAATTGCTTTGGAACAGATTCACCTATTCAAAGCAAGTGCTACAGCAGATCGCACTTTGATGTGCTGTGGTTTATCCTGTTCCTGGGTCTTTACTAGGCTTTTCCATAGAACCCTTTCTCCATCCCCACCCTTCAGTTTCACAACTCCTGTTTATCCCTTAGACCTCAGTTTAAACATGTTTTTTTCCAAGAATGCTTTCTTGAGAACTTTAACATATGCCAAGAATAATTTTCTTTAACTAACTCCAACCCGTTTTCATCAAACTGTTCTTAACCGTAGATATGTTGACTCAGAACAATTTTTAAGAGCATTTGTTTCTTCATCCATCCCCTCCCTCAACAAGCCTGCCTCCCTTAAGTCTTCCCATCTCAGTAAGTGGAAACTTCATTCTTGTAGCTGATTACAAACTTGGCAACACCATTAGCTCTTCTTTTTTCGTTTGTATCTCACATTCAATCTGTCAGAGAAGCTTGCTGGTGCAGCCTTCAAAATAAATTTAAAATACCACCAATTTTTGCCAACACCACTGCTATCCTTTTTCAAACCATCATCACTTCCTGCCTGGGTAAAAGTAATGTTTTAACTGGTCTTCCTTCTGTCAGTTTTGCCCTCTGTAATCTTTTTTTTTTTTTTTTTTTTTTTTTTTTCAGACAGAGTCTCGCGCTATTGCCCAGGCTGGAGTGCAGTGGTGTGATCTCGGTTCAATGCAACCTCCGCCTCCCGGGTTCAAGCAATTCTCCTGCCTTAGCCGCCTGAGCAGCTGGGACTACGGATGCTTGTCACCACACCCAGCTAATTTTTCTATTTTTAGTAGAGACGGGGTTTCACCCTGTTGGCCAGGATGGTCTTGAACTCCTGACCTCGTGATCCACCCACCTCAGCCTTCCAAAATGCTGGGATTAGAGGCATGAGCCACCGCACCCGGCCTCTGTAATCTATTTTTAACACAGAAGCAGAGTGATGATTTCGAATGTAAGTGATATCATGCCACTCTTCTGCCCAAAATGACAACCAAATCCTAACAATCAATTTACGAAGACTTCAATGATCTCACAGCATCCTCTGTTCAACTTTGTCTCATGTCCTGGTATTTTATCCTTTCTTCTACCCTGCAACCATACTTACCCTTTGGCTAGTTCTTGAGGATACTAAGAACTCACTCTTCCAGGGATTTAGCTCTGTGGTGCCCTCTGTCTTAAACACTCTTGGCTCAGATACCAACGTGACATATCTCTCACTCTTTCAAGGATTTATTTAAATATCACTTTATGGGTGAGAATTCCTTTGCCTGCTCTAATTACAGTTGCAAGAACATGTACCATCAGCCTGGTTGTTCCTATTCTCCTTCTCTGAATTTTTAAAAAATCTACAACATTCTATATTTTTCTTCCTTATTTTACTGTTTTCTAACTTTTCCAAATAAACCATGAGAAGACAAGAATTTTGCTTATAGCTGTGTCCTCAGCAGACAGAATTTTGCCTGACATGGCAGGAGGCATTCAATAAATATCTGTTTAATAGAAATTTCAGATCTGAGATAATTGCATGAGCTATAAATTGTTTCAAAAATTACATATAGATGTATCAGTTTTTTTCCCAAATTGGCCATGTCAAACACTTTATCAGCGTGATTTGTTTTTACTGGTAGTGATGTTAAGAGAGATTCCATTTGACCTATTTATTTTGGAAGTGATTCGACTATGAGTCCACTGTCTAAAGAGGTTCTAATCAAGTTAATTATTTTTTTTATCAGAAATCTTCCGAAGTTTTCCTGGTTTGTGGTGTTATTCCTGTATAATAAACCTGGGATGGCAAAAAAATGATATAAATAAGCAAAGCTGGCTTGCTTCTACCCTTGTTTCTACATATTTCTACATGTTCTACCCTCATTCTTACTTTCCTGTGAATGAGAAGGAGCTTTATCAGTGCTGAAGAGAAAATTGAGAAATCAAAACATGTCCTTAGGTTACCTCCCTGAGAGTTGAAGCTTTTAGTAGGAAGAGTAAAGAAATGTAAATATAAGAGGATTTTAACAATGGTTCTTCACATTCCTTTCACTTTACCTCTCAAGTATGTGGTGAGAGCCTTTTTTTTTTTTTTTTTTTTTTGAGACGGAGTCTCGCTCTTTGCCCAGGCTGGAGTGCGGCGACGCTATCTCGGCTCACTGCAAGCTCTGCCTCCTGGGTTCACGCCATTTTCCTGCCTCAGCCTCCCGAGTAGCTGGGAATACAGGCGTCAGACCCTTTGTCTTGGTAAAAACTCCAAAGTCCTGGCTTACCTGGAACCAGAGGATGGACTATGAGAACAGAGATCTGGAGAAGGTGGGCAGGACTTCCTATAGCGGAGGCTAAAATCTTTCTGACAACTTCTCTGTGATTCAGGAAGCTTAACAGAGTGGAATAAATCTAAGAGTTTGGGGAAAAAGAAAAAAAAAGCAACAAAAACACTGTTAGTGATAGAGTGTACATCCATAGGAAATGAGTACGTGAGGAGGCATGTATACCTTGGAAATTTGATGTCTTTGCCTACTCTTACTCTTCAGCCTGCATAATCATTATTGTCTATTGTTATCAATTACATAGTAATAAGGGGTGAAATGATGTTGAAAAGTCAAGGGCTTCTCAGTTAACTAGAGCTGCCTTACTGGTTGGGTTATTTCACTGTTCGACTTATACATTTCCTTTATTGTTCTTTGTTCTTTATTTTATTGTTTTTTGCTTGTTTGTTTGTTTATAACATATGAGTTGCTAAACACCTAAAGCTTACAGTAAAAGAGCCAGAGAGGCAACATGAGCTCTATTTCAGAAATGAGTTCTTATCCTTGGTTTTACGTCTTGTTATCTGTGTGGCCTTGGGAAAGTTGCTTAACTTCATACTTCCCAGGACCTACTCAGAAAGGGGCAGGAACATCAGTTAATGTGTTAACCATCAGTTAGTGTGTCACTCTGATTTTTCAAAGAGAAACTGCTTCCCAGCGGTGAAATTCAGTCTCACCTGCAATGTTGTGTGTATATTTAAGCCAGTTGGCTTGGCTCTTGTGTGATTTTTATGATTGATGAGTTTTCCTATTTTCATCATGATGTTCCTCTGAGAGAAGAAACCAGAACTGAGGCCAGATTGATAACAATCTCATTATGGCCTTATTATTGTTCTGGTCCTGGAGATCCATAACTTGGTTTTCTATTAGCCCATTACTCAAATGAGACTGTTGGAAAGCAAAAGCTTCTGTTGTGAGGCAGCATGAGCCACCTGGCTTTTGGAAATGCCTGTTTGGATGCACTGAAGATGAGAAAGCTATGTGGAGTGGCCAGCACAAAGGATGCTTTTTCTTCCTTGTGCATCTGTATTCGTGTGAGGATACAGTCTCCCTGGAAAGAGAGATGCATAAGACCTATTAACATTTAGAGGATAAATGCACACTCACTAAGAGGTAAATATGCCTATTAACGTAAGAAACATGCATCAATTTCACTGGCAATCTCACACAGGCAAACACTAATGTTGTGAGGACAGAAAGATCCAAGGGCGGCTTGAAATGGATAGGTTTTAATTTAAGAAACATTATAAGGAAAAAAAAGTTGTGACCTTAAAAAGATGAAGAAAACTTGGCATTGGAATCTGAACAAGATATCTGCAGGTTTTCTGTTCCTGAGATTTCAAGAGCAGGAAAACTGAGTAAGAAAAGGAATGAGAGAAAATCTACCTTCTACATTGCAGATTGTGCCATTATCCATTTAATCCTAAATTTAGGATAAATCATAATCTCCTTGCATTAGTTCGCTAGGACTGCCATAACAAAGTTATGCACAGACTGGATGGCTTAAACAACAGAAATTTGTTGTCTCACAGTTTTGGAGACCAGAATTGTTGATTTCTTCTGAGACCTCTCTCCCTGCGCTGTGGATGTCAGTCTTCTCCCTGTGCCTGTGCATCTTCACTCCTTAGTTTTTTTCTGTCTTTGTCCTAATTTCCTCTTATTATAAGGGCACCAGTCATATTGGATTACGGCTTGCCATAATGATCTCATTTTACCTTAATTAATTCTTTAAAGACCTTATATCTAAATGTAGTCACATGCTGAGGTATATTCATGACACACATGCTGGGGATGAGGACTCAGCATATGAATTTTAAAGGGACACAATTCCATCTGTCACCCTCCTCCATGAAAAATCTAAGTGATGGGTCCTCTTAGCCCATTTTTCAGAAGAGAAAAATGAATGTTCTGAAAGGTTGAAACGCTGTCATATTCAAACAGCTTTAAAAAATACAGAGAGTAGCTGAATCACAGAAAACAGTGACTTGCTCTTTCCTTCCCTCCAAGATGTCCTTTGCTTCCTTGATTAACATTTAGGAAGAATGGACCTAGAAAAGGGAAAAACATAAAAACACAAAATCATAATGCTGCTCCTCCGATTTCTGGGTTTTTATGTAATTATAATTACTAGTATACTAAGAAACAACCCATGATCTTGAAAGCATTCATTTAATTTCTCACAAAACTGTCTAAACAATGGAACTTAAAATAAGTGAACAAATATTTGGTTAAAATATTTGGATAAATTATGTATCTGTGAATATTTTCCACGTGCATACTTAAATATGAAATATTAAGATGTGTGAGGCATGTCATAAGAACAAATATGTCTTGTTTGAAAAAATGCAAGTAAATAATCTTATTTTCAGTTTTGTAAGTTTAGAGTTTTTCCTACGAAACTTCAGTCTTTATGGAATCCTAATACGACGTTCTTATTTCTATATGGGATTTAGCTACTATAAATTGGGAGAAATTAAGAGTGACATCTATTTATCTTGACATTCTATATATAGTTTTTTCAAGGTAAATCTATTAATACTGCTTTATTCAAAACATAATATGGCACAATCAAAGTTGTATCAAAGTCTGTTAGGTAGATTCATGACAAGTCATCATTACTAAATTGTTCACAGTGGTAGAAAGGGGTGATGGAAAGATGACTTGAGTAAAACTGAGGAATCCTTCAGTTTATTTTAAGCTCAGCTACAAACCTGTCTGATGATACTGAGCAGGCTACGAAAGCTTTCCAGGCATCAGTTTACTTACTAGTAAAAATAGAAATCCCCAACATGTAATTAGCAAATTAGATCATATGTGTGTAAACTTCAAGAATGTATAAATGTAAAATATTATTGCTATTATTATTATTTTTCTTTGTCTTTCCTAAGGAAGAAAATTGTCTGCTTGTATTCTAAGCACTTTGTAAACAAACACTAGGTATTCAATGAACAGGGAGCAAAATCTAGTTCTCAGCTAGCTGATAGAGTGAGGGAGAGAGACAGGGTGGGTGGTTTGTGATTAAACACTCCAAATGTTCCATGCTAAAATAGATATCAGTGTGGTATGCCCTGGGAGCATAATAAAGGACACCCCTGATGGAGTAAGCAGGGATGAGGAGGGAGTCAGAAAGTTTCCTAGAGATGACACTGAAACAAAGTTAATTAGTATGAGCAGGAGGTAGCCGAGTCAATCAAATACTTTTTCATACAGAATACATTCCATAAGCGATTGCTTTATAACCAATTAAACTCTTCACACAAAATATAATGGGAGACTTAATTATGTTTTGATATAATTTGTGATTTTTAAAAATAAATAAATGGTTGGTTTCTTTCTACAAGATTTCCTGTGGATTTTCAAAAACTTTCAATTATTTCTAGATATTAATATTAATACTTCTAATGTGGTGATTCTGACATGGCAGGTTGTATTTCCAAAAACAGTCACAACATTTCCTATTTTGCATCTTCCTCTACAATGTGACTTTGGCCCTCCTTTCATGGAAGGATGAAGCCTCTGCTTCTTCCCTTAAATGAGAGTGTGCTTCCAAATCCTTTAACAGATAGAGAATGCCAGATATGATGCTGTATAACTTCTCAGGCTGCCTCATGAAAGGTGATGCACCTTTGCCTTTTTCACTGAAATACCTGTGCTTGGAACACACACACTTTAAATATGCTGCAACTGTTAAACTGTGAGGAAGCCAAGCTACATAGTAGGCAAACGTTGGGGCTCTGAACAGCAGGATTAGTCTTTGATCTTCCCAGGCCAGGCACCAGCCATGTGAGTGAACAACCCTTTCGATGGTATTCTTTCCAGGCTCAAGTTTCCCCCTAGCTTTTGAGTCTTTCAGCCATAGTCCCCAACATCAAGTAATGTAGTGTAGACAAACTATGCCCTGAGGTACATTATGAATTCCCAACCTCTAAAATCCAGGAACATAATTAAATGTTTGCAGTAAGCTGACACGTTTTGGGCCAGTTTGTTATGGAGTGAAGAATCAGAATAAAACTTGACACCAAAATTGTGATGCTGCTGTAACAAAAACCTAAATCATGTGGCATTAACTGTGGCCCAAACAGTGGGCTGAATCTTGAAGGGCCTTGAGGAGAATATCAGAGAACACTGGAGTGCTAGGGAGGAAATTGTTACAGGAGGCTGAAAACAAGGTAATTCTTGAAGTGCAGTAGCAACAAGTTTTGGTGGAGTCTTCCCTGTGATGATGTGTAAAATAGAAAATAATTTTAATTAACTAGTGGATTTGACTGAGAAAACTTCCAATATGGAATATGAAATAAGATGATTATTTGATGTATTTTAGCTAACATATGGATAGAGAGAAGTGAGCCAACAAGAAATTGTCGGGTTTTAAAGCAACTAAAATTTATAGGAATTATAAAGGAGCCAGGATTTGTTGGGTTATTAAAAACAAAGAACAAAAAACAAAAATGCAAAATCATGTGATAAAGAGCCACTGGGCAAAAATAAAACACAGAGTACTTGCAGAATAAATATAAAGCCAAGGTTATTATTGCAGAAATCCTTTGTAATACTTTAGAACTATATTAGGTGGTACCTCGTAGAACCTTTAAAATAGACTGAGGCCTTCTAAGGATCTCAACATTGTGCTTTACAGACCATCTCTCTTAAACTATAGGGCTTCTGAGAATCTGAAGAGCCTCCCAGAAACCTAATCCAGAGAAAATTTGTAGAAGTATGCTTAGTCTAATGGAATAAATTATAAATCAATATACAAGAAACCCAAAAAGTTTTATTTTCATTTATTTACTAATTTTTACTAATTTGACTAATTTTATTTATTTACTAAACTAATTTATTTGGAGACAGGGTCTTGCTCTCTTGCACAGACAGCAGTGCAGGGGCGGTACCAGTAGAGCTCATTGCCCAGGCTGCAATGCAGGGGCAGTGCCAATATAGCTCATTGCAGCCTTGAATTCCTGGGCTCAAGAGATCCTCCTGCCTCAGCCTTTGAGTAACTAGGACTACAGGTATGTGCCAACGTGGCATGCCATTTAAATATATGTGTATGTGTGTCTCTGTGTGTGTATATATATATATTTATATATATATATATATATACACACACACACACACACACACATATATATATATATATATATATATATTTGTGGAGACATGATCTCCATCTCATTATGTTGCCCAAGCTAGGCTTTAAGTGATCCTTCTGCCTTGACCTCCCAAAGTAGTGAGATTACAGGCATGAGCTGCCACACCTGGCTCTAGAAAGTTTTTAAGAGAAAAGGACTGAAAGGAACAGATAGTATAAAGAGAAAATAGACTTTTGAGAAACCAGATTTTAATAGGCAGAAAGTTGGCTGAGAGGGACACTTAGTTACAAACATGCATCCTATCTAAAAATGTAGAAAACTGATTGATTTGGAAGGTTGGGGCACGACCACAGAGTGCAGAGCCAAGAGTCAAGGGTAACAATTAAAAAGGAGTAGCATGGAATTCTAATCAAGAACTGATGATGTGTGCTTGCTTGCATTTTAGAAATTGTTATTATCTGGTGTCTTCTATTTTGTGTGCCTTTGAATGAAAATGACTACAGTGGTTGTCACGTGCCTGTCCCACTATTGAATTGTGTGTGTGTGTGTGTGTGTGTGTGTGTGTGTGTGTGTGAGAGAGAGAGAGAGAGAGAGAGTTGGGAGGTATATAGTCTCCTGTCTCTTTAGTTTACAGATTTTTAAATTGATAGAAACTGCACTAGAGTTGTCGTACAAAAGGGGCTTCATCTGAACATGGACCTGGTTTTGATAATGAAATCTTAAACTTCCATCTGATTCCATAATAGTAGAAAACTTGGAAGTGTTGGGGAGGGCGAATGTATTTTCTAAGTTGAAGGGATGTAAATTGTTGGGACTAGAAGTCAAATTGGAGAGAGTTGTATCTTCAAAAGATATCTATAACTGTATTGCACGTATTTATTTATAGTGTGAATTTGCAACTTCTCCCCTCAAAATGAGGAAAGAAAAAAGGCCTTGTGATTGCTTTGAGTATGGCAGAAATGACATTCTTCCATTTGCAAGATGTGATCCAAAAGGTGATGCAGATTTTGCTTCACTTATTGGAAAACTCATACTTCAGTCCCTTCATGAAGGCAGTCTAACTGCCGTGGAACTGCTATGCTGAGAAAATTAAGCTACGTGGTGATTTTGCATGTATGCATGAGAGTAAGCAGTTCTAGCCCTTGATTCATTCCATCCCAGGCACCGGACCTGTCAGGGAAAGAACCTTAAAATGATCTCAACCCCCAATCATCACATTATGGTTAGTCTTTAATTCATCCAAGTAGAGGTCCCATATGTTATGACGCAGAGACAAGCATTGTGTAATGTCCATGTGGCTGTCCTTCAGAATGTGAGACTGTAATTAAGAAATTTCAGATAAAGCCACTAAGTCTGACTTGATCTGTGATGCAATACTAGTAACCAAAATGGTACATTTTAAATAAAAATGTATTATATTTCAAACCTATATCCATATTGTAAAATAAATCCACACATATCTAAGAATATAAAGCCAAAAGTAAAAGATCTCTTCACACATACCCTCAGAACAAAAGGAGTTAGTACTCTTGGTAAAAGTAGTCCCCGTTTGAAGCTAGATGTGCATTCTTCCAGATACTTTATACACTTACATATTTTATAGATACTCTCTTTTGAGGGATAATAATAATAATTTGTGGAATACTATTCATATGGTTCAAAATTTTTGCCATTTGAATGTAACTGGTTATGTTGGAAATCGTAACATTGCAGCTTATGTATAAATATATATGATTGCTTTTAACATCTAAATACAGAAATGAGATATGACTTTCATGGACATTAGCAATTTTTTTCTTCATAAGCCTCTTAAGATACTAATAATATTCTTTATTACTTTTTGGTATAAATGAGTATAATTAAGGATGAACTAATCATATAATAATTGCTATAATAATTATTATATTCACTGTTTTAGTTGATTTTGAAAGATTAAACTTAGAACATTTGTGTCAGCTTTAGGCACTGTGTCTACTAAGCTTAGAAGTTGGTTCTGACCTAATAGAGTCTTTATTGTGGATGTTTATAATTTGTTTAATCATTTTTGAATTGAATAGTTTTTTTTGAAGTTTCTACTGTGAAAATAATTTTTTTTGTTAAAAATGCTGCAGTTTACATGCTTGTACCTTTTCCCCTTTAAGTGCATGCATAAATATTTCTCTAGAACACATATCTGCAGTTACATTTTTTACCTTGATAAGTATGTGCATTTTTAAAATTTTAATAAATACTCTCAAATTGCCTTCTCAGAAAACTAGCAATTTATAGTCTTTATAACAGTGTTTATTCATTGACACACAAAGTGTGTTTGTTCAATTGACACACAAAAATCAACAGCATTGTAGTATGCCAACAGCAAATTCATTGAAGGAAATCCAAAAAGCAATGCCATTTGCAGGATCTACAAAGAAAATACCTAAGAATAAATTTAAACAAGGAGGTGAAAGACCTCTACAAGTAGAACTATAAAACACTGAGGAAATAAAAAGATTACAAAAAATGAAAGATATCCTATGTCCCTGGACTGGAAGAATTAATTTTGTGAAAATTACTGTACTACCAAAACTAATCTACAGATTCAATGCAATCTTGCAGTGTCATATACCAATGTCATTCTTTATAAAAAAGCCTAAAATTAATATGGTAACAGGAAGTCTAGAATAGCCAAAGCAATGTTGAGCAAAAAGGAACAAAGTTGGAGGCATAACAGTACCTGACTTCAAAATATACTACAAAGCTATAGAAAGAAAACAACATGTTACTGGCATAAAAACAGACACATAGGCCAATGGAACAAAATAGAGAACTTAGAAATAAATCCATGTGCTTACAGCTAACTGATTTTTGCAAAGGCCTCAAGAACATTCAGTGGGAGAAAGGACAGTCTCTTCAATAAATGATACTGCAGAAACTTGATATCCATATGCAAAAAAAGAAAACTAGACCCTTATATCTCACCATATATAAAAATCAAATCAAAATGGATTAAAAACTTAAATGTAATACCTGAAAGTATAAAACTACCAGAAGAAAACATTGGAAAAATGCTTTAGGACATTGGTCTTGGCAAAAAATTTTTGGATAAGACCCCAAAAGCACAGATAACAAAAGTAAAATAGACCAATGGGATTACATTAAGCTAAAATGTTTCTTCACAGAATAAAAACAGTCAATAGAATGACGAAACAATCAATCTATATAATGGAAGTTTTAATATTTGCAGATTTATCCATCTGCTGAAAGATTAATAACAAAAATATATAAGGAACTCAACTCAGTAGCATGAAAACAAATAATCCAATTAAAAATGGGCAAATGATCTGGAAAGACGTACAAATGGACAATGGGCATATTAAAAAATATTCAGTATCACTGATCATCAGAGGAATGCATATTAAAACCACAATGAGATATTTTCTCACCCCAGTTAAAATGGCTATTATCAAAAAGATTTTTAAAAGGATGCTGGTGAGCCTTTGGAGAAAGGGGAATGCAAGTACACTACTAGTGGGAATGTGAATTGGTACAGCCACTATAGAAAACAGTATGAAACTTTCTCAAAAAAAAAAAACTAAAAGTAAATTTACCATGTAATCCAGTAACCCTCCTGGTGGATATATAGACAAAAGAAATGAAATCGGTATATAGAATAGATATCTGCATTACCATATTCATTAAAGCACTATTAATAGTAGTGCTTTATTAATAGTAGGCAAAATATGTAATCAACCTAAGAGTCCATCGACAGATGAGTGGATAAAGAAAATGGGGTGTGTATATATATAATGGAATATGTATTTGTCCATTTTCATACTGCCATGAATAAATACCCAAGACTGGGTAATTTGTAAAGAAAAAGAGGTTTAATGGACTCATAGTTCCACATGGCTAGGGAGGCCTCACAATCATGGCGGGAGGTGAAGGAGAAGCAAAGGCACATCTTACATGGCAGCAGGCAAGAGAGTGTGTGCAGAACTGCCCTTTATAAAATCATCAGATTTAATGAAACATGTTCAATATCACGAGAACAGCCTGGGAAAATGTGCCCTCATGTTTCAATTACCTCCCACCTGATCCCTCCCATGACATGTGGGGATTATGACAGCTACAATTCAAGATGAGATTTGGGTGGGGACACAGCCAAACGATATCAGAATATGATAAAGAATAAGTACCTGTTATTTGCAGCAACATGTGTGGAACAGGAAGCCATTATGTTAAGTGAAATAAGCCAGGTATAGAAAGACAAATATCACATGTTCTCACTTATATATGAGAGCTAAAAAAGTTCATGTAGTGAAGGTAGAGAGTGGAATTATGGGTATCAGAGAGTAGAAAGGGTGAGAGGTGGTGAAGAGAGGTTGGGTAATGGGTACAAACACACAGTTAGATAGAAGGCAAAAAGTTCAAGTGTTAGCTAGCATGGTAGGTTGACCATAGTTAACAGTAATTTATTGTACATTTCATCAAAGCTAGAAGAGAAGTTTGAAATGTTACCAACACAAATAAATTGTAACTATTTGGAGTGATGGGTATCCTAATTGTCTGAATTTGATCATTACACATTATATGCATGTCTCAAAATATCACATAGATTCCATAAATATGCACAACTATTATGTATCAATAAAAAAGCAAACAACAATTTACAAAACCTGTACAACATTATTTTATCTCCATTAAATATAATCTGCATGTGTCTCAGTTTTGTTTTGGTCCTTGAATTATCTGTTTCCGTTTGTTTTAGAAGATGGCATTGAGGGCAAGTTGCCCTTCTGAAAAGTGATTAAGAAACTGTACAGCATACCTAAGCCTGGACTTTCTACTAATTCTCGTATCAGAATAAATGTTTTCAGGTGCATTTTCATATACTGGGCAATTGGTATAACTAATAATCATGTTTTTAATGGTCGTTGGGTAAACTTATAGATGTTCACAAAAGGGAAATAAAAAGAGTAGGTACTTTTGTTTTTGTTTTCATTATATAAAACAAATAAAATCAGCTTACATTAAGTACTATGCCATGGAGATTTGAGTTGAAAATTCCTTTGTGTGAAACTTCAGTGACCTCTAATCTGATCATAGATTTGGTCATAAACTCTTTCATGGAGATAGGCCCGAAGTACACTTCTAAGCCTACCTTTTTCATCTCCTTCCCTTGTCTTTCCAATCTCCATCTTTTACTTTCAATCCCCATCTCCAGGGAGGAGAGAACAGAATGTCATGTGATTTGTGGGCTTGCTTAAACAGTCTTCTATAATGCAGACATGGTTGGTATAGAACTAGGGTTGTGGCCTTGAGTGCAGCTATTTCTAAGCAAATAGTGAACTTTGTCATCTTAAATGCTCATATTAACAAATTAGACACAATTAACAAATTAGGGAATCAAAAATATGCCCTTTTAAAAGGATCTTCAACATATTACTAAGTACGGTTATATAAACATCTATGGCTGGAAATCAATGACCATAATTGGAAAATATGAAATGGAGTGATGGGCCTGCTAGCATGAAAAAGTGTCCATGAACCCAATGTCCCAAGATTTGCCAAGAATAAGAGATGCACAGGCTTGGGGGTGGTTTCTAGTAATATTATTATTATTAAAATTAAATGATATAGCAAACTTATATTTTGACTGCTATTTATTGAGTAATGAGATAAGAAAGTAGGCTCAATTTGCCATCTTATGTGTATCAACCCATTAATGATAATTTATCCCCTGAGAGTTCCACGTTTTGATCACATTATTTGCTAATTTTACTTCGAGGAGCCTCAGAATTCTTTAAACATTGTTAGTGAATCCACAATTAAAGCAGATTCCAGTCTGTATTTAACACAACCCACATTTATAAACTTTTCAACATGTTGTTTTGTTTTACCATTTAACATCTCCTACTGGCCTCAAGATCACCTAACATAAACAAATAGGTATTAAATATTGATGACGTTCTTATTGAGAACCAGGTAATTTCACAGTAACAATAATTTTCAAATTTCGAGTTTCTCTCTTTCTCTTCCTTTTTTTTTTCTGAACCACAGAAACTTTCATGACCATTACTTACTTGAAAAGGGATTGTAAGCATGGAAAAGATGTATGTGATATCTCATAATTTAGATTTGTATATTTTTACATTATATCTAGAAATATTTACTCAATAAATATTAGGACCGGGAAAAAGGGGGAGTTTTAAATACTGCATCCAATGTCCTCATTTATAGCTGAGGAAACTGACATGCAAAGAGGTGAAATGACTTGTCCAAAATTCCTCTGCCTGTAAGTGGAAAAGCCAGGGAAATAGCTCAGGTCTTCTCTGCAGTCTAGAATCTTTCAGTATACTGTGAAATTGTTCTAATTGCAATCCAAAATCATACACCAAAGACTTGTGTCTCTATGTGTGTGTGTTGTATGTCATTTGAAAGTCAGTTGCTAAATACTCATCGAACTAATCAAAAAATGGCAGCTATGGTAATGTCTATGTGTCTATAAATATGATGGATACATAACCTTGTGTTCTTCCTGTTCCATGTGCCTGCAGCAATTGTCCTCAAAATGACCGTGGCTTCCCACAGCCTTCTCCCTTTAAAAGCTCTGCCATTTTTTCCCCACAGGAAGTTTTGTTTTCTCTTACTATAGCAGAACCACGTGGCTTGAGATTGACAAGTAACCTCTTTGCAGGTGTCATTTCCCAAGAATCAACAGCTCTGCCACAATGTTTCCAATTATGTTTGACAGCGTCCTTGTAAAAATCTGTCAACAACCTATTCAGCTTGTCACATACAAAGTACACTTTCCTAGTCTGGTCTTGTCTCCCCAGCAACAGGTATTAGGTCAAACCAAACTACACGGTCATCATGGAGAGTTAGAGCCTTACAAGGACCACCCTAGAGTGATTTTAAAAAATCACTTTTGGGCCAGACGCGGTGGCTCAAGCCTGTAATCCCAGCACTTTGGGAGCCGAGGCGGATGGATCACGAGGTCAGGAGATGGAGACCAACCTGGCTAACACGGTGAAACTCTGTCTCTACTAAACATACAAAAAATTAGCCGAGCATAGTGGCACGTGCCTGTAATCCCAGCTACTCTGGAGGCTGAGGCAGGAGAATCGCTTGAATCAGGGAGGAGGATGGAGGATGCAGTGAGCCAGATCGCATCAGTGCACTCCAGCCTGGATGACAGAGCCAGACTCCATCTAAAAAAAAAAAAAAAAAAAAAAAAAAAAAAAAATCATTTTAGGATGAAACAGAGTTATTAAGGAGACATTGCTGATTAAATTCACTGGAAGCCCATGATAGGGAGTGCCATTGAGGTTGATAGCTCTGAATACTCTGAAGAAGGCTGCACTCATACATTAATGTATTCAGCATAGTCAGGGGTTACATCTCAGACTGCTGACAGAATCTGCCGATTTGATAACTGAGCAGCCATCATTGTACACTGAGAAATCCTGGAAGAAGGAAAAAGTGCCAGGAACTATAAAGGTGAGAACGTGTCCTGATTTTTTAGAGAGGAAAAAATCAGGAATGTGTCCTCATTTTTTAGAGAGGAAATTACAGATTTTTGTCACTGTCTAACGGAGGCAATTAAATTAATGTTGTATTTGAACACTTAGGATACATAAGATCTCTCATACAGGTATGTGAAGATATCTATTATATGGGTTGACTCACAATGCATGAAATTAATGATCAATGAGAACTAACATGAGTTAAGAGCCAAGTGTTGCCAAATTTCTTAGTTGTCTTTTTTATAGAGAGTAAATAAATATTTCATAATGGAATAAACATGGTGAAATGAGAGCTGGATAATATATTTATTTGATTTCAAGGTGGTGTCATAGCGCTTTCATCATAAATGGAGAAAAAAGTTCAGTGTTAACTTTAGCTATGTTCTGCTGAGAATTTTATGTGATTTAAATGAAGCCATATGAGATCTATTTAGCAAACTTGGAACAAGTTTAAGATCTGTATTTACCAGAATTACACTCCATGAAGGCAGGGCGTTTTTCTCTCTGATTCACTGCTTGATTCCCAATTCTTAGAAAAGTGTTTGCCTGATACACATACTAAATATAATTTCATTGAATGAATGCAGAAAGCCTGGGGAAACGGAATACTATGTAAAAATGGGTGTCATCAGGTAAACAGGAACTCCAGTCCTTCTCAGGTGTCATTTACCTGATCATAGAGTTTCCAATGAGTTGGTTCATGTTGATCTCGAATTTATTCTTGGCTGCCATATTTTCTTGTGTTTCTACTCTATATGTCTTAGTAGTTCAGCCTACTACAACAAATCACCACAGACTGGGTGGCTTAAGCAACAAACATCCATCACATATCTGGAGGCTGGGAAGTCCAAGATCAAGATGCTGGCAGATCTGGTGTCTGATGAGGGCCTGCTTTCTTATTCATAGACAGCCATCTTCTGGCTGTGTCTTCATATGGTCAGAGGGGCAATGTGGCACTCGGGGATCTCTTTTATAAGGGCACTAATCCCATTCATTAGGGCTCCACTCTCACAACTTAACCTAACCTAAAGTATCTCCAAATACCATCACACTGGGAGTAAATATTTCAACATAGAAATATTGAGTGTGACACAAACATTTAGTCTAGATCACGCCTAAATGTGACTTAGTCTCTGAAGAGAGTAAATGTCTATAAAAGACATTACTGCCACTGCTTAGGTGCCTAAATGCAATCTCTACTAATGATTCCTGGGTTGAAGCTGTCAGCCTCAGAAGCCAAAAAGGGAAAGAGAAGCGTAGGAAAAATGCCTGCACAACTTCCAACTTTTCATTGCATGAAAAAACTTTTGCAATGGGGATTTAAAATGCTCAAGGCTGGAAACACCAGTGTTTGGACAGAGTGCTAACTCCTCAGTGTGGAAACAACCTCATGGCAGTGAAACACAATACGTTTTTCACATAACTTTATTGTAAATGCAAATATTACGTATCATATAGCACCGCTACTGTTGCAGGCATTCCTACCTCCACCGTGACTTCCTGTGAAATGCAATTGCACCTTCCCTGTAAAAATTTCCTTTTTCGTTGCTATGTAGAAAATCATTAACATAGCCTAAGTGATACTGCTATTCTTAGAAAGACTCCCTTGCCAGGTTGGCCCTCGGGTGGCATGTGGTAACTTCAATTTCCCACCATTCTAGGAACTGATAAATGTAGCTCCCTGTGCCTAAACCGTACAAACATTATGGTTTATGCTGAATACTTGCTTTCTTTCTGAGAGTCTGCAATACTGATACATCTGAGGCTGAGGGTTTTTACATGACCAGCTACCAATAGACACTTCAGGCACTGAGGTTGTAATGCATTCCTCTGGTAGATGATGTTTTACATGCATTGTGACAACTTGTTGCTTGAGGTATTAAGTGTGTCTTGTGTGAGTACACCATGAGAAGTCTGTTGGAAGCTTGAGTCTAGTTTTCTCTGAATTTCACCCCAGGTGCAAGAAAAGGTGACTTTTCTCTTTGCTGATTTTGCTTTGTATTCTGTTGCTAGAATAAGTCATAGCCATGAACATAATTATATACTGATTTCTATGAGTGTTCCTAGTGTATCATTAAACCTAGCAGTATTTATGGGGACCCCTGACACAATTGCCAAGAAATGAAGCACATTAACCGTACAGATTTTATCTGAGACTACATTCTGAGCGTCCCTGGAAATTATCGTAATCCAATTCTTTTAATGTCTACTTGCTTATTTAAAAATACCCATTTGACATTTTAAAATAACTAAAAGAGTATAATTGGAATGTTTGTAACACAAAGAAAGGATAAATGGTTGAGGTAATGGACAGTTCATTTACTCTGATGTGACACATTGTGTGCCTGTATCAAAATATCTTGGGTACTCCATCACAAGATATTATTTTTTACTTTTATTTTTAATTAAATTTTTCTTTTTTACTTTTACTGTTATTATTTTGTTAGTATTAGTATTTATTTTTCTACCATTATCTTATTGGATCATACTTGATTTTTACCTCACATTTGTTTGCTTGTTAATTTTTTTTACTTTTAATTTTATGAGTATATAGTAGGTATATATAATTATATATTACATGTTAATATAGATTATACAGAGATAATATATATAGTAGGTGTATATATTTTTATATATTATATATTTATACATACACCTACCTTATACCCATTGATATGGTTTGGCTGTGTCCCCCTCCAAATCTCATCTTGAATTGTAGTTCCCATAATCCCAACCTCTCATGGGAGGAACCGGGAGCAGATGATTGAATCATGAGGGAGGTTTCGCCCATCCTGTTCTTGTGATAGTGAGTTAGTTGTCTTGAGAAGTGATGGTTTTATAAGGGGCTTCCCCCTTCGTTGGACACACATTCTTCTCCTTGATGCTGCCATGTGAAGAGGAACATGTTTGCTTCCCCTTCCACCATGATTGTAACTTCCTGAGGCCTCCCCAGCCATGCTGAACTGTGAGTCAATTAAACCTCTTTCCTTTATAAATTACCCAGTCTCGGGTATCTCCTTATTAGCAGCAGGAGAATGGACTAATACACCCATAAAATTAAAAGTAAAAAAATTTAGCAAAACAAGTTAACAAAGGCATTTGTGGTAAAAAATCACATATGATCCCACAAGATAATGGGAGACAAATAATTACTAATAAAATAATGGCTAAAAGTATTGAACTTGTCTATTTAATTCATTGAGCTGATTAGTACAGCTACATCATTATTCTTCATAATTCCTTGGACACTATGATTAGTCTTTAGCATGCATTATCTCATTTAAGCTTTACAAAACTTCGATCTTTAAAATCATAAGTTTAGAAATGAAAAAACTAAGGCACTGAGAAGATAAACACCATGTCAAAAATCCCATAGCTGAAAATTAGTGGAGTGGAGAAAAGTAGTGGAGTAGTGGAAGCAATAGCTTTGTGACCTCAGAGTCTTGGTGCTCAACACTGCATAGGCTCAAATTTTCTGATCTTTAGATTTATCCTCCAATCAGATCATTACTTATTTGCCTTAAACCAGTCATGATACTCCTTGTAGGTCTCTTTTAGGATAATTCATTTTTTTTTTCACAAAAAAACTCCTGAGTTTGTTAACCATACGAACATATATGATGTGCACACCCACCCGCAGTCCTCCAGATACCAGAAATACGTCTGAATCACAGGAACAAAAATGAGTCAAGCTTGTGTTAGGGACAAAACTAAATTTTTTATGAAAGCATTTGAAACTTTGCCGTAAAGTTCATTATGTTCTCAACTTGCTGTTGCCAAAATCGTTGAGAGCAGGGATTAGATCTTAGATATACTTAACTCTTTAGCAGCATGCACAGTTTCTGGCACATACTAGGAACTTAATTTAAAAATAATGTGGTTGGCAACTAAACAAATGAGTGTTGGGCTACAGAACTTGCTTGAGGATTTGGTCAGATGGAACACGGTCCAGAGAGTTGTGTTTGGAGTCACAATTTGGATTAGAGGTTTGGACAGCAAGTGGAAGTGTTTCCACATAATATTCACAGCTGAAACATATGTTACAAATCCATAAAAATAAACGTGGCTAGAAACCACACTAAGGAAAAAAACTTATTTGCAACAATAGGAAAAGTGGCTGAGTGAATTCATATTATTGATCTATTAGGAGGAATAAAGTACATGTCTTCCATAAGCATTCAATAAGAAAAAGCAAGAGGCAGTTTTATAGGTATGAAATGATTACATTTTTATTAAAATACACAAATATGCGTGTGTGTGTGTGTGTGTGTGTGTATATATATATACTTATTTAAGAAAAGGAAAGATACATATTAATGTGTCAAGAAAGGTACAGAGATTTACCTTATACAAATGGAATGGAATGGGTTCAGGGGAATCTTTAGCTACTTTCATAAATATAAATATTTATTTCTAGCCATGGTAAGATTATGGATGATTTTGGTAGTTTATAACTATTTTTACCAATATACATACACATAAACATGTTGAGTTAGACTGATACATCTTGGTACATAAATATATTAATGTTATATCAAGTGAATAAATTTGGAATTACAAAGGAGCAGCTTGCTGATTGAGACTGTCTGTGTGTATGAGAGATACACGTGTATATATATGTGGAAGGTACACTAAACTGACATTTTTGGGGTGAATTTACGTAGGACTTTTATTTTACAGTTTGGCTATTGTAGAAAATTGCTTGCAGTGAACTAGTTTATTTTATCATGAAATAAAGAAAAACAAACCAAAAAGGCAATATTAGGGTTGGCATAGCAGAAGCAATAATTCTGCTGTAATGATGGCTAGGAAGTAAATGCTGTCCTTTTATTTATGGAAGCAAAGGTCTTCTCTAGGTCCAAAAGGATGAGGTAAAATTCAAACTTCTAAGCCTGGCATTCAAGAGCCCCTGCAATCTGGCCTCAATATAGCGTTATGACCTTGAGTCCCATATGTCTCATAAATTCCATTCTATGAAATTGTTTTGTTCATATCCTCAGAATGCACTTTGCAGAGTTCTACTTCCACAAATATCCTCATACCAAATTTTATTACCTGGAATGACATTCCTTCTCCTCTGTACCTTTCAGAGTCCTATATTCTATCCTTATTTGAATTCTTTCTTTTCCTTAAAAGCCATGTTTTCCCTGAAATCCAGTGTGGAGTTCCAATCCAGCTTGTGCAAGCTAAAGAGAATTTATTTCACCCACAACATTCATTAACACCCTAGAAACAGGTGATGAGATGCCTTAAGCCTAGCCCCTAATAATAAAAATGTCCCAAAGTTAATATATATTTGTTATGTCCCACTTCAATATTTCCCATATACATATGCATACAGAAAAACATAACGGGAACATCTACACACTGGAACAAATACTTAAGAACACTGCAAAGAGAGAGAAAGAAGTGGAGGTTTATCATGTTTTACTTCAGGGATTCCACAGTTCTATTACACTTTTTTGAATTATTGTAGATTATTAACATATTGTGATTGAAAGCATCTCCCAATTAGCCCCATGATATTCCCCAGAGAAAGCCAACTTTCCAAACTGACCAGTTGCCAAGTAAACAACGTATTAATGAGAGGTCAAGAGTCGAAGCGTGGAAGTCAGATGAAATCCTGGGTTTGGAATTCACTTCCTCTGCTTACTAGCTGTGTGGCCTTAAGTGAATTAAGTAACTTCTCTGAACCTCAGTTTCTTCATTTATAATTAGCATTGGTAATACTACAGACTGCACAGAACCACAAAAACCCTAGAAGAAAACCTAGGCAATACCATTCAGGACATAGGCATGGGCAAGGACTTCATCTCTAGAACACCAAAAGCAATGGCAACAAAAGCCAAAATTGACAAATGGGATCTAATTAAACTAAAGAGCTTCTGCACAGCAAAAGAAACTACCATCAGAGTGAACAGGCAACCTATAGAATGGGAGAAAATTTTTGCAATCTACTCATCTGACAAAGGGCTAACAGAATCTACAAAGAACTCAAACAAATTTAGAAGAAAAAAACAAGCAACCCCATCAACAAGTGGGCAAAGGATATGAACAGACACTTCTCAAAAGAAGACATTTATGCATCCAAAAGACACATGAAAAAGTGCTCATCATCACTGGCCATCAGAGAAATGCAAATCAAAACCACAATGAGATACCATCTCACACCAGTTAGAATGGCGACCGTTAAAAAGTCAGGGAACAACAGGTGCTGGACAGGATGTGGAGAAATAGGAACACTTTTACACTGTTGGTGGGACTGTAAACTAGTTCAACCATTGTGGAAGTCAGTGTGGTGATTCCTCAGGGATCTAGAACTAGAAATACCATTTGACCCAGACATCCCATTACTGGGTATATATCCAAAGGATTATAAATCATGCTGCTATAAAGACACATGCACACGTATGTTTATTGCGGCACTATTCACAATAGCAAAGACTTGGAACCAACCCAAATGTCCAACAGTGATAGACTGGATGAAGAAAATGTGGCACATATACACCATGGAATACTATGCAGCCATAAAAAATGATGAGTTCATGTTCTTTGTAGGGTCCTGGATGAAGCTGGAAACCATCATTCTAAGCAAATTATCGCAAGGTCAAAAAACCAAACACCGCATGTTCTCACTCATAGGTGGGAATTGAACAATGAGAACACATGGACACAGGGTGGGGAACATCACACACCGGGGCCTGTTGTGGGGTGGGGGGAGGGGGGAGGGATAGCATTAGGAGATATACCTAATGCTAAATGACGAGTTAATGGGTGCAGCACACCAACATGGCACATGTATACATATGTAACAAACCTGCACATCGTGCACATGTACCCTAAAACTTAAAGTATAATAAAAAAAAGTATCATATAATACGTGCAAAGTTGATGTTGTGACAAATCCGTTCCCTACCATTTACGGGCTCGACTGTCCAAACTTCAGCTACCAGCCCCTGCTGTTCCTTGGCTGATATATTTAACTGTCTGTTCTGCCTGCAAACAGGGCAGGTTGCAGGTTTTCTGTTTCATCAGCAGGACTCAACTACGACTGCTGGGCACTGGCAGTTAAATGCCCCAGTGTCCTCTTCGTTAGGCAGGATGCCTGTAAGGGTCATATCTTATACTTTGTTTCAGGTTCCCTCAGGGAAAGCAGGCCCACTGTAGTAATTGTCTGACAATCTACCTTCCGTAGCCTTTTTACCTATTGTCTTATTTTCCTATTCCAATACTTACATTTCTTGGAATCATCTCTTTATTAAACGACTTGTACTCAAATCCTTGTTTGAGCGCCTGCTTCTAGGGGAACCCAAATAAGACAATCAAGGGCATGGCATAGAATAAGCATTTGGCAAATGTTACATTCTATTCTATGATTACTACTTCTAAACTATTTACATTAACAATTCATAGTATGCTTTTCACGTGATTCACCTTCCATACATCGAAAGAAGACGAGCCTGGAAGTATAGTAAATCCTGTATAGAAAATGGAGAAAAGTAAAGGCTTACAATTCTAATTATCTAATGATGACAGTGCTGTCAATGAAGCTGCCAAAACTACTGTCAGGGAAAATGGAATGTCCCTTTTGTTACATGAAGAAAAGAAAGGCCCAGGGTACATAGTACATACCAAACAAGTTAGTTCTCATAAATATTTCCAGTAGTTCCCAGCTTCTTGCCATTTGTGTATTCTACATTTGAAGCCAAAAATACTAATTCATCCATTGAATATCTGCTCTGGAATGTCATCTCTCATACTGGTTTCTCCTACAACACCATGTATTTGTTATACACCATGTAATGACTAGCATGACTAGACTGTTCTTCATTCATAACTATATTCAATCGAGCAAAAGGTAATTGATAATTCTTATAGTGAATTACAATGATATGTAAATATTATGATTTACTAACTTCTTTTACATCCATTCTCCCATTACAGCCTTTCAACTGTGCTATGAAGCAGTATAGGTGTGTATTAGTAGACTCATAAAACAGATGAAGAACCCATGATTTAGAGAAAATAAATTATTTACTCAAATGCCTAGTCAGAATGTTGAGTCCTTGAACTGGATGTAACATTTTTTAAATTATATTACTCCTTTTAGAAAACTGACTTAAATCGTCTAAGAACCTATCTAATACTAGTTAAACAATGAGTACAAAGTTGTCTAAAAGTTTTAAACACACATAGATTCAACAAACTTTAACCTTTCTGACCCTGACCTCCAGATCCAGACTGAGTTCAATGCCGATATTCTTACTTAACACTCCTGTCACACCATCTTTTTCTGGCCTGTACCTTGCAGTGTTTCCACTTGTTCATGCCAGGTGGAGTAAGACAGAGACCATAGTTTGTTTGCACATGGTGGTATACCAGTTGTCTGGGGCAGTGCCTGGTACTGAAGTAGAGGATTTCTAAATATTTGTAAAATGTATTACAGATTAATCATTCTGCACATGTGCCACTTTTCTTGTATGGAAGTGCTGATTTATGAATATGTTTTCAAAAGCAATTATAGTTTCCCAACAAGTATCTACTGTTATGCCTACTTCCATTATAACCGAAATAAGGTTAAGAAAATGTTTTCTGTTAAGGAAGAAAGTATGCCCAGTGCTTATGAGATCAATGGGACTGTGTATTGTTGTAGAAAGTGACTCTGTGGTCAAAATACTAATTTGAATTCCCAGTCTGCGTTTCTACTTTTCTACTGTAAAATGTTGATAATGTAACAAAATTTAGGAGTTTCAGTTTCATTTTCTGTAAAATGAAAAATGATATTAATTTTTGTTGGGATTAGAATAAAATGTATATTAAATGACTTCGCATTAAAAGCATTCAGTAAATGGGGCAATTATTCTTTGATCTTCATGTTTGATCTTTCTTCATAGTATTTATAAACTAGCAAGTCTGTTGGTTTATATGACTATTGTCTGTCTCATCCCCAGCCAGAATGGAAGCTCTGTGGCAATAGAGACTGTTGTATACACTGCTAATTTCCTAGTTAGAACAGTGCCTGAGACAGAGTAGGTGGTTAATTACTATATATTGACTGGAAGGATGTCACGATTTTATAAGTTGGTGACTCATTAGGCATGCTCACTCTACGCCAAAAGACATGGATAAATTTGAAAATATCATTATGCTTTATCCAGCCAGGGTTGGACTTTATACTGTGAAAATTCACAGGATTTTAGGTCTCCTGGAGTTGAGTTAAGATCACAATGACTCGTCTTTTGATGAATCTCAAAGTGCACAGGATAGTCGTTACTCAGGGAACTTTCTACTTTGGACACTTCTGCATTGCCCATTTTCTTTTTAGGGCACAGTTACTCATTCTACAAGACACACTTTAAAATGAAGAAGCTGGGGCTGGGTGTGGTTGTGTAATTTCCCCAAAGGTACCCAGCTAATTAACAACAAAGCTTGATTCAAAACCAGTCTCTTGATTAAGATTTGTGCTCCTCCTATTCTGCCAACCAGGTGTGAATTAGTAACAGAGTATTTTTAAAAAATAGTATGTGTGTCAGTCACTAGTATTTCAAGTACTCTGGGAATCTGCTTAAATATAATTCTTAGGGTAACTTCCTTTTTCCTTCTTCCCCAGTTTTTTCTCTTTTGTTTATGTATTTTGTTTATTTTTATCTCTTCATATCTCTTGCTTTTTGAATGGTACCTTAAATGACAAGTTTTCATTTTTATGAAAAAATATTTTCTTCAATTGAATAGAATAATCTTGATAAATACTCACTCAACAACACTAATAATTTATTATAGCACTTCTGCAATGACAATTCAAAATTATACATATCTCATGTGCAAACACAAGTAACTTATGATCATATTTACATAGTTCATACATAAGCAGGGAACAACAAAAAGAAACTGTAATTTATCACTATGCCTGTGGCCAATATGTTGAGACACAGCTTTGTGTTTTGAAAATCACAATGTGTATTTTTAGAGCATATCTAAAAAGTGTGTTCCCCTTCTAATAAACTTTATCCATTCTTAAGGCAACATTCACTTACAAATATTCTACATTTTCTCCTCTAAAGTTGCAGAGGTTTTTTTTTTTTTTTTTCAACATGAAAATCTCATTTCCATAAGAAAAAGGCAGCTGTGTTCCTAATATAGAACTGAAACATGACTGCTTTAAAAGTGGGCCCTGACACATTGATTCAAACTTTTCCCATCTTCACTTGTTAGCCATTCAGTGAAAAGGCAGTGATGGATTATGGAAAATGTAAGAAGTACTAAAAATATATTTTTCACCTAAGCACACTGTTTTCTTAAAAATAAAAAAAGCAAAATAGTGAAACAGTTGTCTTTACTCAGTACTATTTTTTCCCTATCTTTTTTTTCATTTATTTTTCTATAACTGAATCTTCATTCCAGTTGAGATTTTCATCATGTTTCACAGTCTCTAATGGAACCAGCTTGACCAAGCTCACTTTGAAAATTGAATTTCAGAGGGTAAATTCATTATAAATTGAAATAGGACATTCTAATTAAAATGAATACTTTTCAAAGGAATCATCGATATTTCCCAGGTGATCCTTTCTTGCTGCCCTTATTTCTCTTCCATAGTACATATTTTATAGATGCTTTAAAGCTGTAGCTCAAATTAATACATCTGTGCACCAATACTTGGTGGAGCTATTCATTCTTAACTGTAAATAATTTTGGAGTATTAGAAATGACACAGGCAACTTTGAATAAAACTCATTCATTTTACAAAAGAGGAAACTGAGGCCTATAGAGGGAAACATGAATTTTTGTTTGAGAATATCTATATTTGAAATTTTGTAGTTCTGATAATATTAAGGAGGATGACCATAATAATGTTATGGCTGTTTGACTGCAATTCAGGATAAAGCAATCAAGAAAAACATCCAAGTGAATTCTATTGACTAGCACACTCATCCATCTGAAATTGACTTCATAGGCAATGCATATCAATTAAAGAATGCAGGGAATAAATCATTTTCTTTTCTTTGTTGGGAGTTATTTAAGTATTATTATTAGAAGCCAAGTTATTGCTAAGTAGCTTCACAGAATTAATTCTTGAATATATATATACATATAAGTTATTTGATGCTCAGTCTTAAATATCATATAATATATATACATATGTATTAATGTGAATATATAACTATATTGTATATATTAATGAATATATAACTATATTCATATGCATTAGTATGACTATATATAATTATATCCATATATGATATGAATAATATTTGTATATATTAACATGAATATATATAATTATACCTATATATTAACATATACATAATATGAATATAAATATATTCAACTCATAAGAGTTCAAATAATGAGGATAAACTGCCCAGAGCTTCACAGTAATTATGTAGCAGAATATGAATGTCCAGCAGCTTCTAACACTGTAGGAACAGCACTTGATGACTTGCCCCTATTTAGGGGTCAAAACTAATTGTTTTGTCCTTATATTGGGACAGAATGTGGGGGTTGTTCCTATATTGCTGCTTTAAAAATAAATCTAAAATATGGACTTTATTTGAATTGAACAATTTTTCCATTAATGTCCCTTATCGTTCTAGGATTTAATCCAGAATCCTACACTGAATTTAGATATCATATATCCCAGCTTTTTTTTTGTCTGAGACAATTTCTTCGGTTTCTCCTTGCTTTTCACGACTTTGAGATATGTGAAAAGTATCTATCAGTTATTTTGTCAAATGTCCCTCATTTTGGATTTGCTCAAAGTTTTCTCATAATTAGATAGAGGTTGTACATTATTGGGAATGATACCAGAGAGGTGATGAGTCTTCCTCATAAAGACTAATTTTCAAACAGTAACCAAACCAGTTTCTGAAGCTTTATCTAAATATTTCAGATGGATCATTCTTTATTTTTCTCTGAGTGCCATCTGACGTTTTATCTTCTAGTTTTGGGAGAGATTAATCTCAATTACATATAAGGAAACTGAGGCCCAAGAAGATGACAGGACTGAGCATCACATAACTCATGAACAGATTTATGCCTTAAATTTCTTTCTTCAGAGCTTTAGCTCACGGACTCCCCAGCAAAGTTCACTGTGAAAACTTTAGAGCCTCATGACCTCAGGGTGTCCTAATAAGATTCATGTGAACTCAACATTTTCTTTCATTTCCAGCCACAAGGCCCTAATTAGACATGTCACTTTACAGCTTCATATGTAAGATTCATGAAGAATGTTTCCTCAGAAATTCACCATCAGTGCATTGGGCTTCTATCTTCTTTCTTCCTCTGCTCCTAGGGAAATTTTGTCTCCACATGGCCATGAGGGAAATGAGTGCTTCTTACCCTAATTGGAATAAGGTACGCCACCACTCAGAGTTGAGCATTCTTGGTGTGTCTTCTCTATAAACCTGACTCCTGAATAATGATTTGGCTCTGCAAAAATTGGTGCCTTGGAACCCTGCTGAGGTGCTGCCATCAAAACAGAAAAAAAAAATCAAACGTTACTCTGAATGGAGTCTTAATAACAGTTGGAAACTTCAGCCTCCTGCCTATAATTTATTTACAACGAATCTTTTTGAAGGGAACTATCTTGGAGAATTCTATGTGGCTTTGATGTTTGCAAAAGTAACCCTGTAAAGACAGATGGGAAGAAGATGCATAGAAACACAGATAGATACACCTACAGGTAGAAAATAAAACAGATTAAAATAAGAAATCTGTCCAGTAACTCGTATATGAGCTTTTCGTTCTTACATTTTTCCTATGACCAAACCCCTACCTTGACCCTAGTCACTGTTTAATCATCTGTGGCCAGTGTTTTAGCATAAGTTCTTCCATAGACACTTTTAGAAAAGGATTTTAGAGAAAGTAGATTTTGTTCTGGGGGAGAGGGTTTTGATGTTCAGAGTATGATCCAGAGAAGGAAATACAGCTAATAAAGGGTACGTTACAGACGGAATTGTGTTCCCCAAAATTCATATGTTAAAATCAGATTCCCGACGTGACTGTGCTTGGAGACATGGCCTTTAAGAAGAAAATTAAAGTTAAATGAGGTCATAAGGGTGGGGCTCTATACTACAGGACTAGTCTTTATAAAAAGAGTAAGAGACCAAAAAGAGACCTCTCTCTCTCTCATTCTGTGTGTGTGTGTGTGTGTGTGTGTGTGTGTGTGTGTGTGTGTGTGTGTACATGTCCACAGAGGAAAGGCCATGTGAGGACACAGCAAGAAGCTGGCTGTCTGCATGCCAGGAAGAGTGGCTTCATCAGAAACCATCCCTGCTGGCGCTTTGATTTCAGATTTCTTGGCTCAAGAACTGTGAAAAAAATAAATGTCTGTTGTTTAAGCCACCCAGTCTGTGGTATTTTCTTATGGCAACCGGAGCTAATTCAGGGTACATCATTAATCCAGCTATCACAGTGGGCAACTGAAGTGCAATTTCCCTGGGGAACTTCAAGAATTGCTGCGCCTAAGATTTGCTTCTTCCCAAGGGATGAGGAATGTTTCTACATCAACTGGAATATCTCTACCCCAACTCCTAATAGGCGTGGGCTAATGACTACTCCCATGGGTCATTAATTTCCCCAAAATTTCATTCAGAGGCACAGTGACTATCTGCAATTTTGGAAAGAAAGGGAGACCTTAAGAATGCATGCAGATATTTGCAGTTGGAAGCAAGTATGAGCGTAGTGAAAGGGGCTGTGGAAACAAGCAGGGCTCTAGCAGTGCCTCCCACACCCAAGAAATAGACTCTACTCTTAATTCTAGGAGAGTTTTTGCTTCTTAGTTTATCCTACAGGGAACAGGATGCCAGAAAACTGTAGTGTGTGTGTGTGTGTGTGTGTGTGTGTGTGTGTGTGCGCGTGCGCATGTGTACATATGTGATGTGTGTGCATGTGTGTATATTTGCACACAATATATGTGATATATTACCACATTGCTCCAGGATAAGGCTAAAAATGAGGTCATACTACCACTAATAGACTTTATTGAGCTCTCAGGTCCACCTGCCTTCATTATCTCCAGCCCCAGCAACATCCTCATCTACTTTATGGCAAATTCACAGAGTGGTTCACAGATTCTTATGAGTGTTCTGTCCCTAATACAAACCAACCATCATGCCCTTCTCTTCTGCATTCCATGGCTTTGGTAAGAGCTTTTTTTAATTATTATTATACTTTAAGTTCTGGGATACATGTACAGATCATGCAACTTTATTACATAGGTATACATGTGCCATGGCGGTTTGCTGCACCTATCAACCCGTCCTCTAGGTTTTAAGTCTTGCATGCATTAGGTATTTGTCCTAATGCTCTCCCTCCCCCTGGCAGGCCCCGGTGTGTGATGTTCCCCTCCCTGTGTCCATGTGTTCTCATTGTTCAACTCCCACCTATGAGTGAGAACATGCGGTGTTTGGTTTTCTGTTCCTGTGTTAGTTTGCTGAGAATGATGGTTTCCAGCTTCATCCACGTCCATGTAAAGGACATGAACTCATTCTTTTTGATGGTAAGAGTTTTGACTGAGGCCTGATGCCTTTGAAACTACGATGATGTACTTGCTCAAAAGCAGTTTCAGAAGCTGTCCACGGGATCTGCTCTTCTTCAAATCAGCATTT
Organism: Homo sapiens; assembly: GCF_000001405.40. Taxonomy (NCBI): domain Eukaryota; kingdom Metazoa; phylum Chordata; class Mammalia; order Primates; family Hominidae; genus Homo; species Homo sapiens. The sequence goes on along the minus strand of NC_000004.12, from coordinate 12,215,938 downwards.
ACATTATCTGCATCTTTCCTTCTTCCCCTGACTCTGTTACCTAAGCACCATGATGTTACAGTAACATAAAACGTGGACTTCGTCACACCACAGTTGTAAGTTACTGCAAAAGCCCTTTACATATACTTTTAAAATCAAATACAAAATGGTATAAAGTGATAACACTTTAACTTTTTAAAAATCAGATAAGGGACTGGGCACAGCAACTGGCACCTGCAATCCCAGCACTTTGGAAGGCTGAGATGGGAGGATCACTTGAGCCCAGGAGTTTGAGACCACCCTGGGGAATATAGTGAGACCTCGTCTTTACAAAAAAAAAAAAGTTTTAAAAATCAGCCAGGCCTGGTGTCATATGCTTGTAGTCCCAGCCACTCGGAAGGAAGACTGAGGTGGGAGGATCACTTGAGCCCAGGAGGTCAAGGCTGCAGTGAACCATGATCATGCCACTGCACTCCAGCCTGGGAGACAGAAAAAGACCCTGTCTCTGTTTTTTTTTTAATTGACTTTAAACTCTTTTAGAACTCAGTTATAGATAGTAAGAAATTCAAAACATTATAATATACTATGAATGAAGTATCATATTATAATAAATATAATATGTGACTAATATAAAAGTTTCCATTTAGAATAGTAACAAAAAGTTATGCAGGATCTACGAAAATACATTTTTAAATGCCTCTGAAGAACACACAAAAAAATGCTTCAGTGGGATAAAAAGGCAAACTATATTTTTGGGTATAAAGACACAGCATCTTAAAAATGTCAGTTCTCCTTCAAATGAATGTATTTTTGTATCCTGATAAAAATACTACCAAGATTCAATTGGAACTAAGTAATTCAAATCCTTAAGGTCAAATGGAATTTTTTTAAAAAATTATGAATAGTTAGAAAAAAATGTTTAAGAAGAAAGGTAATGAGAGTGTCTAGTCATTATAAATTGCCGTGAAGCTGTAGAAAAAGATAGTTTAAAAATTGTTGAGAGAACTGGATAGCCATCTGAAAAAGTTTTAAAATTAGAATATTTACTTTGTACCTCATGAAAAAGATTTAAATTAGGAAAAAAAAATACTTGTTCCAAAAAATTAAAAAAATCATTTGATGTGAAAAATTCTAACATAAATCCTAAAGGTTGTCAAAGAAAATAGTGTAAATACCACTACACATAAACCAAAAGAGAAAATTCTGCATTTAAAAACCCTATAAATATTAAAGTCAAATGACAAATAAAAAAAGATTATATGAATGCTTCCACATAGTGAAGTTTAATTACAGACCAGTTAGTTTAATTTAGTATGTAAATGAGCACTTAAAATGAAATAAGAGGAAGATCAGCACCCATTTAAAAATGAGCAAAGAACATAAACAGATAGTACACAAAAAAGACAAGTGGCTTTTAAATATGTAAAAGAAAATGTTTACCCTCAGTCCTGAGAAAAATCACAAGATATAGTTTTTATCTTCATGTTGCCAATATTAAAATGCTTGGTATTAGCGCTAATGAGAGTGTGCAAAACATTCTTATTGTTGATGTGGTTGTAAATAGTGAAAATCACTCTGGAAGACAAATCATACTTCTAAGTATCTATACCTTTACCCTGAACAATTATATTTTTAAAAGGTACCCTATAGATATCCACATCTGTAAGAAGTTTTTAAAGTAGAAGACAATTCTTTGCAGCATTGTTTGTTAAGAGCAACATCTTGCATAGAGAAACAAAATCAATTACATGTTCCAATTGAGACCTAGTCAAACAAAGTAATGTATGATACACACCTGAGATGCAGGATGACGCTTCAAAAACAAGGTGAGAATTTCGTTACTGTTTAGATAAGAAAAACACTCTTAAGATCCTTTCTCAAGTAAAAAAAGCAAAACACAAAGAGTAACAGTGCTATGATTTGTATAAAACACACACAACGTAAGTTTTCTTGTAGCTTCTTGGAAAACAGGAATGGGAAAGAGAGGTGCTTTTCAATGTATTAATTTTATCTATCATGAATATCAGACTTGTGCATATATTACAGTTACCAGCTGATATATTTATGAAGTAATAGTTTTAGCCTTTAATCTTGTTCATCTCTACTGTATTTTTGTTTTCTATTTAACTGTTTGATGTTCAGTTTTTCATTTTGTACTTTCTTTCACTTTATTTACTATGTTCTGCTTTTCTTGTTCTTGAATTTCCCAATTTATTTGGTTATCCATTCTTTTTGACCTTCCTCCCATCCCCTTTGGATTCAATTGTCTCTTTCCTTAGGTACTTCCTTTAGAAGTTGCCTCAATGAGCTGGGCACGGTGGCTCACGCCTGTAATCCCAGCACTTTGGGAGGCTGAGGTGGGCGGATCACGAGGTCAGGAGATCAAGAACATCCTGGCTAACACAGTGAAACCCCGTCTATACTAAAAATACAAAAAAAAAAAAAAATTAGCTGGGGGTGGCAGGTGCCTGTAATCCCAGCTACTTGGGAGGCTGAGGCAGGAGAATGGCGTGAACCCGGGAGGCGGAGGTTGCAGTGAACCGAGATCGCGCCACTGCACTCCAGCCTGGGCGACAGAGTGAGACTCCGTCTCAAATAAATAAATAAATAAATAAAGTTACCTCAATGAGAGACTGAGAAGCGGTCACAGAGTTTCCAGCATTTTACACATTTCTCTTGTGTAGAAACTCGTTTCACAATGTTTATTTAACATTTTAACTAGAGGGCAATTTGGACATCTACCCTAAGCTCATATTGTGTCTTTTTTTTTTTATTTTCCATTTTTCATGTTTTGATGATGGCTTACTTTAAAATAATTATCATTAACGTTTTGACATGGTTTTCTTTATCTATACTTGTTACTCTTATGTTTGAAAAACATTGAAGTGCAGATCCCGTGGCATTTTATCCCCATATACTCACCACATATCTTGAAAAAAACATGAAATGTTTTCTTACATTTCGTGAAATGAACCACAATTAACAAAATTAATAATCATTTCTCACAATTATCTAATATCTATTTAACATTAAATTTTCATAATTGCCTGAAAAAAAAAACCTCTACGAAGTCTTTTTTATGATCTAAACAAGATCCATGCAATGCATTTCATTCAGGTTTTCTGTATTCTTATAGTGAATGTGTTTTTCTTGTAAGCAGTAGGTACCAATGTGTGTGGGAGATACCAGGTTAAAGTATTTGCTTTTAACTAGAGCATTCAATCTGTTTGTAGTTAATGTAAAATGTGGTTTGGTTTAAAACTATCATCTTGCTTTATGTCTTCTATTTGTTTCACAAGCTGTTATTTTTTGTGTTATTTAAATATGTGGGTGTCAATTTTTAGAATATTTGATTATTCCATTTATCCTCTAATCTTATTCATTTGCTTTTAATCTTACTTTAGGAATTACCCAAGAAATTACTACATACACTCTTGATTTATTAAAGTTTAATACAAAGACATAAGAAATATAAGAAACACCTTAGCCTCATTAAACTCCCTCTTTATCCTATCCTATGTGTTATCCTGTACTTTAATTCTATGAAGAGATTTGAAAGTTCACATACATTATTATTTAGTCAATATTTATTTGAATGTAAACATTCATAATATAATATTATATATAATATATATATATATATAAAGCCCTAATATTTATTTTCTTCCTGCATCTTCAGTCTTCCATTTTAGATTATTTTGACTTTGCCCGAAGGGTATTCTTTAGTATTCCTCTCGGTGTGAATCTAATGGTAACAGATTTTCTTGGTGTCTGTTTGCTTGATTAAACATACGTTTATCTCATTATCATTCATTTATTGTTAAGATATTTTCACTGGATATAGATTTCCAGGTAAACAGTGATTTTCTTGCAGCACATTGTATATCACATTTCATCATTTTTCTGGCTTATCTCTGAAGTCAGTTGTCAGTCTTAATTGTATACCTTTCAAGGTAAGAAATATTTCTTTTTCTTTCTGATTACTAATACGGTTTGGCTGTGTCCCCACATGGATCTCATCTTGAATTGTAGTTCCCGTAATCCCCAGGATTGACACAGTGGGAGGTAATTGAGTCATGGGGGCGGTTCCCCCATGCTATTCTTGTGATAGTAAGTTCTCACGATATCCGAAGGTTTTATACCTTCCCCCTTCACCGGATTCTCATTCTTCTTCTCCCTGTCACCAAGTGAAAGTGAAGAAACGTATGTCCACTTCTCTTTCTACCATGATTGTAAATTTCCTGAGGCCTTCCCAGTCATGCTGAATTGTAAGTCAATTAAACCTCTTTCCTTTATAAATTACCCAGTCTTGGGTGTGCCTTTGTTAGCAGTGTAAGAACGGACTAATACAGTGCCTTCGGTGGTTTGTTTTCCATCTGCGTTTAATTTGTTTTTGTCTTTGGTTTTCTTCAGTTTTTCTATTGTATGCCTAGTGTGGTTTTTGGTTTTGTTGTATTTATCTTATTTGAATATCCTCTCCAGATATGTTTCCACTGCCTCCTGAATCTGAGATATTTTATGTCTTCTGCCAATTTCAGATTATTCAGGGCATGAATTATTTAAATATTGTTTCTTCTCATTTCCTCATTCTTCCTTCTGGGATACCATATTTTATACTTTACAAATTTTCTCCGTATTAAATATGTATTTTACAATATTTTCTATATTAAAATGTTTTGTTTCCAATTTAGTCTATATATTTTATGCTGTCCTATATGTTCTACCCTAAGCTATCTGGTTGACCTTCACCTACGTCTAATTTGCGTCTAATCATTGTTTAATCTATCAGGAAGTCTATTTGATTTTGTGATTTAAGTTATTAGAATATCCTGTGAGTATATGTCTATGGTCTTTTGATTTTCTTGTTTTTCTATGACTATTGCTTTACATTTTTTTTTGAAAGTTATACATGTAATACAGATATTTTGGAGACAATTTGAAGCTTAGCATGTGAATATCCTCTTCCAGAGAGGACTTGCTTTTTCCTATGGAAGGTGGCCACAAGCATGAAATATCAACTTAATCTAATTGTGGAGACAGATGTGATTGACAGCTGGGCTTCAATCTTTGTGTGAGCTGGTCTATTCCTTACTTTAGTTTTGGGATACAGCCTTTGTGGATCCAAAACCAGCTCCCCTGCCCCGACTCTGACTCCAGTATTCTAGCCTCTCTCTGCCTCCCCGATAACCCAATGAGGCTGCTGTAGTCAGCTCAAGCTGCTGTAACAAAGTACCGTAGGTTGGGGGGCTTAAACATCAGAAATTTATTTTATACAGTCCTGGAGGCTGGAAATTCAAGATCAGAGTGCCAGCATGGTTGGGTCAGTAGTTCTGGTGAAGAATTCCTTCCAAGTTGCAGACAGTTGGCTTCTCCTTATATCTTCACATGGCAGAAAGAGAGTGAGAGTCCTCTCTGGAGTCCCTTTTATAAGGGCGCTAATCCCACCATGAAAGCTGTACTCACATGACCTAATCACCTCCCAGAGGCCTCATCTCCAAATACCATCAAATTGGACGTGATTATTTCAACATAGTAATTTTGGCAGGATATAAACATTCGGTCCAGAACAGACGCTATCAAACTATCTGCCTGGCTTCTTGGTATTTTAGTAGCTTTTTCTGGAATTCTACCATTGCTGTTAGGAGAAAAGAGCTTTTTAAAGTCAGTTTCACATTCAACATTTCTCCTCCTTCTGGATTGTGGCCCCCATAAATCTTACTGTCTGGTTTCCTTTCTGGTTCCTTTAAACATATGTGTAAAATAGTATTATCCAGGGTTTCTTAGTGGTTCACACTTTCAGTGTTTCAGTGTTGGTAGAAATTACCTATGATCCGATTACAGGAAGTTGACATTTTCAATGTACTTGTAAAATTGACGGCTGTGCATATTAAAGCCTTCAGAAATTTTTATTTTGCTTAGTACATTTTTCAAAGTTACATAACAGTTTAATTTAGTATGTAGATATTTATAATTTATCAAGTTATATTTTTGTAGTTCTTTGTGCTTTTGATACACAATTTTAGAATACCACTTACACTGTCGTGAAAATTTTAATTCAGTTTGAATACAATAAATTATAATTACAGCATGATTGACTTTTTCTGTTTTCATTTGACAAGGAAGAGGGGAATCAAGTTTCAAGTCCTCCGAGTATCAGATTTAGTTTTGTAAAGACAACCAGGCAAACACTTATAGAAATACTAACATTTCTTTTTGTATGTAAATGGAATACTGCAAGTCAGGAGCTCATATGTGTTTACCTGATTTTTTTCCCCACTATTGATGTTCTTGTTTTTAATTAAGAAAACATTATTCTTATGTTTTGTTTGAGAAATAAGTCTCAAATCATAGTGCAGAATATACACCACAAACAAATATTATAGGTTTGAAAGCAAGTTGGAAAGTTACTATAGCCACAGAAACTATGGGTAATTTGTTTAATATTTTGCATGTACAAATATCCCCGATTGTATTTTAGCAGTTTGCTGTTGGTATATGGTGAATATTTGTTCCCTGAAAATTCACATGTGAAAACACTCCCCAATGTGATGATATTAGGAGCTGGGGTCTTTGGGAGGTGAATAGGTCTGCCCAAAAGGGATAGTACCCTTACAAAAGAGACTCCAGAGAGCTCTTGCGTCCTTTATGCCATGTGAGGACACAGCAAAAAAAATTGGCCATCTATGAAGCAGAAAGCAAGCTCTCAGCAGACATCAGATCTTCCAGAACTTGGTCTTGGACTTGACAGTCTCCAGAACTATGATAAATATATTTCGTTGTTTATAAACTAGCCAGTCTGTGATACTCTGTTATAGCAGCCCAAATAGACTATGAAAAATACATGTGTCTATTGATGTGTCATACAAGAATATAATTTAAACTGCTGGAATCTCCATTTATAAGCCATGGTAGATTCATTCAGCATAAAATTAGCATGTTTGTTTGCCACCTGGATTCACATATTAGAGATTTGGTCTGATACACCTTGAAACGGGGAAATGACTGGAATTTTCATTCAATATGTTACCATTGCATATATAATTTAGGCAGTTTTCTTTTTAAGAAACTTCCTCTATTATTAAAAAATGTGTTTCAGCTTTTGATGTAGTTTAGGTATCTGTTTCCTCCAAATGTCATGTTGAAATGTGATCCCCAGTATTCAAAGTGGGGCCTAGTGGAAGGGGTTTGGGTCCTGGGGCTGGATCTCTTATGAATGGCTTGGTGCCCTCCACATGGTAATAAGTGAGTTTTCACTCCATTATTTCACACAAGAGCTGGTTGTTTAAAAGAGCCTGGCACTGGCTGGGTGCAGTGGCTCACGCCTGTAATCCCAGCACGTTGAAAGGCTGAGGCGGGTGGATCACCTGAGGTCAGGAGGTTGAGACCAACCTGGCCAACATGCTGAAACCCTGTCTCTACTAAAAATACAAAAATTAGCCAGGTGTGTGGGCGCACGCCTGTAGTCTCAGCTACTCCTGCCATGTGACACATCTGCTCCTCTTCACCTTATGCCAGGAGTGGGAGCTTCCTGAGGCCTCAGCAGAAGCTGAGAAGATGCTTGTGCCATGCTTTTACATCCTACAGAAATGTGAGCCAAATTAGCCTCTTTTATTTATAAATTACCTAGTCTCAGATACTCTTTATAGCAAGAGAAGATGGAATAACACAGCTCTAGAAGAGTCCGAATGGGTCCTTGTTATTTATTACTATCTAAAATAAAATTAGTAAGGCACACTTACTGGTAATTTTAACTTATTTTTCCCTTAAACTGTAAATTGAACCTTTAATGTACTCACAGAATAAGGAGAAAACAAACTGTTCTCAGTGTAGTATATGTTTAACATGTTCAGGAATGAATAAGTTCAGTAAAAGGCTAATGGACATAGATTAGAACAAAGATCAAATCAGGACATTTCCTAAAATGTTCATAATTTAGCAAACGCAATAAGACAATCGAAAAAATTATCCTTAGAGAAACGTTAATGCCAGCACTTGTTTCATTGAAAAGATGTTTATCTAAAAGCCAGTTTTCAAAGATGCAGAATATATGGCTCCACTTCAAGAAGACCTCAGCGGGAGGCTACAAGAGAGTCTTGTTTGGAAATGTCTTGAATTACTAACCCATCTGTAATTCTATCACAACTAACTATTGTAAGGAAATCTGATTTTATATTTTAATATGGAAAATAAATTGTTATTTAATCAGTGACTCTCTAACTCTCAAGCCCTTCTTGTGACTATAATTAACATTAAACATGCATTTATTGAATGCCTAGGGCTCATAGCAAGCTCTGTGTTGAGATATGGCAGGGCAAGGAGCTTGAACTATGAACCTTCACACAGTTGATAGTCTAATAAAAGGCGTAGATAAACAAACTGTAATTGGTGCAATAATAGAAATTGGTGAAGTGACAACCAGTGTCTCAGGTGGTCAAAGAAGTTCTTTTGAAATAGCTTTAATGATCTGGGTCTTGAACACCAACAGCACTGCCAGTGCCCGTCACTTAATGTCCTCCAATATTACCTTTGCTATCACCAACTTACGCATGAGAAAATGGGAGCAGAGAAATGGTAAGTCACCTAAGTTGACATGACAAGTGAATACTAGAGATATTTTTTATTGCAAGATCATGATATTGCTTTATTAATTAAAAGTAAAATGTTGACAAGATAGATTTTGTTAGAGGGAGCATCCACAATATCACAATAGCCCAAATATGGGAGCAACCTATGTGTCCATCAATGAATAAATGGATTTAAAAATGTGATATATATATTCAGTGGAATGCAATACAGTCTTAATGAAGAAGGAAATTCTGTCATTTGTGACAACATGGATTGAACTGGAGGACATTATGCTAAGTGCAATAGACCAGGCAGAGAAAAACAAATACTGTGTAATCTCACTTATAGGTGGAATCTTAGTTGCTCTCATATAAATAGACAGTAGAAAGGTAATTACTAGGGGCTAGGAGGTTGGAGTAGGGGGAAGAGAGGAATAGAGAAAAGAAAGATGTTGATCAAAAAGTACATAGTTTAAGTTAGACTCTAGAAATGAGTTTTAGTGATCTACTATACTGTATGGTGACCACAATTAGTTATAATGTAGTGTATATTTTTAAACTGCTAAAAAATAGATTTTAACATCCTTACCACACAAAATGATAAATTAGTGAAATGATGGATATGTTCCTTAGTTTTATTTGACCTTTCTCCAATGTATACATAGATTAAAAAAATCACATTGTACACCATAAATATATACAATTATTTGTCAATTAAAATAAATAAAAATAAGTAAATTTTTTAAAAAGACAAATTTTTACCAATATGAAAAATATCACATACTTATTGAATGAAGCAGCCAAGACTTCGACACACTGAGTTGGCTCTGAAAGTATACATCCTCAACCCTTATGTTATACTTTTGTGCAGACAAACTTCAAAATGGCCTCAAATGAACCCCACCTCCTGGTATATACATCCCTATAAAATCCCTCTCTTTTTGAGTGTAGGCTCAATGTAGTGATTGCTTCTGATCAATAGGGTACAGCAAAGACGATGGGATGTCCCCTCTGCAATTTAATTACTTAGAATTGCAACTTCAATCTTGCTAACAGACTGTCTCTGTTGACTTCTTGGTGTGCATGCTTGAATGAGGCAAACCGCCAAGTTGGAGAGGCCTGTGTGGAAGGGAACAGAGGGACGACTACATCCTCCAGCTACGGAAATTTTATCTTTCATCCTAAAATCCCACAAGGGGTTCCAATCATCAATCCTGTAGTGCATGAAGAAATGAATGCTACCAAAAGTCATATAACTTGGAAAGCAGATTCTTTCCCAGTCAAGTCTTTAGATGAAACTCTAGTGCTAAGCAGCATCCTAATTGGAGCCTTATGAGAGATCAAAAATAGAAGACGCAACCAAGCCGTGTCCATTTCACCTGAGCCACAAAACTGTTAGGCAATAAATGTATGTGTTTTTAAGGCCCTCAAGTTTGTGTTAATTTGTTACACAGCAATAGACAACTAATACACTCACTATACGCTATCCAGAACTATTTTACTTCTGTGGGTAGATTCTTCTCCAGGTCACCATGTTTTGGGTTTAGAGCCACAGAAATAGGACCTTTCTATTTCTTGTCTCTTTCTCAGATTAAGAAAGAAATCCCAAGCTAGCAGGCCTGATATCACATACCTCTTGGCAAGTTACCAGAATGACAACTTTTGACATATTTTTTCTGGACCCCTGGATATTCACTTCAGAGTAGCCAAACTTTCTACCATGTCATCCTAATTAATCGTGGTTAGTCCTAATTCAGATATAGTTTGATATACTAAATAGTGCTGGACTTCGGAGCCAATTATGTCAAGATCTGGGAGTTCTCTCTACCATTTACCTGCTGCTTCCCAATCTACTCATTTAACAAATGAGTAAGCCTGGCTAGGTTACTACGTTAATTAGAAATGATATGTTTCCTCATTATCTAATAATATGTATTCTTTTATGCCACTTAGCGGGTCTTCAATTGCTATTAATTCTAATCAGTTTTATCCTTATTGCACATCCCTCAAAATTACATGGCAATTTGTTGACCATCCTTGTGTGTTTCTATTCTCTTTAAATAGCTTACTTATAGCCTTGTGGCTGGAAATTTAGCTAGCGCTTACAACTGGATCATTTATTCACCAACTCTTGAACATTTGCTGTGTGTCAGGAGGTGTTGTTGATTTTGTTTTATAACGAATAGAAGCCCATGACAGTGAGACATTGTTATTAATAGCTTCACATCTTCGAGGGAAACTTGCTGGCTTAGAATCAGGAATACATTCTGGAGTAGATTCTAGGTTAGAATCTAGATCCTGCCTCAAAATAGCGTGTTACTTGGACAACTCCACATCTGCATCTATTCACCATTACCTAGAAATGCATGGTGGTAGGCAGAATTCTAAATGGACCTCAGTGCTTCCTCACCCTAGTATATGCTTTTGTATATTCCCTTAAGTAAAGAAAGAAACTAAGTATGAATGCCCCTCCTGTGTTTAGATTATTTTCTGTTGCAAAGGTGAAGGTGTTTTACAAATGTGATAAGGCCTCTTATCAGTTTATTTTAAATTAATCAAAATAGATGCTTCCCTGGTGGGTCTGATCTCATCAGGTGAGACCTATGAAAGAGGATCCAGAGGTCAGAGATGAAAGAAAGCAGATAGAGCTGAAGCAGCAGAGATGTAGTCTTGCTAGTCTTAAAGAATAAACCTGTCATATTATAAAGAGGGCCATACGGCAGGGAATGGAGACTAACCTCGGAGAGCCAAAGTCCTTTGTTCTGTAATCAAAAGGAACTCAGTTTTACCAACAACCAGTTAGCCTGGAAAAGCCTCAGCCCATACTCTGATTTCAGCCTTGTGAGACCCAGGGCAGAGGACCCAGCTAATTATGTATTTGGAATCTCGACCATGAACTGTGAGATAATATATTTGTGTTGTGTTAAGCTGTAGCACTTGTGGTAAATTGTTATGGAACAATGGAAAATTAATATTCATCTATAAAATATTTTATTTTCCCAAGATAATGTCTTAAGTTATAAATGTTTATTTAATAACTTGAGTCATTAAACTTGTATCAGTATCTAGCCCAAAATCTTTTTAGTCATCGAACCCCAATTCTGCCAAGTCCTTCTAAACCAAATCAGGTAACAAGCATTTGTTCCATCCAATTCAATTTATGTCCTTGTTTGGGGTTGACCCAGTTAAAAACTGGTCAGCGATTAAGAGATAATTTGCCTGAGTCATCGTTCTTGGGTGTTCATTTCTGAAAGAAGGCTTTGTCAAAATGTCAATCTTTGTATTCTGCTGCTCCTATAATCTGGTGGCTTTCCAGTTTTTGCTGAATAAGGAACTAAATGTGCATTTCTATTTTTGCTGCTAATCTACGTGCATGACATAGTAGAGTTGAGAACAGAGCTTATCCCAGTGCTCTTGCTCCCTTTGTGCTGCATACTGTAAACTAGAAGTGAGTGAGATCGGCTTCTTTACATCCAGGCTGTTCATTTTAAATATTAACAAATATTAGCAATGTATCCTGGGGACCAAGAAAGGCAACATTCACAAAATTAGAGTGGTTGCACATGAGATCTTCACTGACAAAAGAAAAGCAGTGGACAGTGTGGGGAGAGGACCTCATAGCACTGGGAGTAAGAAAGCCCAAGGGGAATAAGCTACGATTCCTGTAAGGTGTTCGGCCTTGAAAAAAAGTATTCAACACGCCTGAGCTTCACGTTCTTCATGTGTACCTGATGAATGCATCCCTTTGCTCTTTCTCTTCATGTCAGAATTAGCCTGAATAAATGGATGTGTCTATTAATCTCCACAAAGTCTCTCTCATCCATCCATTATCTTTATCCCAACTTCTTTCGCAGTTTTCTGGCCAACATAATTTTATCTGGACTCTTTAAACAGTCTCACTTTCTCCATTTTTTATCTTTCCAATTTGTCTTTGATGCTGAAGCCAGAATTATCTCTCTCACATCTATTTTTGTAGGTGATTATTCTCCTTCTTCAAAACCTCCCATCATTCTCCAGATTCCTCATTTTCCATGGCATAAACTAAGACGACCCCTTAGCATCCCACACGAAGTGAATGATGGTGTCAATTTGTCAGAACTAAAATCCAATGCACCCTATGGTCCAGCTACAGAGGACTACTTCTAATTTCAAAATAGGCTTCCCGTTCCTTGCCTGTTATCAGGGTGTCTTCCTCCTCCTTCATCAGTTGAAATCTATTCATCTTTCAAAGACCTATCCAGCGTGAGTTGCCTTTGGAAAGTCTTCCCCTTCATATGTTGGATAAAGTAGATGCTCCTTCCTCTGTGTTCCCATGGCAGGCATATAGCTCATACAGCTACCATAACACCAGTGCAGTCGGTTTAAAACAGCTGAACCCGCCCAAGCTGACCTGGTAGCACCACAGAAAAGAAAAGTTGCATGTTTTATTACTGTTTTATACCCTCACTGAACTCTACATGAGCACAGAAAGCTCAGTAAATTACATGAAGGGATAATAGTTGAATGAATGAGTGGATGTGGTAATCATAAGAATAACTTTTTGATAATTTTTAATTGGTGCTATGCTAAAAGCTTTATATAAATTAAGTCATGTGATTCTTATGATAGCTCTTCATGGTAGACACTGTTATATTCTCCATGGTGTGATGAGTTAAACCTAAATTTATTGAAGTAAGTATTTCCTCTAAGGCAAGTAACAACGAGTAAGGGGAATGAGTTAAGTGAATGCCGTGGAGTTTGTTCCATATTTAAAATGCTTTTATTTTCCTTCGTCGGACAGCATATACTAACAAATGTAACATTTGTGTCCTCTGGTATGTTATACTTCTCAAAGGAGGTCATCCTAAATAGTAATACTTATTGCAGAACATTGTAAAAACCAAAAGGGTAGAATATTTTGAGTAAATTGGTGGGTTTCAGAGGGTATTTTTGTTTTAAAAAATGGGAATCTAAATACTTGATAATAATCATTTCCTTATATTTTGATATTTGACTAATATTAAATGGGGGTTTCTAAAATTATCTTTTGGACTTTTGCTCTAAGTTTATTATATACATTATAAACTCAACATAAAATGAAGTAATATTTAATGATTTCATGCACATTACTTTCTGAAAGATTTATTAATATAGGAAATTTAAAAGACAACCATAGAGGCAGGGCATGGTGGCTCACACCTGTAATCCCAGCACTTTGGGAGGCTGAGGTGGATGGATCACGAGGTCAGGAGTTCAAGTCCCCCTGGCCAACATGGTGAAACCCCATCTCTATTAAAAATACAAAAATTAGCTTGGTGTGGTGGCGTGAACCTGTAATCCCAGCTATTCAAGGGGTTGAGGCAAGATTATCGCTTGAACCTGGAAGGTGGAGATTGCAGTGAGCCAAGATCACACACTCCAGCCTGGGTGGTAGAGTGAGACTCTGTCTCAAAAAAACAAAATAAAACAAAACAACACATAGACAATAGCATCTAGTGTTTCATACCAAATAACGTGTATAAGACATTGCCTAAAAATTAAATATTGCAATGTGCACAGTTATTGAAAATATCAGATTTATTCTGATCGTCTTATATAATCCTATATATTTTATTGATTTACGTAATTTTTTTTTTTTTTTTTTTTTGAGACAGGTTCACACTCTGTCACTTAACCTCCCAGGTTCAATTAATCTTCTCACCTCAGACCTCCCCTACCCACCAGTAACTGGGACTACAGGGGTACACGTCTATTCCCGGCAAATTTTTGTGGTTTTTTTTGGTTTGAAAGGGGACTTCACCATGTTGCCCAGGCTGGTCTCCAACTCCTGGTCTCACCCGATCAGCCCACCTCGGTCTCTCAAAGTACTGGAATACAGAACTGAGGCACTGCACCAGGCCACATCCTGTATGTTTTATGTAAATTTTCTTGACATTTGTCAATAGGCTCTGCTTATGTGAATTTTTCCTACAACTCAATTAGTCTACCGTACCTTATTTTTTGTGTTGCTCATGTGCAGGAGGTAACTGAGAATGCAGAATATTGGAGTGGAATTAAGGAACCATGATAGATGTATTCATGAACTAAGTCTATTTCTTTGATTTCCAAATACTAGATTTTTAACCAGATGAGCTAATCAAACTAGGACAGAGTATTTTCCTACATTCTGGAATATAGATAAAATGGGCAAAGCTAAAGCTGTTTAACTCTGTGCATTGGGGAACGAATTAGCAAGACAAGTCTTGATACACATGATGATATTCTCAAAGATTCATGCCTGTCACACTGCCTTTTTTGTTCAGGAACCACTCAGTCTTCCCTGAGATCCTGGAACTGTGGTAAGATTGGAAGATGGGCTATATACATTTCCACTTCCTATGACATTAACTCTCTTTCACCATGATTAATGCCATTGCATATATTTCTTTGTAGTAGTGGAGAGGTGGAGGCCTACAAGCAATGTCTAAATGATAGAGGCCTGTGCAAGGTGCTATAGGGAATAAGATGAAGAGGAGCTCACCCAGGCCGGAGAACAACCAGGAACTAGAACACAATCAAGGTGTTTCAGAGTGAATTGAGAATAACAGGGTGAGAAGGAATTGGAAGCGAGGGAGCAGCACAATAAAGACCTGGGGTGGGAAATGACAGAAGTTTATTCAGGAGAAGAGAGGCAATATTGCTGGAAGAATATAAGGGCTATGTTATGGGGCCCCTAGAATACAAACCCGTGCATGAACACTGATCTGGCAGCACCAGCAACAGACAAGAAATAATTTAATGTCAACCAAACATTTCAGGTGATGATTTACAAAAACGTTCCTAACAAAAGGGAAAGATCAGGGCACTTGCTTCAGTAACTTGACATGAATAAACAGTTGTTCTCTCACTGAAGGTAGAATTTATCAGAGGCACAAGAAGGGAAAAATTCAACATTCTGTCTTTGAACAACATAAGCCAGCTTCTTTTGGAAACTATACAAAGCTTCTCCCCAGGAATATGTTAGGATTTTTTTAAGTCTTTTGACTTTGGCAGGAAAGTAGAGCGATTCATGCTAAAATGGCTCAGCTAACACAAACACTTGATTTTTGCCTGAACGTTCATTCCTAAGAAGCATAAAGTGTAAATATAGTTCTCTAATAAAGCTCAGTGGAGCTGAATGATGCTTTAAGGGCAAATAACAACTGGGTTGTATTTTGAATCTGAAAATATAAAGAAATGAAGAACCTACAGAGATCATTTAGCATAAACTAACAAATGATACTGAAATGTAATGACCCCCAACAGACACATACTGAGTTGTGAAGTACATTTTGCTTGAATACCCTAGTTACAGTAAGTTATAGTTTTCCTAGTTTACCCGTTCTGTTTTTGTGAAAAATGTACTTGTGAGAAAAACATACCTGATACTGAGCAAAGTTGATGTTCTTCCCCCAGTTCCAATCAAAGTTAGTATCTCTGGAGAAAGTAACATTTATTTTCCATGCAACAGCTGTTCTTAGAGACTAAGAGTTCTTTTTACTAACCTCCACTCACCAGACTCACTGGATTAACCAATGTCTTCACTCCCTCTGGAATTTATATTGACTGATGCTCATTGCATACTGAATGCTTCTAGGCAGTAGGCCCGTGCATCTCTGATGCCAGACTTGAGTTATAATCCTACAAATAGCAAAGATTTTCTTTCCAAACCCGTTCACATGAAGTGTGCTTGCTGTTGTAATTACGGAATTTAATGATTAAGTAGCATGCACAGTCATGCAACAGTAGAATTGAATCATTTGGAAAGACTAATAAAAGTTGAGCTATTACCAAAAAATGGTAAACTACATGTGGGTGAAATAGATTTAAAATAGGGGTAGTTTTCTAAGTTCCTGCCTCTCTTAAAGAAAGCAGAGTGGCAATCACAGTAGATAGGTGGTTGTGCAAAAGAAATGGAGCAAAGCTCCTTAGTTATCCACCCACATCCTTTTGGCAGTCTCAATCTTCATGCATACCAGCAAAAATTTCTGGTGCCGCATTTTCACTTCTTGGTGTAAGAACTTTTATTTCCAGAGCCCTTTTCTCCACCAGCTTGGGAAGCCAGAAATTCTTCCAAATTAATATTCCTTGGGGATACCATCAACAAATGATTGACAGGAGTATGTATATAAATATTCTACTCCATAGCCCCATAGGTAAAATATCTTTGAAGGACATATTCTATCTGGGGCCTAGATTTTCCCAGTGTGCTCACATTTCACTTACCCACAGTGGTAACTGACCTAACAACTAACCCAGTTACTGGATGCCTTCCATTCCCTGTCTCTCATTTCTGTTTTCCTATCAATGTTTGCTAGAATCCCCCCCAATAAACTATTTATACTAAAATCCCGTTCCCATGTTTGTTTCTGGTAGTCTTGGTCAGCTTGCCCTGACATAACAAAATGCTATAGATAGGTGACTTAAACAACAGAAATTAATTAGCTCATAATTCTGGATACTGGAAGTACAAGGTCAGCATGGTCAATTTTGGGTGAGATTTCACTTTATGGCTTATAGATTGACCCTTTCTCACTGTGTCCTCACAACAAGGAATGAGATCATTCCCTCCCTCCCTCCCTCCTCCTCTCTCCCTCCTCTCTCTCTCTCTTTCTTTCTCTTCCTCTTCTTCTTCTTCTTCCTCTTTTTCATTTTCGTTTCTTCTTCACTAATCCTATTATGAGATTTCCACCCTCATTATTTTATCTAACCTTAATTAACTTCCAAAGATCCCATCTCTAAATACCATCACATAGGAGGGTGAGGTCTTCAACATATAAATTTGGGGAAGGACAAAACTGAGTCAATAGTATTTTATACCTGAACCTCCAAAATTCATGTCCTTCTCACATGCAAAATATGTTCATTCTGTCCAACTGTCCCAAAAGTATTAATTCATTCCATCACCAACTCTGAAATCTAAAGCCTTATCTAAACATCATCAAAATCAGATGATATATAGGTGAGACTGGAAATACAATTTACCCTGAGCCAAAATTTCTCTCAATCTGCGAAATTCTGAAACCACAGAAGCAATATTCTTACAAAATAAAATTGCAGGGAAGGCTTAGAATAAGTACTGCAATTTCCAAAAGGAAAAATAGGAAAGAAGGAAAAGGTGACAAAGCTGAAACAAATCCAAAACTTACAAGGCAAATTTCACTGTATTTTAAGCCTTGAGATTGATGTTCTTTGGTTTTATGTTCTTACTTCCAGATCCATTGAGCAGTGGTTCCAACTTTGCAGCTCTGGTGAGCTGGAGTTGGATTCCCAAAGCTCCTAAGATTTCACAACTAACCTCACAACTAATCCATTTACTGGATGGTGTTATCCAGCATGTTGAAACTCAAGTTGTGGCCTTGATAAAGATTGTAGATAGATTAATGCATAAATGTATATGTGTTTGTGTATTTATGTATCTCTTAAGTTCAAATAAATTTTAGAAAATATGTTTAAACAACTTTTAAAGGTAGCTCACCAACCAGGATTTTAATTTTAATTTTAAAACAATCATAATATTGTGACCAAATCTTCTGATTCCTTAATTAAAAATAGATATTTCATCAATTTTGACCGTGAAAAAAATTTTAAGTATCATTTTACCCCTCTGCAATTGGACTAGATTGAAAAAAGCCACACTTCAAATATACATAAATATTGAAGTAATGTAGTTGTCAAAGGCACATCAGTAAGATAAAATATTTTTTCTATTTACTTCAATATTATTTTTTAAATAAAATATTGCAAATCTATCTAAAGGCCCACTTATCATTTTTCCCCTTCCTGTGCCTCCTTCCTCATAGGAACCCACTATGCTGAAGTCAGTGTCCATCATTGACATGTATATGCATGTGTAGTACTTCTGTTGCATAGATATAAATGGTGGTAATGTATATATGGTGGTACTCCATTAAGGGACTCTCTTTAGGTCTCTTGCATGTATCAGTTGTTGATATCAGCTTGTGATGGCTCATAGCTGTGTCCTTGGCTGAGCATTGCCTTCAGATATTGCGCATTGGCTTTCCCTAATTTGGCCAGAGGTTTGCTAATTCAGAGACATGTTATGTCAAGTCCCTTTTCTCTAATGTGGAGTAATGCTGAATTCCAACTTCAAAAATCCCTTGTATTAGTCTGTTCTCGTGCTGCTAATAAGACATACCCAAGACTGGGTAATTTATAAAGGAAAAAAGTTTAATTGACTCACAGTTCCACATGGCTGGGGAGTCCTCATAATCATGGCAGAAGGCAAATGAGGAGCAAAGTCACGTCTTACATGGCTGCAGTCAAGAGAGAGCTTGTGTAGAGAAACTCCCCTTTGTAAAACCATCAGATCTCTGAGACTTATTCACTATCACAAGAACAGCATGGGAAAGACCCACCCCCATTATGCAATTACCTCCCACCAGGTCCCTCCCACAGCATCTGGGAATTCTGGGAGCTACACTTCAAGATGAGATTTGGTTGTGGACACAGCCAAACTATATCATCCCTGTAGATTAAAATGTAATCTCAGTTACAACCATATTGCAACTGAGCATCTAGCTTTGCCTAAATCTGTTATCTTACTTTCTCATGGCTACACTTCCTGAAATGGTTTAGATGTATATCCCCTAAAAATCTCATGTTGAAATGTAATCTCCAGTGCTGGAGGTGGGGCCTGGTGGGTGATGTTTGAGTCACAGGGGCAGATTCCTCATGAATGGCTTGGTGCCCTCCTTGTGGTAATAAGTGAGTTCTTGCTCTGAGTTCATGTGAAATAAGGTTGTTTAAAAGGGCATGGCACTGCATCCCCCCTTGCTGCTGCTCTTTTCGTGTGATATACCAGCATCCCTTTGTCCTCTCTCATGGTTGAAAACTTCCTGAGTCCTCACCAGAAGCTGAGAAGATGCCAGTGTCATGCTTATGTACCAGTTGTCATGTACAGCCTGCATAACCGTAAGCCAATTAAACCTCTTTTCTTTATAAATTATGTAGCCTCAGGTATTTCCTTATAGCAACAAAAAAGTGGACTAAAACAGAAAATTGGCAATGAGCAGGGAGGCATTGCTATAATGATACCTGAAAATATAGAAACAGCTTTGGAACTGGATAATGGGCAGAGGTTGGAAGAGTTTGGGGCTCAGAAGACGACAGGAAAACAGGGGGAGGTTTGGAACTTCTTAGAGGCTGGTTAAGTGGTTGTGACCAAAATGCTGATAGAAATATGGACAGGGAAGGCCAGGCTGATGATGTCTCAGATGTAAATGAGGAACTTATTGGGAACTGGAATAAAGGTCACCCATGTTACACCCTGTCAAAGAACTTGGTTGTGTTGCGTCCACATCCTAGGGCTTAGTAGAAAGCTGAACTAAAGAGTGATGATTTAGGGTATGTAGTGGAAGAAATTTTCAAACAGCAGAGAATTCGAGATGTGGTCTGGCTGCTTCTAACAGCCTATGATTAGATATGGGAGAAAACAAATGACTTAAAATTGGAACTTATATTTAAAAGGGGAGGGGAGTATAAAAATTTGAAAAACAAATTGCAGCCTGGCCATGTGGGAGTAAAGGCAAAGACATTTTCAGGAAAGAAATATGAGTGGGCTGTGGAGCAACAACTTGCTACAGTGATTAGCATGACTAAAACGGAGCCAGGTGCTAATATCCAAGGCAATGGCAAAAAGACCTTGAAGCCATTTTAGAAATATATATATATTTTTTATTATACTTTAAGTTTTAGGGTACATGTGCACAACGTGCAGGTTAGTTACATATGTATACATGTGCCATGTTGGTGTGCTGCACCCATTAACTCATTATTTAACATTAGGTATATCTCCTAATGCTATCCCTCCCCCTTCCCCCCCCGCCCCACAACAGGCCCCAGTGTGTGATGTATATTTAAGGTAGCCGTTCCTATTACAGGCTTGGAGAATGAGGAAGATTGAAAGGTTTCAGGGGCCAGGCTCAAGGGGCTGCTTTCCTACTCTGTCTCAGGATGCCTCCTGCATCCTGGCCCCTCTGGCTTCAGCCTCAGCTCAAAGGGGCCCAGATACAGCTTGGAACACCACTCCAGATGTCACAAGCCATAAGCTTCAGTGATTTCTATGTGGTGTTAAGCCTGCAGGTGCACAGAATGGCAGAGTGAAAGAAGCTTTGCAGCTTCCACCTAGATTTCAGAGGATATATCAGACAGCCTGGGTGCCCAGGCAGAAGCCTGCCATTAGGGCAGAGCCCCAGCAGAGAGACTCTACTAGGGCAATGCCAAGGGGAAATGTGGGGTTGGAGTCCTCACATGGAGTCCCTTCCATCGCACTGTCTAGTGGAGCTGGGGGAACAGAACTGAGACTCTCCAGACACCAGGACGGTAGAGCCACCAGCAGCTTGCAACTTCAGCATGAAAAAGCCACAAGTGTAAAGCTTCCACAGGCTTTGGAAACCTGCCTAGAAAGTCAGTATGCCCAGAATGTGTCGTATAATGTCAAAGGAGATTATTTTGGAGCTTTAATATTTACTGCTTGTCTTGCTGGATTTCAGAATTACGTGGGGTCTGTCGCCTAATTCTTTTGGTCAGTTTCTTACTTTTGGAATGGAAATGTTTACCCAATGCCTGTACTACCATTGTATCTGGGAAACGTACAACTTGGTTTTGATCTTACAGATTCATAGGTGGAAAGAATATGCCTCAAGTCTTAGATGAGACATTCAACTTTGGACTTTTGATTGAGGTGATGCTGGAACAAGTTAAGTCTTTTAGGGATTATTGGGAACAGATGATTTTATTTCCCAATCTGAGAAGGACATGAGATTTGGGAAGTCAGGGGTAGAATGATATGGTTTGGAAGTTTGTCCCCTACAACTCTCATGTAGAAATGTAATCTCCAATGTTCAGGGTAGAGCCTGTGGGAGGTGGGAGGTATTTGGGCCATGGAGGCAAATAATTTTGCATGAATAGCTTGGTGTCCTCCTCATGGTAATGAGTAAGCTCTGTCTCTGAGTTCATGTAAAATCAGGTTGTTTAAAAGAGTGTGGCACTTCCCAACCCCTTGCTTCTGCTCTGGGCCTGCGATACACCAGTTCCTGCTTTGCCTTCCATCATGATTGAAAGTTTCCTGAGGCCTCACCAGGAGCAGGTGCCAGTGCCATGTTTCCTGCACAGCCTGCAGAACGATGAGCCAATTAAACCTCTTCTCTTTATAAATTACCCAGTCTCAGGCATTCCGTTTTAGCAACACAAGAAGAGAATACGACACTTTCCTAAGGAATTCCCCTCAGAATATTCTGCACACAACCTTCCATCTCAGAGTCTGCTTCCAGGGAACCCAACTGAAGCAAAAAAATAAATAAATATATTTGTTGTTTTTGTGTGCTTTAAAATTTACATAAGTGGAATCATACTGCTTTATTCACTCTTTTATGATTTTGAGATGTATTCATATTAATAGATATGAATATAATTTATCTTAACTGCTATATAGAATATGATTATATAAATAAACCATGATTGACTGAATTATTCTCTTACTGAGAAACAGTTTATTCCACTTTGGCTGTTAAAATCACTGCTTCAATGCAACAATCCTTACTTTTTCATATATGTGAGTGTTTTTTCCAGCACACAAATCAAGACAAATACTACTCATCTAGAGATTATATAATTCTACAAGATACCAGCCATTTATCAATAGCTTTCCAAAGTCATAAAAGTTCTAATTTTTATTACTATCAATAATACTCTCACCATTTCTCTATAGCCTTGCCAAAATATTTGGTTAAAATATTAGCATTTTAATTTTTTGACTATAGCAGTGAGAGATGAAATCTTATTTATTTCAAATTTGGATATTGACAATTTTTAGTGAGAATAAGCATGTTTTGATGTTTTTGTTTTCTTTTTTGGCCATTTATATTTTATTCTCTATAAGTTTTCTATAGTTTCTATTTTTCTATTGTGATATTTGTCTTTAATTGATTTATATATATATATATATTTTTTTTTTAATATATTAGATTCAACCTTTGGTTACATGCCAGATGTGAGGTATGACTTTTTATGGTGTTTATGCTGTCTTTTGTTCTGTAACATTTAAAAAACTTAATATGATCCAATATATTAATCTTTTTTGTTATAATTTTTTATGGTTTATGTAAAAAATTATTCTTTATGAAAGATTATAAAAATATGTTTTACATAAGACTTTTGCCATTTTTCCTTTACATTTAAGTTTTTAATGAAGTGTAAATTGACTTTGGTGTGGAATTAAAAGAGATCTAGTGGGAAAATCTGTGGTTCTAGTACTAGTTCCATTTATGTAATATAATGGGATATGTTTCATTTGTCATTTCTGTCATAGTCTAGCTCCTTATTTATTTTTATTTTTTGCTTTGGTCTGCTCCTTAGTTTATGTCATAGGTATTTTTGTTGATTTCTATATGCATATTCACTAATATTTAGGTGTCCTAATGAACATCTATCAGTATTAGTATTTTTCAAACATGCTTTTGATTTTGTTAGATGAGTAATTATTTATTTATTGATGTTAGTTTGTAAATGCATATTAGTCTGATGTGTTTTAGTTTTTTACTCATTTTTGAGCCAGGTTTGGTGAGTTTTTTTTTTCTAGGCAATTGTCCCTTTGATTTAAATTTTCCAAAGCACTGTGAAATTATTCTTGTTTTTAAAATTATATATTAATATAAATCTCAATATCTTCCTTATATTTGTTTGTGGTGTCATTTTCTCTTTTGCTGACCAAAGTCTTCATAGATGTGTATTTTCAAAATACCTGCTATTGAGTTGCAGATTCTCTTCATTGTTTCTTTTCTATGTATTCTTGTGAATGTCTTATTATGTCATTTCTCATATTATTTGTGTTTGTTTTACTTATTTTGCTACTAATGTTTTAAATGTATTTCTTAGATCATTAATTTTTAACATTTTCTGTTTTTCAAAATTTCCATTAGGGCTACAAATTTCACTCTAAGTAGTACTTTAATAGCATCCCACAAGTTAGATACTTAGTGATTTTGTTATTATTTAGTTATAAACATTCTGTTTATAACAATATTATATTAGTTATAATTATTTTAATGTTGTTTCAGTACTAGTTTCACACCTTCAAACTTAACGAATATATGAATTTGAGTTAACTCATATTCTGTTTAGAAGAAATAATATATTTACTTATAGAGAATTAAATATATATTTACTTCCATATAAATGAAGTAAATACGTTCAAGGTGTCCAGTGCAGCGTAACATGGAATAACATAATTAACATCATCACTTCCTTAATTGTATACATCATACATTTTTTAGGTTATTAATTGATTCGTTGATCAATATAATTTACTCCTGTGATGCTTTTACTTGGTGAATCAATCTTTTTTATTTTATTGTAGTTAACCCTTCTATCTTAGTTTGTGCTGCCATAATAAAATATTATAGACTGGGTGGCTTATAAGAAACAGAAGGGTATCTATTTTATTTCTGGAAGGTGGAAATCTGAGATCAGAGTGCCAATGTGGTCATATTTTGGTGAGGGCTGTCTTCCCGGTTGCAGGAAACCATCTTCCTTGCATCTTCATCCTCGTGGTGAAAAACAGAGCAAGAGAGTTTTGGGGGGTCCTTTGAAAAAGGCACTAATCCCAGTCATGAGATTTTACCCTCATGAGCTAATTATCCTTAAAGGGTGTATCTCCTGAAACCATCACAATGGGAATTAGGATTTTAACATATGTGTTTTGGAGGAATAACAATATTCAGTCTAAAATACCTTTTCTGCTAAGTACTTTCTGTAAGACATGAAAAAATGATCTAATCTATTTTTCATACTTCTTGCCTTTGTCATAGTTATTTCAGAGATAATTTTATTTTTAGCTAAACATATAAGGTAAAAAAAGAGTCATATTAGAATATTCAAATTCTATACATGCAACTTGAGGATCTCTGAAATATTCTTCTTTTTTAACATTTAACAATAAATTAGAATCAGATTGTTAATTTTAAAATAATTTAATATTCAGTTTGAAGAATATTTAAGAGAGCTAAAAAGATCTGCCTTAGTTTCAAAAGATTAAAAAGTAATGAAAATTTTGAAGTAGAATATTTTTTTAAATTCAGCTGTTTTAAAGGCAGCTATCCCATCACCTAAGTTAAAATACTAACACATATTTATTCCTGATATGACCCTTACTGGATACCAAATAAAAATCCTTTAAAATACACGAACATTTTACCTTTTCAATCATAATTAAAACAAAAGTATCTAGTTAGCTGCATGGTGAAGACGGTTAGTGGAATTATGACTCACTTTAAGAAAATGTTTAATTTGTCTTTGCAATATAATTATTCCAAATCCAGTTATTATTACTAGCAAAATACAATGATAAATCAATATGGTATCTTTATTTCATTCAAAAGGTTTATGCTAGTGGGAAAGAAAGAA
Organism: Homo sapiens; assembly: GCF_000001405.40. Taxonomy (NCBI): domain Eukaryota; kingdom Metazoa; phylum Chordata; class Mammalia; order Primates; family Hominidae; genus Homo; species Homo sapiens. The sequence goes on along the minus strand of NC_000004.12, from coordinate 12,190,973 downwards.
ACAAAAGCATTAGGAAATAATGTTCCAAGTTCAGGAGTGTTGTGGAAATGAAGAAGGCAATTTAAATTAGCTCTCATCTGGAAGTAGAGAATAAGGGTAGAGGTCTTTTCTGATAAGGTGTTATACATCTAACTTTATAACAATGAATGGAATTGTTCTGGTGAAAATGGTGTGGATGCTTTGTGTTCAGGGAGGTTCCCTGGGAAGCAGGCTTTCAGGCAATTTTCCTCAAGGCAGACTGTTTAGGAGTGTTCTGAGGAGCTACCCCTGTCAAGAAATGAGAGATTGGGAAGCAGCAGTAGGCAGAGGAAAATGTTGGGTTGATATGCAGTTTAACAGGGGACACATCTGATTCCATGGAGTCTCTGGAACAGAGATGGCCCTTCAGAGATATCCCACGTTGGAGCAGGGGCCAGTCTTACACATACTACTCACCAAGATGGCTTTAGCATTCCCCTCAGCTTGACTAAACTTGAGACAGGTTTCTTCCTGACTATAGGTACCTGCCCTCCCTTTTCTTAGAGCATTTGCTTTGGGAATCTTGTAAGTATAAACTCTTCTAATGTTCCTTTGAGATATATATCTTTACCCAAACTCTTGCCAGTTTTACACCCAGGAATGTCTTTCCCAAGGACCAGAGAGCCTTCCTTTAGAAATGCAATCATCAAGAAAGATAGTACTTGTATCCCCCAGTCTTTGTGAAGGGGAGGAGCCTAACTTTAATAAGCACCAACTAGTAAACACAGATGACTTAATCACAGTGATCAACCTCCTCTCTGATATCCTCTAGCATTTTTTCACTATCTTCCCTAGTACTTAAAAAATTTCCTCTCTCCTTTTAGTGGAGTTCAGCTTAATCTTTCTGCCCTATCGCAATAGTCTTTGATAAAGTCGTTCTTGCTGTTTTACGTGCCTGGTGCAATTTTTCTTTTGCTCCCATTATTTTGGGCAGGTTACTACAGGTGGTGAGATAGAACTATGAGCAAAGTAGCTTCCCTTTTCAATAGGCAATTTCCAAGGAGTAACTCAGTGCATACTCCTGGCAGGTGAGGAAATGAGTATCTCTGGCCGAAAGTGCAAGATCTGGGCACTGTAGCAGGGATCCGCTATATGGGCATTTGAAGAAGACTTTTAAAACAAATTCAACTGTTCATAATTTTACAGAACACTGGACATTGAAAGAAAAGGCTCTAGTAATGGCTTCACATAACAGACTTTATGTTTGAAAAATTCATTAAGAAATATGTCATCTTCCAGAACATTTGTAAATTTTCTCCAAAAGATGGATATTCTTCTTTGCAATTTGATTTGCCTCTATATAATCTATAGTTAAATATTCCATTATTTAACATTGTCATACTCTTTACCATCTTGTGGCAAAAGCATTCAGAGCCAACATGAAACTGCCACTGTATCAATCCTTCCTTGACTGCAAATTCCACGGACAATGATTTGGTTGAGATTAAGCTGGATGAGTTTAATGCAAATCTCCATATACTTTTCAGAGTGGGTATCTGCAAAATAAGATTTCGGGTAACCTAGAAAATAATGGTAAAATGTCAAAGATGTATAAAGAATGGTTTTTTATATTGTTAAATTGAACATTAAAGCTTTTTTCAACCTTTGGAAGTATTTCTACTGAGAAATAACAAGCACTGGGAGACATCTGCAAATCATAAGTGTGTAGCTGTAAAAATTACCAAAAGAGAAGGACATTCACGTAGTATCGTACAAGTCAGCAAACTTGTCCAGAAACATCCAGAAACTCCCTCTTACTCCTTCTCAATTATTTTCCTTATTCTCTTCCCCAGATAACCACATTCTCTTTCCTAAGTGTAACCACTATTCTGGTTTCTCACACCATAAATTGCTTTTACCCATTTCTCAAGTTTATAGAAATAGAAACATAAAATATGGTATCTATTGCATCTTTTCTCTAAATTGTATTTGCAGTATTTATATTGTTTATTTGAAATTCACTTACTTTCATGGGTGTATACTATCCTTACAAATAGTAGTGAATTTATCTACTCAATTGTTGAATTTTTGGGGTGTTTCCCAGTTTTGGTTATTTTTAATAGTATTATGAACCATCTTGTATTTTTCGGCACACGTGTGTAAGCATCCCTGTTGGGTATATGCTTAGGAATGTAGTTGCTGGGTTGAATGCTATATTATATTGTGTGCCGGTATGTAGGTTTATCTTTAGTAAATTCTGACAAGCACTTTTCAAAAATAGTTATAACAATATTCTCTTGTAGTATATGATAATTCTACGTGGTCCACATTCTTGAAAATACCATTTACAGTATTTTTAATTTTGGCAATTCAGGTACTGTGTAGTGGTATGAATTATTTTATTATAGTTTTAATTTGCATCGCATTTATGATTACTGAGGTTGAGAAATTTTTTAATGCTTTATTTGGATATTCTCTTTTGTAAAGTGACTTATCAAGTTTTTTTATGCATCCTTATATTATGGTTTACACTTTACAGGTTATTTGTAGAAATCTTCATATATTCTGCAAACAAGAACTATGCCAGTTACTATTGCTGGAAAATCATTTCCCCTGTGTGGCTTGCTTTTTTGCCTCCTTATGGCATATTTTAAAAATTGGAAGTTTCTAATTTTATTATAGCTCACTTTATAAGTCTTTTCTTTCTTGTTAAAAGTTCTCTACATTTCATTTTCTTAAGGGTTAATTGGTGATATATAGAAATATATTGAGTATTTTATTTTGTGGGTTAATATATTTAGCAAGATTAATTTATTCATTGTTGGCTGTCAATCATCTCAATTTATTTTATTAATTACTTTAGTATATTAATCATTGATATTTTAAACTACGTGCATGGTAACAGATTTCCTGTGTCTTGCTCCTATTTGTTTTCAATTACACATTTCATCTTTGTATGTTTGGTTGTTTTAATAATCTCTGCATAATTATCTCTTTTACCAGAAACATTGAGATTTCTTTTCAGAAAAGCTCACTTTAAAAAAAAAGTGAGGCAATTTAAATTAGCTCTCATCTGGAAGTGGAGAATAAGGGTAGAGGTCTTTTTTAAAAACATGGTATATATTCAGAATAGAATACTATTCAGCCGCAAAGAGAATGAAATCTTGTCATTTGCAGCAATATGGATATAACTGGAGGACATTATGTTAAGTGAAACAAGTCAGGCACAGAAAGACAAATATTGCATGCTCTCACTCATATGTAGGATCTAAAACAGTTGATCTCATGGAAGGAGGAAATAGAATGGTGGTTACCAGAGGCTGGGAAGGTGGGAAGGGGGAGGTAAAGCAGAAAAGGCATGAGTAGTCTTTGATCATATTTGTCATATCAGAAATTGAGATCATTCAGAGGTGGGCTTCGATTTCTATGAATGTTAACATGTTTCTGGTGTTTTATTACTTTGAGACTATCTCTTCTGGGTCTCAAATCAGATCTCAGTTTTTACCAGGGCTCTCTCTGGTAAACTCTAAATTCTTTTTTTTTTTTTTTTTTTTTTTTTCCGGACTGTGAGACCCTCAATAGTTCTCAGTTCTCTTTAGAAATCAGCAATAACTCAATTGGAAAAGCAGACTGAAATGAGCTTGTTTCTTTCTTAGATCCTGACCCCACAAATCCTCATTGTATATTAATAGTTCCCCAATTTATTCAAATTAATTTTAACATAAATAATGTGAAGCTTTATTTACTCTTCTTACTTAGTGAAAAAGTTGGTGTGAGCCACATGGTTAGCAATTGTTAAAATGTAACCACTTAAAGGACTGAAGTTCTTATTGGATTCTAAGGAATTCATTAAATAATAACCCTGTTTTGACCTAAAGATTGAAAGTAACTGAAAGACACAAGAGTCAAGAAGTTATGAGATAGGTGACGGGCAGCACTTGTTTCCTGGACAAGACAGGAAACTAGACAGAACCAGCAAGTGGCATGAAAAGCAATGTCTCGTTGCCCTCGCTGCCCATCTTCATCAGACACTCCCACCAGCGCCATGATGGTTTCCAAATGCCATGGCAACACCTGGAAGTTACTGTCCCTTTCCAAGACAACATCAACAAGTAGCTGCCCATTTTCTAGAAATTTCTGAATAGCCTTCCCTTTAATTTGCATGCAATTAAAAGTGGGTAGAAATACAGCTAGCCAACATCTGGTAAGCTGCTATTCTGAGCTCATTGCCTATAGGCTAGCTGTGTTACTCAAGGAGCAGCTGCTGAGCTGTAACTCTGCAGTGTCAATAAAGCTGCTTTTTTCCACCACTGGCTCACACTTGAATTATTTCCTGACCGACACTAAGAACCTGCCCTGCAGCAGATGGAGACTACGCACACATAGCTTTATTACCAAATTAAACTTGGTTTGGAGATTTTGGCTTACATGTGAGGCAACAATCTGCTACCAAATAAGCATTCTGTCTGTTTGTCATTCAGTGATATGGTGGTAATGAAATGGAATGAACTCAAGAAATCTCCAGCTCTCAACTGCTTACCACTTTGCAGGGGCAGAACCTGTCCACTTAAGCTTATTTCATGTCTGAAGCCAGAAAAAAAATCAGATTTTTGTTTTTGTTTTGGCTTCTGGATTCTTCCCTCCCAACCCTGTCAAAGTGGAACTGAACCAGTTGCTTCTAAGTACTTAGCCCACATCCAACAATCAGATAATCTTCTTTTCCTCCCCCCAAAAAATATCAGGAGCAGATGAAATCATGTCTACTGTCAGAGTATGTTATACATGTCAAAGACATAATTTTGTCCTAAATGAGGAATGTATCCAACAGACTTGTTATTAAAATGCATTCAGGATGCATAGCTAATGATCATCCACTCTGATAAAAATCACAATTTGTGGCAAATTTTTTTCAGCTTCAGAAATGAGTGAACTCGTCTGTTCTCTTTCAGCACATTTTGCAATAAGATTCTTTTTTAAGGTGACTAGAATATTCTGTAACTTCAAATTAGGTATTTGCTTTCTGCTGCACAGTTGTTATTTGTTTTTTACTACCCTGCTGGCCTTATCCATACTTGCTTGGACAATTCTTCGTTCAAATAATTGTTCCTGTCTTAGAGTTGACCCAGAACTGATTTCTGAGAGAAATTCTGGACCTGCTATCCCACATGCTGATGACCCTCAGAAAAATGTGTGGTAACTGTTTTTTGGCAGAAATTATTGTTCATTAGTTTTTATGAGGATGAAGTCCTTGCCTTTCACCCAGTTGATTGCTAAAGCATATGGTTCTATATTATATTAATAAAATAGAAGAATATCCAGATCTCGTGTACCTGATAGGCAATAGCACCTAGAACTTTCCACGGCCATCTCATACTCAAAGTTCAGTCATGAAAAATAACAATAATAAAAAACAGATATTCAAGTCATGTAACTGACTGAAGGCCTGGCATACATTTTTGTAGCAAGTAAAGCCAAGAGTGATGCAATATAATGTAGCCAAAATAGTGTGGACTCTAGTTAAACCACCTAGACTAGAAATATGGTTCAGTCATTTGCACATTAGATGTAGAAGTGACTTGACTTCTGTGTACATGTTTCATCTTTGTAAAATCACAATACAGTTGTTTTAAGGAATAAAATCATAAGTACATAAAATACTTCAAATTATTTCTAGCACATAGAAAGTTCTGTAAATTCAGCTTCCCTATTTTGATTTCTGTACTTAAGCTTTTATTATAGACATCTTTAGAACACTTAAATTGATTGTGACTTGCATAGATGCAGACATTCTGTTTATTCACTGCTATGCTTCTTACAGCTCTCCATAAAATAAATGTTTAATAAGTACTTTTTGAATGGATGAATTTTGAATAAACCTCTGATCTTGCCATTTGATGTATTTTCTAATGGCCATTTTTGAGGAATCTGATGAGTTATAAAAAGTATGATATTATTGCATTTATTTGGAGCACAATGTCAAGAGTAATGTTTATAAAATTACACAGCGCTCACTTTATGAGTTTATAGAAAAAAATCCTAGTAAGTATTAATTATAGGAAGATATTATCCTTCTTGTGGAGACTGAGTTAGCTACAGATATGGAGAAATGAACATTGTTTATGCATGTAAGGAGGTTCTAGTATTGTGAATATTTAGGCAATCTATGTAAGAATGAAGAGTGTATCCTGAATCTGTATAATATAAAGAAAACTCTAAATTTAAATTGCTGGTATTGCTTGTTTGGAGTGCCATAAAGAGAAAAAAGGAGACATTAAACTTACACACACACACACCCCTACACACATGCACACAAACAAACTCGTGCGCATGTGTGTGCGTGCACGCGCGCACACACACCCCTCACACGTGATTCTAATTACATTCTAATTTGTTGCTCAGAAAAAGTGAGAAGTTTTATAATTGCCTTTTGCAGTAATACTGGATTATATTTGCTGTGAAATCCAGCATTTGCCAAATTCAAATCTGTGATTAATGCTAATGCCAATTTCACGTTGTCGGCAGACAGTGCACCTGCACACGCATTTCCAGTGACAAGCACCATATATTACCTTCAAATCAGCAAGGATTGTTTCCAAACCTGGAACGGACTGAACATGTATTAACTTCCAGTGTTAGTATGTGTTGCAAGCTTATTCCAAACCTCTTGAAAGTCCACATTTTAAAAACAATAGAGGAAACAAATCGTGCTTAAAAATAAAAGCTCGAAGTCTACAGTTGAAGGCTTAAGTAAGATAGATTGGGTTCTGTGATCATGAGGATTGTGAATGGGTTCCTTTTTTTTTATTTTCAGTGCAAGAGAAGGCAGAAAAGAAGAAAGACACATTTATAAAATTATTTAAGCTACAGTTCCTATTCTTCTGTAATACTGATAAAGAGTGAAAATATATCTTAGTTAAAATATTTTTATAGTAATCACACTTATCTTCTTTTTTTTTGAGACAAGGTCTCACTCTGTTACCCAGCCTGGAATACAGTGGTGCAATCATGGTTCACTGTGGGCTCAACAGCCTGGGCTCAAGTGATTCTCCCACCTCAGCCTCCAGAGTAGCTGAGGCCAAAGCTACATGCCACTGCACCAGGCTAATTTAAATTTTTTTTTTTTTGTAGAGGGACGGCCTCTCTGTGTTGCCAAGGCTGGTCTTGAACTCCTGTGTTCAAGTGATCCACCTGCCTCAGCCTCCTAAAGTATTGGAACTGGGATAACAGTCATGACGTCCTTCCTTCCTTCCTTCCTTCCTTCCCTTCTTTCCTTCCCTTCTTTCCTCCTTCTTTCTTTTCTTTTTCTTTCTTTTCCTTCCTTTCTTTCCTTTTTCTTTCTTTTCTTTTCCTTTCTTTTCTTTCTTTTTGTTTCTTTCTTTTCTCTCTTCTCTGTCGCCCAGTGTGCAGTTGTGTGATCTGCAACCTCCACCTTGCCACCACATTTAAGTGATTCTCCTGCCTCAGCCTCCCGAGTATCTGGTATTACAGGAATGAGCCACTACTCCTGGCTAATTTTTGTATTTTTAGTAGAGATGAGGTTTCACCATGCTGGACAGACTGGTCTCGAAGTCGTGACCTCAAGTGATCCCCCCTACTCAGCATCCCAAAGTGCTGGGATTACAGGTGTGAGCCACCACAACTGGCCCCCACTCACACTTTTCTAAAACTGTGTTTTACAAACCTTTCCTCATTTTTTACTCAGTACAGCATTAAAGTTTTTCCCTTTGATACAGGCAAGGAATCAGAGAGTCTATGTAGCTGAGAAGTATCAAATGGATAAATTGGAACCTGGTCTTTAGTCTCCATGAGGCCCCTTATTCCACAGAGCTGGCTCTTAAGAATATATGGATTATAAATATTCACTAAAAATTAAGAACTGCAGTTTGTCTCAGTACATGAGTTATCATAGGGAAAGCTGTTAGAATAATGTCTGGCTAACTGTTAGTACTTCTTGGTCATTTGTTGTTGAACTGTTATTATTGGTCATAGTTTTGATATTGTCGTTATCAATGTTCTAAGATAACTGGGCCAGCCCAAAGTCAGTAGTTCTTCTGACCCCAAATATAGATAAACCAAGCAAAAAGAAAGAAATGAAGACCACCGTAGCAGAGTTTGAGAATATCTGGTCACCTAATATTCATAGAAATTTACTGTTAATGATAAGCCCAATATGTTCAAATCTTGACCAAGTTGGCTATCTGATAAAAGGTGATTATGTGAATTGAGTTTGTCACTGAGCACGGTTCTCAAACAGCAAAATAATAAAATAAAGATCATTCCAACCAGTTATTTAATTAAACAGCTTATGAATTTCTGTTTTGTTTACAAGGCACATCTGCATGCAGTAACCTGCTTAAACTTAGGAAGGAGAATTCCTTTTAGGATCCCATGCTTCAGTGCAGAGGTCAATGAATTACAGCCCATGGGCCAAGTTTGGCCTTCTATGATTCAAATAAGGCCATGCTTACTTCATTTGTCTACATGCTGTCTATGGCTAATATTGCACTACAACAGCAAAATATATATATATATACACACATACATACATATATATGTACTATTAGGCCCTTTACAGAAAAAAAATTGTTGACTTGAGTTTAGATGGACATTCATGATTTAGATATAGTCATATCACAAAAATAGGTAAACACATACACACAAACAATAATATGTAAGCACCTCAATCACCTGCAGTCCAGCTTTCAGGGCCGGCCTGGTGGGAGCAGTAACTCTAATTGTCAAACATTCACTCTTCGGATTAACACTGCAAAGCCCAAGGAGAGGATCTCTACATTTGCATACTCAAAAACAAGCAAATGGCCCAAGATATGTAAAAAATAAACAAACAAAAAATAACACACTGCATCAAAAAGTCAAAGTTGCATGCGTTATGCCTCTTCTGTTATACAGCTTCAGAAGTGTACAGGTAAAAGAGAACAAATTAATTAATGAATTATATTAGGGTTCTGCAAGGAAACAGAACAAATAGGATATATATATATATATATATATATGCACATATATATAAATGTGTGTGTGTGTATATATATATATATATATATATATATATATTTTTTTTTTTTTACAGAAAGAGATAGTATAAGGACTTATCTCACACGACTGTGGAGCCTAAGGAGTTGTATGATCTGCTTGCTGTCTGCAAGCTGGAGACTCAGGGAAGGTTGTGGTGTAAATACCAGTCCAAGCCCTAAGAACCAGGCATGCTGGTAGTAAGTTCCAGTTCAAGGGCAGGAGAAGATGGGCATCAAGGCTCAAACAGTCAAACCAAGTGCAAATTCAACCCTCCTCTACCTTTTTGCTCTGTGCAGGCCCTAGATGAATTGGATGAGGCCCACTCAAATTAAGGAGGGCCATCTGCTTTCTCTGTTCAGTGATTCAAATGCCAGTTTCTTCTGAAAACCCCTGTATAGACATAACCAGAAATAATATTTAAGCAGATATCTAGGCATTTCCTGGCACACTCAAGGGTCCAGGGATTTACACATAAAATTAATAATCGCACAGATCAAATCTTCAACATGAACACAATATATTCTTACATAACTTAAGTGTCATTTTTTTCAGTTGAGCTAGTGTCCATCTTCTCTTTGAGTAATGTTCCAATTCCTGCTATGGACATACTGACTAATTAGCATGCTACTTGCGTATGGTAGTCATACATAGCAACTAAGGAACATTCTGTAATTTACAATAATTCATATGACTCTTACATTTATATACTTGTTGGTCTAGACATAGCATGCATGAAGTGTGATATTGATTCCTTAATTTGGCGAGTAGATACACATTGAATGTGAAAATTAGGAAGTTATATTTTATAAGAATATTTAATAAAAATGCATTTTAAGATGATCTAAAATAATTTTGATATGAAATTAATATTTATTATTAAACTTGCATTTTAGCTTTTATGATGTTTGTCAGTTTTGAATATTTGTGAAGAAAAATATCGTGATTGAGAATAGATATAGAATAATTCTAGTGTTTATATTTTACATATGTTGAAATTTACATTTTGGATAAAATATTAACATTTACTAATCTCTGAGTACATTTACATTTTATTTTTGGTCAGCTGGACAGTTATAAATATAAAATATATATATAAAAATATTGACTATAAAATATGGCAATGCTGATGAAATGAAGGTAAATCATGAAGTAAATACATAGTAATGTATTAAGTGTATATTGTCTCTAATCATCCAATCATCATTCTTTTATAAGTACAACACCCAGACATGCACAATAATAATAAATTTGGTCTTTTTTGATATTTTTGGACTGACTTTGACTTTCAGTCACCTAAAAGCTATACACGTTTTTGGCTTGAAGGTATATTTATCAATATAGAAGTTATATATTAATTTATTATATATGTGTTTATTAGTTTATGATGTTCAACTCTTTAAATGTATGATAAATCGGTTTCCTTTTTTATTTCTCACTCAGTCACCATAAAAGTTAGGTGAAGCCCTGTTCACATGAATGGACTGAGACTCACATTGAAATGTCAGCAGCCCCCTCTACTTCTGGCTGTTTAGGCTTAGACTTGATATCCTTATCTGTAAAGTAGGACATCATCAGTCCCCTCATTGTATTTCTGGGATGATTACATAAGCCAACGTCTGTAAAAGTGTCTAGCACTTAGCTCATGCTAGTTTCTTCTCATAAGCATATTATATCACTTGAACCTCAAAATAATGAGGTTGGTTTCATTAAGTGCTCTGTTGTTCTTTAATAAATGATAAAAATGAGATTCTGGGAAGATGGTACCTACTAGAGATCACAAGTCAGTGAATGGTGGATGTGGGTCCATCATGCATGACTTAATGGGGTAACAGTAAAAGAAAGTGTGGCCCTTGGGATCAGAAATCCAAGTTTGAGTCTCATCTTTACCATTTAATGGCTATGTGACCTTGAACAAGGAATTTAAACTTCTTCATTGTCAATTTTCCCAAATGTCAATTGAGGTTTAGAGTAGCCATCTATAAAATGTGAGAATTAAATAAAGTAGCATAAAATACTACCAGATGTATGTGATTTATATGGTTTCAACCTTATTCCTCTCAATACTGTGCTCTTGTTACGTTGAAAATATGCCTTTTTCAGTAGGAATATTTCTTCCAAATAAATGTTCACCTACAACTCCAATGTTATTGATACATAAAATATAAAGAACAGCCTTGGATGAATTAGAACAGAGCCCCTGTGTATTAGAATGCCACTTCTTTTCCTTACTCTCCAGGACTATGGTGGTGGCTCCTGAAGGTATTTTCTTTGAACCTGAAGGCTCTAGAAAACAAGGTTTGAAATATATGCCCTAAAACCACTTTCCTTGTTACATCATTGCATACATCTACATATGAAATAATCTGCAGTGATAGCTATTTTCCTGAAGCAGTTCTGACAGCTCAACTGAAGAAGAATTTTCCATCCGCCTCTGCTGGCTAATGTGGCCATTTCTGCACATCATAAACATGTCTCCCCACAATGCCTCCCACTTCTCCTTCCGCTCTCCATCTTGTTCCAACACTGGGCCAGCACAGCATCAAGCATCCACACGACCTTGGCTTACTTCAACTCAATCTAGCATCCGTGTAAAAGCATTCTGAGACTCCGTATACCAGACGGGTGGCTGGCTGTGTGCCACCAGTTTAATTGCCAGCTTAAGTCACTTGAGTTTCCTAATTCTAGAGTAGCGTTTTACACACCTGCAGTTTTTTTCTTTTTCTTTTTCTTTTCTTTTTTTTTTTTTTTTTAGCTTTTCATGCAAATCTAGATTTTGCCAACTCTGGCATTTTTCAGTAACAGCACATTTCTCTCTGACAGTCCCATTGAAAGCAAGTGGGGCTTAGCACCTTTCAACTATGATATTGCCTTTGGCTCTCACACAGATGTCTATCACTTCAGCTTCTATTTTCAGGGTTCAGGAATGTATAAGGTTTGGAAGACTGACCTGTGCCAGTAATCAACATAAATCATATTGTGTCACTCTACTGCTTACTATTCTCCAGTGGTTTCTCATTGTACTCAAAACTCTTTGTTTTTCCTTCAAAATATGCAAGTGCTGATCTCTCCCTATTCCTACAACAACATTTAATACTATGATTCTTCTCTCTCTCATTCTGCTCTATCCACTATGACCTACTTTCTGTTTTGCTGCCACCAAGAGTTTATTTCTGTAGCAGTCTTTGAGATAACTCTGCTCAGTCTAGAATGTCTCTCTTCCTAACGTTATGTAGCTGCTCCTTCACGTCATTCAGATTTCTGTTTACATATCACCTCCTCACAAAGATGTTTGCCGACTACCTACACTAAATTAGCTACTGAGAAACTTTCTGTCACATAATGCTATGATAATTCTGTACAAACGCCTACCTGTACTTCTTTAATTTTTAAAATGATTGCATTTTGGGGTTTGTGTTTGTTTGTTTGCTTCTCCTTCTTGAGTGGAAATTCCATGACTGTGGGGGAACTTCTATGTTTCATTCACTGCTGTATATTCAGCAAATGAAACAGCCTGACACACAGTAGGGATGCAGTAAATATTTGTTTAATTAACTGCCTGGCCTACCAACAGTGTCTCTATTCCCATAAAGCCAAGTCTCTTACCTTAGTATTATATTGGATGTGATGTGGATTTACCAAGTTTTATTTGTTGTCATTTCCATCTAGTCACACAAAATAAACTGAACCAACTCTTTGTGGTTAGGTAGAGTTATAGGACATTTTTGGATAACACAATGTGAGTGGAAGTGATCTGCACCAATCTGGGATGAGGCAGGGAAAAACCCCTCACCATTCTATCTTCTCCTTTCCTCACTTTGGGGATTGGCTGACCAGAGGCTGTGTGCCAGGATGGGATCACAAGATGGAAGTAGCATGCCTATGTGAGTCATCTCTCTAGACATAGCTGCCATAGAGGGTGGCTCAATCCACACTGGACTTATAATGGGTGGAAAACAAACTTGTATGTGTTACGTTGGTTACCACAGCATAAGCATAACCTATCTGGAATAATGAATCCATACAGAATGAGAAGAGCATGGGATCAAGAAATACCCAGAATCAAAGCCAGCCTAAATTGTTTGATCTATCTAAGCTGCTACTGATATGGTTTGGCTCTATGTTCCCACCCAAATCTCATCTGGAATTATAATCCCCACGTGTTGAGGGAGGGACCTGGTGGGAAGCAATTGGATCATGGTGGTGGTTTCCTCCATGATGTTCTAATGATACTGAGGGTGTTCTCATGAGATCTGATGGTTTAAAAGTGGTAATTTCCCTTGTATTCTCTCTCTCTCTCCTACTGCCACGTAAGACAAGCCTTGCCTCCCCTTTGCCTTCCACCATGGTTGTAAATTTTCTGTGGCCTCTCCAGCCAGGTGGAACTGTGAGTTAATTAAACCTTCTTCATAAATTACCCAGTCTCAGGTTGCATTCTTATAGCAGTGTGAGACTGGACTTGTACAGCTATGAAATAAAGTGTTTAACGTACATGCACACTTTTAGGTGGTTAGTCATATAAGTACTTGGGACAAGTAAGTGTTCATTAAATTTTAGTTCAAGATTAACATTTCTAGAAACAAATTTACCTATTCATTAAATATACAATGCAACTTTGAATCTTATTGCATTCCAGCCTTAATATGATAATGAACACCAGCCCCTTTGTTCCTAGAAAGGGGTCCTGATCCAGACCCCAAGAGAGGGTTCTTGGATCTCTCTCAAGAAAGAATTCAGGGCAAGTCTGCAATACAAAGTAAAAGCAAGTTGATTAAGAAAGTAAAGTGGTGAAAGGATGACTACTCCATAGACAGAATAGCATGTTCCTGAAGGTAAGAGGAGGAACGTGTCTGCCCTAAGTACAATGCTTGTGTGTGTGTATATGATAAAAATAGATCTTGGGGAGATGTGCTCTGCTACAAAAGTTTGTGTTACAAGATTATTTTTCTTAATTACTGTATTTTGCAAGAACTGATATTATTTTTAAAGCAAAATTAGGAAAGCCTTTGTTCTCCAGATATTGGGATATCTGGACACTCCCAAGTCTGGGTCTGTTTTAGTCAAATTATTAATTTGTTCCCTTAACCATAAATATCTAGAGTCTAGGAATGCCTAATTTCCTGGGAATGCAGCCCAGAAAGTCTCAGCCTCATTTTCCTAGCCCTCACTCAAAATGGAGTCACTCTGGTTCAAACGCCTCTGACACCTTCATTACTTATCACTTATTCAATGTTAATATTGGTCGTCCTTTAAGATGCCAGACATTGTTCTAAAAGCACCAAGGTGAACAAAACACCTTTTCCCTCTAAAATATCTCTTACTTCAATAGTTAGGATGGACGTGCAAGTAAACAAATTTGATGAGTTGAGACAAAAATAATAAAGGCTATGACAAAGATTCCATCTAAATGGAAGAGGTAAAGTTTGAGCTGGATCTGAGGTTTTTTTTGCATTATATTTTTCATGAATATTCTCATTCATTTCATCATTGATTCAAATCCTTTTTAAAATTTCTTTGGGTCCCTGATTCAGCAATTATCCTCTCCCCTTTCTTGGTATTACTTTTTTCTATAACTCATTCTATTTGCCCTAAAATATCTTATTAAAATTACAAAGTAAAACAAGTCAAATCAAATCAAAATAAATGAGCAAACAAGCATCCTTCTTTTTTTTTTTTTTTTTGACAGAATTTTGCTCTGTCACCAGGCTGCTCCGGTGCAGTGGTGCGATCTAGGCTCGCTGCAACCTCTGCCTCCTGGGTTCAAGCGAGTCTCCTGACTCAGCCTTCCAAGTAGCTGGGATTACAAGCGTGCATCACTGCTCCCATCTAATTTTTGTATTTTTAGTAGAGACGGGATTTCACCATGTTGGCCAGGAATGTCTCGATCTCCTGACCTTGTGATCCATCCACCTTGGCCTCTCAAAGTGCTGGGATTACAGGCATGAAACACCATGCCTGACCACAAGCATCCTTCTATAGATATTGCTTGCCAGTAAGCAAAGTTTCTTACTTTCTTGATGATGTCTACCCCATATCTGCATTAAATCACCTTGCTTTCACTCAGAAATTCATTCCTTCATTCTTCAACAAGTATTAAGCATCTGCTGTTTGCCAGTCACTATAGTTGGCATTGGAGATACAAACATGATTGTTGTTTATAATATAAAGATAAGACATTTAGATAATAGCAAAAAAAAAAAAACCCATGCAACTTTACACTGTGACATGTTTGTATGTCTTTCCATCTGGTATGCATAGTTCTATAAAACTATAGAAGCAGAGTCATCTAACCAGCTAGAATGTCAAAAAATGATTTCTCAATGAGGTAATATTTGAAAGGAGTCACAAATTTAATGAAGAAAGGTTTCTTAGACATGAGAAAGAGAAGACATTTCAAGAGCAAACGAACTTGGAAGACAGCAGTGTGTTCAGAAATGGACTTAGATTGTAATCGTGAAAAATGAAGTCTTGAGAAATATTTAGAAAACTACAGGAATTTAAGGAAGTCAGAGAGCAGGAGCTATGCAGAATGGCACCTAGCTTGCTTCTCTGACGGAGCCCATGAAAAGATGACCCAATGTTCTGAGATCGAAAACACTACAGAATGAATACCATTTGGGGAGAATATACTGAATTCAGTTATTCACGTGTTGGCTTTGAAATGCCTGTCAGTTATCCAAATGCATAATCCACGTAAGAGCTTGGATTTATAAAGCTAAGATGGAAAGACTTAATATAGGGTGTACATTTGGAAATATCACAACAAAAATATACAAACTATAACACTCAGGGTAAGATTATTTTCCAGAAAAGATTATAGCGTAATAAATCGGTTTAATATTAGCTACAAGAAAGTCCCTCATCTCATTAGAAATGAAGAATGAACCAGTAAAGACCAAGGAGGAGTTGGTAAGAATAGAAAGAAAACCATGTGGTTTTAAAGCTAGAGAAAGTCAGAGTTTATGAGAAAATGCCTGCCACATGCTTAAAATTGCTGAGAGCCCAAGTTAAACGGGTAGCAGTGAGGGTTCTTTGATGAAGAGCGTGAGAATTATTACAGGCCTCAGCAAATGGAGGTTCAGTAGAGTAGGTGGAGCCAAGTCTGACTGAAAGGAGAAGTGTAAAGGGAGGACTTTGGAGACAGAACTTATCAGCTATAGACGACTTTCTAAGAGGCTTGGAGGCTGGGAGGAAATCTACACAGAATGGACACAGGGCACAAATGGTCCAAGATACTCACACTTGATTTCTTTTTTCTCTCTATCTTGCCTTGCACACATTTGCCTTTACAAGGAAAGGAACATATACTAATTGGAATTTATCTCCAGAACTCCTGTTACCACTCACCTTATCAGCTTCCTGGAAGTGAATATAAATGAACCACGGAAGTCAGAAAACCGCTTGGATCTTCTTCACCGCTTCCAACTCTAAGCTCCACTCTAGTATAGAAGCTCCACTCTGTTCTTGGGGGTTTCATTGTGTTCCTAATCCATTTCAGAAAATTTTTTCTCATCAAGGCCATTGTGAAATGAAAGAACTTGAGTTTTCTGGGGAAATCAGAGATTGTGACCAACACATCTCATGTCTCTCAAAGTATAAATTTCAGAATTCAGTAAATTGATAAGTAATGTTTTATTCAATTCCTTAAGAAGTATGATGTACTGTATTTTTTGCACATAGTCCATGAACAGATGTCAAGGATTTTGATATACCCTCAAGAAAGCTTCTCAATAAAAACTAGAAAAAAAAAAAAACTAAACAAAACAAACGTTTTGCAAAATATTAGTGTCCATTCAGTAGTTTTAGACAAACACTTAATACCCCTGATTTATAGTTCTGATTCTGTCTCTTTTTACTGAGCAATTTTGGACAATCACTCTGCCCTGGGACCTCGTTTTCTTAATTTGTAAAGAAAGGAAAATTTGCCCAAATTATTGTTCCAAGTGTAAAATTTTGCAATTTATACTGGTATATTTTATAGTTAGATTTTTGAAAAAGATACAAAGGCTTTATTCTGTGCATTCTATTAATAAAACAGAGTTCTCAGACTGATGAGGCCTATGAGGTTGTGTTAATTCATTTCTCAAGGAAACTATGATAGGGCAAAACAATTAGCTATTTATGGCATTAATGCAGTAGAAGTGCTGTGCTCTGATTATAAAATGGAAGGAAGGCATGAGTATCCAGAAAAGAGGGAAAAACAATTTCTCCTAAAGGCAGCTATTCTGGGAATCTGATAAGTTTCACCCGTGGCATCATCCTGAGCCGCCAATCATGAGAAGATTTCAAAGAAGATAGGTTACCTACCACCCACCTGACTGTAGTCTCTAAGGAAGTTAGGAGCTGACAGGAGGAGGAAGTAATATTGAATGTAATCTGTCTTGGCTTTGCAGGAGGCTGAAATGATCATTTCGTAGGAGTGAAGTTTACGTAAGAGTAACTAGACTAGGAGAGAGATGGTCTTCTTACTTGCTAGGGAAGGTGAGTGATACTAATCATAAATAATATGTATTAATGAAACAAATAATTCTAGTATCTTCTCCTATTTTTAACTTAAAATAAGTTCCCCTACTTCATTGTTCTTGTTTGAATTATGTCAACACAATAAAACACAGCATGACCTCGGCCATAGAGAAAAGACAATTAGTCTATTTTAGAGATTTAGTGCAAGACAGTGTGGGTTCAAAGGCAGTCACCATCTCTAAAGAAGAGGGAGATTTGAGCAATTTACTAACTGTTCTAGCATCAGTTTCATCATATGCAAAAGGGACCAAGCTGGTGACTACTTCTAAGCTTACTAAAACAATAAGACTTTTACAAATGAATGAATGAATGTAAACAAATTAAACTATACCTAACATATAGGAAGTATAATATTTGCTGTTATTATTGTCTATGCACTTAGAATATCTATCAAAGTCTGCATTTGTAAAATGTACATTTCTAAAAGCCTATATAATTTATAAATAATGAAGTTGTATTAACATTCATAAAACACACACAGCACCCCAAGACTGAGAGGTAATATTGGCTGTAAAAACAGAAATCTCACAGAAGGAAAAGCCACTGAAACAAATGTTCCCATTTGTCTTTAGCACTGTCCAGGAGAGAGAGATTATATTTTATAAAAATAAATTGTCTCTCCATGTCTGCAAATCTGACCATGTGGTAGAAATGTGCACAGTAAACCATCATATCTCAGTAGCATCCACAGTTCTGATTGGACTGGCACTGCTTTTTCTCCATGCTCGTTTTAAAATAACTTTCTGATTATGATTTTATTTCTGGAATAGATTTGCCATGCAGAACAAATGCACTGACCAACAAACTTGGTTATGTAATCCACTTGATACATTACATTTCTCAATATAAATACTAATTTAGCAATTTGGTATTCTGGTTTATATGCAACCTTCTTGTGTAAGGAATTAGCATGGCTTATTCCTCAGAAGCACATTCATTTTTGGATGTATTACTAACTTTCTTAGTTTATAGAACTATTCCCTGGAAATGGATGACATTTGCAAATTACCAGCGTCATTGGCAGATATCTCTGGTGACTAGCCAGGCTTCTCCAGGAAAAGTCCTTCTGTAAATGTCCTTTCAAATTGTAAGAAAAGTTCTCCAGCCATAACAGAACTGGATAAAAGCTACTCTAGGTCTTCAGCAGCCTCAATACAGCTTACCTTCAGGATTATGAGTACTGCCATTTTTGACCAATGTTATAATTTGATACAACTTATTTCTTCACACACTCTTTTCTTGTCCACTATTCTCACGTTTTTCACTCCTGTTCTGTCTTTAGAGTTGACTTACCACGTGAAAAATGCAACTACAAAACCATAGATGGCTTGAGCTAGAATGGACCAGAAGGGTGAGGGCAGATCTCAGCTCCCCTACTTGTCAAGGGGCAAAATCATTGTCAGAAAAGAGGATTCCTACAGTTCTGGTTTGCTCTCACCTATTCTCTAGTGTTATTTTAAACCACATTTTACTCTACTTAAAATTCTCTAGCCTAAAAAACATCAGGACAATGAGTAATTTCCAAATGAGATGAAATGATATCAAGTATCCTTGAAACTGGTCATTGGGCCTCAGAGGAACATATCCACCTGTTTGAGTAGCTAACATTTGTTTATGTGTGCATGTAGGGGTTGTGTGTGTGAGTTTTGGAGGGTACGACTAACTTTCTCTTCAACTAGCATAAATAGTATACGTGTATATGTTTGACAACTATTACAATGCTATGCCTTTCTATATCTTTATTTTCTTATTCGTAAAACGGAGATAATAGCAATAATGCCTAAGTTTCTTAGGAGAATTAAATAAAATAATACGCCTAAGGCATTTAGTGTAGTGTCTGACACATTTGATCACTCTCTGAATACCAGTGTAGCAGTTTTTGTTATAACATTTATGTATCACTCGTAATATATTTTTATTATGGCATCAATTTGATACTTATGATAATTTCTTGTCATTCCTTTCTCTCTTTCCATAATTTACCATAATTCACAGCATTTGTTCCCTTCTAGTAGCATAAAAATTAATTCATTTGTAATTTTTATTTTCTGTCCCAACCCACTAAATTATAGGTCCCACCAAGGTGGAACCCTTCATCTCCTTTTTTCACTACTGTATCTTCAGTGCCTAGATCAGTGCCTGACCCATAATAATTGGACAGTAAATATTATTAGGGTGAATGATAGAAAGGCACTTCTGTGAGGTGGGTGGAACAGGGGTTATTCTCCCTGTATTGCAGCAGAGGAAGGTGAATTGCAAAGTGGCTTTAACATTTATGCAAAACTGCACAGCTGGAAATTCCCAAAACCACTGGTAGAATTCTGGTAATTCAATTGAGCAAAGATTCTGAAGAAGGAAAACATCTTGGATCATCAGAAGCAATTTAGCAGGAGAAAATTCACTTGAAAGATTGAGATGAGGACAGGCTATTGAAATGTTTAAATTTCAGGCTGGAAGGCTGGAAATGCACTAACAAGGCAATGGGAGTCATTAAATGTTGAAGATGCTGTAAATGGCATAGAGAGGTTGGGTTTTATAACTTCCACATTGAGATTATTTTATTATCCACCAGTATATTTATAATTTAACACACTTTGGTGGAAAAAGTGTGTTTATACAAATGCACACAGAAGTGTTTATAAAAATATACACTCCATGATGTACATCATATCCTAACTCCACTCCTCCTCTGCTACAACACACAAAAATGGATGTGCCTAACATGTGACCTTGGGAAAAGACAGCAAGTCCTTGACCCTTCTGGTAGCTGTCCATGAGATGCTTAGGCAGTTGATATTTCTGGACAATGATAAGACTCTTACTTGAAAATACCAAATGCCTTAGCAAGTAATAGAATATACTTCAGAGACTGTCTGCTGCCTCCTTCTGCAGGCTTGTCTATCACTATACCTGCACCGTGCAAAATGTGCACATATCCATTATACCCATCAGTGTGAACTACTGACAGTTCCTGAAACGCTGAGCTATCTAACATGCTGGTTTCTTTCTGCTACTGATTGCGTCTGGAAAACAAAGCATTTAGCTCAGTGGATGTATCACAGCAAATGCTGGAAAAAAAATATGTGTTGTGTGTGTGTGTGTGTGTGTGTATATATGTATGTATATATATATATATAATTTGTATTACGTTATATTACAGGTATGTTATATCATATACTACAGTAAAACGTTACATAAATATTCATTTTGGCAAACATGACTTCTATTATTTTATTTTTATGCCCAGCAATTATCTCCAGCAAATATCTGTATATCTTTCTAAAATTGGATTTTTCAAGAAATTCTTTTGCTGGCCAATGCCTTTGCCTTCATCTCGGAGTCTTGACCTTGCACAAATTTCCATTACACTACCCTAGAGTGTTTTACTATTCATTTTTTATATCTGTGTAAGTCTCTCATAATATGATTTTTTTCCCTCTGGGGCCTGGGTTATATCTTCATTTTTGTATGCTCAGTTCTTACCAAAACCTGGTATGTGGTTGGTGCACAGTTATACTTTTACACTCAAGAAATATGTACATTCCCCACAATAGATATATCAATGCCAAAATGACCTCTGTCTTGGAAAACCTTCAGTGATTTTTTTTTGTCAGGCTTTTAAACCATGGAGTTGCTTTTTTTTTTTTTTTTAAGGTTTTGTAATGAATTCCATTATAATTCATTTGAGGGGTCTATTATATTATCTTTGAAATTATTATTTTTTAAAAAAAGTAGAGGTATTTCTGATACATTTTTTACTGTAGTGGCTATGGGAAGCCTTCAGCCTTCCGCCTTATGGGCAATAGATAACTTTTTGCTTATTCAGAGCTTTGCTGGTTGCATTTAGCACAGTAAGAGGACGCGTGCTCTTCACAAACATCAAAGTGGCGCTCAATCTTCCTTGGAATTTGTGTGATTGCCTCTTTTGTGTTCCTTAAAAACTCAAACCTTCTGAAATTGCCTTCTCAGTGTGCACCAGAAACTGGTATATGACTTGTATCAACTACATTCCACCTCAGGAGCTGACCATGCCTTTGAGGTAACTCACTTTAATTGCCAGAATCCCAACCCAGACCTTGTGAGAAAAAATTGCATTCACCATTCCCTCTACAATAAATTCTTACACAGCCTAATGTAAGGTTTTGAGAAGTAATTAAATTGCCTTGAAATACACACATGCACACACACACATACACATTTTGCTGTTCTTAAATGGAAAACCTGTTGGAGCAGACTTCCCTCTCTTTATTTCCTCTTCTTTCTACTCCTTTCATGCGACCCTTTGGTAGGGCATTTCTCTTTCATATTACTTCCATTTATTTTATCTAATCCCATTCTAATGGAAACTAGAAAACAGACTGAAACTACTCATCAATCATATCATTCTAATCAGTATAGCTGGCCAGAGATAAAAAGTCATCTCTGCAATAAATGCTTCTCAGTGGACTTACCTCTCCTACTCCACTCCAGATATAAGTCAGATGTCCTCTGCTCATTCTTCCACTGTTTCACTAATTCTTTTTTTTTTTTTTAATTTTTAGACAGGGTTTCACTCTGTTACCCAGGCTGGAGTGCAGTGGTATGATTACAGCTCACTGCAGCCCTGATAACCCAGTCTCAGGCCATCCTCCCACCTCAGTCTCCTGAGTAGCTGAGACTACAGATGCACACAAATTTTTAAAATATACAGGCAAATTTTAAAAATATTTTTGTAGAAATGGAATTCCACTATATTGCCAGGCTGGTCTTGAACCACTGGGCTCAAGTGATCCTCTTGTCTTGGCCTTTCAAAGTGCTGGGATTATAGGCGTGAGCTACCATGCCTGGCTTGTTTCCCTAATTTGATGGAATCAATTTATGTTGGAGGTGAGGTATATTGAACATCAGCTAATTTTGAGACCAGGTGCTGGATGTATGTATGTGAATAAGCATATATAGTATTATTTAATTGTCATAATGAGACTTTTAAAGTAATACAGTCATCTTCATTATTAGTTGTTAGAATGAAGTATACTGCTTCATGCAAAACACATTTACATCTATTACAGATCTATAAATGTTCTATTTCACAGAGTATAATAAAAATAATAAAACATAATAGATTAGTGGATGTCAAGTACTTGCTTTAAAAGTAAAAAAAGTTCTATAGTAATAACTTAGACAAGTACTCTTCTTTCTGTAAGTTAAAATTCTGTTTAAAAATAACATAAATCACATCTATCTATTTAACTACCTAGGCATACATAAAATATAAACACATATTTATTTCCAAACTCTGTGATAATCATGACTCATGGTATAATCAGAAAAATTTTTACCTTCAGGAGAACCAACTATTTATAAGAAAATCCTTGTATGTATTTTATAACTTCAGATAAGAATTAACCATTCTGAGCTAGTGACGGTAATGCATGTAGAGTATATTACATTTCCAAAAGCACTTAAATATACTTATATTTATATATAAAATATATAAAAATTGTATTAGTTTCCCAAGAGAAGTATGCCTTTGGCCCAAAGCTCATTTAGTCTTTTACATATTTTAGAATTTTGTACATAGAACACTCAATCAGCTGATAAAATCCTGGAACTCTGGAAATTAATGGATTTCTCCAATATCACTTGTATTGGAAGTGATAGGGCCAGGATGGAGCAGGAAGTGTCTGTTCTTTTCATAGTTTCAAGCTTTCTCCAGTTAATGAGAACAACAAAAAAAGAGGATTGAGCTAGTGTTCTTTTTTTTCTAAAGCTTACTTTAAACCTGTTGACCATTGTTATTCTACATTTTCAGGACTTGAATTTGTGATGATGTTCTCTGCGTAGGCATCAACACACTTTCCGATTCCAGTTGGTCCCACAGCATTGCCAAGAATATTTTTGCGTTTCCCTCATCTTCTAATTCAATTTGTCCGCAGTATCTAGTTTAACATTTTTCACTTTGCTCAAGCTTCTTTCTCATCCTAGCAACAACCCCCTCATTACTAAGAGGTGACCTAACATCAACACCCACAGAAGCAGGAAAAAGAACTGGATGAGAACTCTGCTGATCTTTTGCTGTGAAGGTAGAAGGACTACTACTTCTTATTGGGGTCATCACTTTGGTCTCCCTACCATTTCCTCCTTTGCAGGAAGCTGATTTCTTTTTAGCCCTTTAAATTCTTTATCTGAGAGAATCTTCACTTCTTGCTAGTTCCTTCCCTTTGTAAATAACTTTCTCAACTTGATTCTGTTTTTAAAATAGTCAAAGAAACCAATAAACAATCAATCAAAAACATCAATAATAGGCTGGGCGTGGTAACACCTGTAATCCCAGCACTTTGGGAGGCCAAGGCAGGCAGATCACCTGAGGTCAGGAGTTTGAGACCAACCTGGCTGACACTGCAAAACCCTGTCTCCACTAAAAATACAAAAATTAGCCAGGTATGGTGGTGGCTGCCTGTAATCCCAGATACTCGGGAGCCTGAGGTAGGAGAAACGTTTGAACCCAGGAGGTGGAGGTTGCAGTGAGCTGAGATCACACCATTGCACTCCAGCCTGGGTGACAGAGTAAGACTCTGTCTCAAACAAAAAAAAAAAAATCAATAATAATCACAACACAGTGCCACTCTAGAAATTCACTTTGGGTATTTATTGTCCATATGAACTTTTGTGAAATGATGCATGAACAAGTTTATCCACTGTAGCCCTGTTGGCAATAGAAAAAAAAGCTGTGAGCAGGTTGAGGATCTGTTAATAGAGGACTGGGTGAACAATTGATGGAATAATGTCATGGCATGAGGCTATGAAAAAGAACAAGGAAGCTCTTTATGGGCTGATAGTGGAAATACAGTTGACCCTTGAGCAACACAGGTTTGAACTGTATGAGTCCACTTAGACACAAATTTTTATTCACCTATGCCACCCCGAGACAACAAGACCAACACCTTTTTCTTCTCATCTTTAGCCTACTCAACATGAAGGCAACAAGGATGAAGGCCTTTATGGTTACTCACTTTCACTTAATAAATAGTAAATATATTTTTTCTTCCTTATGACTTTCTTTTTCTTTACTGCTGTCTCTAAATGTACCTTTGATTTTCTTAATATTTTCTTTAGCTTACATAATTGAACAAATACAGTATGTAGTATATATAGCATACAAAGTATATGTTAACCAACTGTTTATTATCAGCAAGGCTTTTGGTCAACAGTAGGCAATTAGTAGTTAAATAATTGACAAGTTAAAAGTTATATTTAGATTTGTAGCTGCACAAGGGCTTGGCACTCCCAATCACCTATTGTTCAAGGGTCAGCTGTATTTACAACATACACTGGCAAGTGAAAAGGGCAAGAAAAAGCAAGGAGCAGAATTATATAAATAAAAAAAATACTTTCTGTCATTTTTCTGTAGGATGAAAATAAAAGAACCTATATTTGGATTTGCTTATATAAGTATAAGGAAACTTAATGAATTTATATAAGAAATAAACCAGTGGACATTGAGGTGGAGTTAGAATGAGAGCTTGGCAAGAATAAAGAAAGAAGACATGGACAGAGATTTCTCACTATATAGGTGTATTAGTCAGGGTTTTCTGGAGGGACAGAACTAAAAGATAGCTGTATATATGAAAGGGAATTAGGGAGTAATGACTCACACCATCACAAGGTGGAGTCCCACAATAAACCATGTGCAATGTGAGGAACAAGGAAGCCAGTCCAAGTCCCAACATCTCAAAAGTAGGGAAGGTGACACTGCAGCCTTCAGTCTGTGGCCAAAGGCCTGAGAGCCCCTGGCAAATCAATGGGGTAAACCCAAGAGTCCAAAAGCTGAAGAACTTGAAGTCTGATGTTTGAGGGCAGGAAGCATCCAGTATGGGAGAAAGATGGAGGCTGGAACACTCAGCCAGTCTAGTCCTTCCGTGTTCCTCTGCCTGATTTTATCCTAGCCGTACTGGAAGCTGATTAGGTTGTGCTCACCCAGCTTGAGGGTGGATCTGCCTTTCCGAGTCCACTGACTCAAATGTTAATCTCCTTTGGAAACTCCCTCACAGACGTACCCAGGAGCAATACTTTGCATCTTTCAATCCAATCAAGTTGACACTCAGTAGTAACCATCTCTGGGATATTTACTTATTCAGCTTCTGTGTGTGTTGTGCGTTGTATATCTGCTCATAAAATTGTAAATTCCATGGAAGCAGAAACTTCTTTTGGTATA
This sequence comes from Homo sapiens, assembly GCF_000001405.40. Taxonomy (NCBI): domain Eukaryota; kingdom Metazoa; phylum Chordata; class Mammalia; order Primates; family Hominidae; genus Homo; species Homo sapiens. The sequence continues at coordinate 12,165,268 of NC_000004.12, read as the reverse complement.
GACTGAATATACTGGCATTCAGAGGAGTCCCTGACACATAGTAATTGCTATACTTTGGGTGTTTGTGTCTTAAAATCTCATGTTGAAATGTGATACCCAGTGTTGGAGGTGGGACCTAATGGGGAATATTTTGGTCATGGTGGTAGATCCCTAATGAATAGATAAATGCCCTCCTTTGTGGGGAACTGAGTGAGTTCTCACTCCTTTTAGTTCCCTGTAGAACTGGAAAAAAAGCCTGGTACCTCCCCCATCTCTCTCTGGCTTGTTCTCTTGCCATATGATCCTGCATACACCAGCTCCCTTTGCCTTCTGCTATGAATGGAAGCAGCCTGAGGCCCTCACCAGAAGCAGATGCTGGTGCCATTCTTCGAGTACAGCCTTCAGAATTATGAGCCAAATAAACCTGATTTCCTTGTAAGTCACCCAGCCTCAGGTATTATTTTATAATGACACTAACGAACAAATGGACTAAGACAGTAACAGTAAATATGGATTAAATAAGCGATTGAAAATATGTTGACTGAGAAAATAGATTAATGAGCAAACAAATCCAGCCTTTGAGTTCAGTGGTTGGCTTGGAAGTGGTGGTCTGCTTAAGAATCTACAGGTGAGATTCTAAGAACCTATCCCCAAATATCCTGAACATGTCAATCTAGTGTAGAATGACACAGGGTGCATTTTAATTATTACCCCTGTTGTCTGGACACTGCAGTCCACAAATCACATTTTGAAAATGTCAGTGTTGTCATTGCATAGTCCTTAGGGGTCGTAAAATCTTACCATAATCCCTACCCAAGGGAGTTTTGGATCAAGGTCTAAAACCAAGATCTTGGTTATTCCCACCCAGTGAACTTTATTCATTAGTTTAATAACATATTTTGTGCCAGACTTCACCCTAGATGACAGGTTATGGCTGGGAGCAAAGTAGAGAGGAAGGTCTTTCTTCTCACAGAGCTTATGTTAGTGTAGGCAAGACAGGCAGTAAATAAGTAATAAATAACCATACTGCAATTCTGACTCAGGCCAACTTCAACCAGCTTCCTCAGCTTTTATTTTGTGGTAGTTGCAAAATACCTGCAATTGTCCTGGGGAATTTATTTTAGACATCGATTTCAGTTCACTCAGTGATTTTATATATCCTTTTCTTTGAATAGCCATGTCTCTGGAGAAGGCCTGCATTGCCCATATCTTCCTTCTAATAAATAATTAAAAGCACTCAGCATAGGACAATGATCAGGCTGCTTTTCCTGGGCCTGGCCTCCTGCCCTCCACAGAACACATGAGCTTCTTTTGACAAACGTCATTGGTCCCCAAAGCATGTTTATTCCTGGTAGCAAGTTTAATGATCTGAAAATTGCAGATCATGTCCCCTTGTAATGTTAAGCATTTATAGAAAGTACCTCCTACATCCTGCAATTAAAGCACCTTCTGTAAAATAATTAGTCACAAAGATAGAATGTCAGGTGCTTTTAGGGGTTAGCAGGATGACATTAATTTCAACAGTAATTATTCAGACAGGCCAAGATCTTTGCAGAAAGCCACTCAAAGAAGTAATTTTCATTCTACCAAATTTTATATGCACGTTTCATTGTTTCAAAACAGTTAACAAAAGTGTCAAGGTGAAGAGTGCCAAATAGGTATGCACAGAAGTGAGAGAAATCTGTGGAAAAACACTGTTTTTAAAAGGTAGTCTAGTACAGTGGGATAATTCTATGAGTAAGGATCACTTGGAACTAGCTAAAATTCTTTTCTCTCTGCTCCTCTAGTGTGACCTTGCCAGGTAACATAACCCTCCTGTTTTGTATCCACATCTGCAATAATAGGGGGAGTAACACTTACCTTGTGGGTTTATTACAAGGATTGCAGAAGCTAATATGCAGATATGCATAAAAGGTTAAAAGAGAATGAAATAAATTAACAACAACAATGAGGATGCTAAAAAGCCAGTAATGGCAGAATGTAAGACCTAGAACAGATCCTCAAGATGCTAGGTGGAAACCTTTCATTCTAGAAATAAAATATTGACATTGCATTGTCTCAAGCTCTTTGGACCTCATCCAGCACATTTTTTTTTTTCTGGAAAAACTTTGAAATATAACCTGTGTCTTAAGATACCAAATGTAGTGTTTATGCACCCTACCCATCTCTTCCTCTTCATTCTCAGGTATTTTTAAAGTACATCCCAAAATATTTGTGATTTATTTCACAGACAGTTTCATTAAAAGCTGTCAGAGAGGAGGCAGAGCAAGATGGTGGAATAGAAAGCTCCACTGATTGCCCCTGCTCCCTGCCACACAAGGACACCAATTTAACAATTACCTACAAAGAAAAACACCATCATTTAAGAACCAAAATTAGGTAAGCTCTCATAGTACCTGGTTTTATATTTGTATTGCTGAAAGAGGCACTGAAGAGATAGAAAACACAGTCTTGAATGGCCTACACCGCTCCCCCCTCCCCAATCCCCACAATGCATCTCAGAGCACTGAGGAGGGAGAACACAGCAATTGTGAGGCATTGAACTCAGGGTTTTCCCTTTAGAGCAGAAAGGAAAACAAGACCAAACTCAGCTGATGTTTGCGCAGGGAAGGAGCATTTAAACCAGTCCTAGCCAGAGGGGAATCACCAATCTCAGTGGTCTGATCTTGAGTTTGTCTAAACCTTGCCACTGAAAGCTAGAGTGCTCTGTGTCTCCAGGTAAACAAAAGGCAGTCCAGGCCATGAAGACTACAACTCTTGGGCGGGTCCTAGGGCTCAGCTGGGCTCAGAGACAGTGGATAGGAGCAGCACGTGACATACTGTGACACCAGCTGAGGCAGCCAGGGGCATGCTGGCATCACCTATCTCCTAACTCCAGGCTATACAGCTTGTAAGTCAAAAAAAGATGCCCCTTCTTTCTGCTAGAGGAAAGGAGAAGGAAGAGTGGAGAGAACTTTGTCTTGCATCTTGGGTACCAGCCAAGCCACAGTTGGATACGGCACTGGTCCAAGTCATGAGACCCCTGTTTCAGTCTCTAGCTCCAAGAAGACATTTCTAGACACACCTGGGTCCAGAAGGGAACCCACTGGCTTGAAGGAAAAGACCCAGTCCTGGCGGAATTCATCACTTGGTAATTAAAGAGCCCTTGGGCACTAAATAACCATCAGGGATACCCATGTACTATGTCGAGGGCCTTGGGTGAGCCTCTGAGATTTTCTGGCTTCAGAGGACAGAAGAGCCACAGGAGGGTAGAGCACCAAGCAGTAGAGCACCAAGTAAAGTCCCAATTCTAAGACTTTACACTTGGATGGCATTTCTGGACCTGCCAAGGGCCAGAGGGGAGCCCAGTGCCATAAATGGTGAGTCTTAGGCCAGGCAGCATTCACCACAATCTGACCTAAGAGGCTTTGGGCCTTAAGGGAACATTGGCAGCAGTTGGCAGTACTCCTCATGGCCTGATGTGATGGTGGCTACAGGGCGAAGCTCCTCTGCCTTTGGAAAGGGGAGGGAAGGGTGGGAAGGAGTGGCAGCTCAGCCTCAGTACAATAGAACACCAGGTAGATTTCTAAGTTTTTGACTTTAGTCTCTGATTCCTGGATGGCACTCCTGGACCCAACGAGAGCCTGGAGGATTTTACCATTCTTAAGGGAAGGATTCGGATCTGGGTGGCTTTGCCACCTGCTGGTTGTAGAGCCCCAAGGCCTTGAGAAAACATAGGCAATAGCCAGGGAATGGTAACAGCAGGCCTTGGGTGAGACCCAGTGTTTTGCTGGCTTCAGATCTGATCCCACACACTCATAGTGGTGGTGACCATAGGGGTGCTTGTGTTGCTCCACTCCCAGCTTTAAGTGGCTCAAAACAGAGAGAGATACTCTGTTTGGGAGAAAGTAAGGGAAGAGAACAGGAGTCTCTGCTTGGTTATCCAGAAAATTCTCCCAGATCTTGTCCAAGACCTTCAAGGGAGTACCTCTATGAGTCTGCAAGAACCACAGTGTTACTGGGCTGGGGGTGTCCCCTAAAGCCGACACAGCATAGATCACAACACCCAAGTCCATTCAAGTATCTGGAAAGCCTTCCTAAGAAGAATGGGTGCAAAAAAGCCCAAACAGTGAAGACAACAGTAAATACCCAACTCCTCAACGCCCAGACACCAAAGAGCATCAGATAGCATAGACACCATCCAGAAAAACATGACCTCACCAAATGAACTAAATAAGTTACCAAGGACCAAACCTGGAGAAACAGATATGTGAACTTTCAGACAGAGAACTGAAAATAGCTGTGTTGAGGAAATTCAAAGAAATTCAAGATAACACAGAGAAGGAATTCAGAATTATATAAATGTGAGAAAGATACTGAAATAATAAGAATCAAGCAGAAATTCTGGAGCTGAAAAATGCAATTGGCATACTGAACAATGCATCAGAGTTCTTTAATAGCAGAATTGATCAAGCAGAAAGAGCAATTTGTGAGCTTCAAAACAGATTATTTGAAAATACACTGTCAGAGGTGACAAAAGAAACAAAGAATAAAAACCAATGAAGCATGCCTATAGGATCTAGAAAATAGCCTCTAAAGAAAAGTTCTCAGAGTTATTGGCCTTGAAAAGGAGATAGAGTAAAAGATAGTTGTAGATAGCATATTCAAATAAATAACGAAGAACTCAAACCTAGAGAAAGATATCAATATTCAAGTACAAGAATCTTATAGAACACCAAGCAGATTTACCTCAAAGAAGACTGCCCCAAGGCATTTAATAATCATACTCACAAGGGTCAAGGACGAAGAAAAGATTCTAAAAGCATCAAGAGAAAGTAACAAATGACATACAATAGAGCTTTAATATGTCTGGCAGCAGACAATTTAGCGGAAACCTTGCAGACCAGAAGAGAGTGACATAACATATTTAAAGTACAGAAAGAAAAAATAGTTTTACCCCACAATAGTATATCCAGTAAAAATATTATTCAAACATGAAGGAGAAATAAAGAGTTTCTGAGACCAGCCAAAGTTGAGGGATTTCATTACCACCAGAACTGTTGTATTAGTCCATTTTCAAACTGCTATAAAGAACTACCAGAGACTGGGTAATTGATAAACAAAAGAGGTTTAATTGTCTCATAGTTCTGGATGGCTTAGGAGACCTCAGGAAACTTACAATTATGGTGGAAGATAAAGGGGAAGCAAGCACCCTCTAAAGGAGCATGTTCTAACCCAATGCAAGGAAGCTAAGAACCTTGAAAAAAGGTTAGAGGAATTGCTAACCAGAATAACCAGTTTAGAGAAGAACATAAATGACCGGATGAAGCTGAAAATCACAGCACAAGAACTTCATAAAGCATCCACAAGTATCAATAGCCAGATCGATCAAGCAGAAGAAAGGATATCAGAGATTGAAGATCAACTTAATGAAATAAAGTGAGAAGGCAACATTAGAGAAAAATGAATGAAAAGGAATGAACTAAGCCTCCAAGAAACATGACACTATGTGAAAAGACCACATTTATGTTTGATTGGTGTACCTGAAAGTGATGGGGAGAATGGGCCAAGATGGAAAACACTCTTCAGGATATTATCCAGGAGAACTTCCCCAACCTAGCAAGACAGGACAATATTCAAATTCAGGAAATACGGAGAACATCACAAAGATACTCCTTGAGAAGAGCAACTCCAAGACACATAATCGTTAGATTCACCAAGGGTGAAATATAGGAAAAAATGTTAAGGGCAGCCAGAGAGAAAAGTCAGGTCACCCACAAAGGCAAGCCCATCAGACTAACAGCAGATCTCTCTGCAGAAACCCTACAAGCCAGAAGAGAGTGGGGGCCATTATTCCACATTCTTAAAAGAATTTTCAACCCAGAATTTCATATCCAGCCTAACTAAGCTTCATAAGTGAAGGATAAATAAAATTCTTTACAAACAAACAAATGTTAAGAGATTTTGTCACCACTGGGCTGCTTTACAAGAGCTCCTGAAGGGAGCACTAAACATGGAAAGGAACAACCAGTACAAGCCACTGCAAAAACATACCAAATTGTAAAGACCGTCGACACTATGAAGAAACTGCATCAACTAACGAGCAAAATACCAGCTAGCATCATAACAACAGGATCAAATTCACACATAACAACATTACCCTTAAATGTAAGTGGGCTAAATTCCCCAAGTAAAAGACACAGATGGGCAAATTGGATAAAAAGTCAAGACCCATCTGTGTTCTGTATTCAGGAGACCCATCTCATGTGCAAAGACACACATAGGCTCAAAAAAAAGGGATAGAGGAATATTTACCAAGCAAATTGAAGGCAAAAAAAAAAAAAAAAAAGCACGGGTTGCAATGCTAGTTGCTGATTAAACAGAATTTAAACCAACAAAGATCAAGAGACAAAGAAGGGCATTATATAATGGTAAAGGAATCAATGCAACAAGAAGAGCTAACTATCCTAAATATTTATTTACCCAATACGGGAGCACCCAGATTCATAAAGCAAGTTCTTAGAGACCTACAAAGAGACACAGGCTCCCACAGAGTAATAGTGGTAGACGTTAACACCCCACTGTCAATATTAGATCAACAAGACAGAAAATTAGCGAGAATATTCGGGACTTGAAGTCGGCTCTGGACCAAGTGGATCTAATAGACATCTACAGAACTCTCCACCCCAAATCAGCAGAATATACATTCTTCTCAGCACTACATCACACTTATTCTAAAATTGACCACATAATTGGAAGTAAAACACTCCTCAGCAAATGCAAAAGAATGGAAATCATAAGAAACAGTCTCTCAGATCACAGTGCAATCAAATTAGAACTCAGGATTAAAAAACTCACTCAAAACTGCATGATTACATGGAAACTGAACAACCTGCTCCTGAATGACTACTGGGTAAATAACGAAATGAAGGCGAAAATAAAAAAGTTCTTTGAAACCAATGAGAACAAAGACACAATGTACCAGAATCTCTGGGACACATTTAAAGCAGTGTCTAGAGGGAAATTTATAGCACTAAATGCCCACAAGAGAAAGCAGGAAAGCTCTAAAATTGACACCCTACCATCACAATTAAAAGAACTAGGGAAGCAAGAGCAAACAAATTCAAAAGCTGGCAGAAGTCAAGAAATAACTAAGATCAGAGCAGAACTGAAGGAGATAGAGACACAAAAATCCCTTTAAAAAAAATCAATGAATCCAGGAGCTGGTTTTTTGAAAAGATCAACAAAAGACATAGACCACTAGCCAGACTAATGAAGAAAAGAGAGAAGAATCAAAGAGATGCAATAACAAAATGATAAAGGGGTATCACCACTGATCCTACAGAAATACAAACTACCATCAGAGAGTACTATAAAAAACTCTATGGAAAAAACTAAAAATTCTAGAAGAAATGGATAAATTCCTGGACACATACAACCTCCCAAATCTAAACAAGGAAGAAGTAAAATCCTTGAATAGATCAATAACAAGTACTGAAATTGAGGCAGTAATTAATAGCCTACCAACCAAAAAAAGGCCAGGACCAGACGAATTCACAGCCAAATTCTACCAGAGGTACAAAGAGGAGCTGATAACATTCCTTTGGAAACTATTCCAAACAATAGAAAAAGAGGTACTCCTCCCTCACTCATTTTATGGGGCCAGCATCACTCTGATACCAAAACCAGGCAGAGACACAACAAAAGAAAATTTCAGGCCAAAATTTCTGATGAACATTGATGTGAAAATCCTCAACAAAATACTGGCAAACTGAATCCAGCATCACATCAAAAAGCTTATCCACCATGATCAAGTTGGCTTCATTGCAGGGATGCAAGGCTGGTTCAACATATGCACACCGATACATGTAATCCATCACATAAACAGAACGAATGACAAAAAACACATGATTATCTCAATAAATGCAGAAAAGACCTCTGACAAAATCCAACTGCCCTTCATGCTAAAAATTCTCAATAAACTAGGTATTCATGGAACGTTTCTCAAAATAATAATAGCTATGTATCACAAATCCACAGCCAATATCATACTGAATGGGCAAAACCTGGAAGCATTCCCTTTGAAAACCAGCACAAGACCAGGATGCCCTCTCTCAGCACTCCTATTCAACATAGTATTGGAAGTTGTGGCCAGGACAATCAGTCAAGAGAAAGAAATAAAGAGTATTCACATAGGGAAACAGTAAGTCAAATCTGTTTACAGATGACGTGATTATATATTAGAAAACACCATCGTCTTAGCCCAAAATCTCCTAAAGCTGATAAGCAACTTCAGCAAAGTCTCAGGATAGAAAATCAATGTGCAAAAGTCACAAGCATTTCTGTACACCAATAACAGACAGAGAACCAAATCATCAGTGAGCTCCCATTCACAATTGCTACAAAGAGACTTAAATACCTAGTAATACAACTTACAAGGGATGTGAAGGACCTCTTTAAGGAGCACTAAAAACCACTGTTCAAGGAAATAAGAGAGGACACAAACAAATGGAAAAACATACTATGCTCATGGATAGGAAGAATCAATATTGTGAAAATGGTCATACTGCCCAAAGTAATTTATTGATTCAATGCTATCCCCATCTGTGACTTTCTTCACAGGATTGGAAAAAACTACTTTAAATTTCATATGGAACCAAAAAAGAGCCCTCATAGAAAAGACAATCCTAAGCAAAAAGAACAAAGTTTGAGTCATCATGCTTCCTGATTTCAAACTGTAGTACAAGGCTACAGTAACCAAAACAGAATGATAATGGTACCAAAACAGATATATAGATCAATGGAACAGAATAGAGAACTCAGAAATAATACCACACATCTACAACCGTCTTATCTTTGACAAACCTGACAAAAACAAGCAATGGGGAATGGATTCACTTTTAATAAATGGTGTCAGGAAAACTGGCTAGCCATATGCAGAAAACTGAAACTGGACTCCTGCCTTACACCTTATACAAAAATTAACTAAAGATAGATGAAAGACTTCAACGTGAGACCTGAAACCATAAAAAACTTAGAAGAAAACTGAGGCAATACCATTCAGAACATAGGCATGAGCAAAGACTTCATAACTGAAACACCAAAAGCCATGGCAACAAAAGCCAAAATTGACAAATGGGATCTAATTAAGCTAAAGAGCTTTGCACAGCAAAAGAAACTATCATCAGAGTGAACAGGCAACCTATAGAATGGGAGAAAAGTTTTGCAATCTATCCATCTGACCAAGGGCTAATATCCAGAATCTACAAAGAACTTAAACAAATTTACAAGGAAAAACCAAACAACTCCATCAAAAAGTGGGTGAAGGATATGAACAGACACTTCTCAAAAGAAGACATTTATGTGGCCAACAAACATAGGAAAAAAAGCTCATCATCATTGGTCATTAGAGAAATGCAAATCAAAACCACATTGAGATACCATCTCATGCCAGTTAGAATGGTGATCATTAAAAATTCAGGAAACAACAGATGCCGGAGAGGGTGTGGAGAAATGGAACACTTTTACAGTTGCTGGGAGTGTAAATTAGTTCAACCATTGTGGAAGACAGTGTGGAGATTCCTCAAGGATCTAGAACCAGAAATACCATTTGACCCAGCAATCCCATTGCTGGGTATATACCCAAAGAATTATAAATCATTCTGCTATGAAGACACATGCACATGTATGTTTATTGTGGCACTATTCACAATAGCAAAGACTTGGAACCAACCCAAATGCCCATCAATGATAAACTGGATAAAGAAAATGTGGCACACATACACCATGGAATAGTATGCAGCCTTACAAAAGGATGAGTTCATGTCCTTTGCAAGGACATGTATTGAGCTGGAAACCATAATTCTCAGCAAACTAACACAAGAACAGAAAACCAAACACCACCTGTTCTCACTCATAAGGGGGAATCGAACAATGAGAACACATGGACACAGGGAGGGGAATATCACACACCAGGGCCTGTCAGGGGGTTGGGGACTAGGGGAAGGATAGCATTAGGAGAAATACCTAATGTAGATGATGGGTTGATGGGTGCAGCAAACCACCATGGCATGTGTATACCTATGTAACAAACCTGCACATTCTGCACATGTACCCCAGAACTTAAGGTATAATAATAATAATCATTCCGCAAGTTTCTAGGAAGTTTCAAACTATCCCATATCTTCCTGTCTTCTTCTGACCCCTCCAAACTGTTCTAATATCTGCCTGTTACCCAGTTCCAAGGTTGATTCCCCACTTTGGTGTGTCTTTATAGCCGTACCCCACTCCCAGTGCCAATTTAGTGTATTAGTCTAGTTTCATACTGCTATGAAGAACTGCCCAGGACTGGATAGTTTATAAAGAAAAGAGATTTAATTGACTTACAGTTCAGAATGCCTGGAGAGGCCTCAGCAAACTTAAAATCATGGCAGAAGACAAAGGAGAAGTAAGGCACCTTTTTCACAAGGCAGCAGGCAGAAATGCCAAGTGAAGAGGGGAGAGCCCCTTATAAAACTATTAGATATCATGAGAAATCACCTACTGTCAGGAGAACAGCATGGGGAAAATCACCCCATAATTCAATCGCCTCCAACCAGGTTCCTCCTTCAACATGTGGAGGTTATAATTTGAGATGAGATTTAGGTGGGGACACAGAGTCAAACCATATCACTTGTCCTACAAGAAATACTAAATTTACCTTGATCACAAAGAAAAGAATAATAGTAATAATAAGTAATCACTTGAAGGTACAAAATTTACTGGTGATAATAAATACACAGAAAAACACAAAATATTATGACACCATAACTGTGGAATGTAAACTCTTATCCTAAGTGGAAAGACTAATAAACCAATGAAAAATAATAACTATAACTTTTTAATACATATAACAACAAGAAATAAGTGGAAATAACAAAAGTTAAAAAGCAGGGGGATAAAGTTAAAGTATAGGGTTTTTATTAGTTTTCTTTTTGTTCATATGTTTATGCAAACAATGTTAAGTTATTATCAGGTTAAAATAATGAGTTATTAGATAGCATTTGCGTACCTCATGATAACCTCAAACCACAAAACATACAATGGGTGCACAAAAAATATAAAACAAGAAACTAAGTTATATCACCAGAAAAAAAGAACACCTTCAATAGAAGAAGACAGGAAGAAAAAGAAAGAAGGAAGAGAACCACAAAACAACTAGAAAACAAATAGTAAAGTGGGAAGAGTAAGTCCTTACTTATCAGTAATAACATTGAGTTTAAATGGACTACACTTTCCAGTCAAAAGTCTTAGACTGGCTGAATGGATGAAAAAAGCAAGACTCATTGATCTGTTGCCTATGAGAAAAACACCTTGTTTATAAAGACACACATAGACTGACAATAAAAGGATGAAAAATGCCAATGGAAACCAAAAAAAAGCAGGAGTAGCTATATTTATATCAGACAAAGTAGATTTCAAGACAAAAGCTGTAAGAAGAGACAAATAAGGTAACTATATAATGATTACAGGGTCAATTCAGCAAGAGGACATAAGAATTTTAAATATATATGTACCAAAAACTGGATCACTCAGATATATAAAGCAAATATTATTAGAGCTAAAAGGACAGACTCCCATAAAATAATAGTTGGAGACTTCAACAGCCCACTTCTAACATTGAACAGATCTTTCAGACAGAATATAAACAAAGAGACATCATACTTAATCTGCACTATAGACCAAATAGATCTAATAGATATTTACAGAACATTTCTTCCAACAGCTGCAGAATACACATTCTTTTCTTCAGCACATGGCTCATTCTCAAGGACATACCATATGTTAGGTCACAAAACAAGTCTTAAAACATTCAAATAATGTTCAATTGAAAAAGAGAGGTTTAATTGACTTACAGTTCAGAATGCCTGGAGAGGCCTCAGAAAACTTACAATCATGGCAGAAGATGAAGGAAAAGCTTAGCACCTTCTTTACAAGGCAACAGGAAGTAGAAGCAATTCAAATAAGGTTTTAGGACTCGTTTTCTGAGCTAACATATGATGTAACCTTGAGAATGATCCATGTACAGAGGAAAAGAACATTGAAGTAATATAAAGCGTCTTATATTGAAGTACATTATATTGATGATATTACATTGAAATAATATCAGCCATCTCCTCTGACCACAATAGAATAAAACTAGAAACTGATAACAAGAGAATTTTGGATATGAGAGAATTTGAATTATATTCATACAAATACATGTAAATTAAACAATATGCTCCTGAATGACCAGTGGGTCTATGAAGAAATTAAGATGAAAATTGAAAAATTTCTTGAAACATATGATATTGGAAACACAGCATACCAAAACCTGTGGGATACAGGAAAAGCAATAATAAAGGGGAAGTTTATAGCTATAACTGTCTACATCAAAAAAGAGGGCAAACTTCAAGGATGCATCTAATGATGCATCTTAAAGAACTAAAAAAGCAAGAGCAAACCAACTTTAAAATTAGAAGAAGAAATGGAACAAAACAAAAACAAAAATCTGTTTTTTTGGAAAGTAACACAAAATTGACAAACCTTTAAACAGACAAAAAAAAAAAAAAAAAAAAAAGAGAAGATCCAGATACATAAAATCAGAAATGAAAAAGGAGACAAAACAATTGACACTGCAGAAATGTAAAGGTTTGTTAGTGGATACTATGAGCAACTGCATGTGAATAAATTGGAAAATATAAAAAAAACTAACAAATGCCTAGACACATACAACCTATGAAGACTGAACCAGGAAGAAATCCAAAACCTGAACAGATCAAGAACAAGTAACAATATTAAAGCCATATTAAAAAGTCTCCCAATAAGGAAAGCCCAGGACCTGATGGCTTCACTGATGAATTCCACCAAACTTTTAAAGAAGAAATAATATCAATTCTTCTCACACTATTGTAAAAACTAGAAGATGAGGACATACTTCCAAATGCATTCTATAAAGCCACTATTACCTTGATCTCTAATCCAGATGAAGACACAACAACAAAAAGAATATAACTACAGACCAATATCTCTGATGAATATTTATGTAAAAATCTTCAACAAAGTACTACCAAACCAAATTCAGCAATAAATACATTAGAAAGATCATTTATCATGACCAGGTGGGATTTATCCCTGGGATGCAAGCATGGTTCAACATACACAAATCAATCCGTTTGATACATTATATCAATGAAATGAAGGATAAAAACTATACAGTCATTCTAATTGCTGTTGGAAAAGCATTTGATAAAATTCATCATCCATTTATAATAAAAGCTAAAAAACTGGGGATAGTAGGAACATACCACAGTATAATAAAAGCTATATACAACAGACCCACAGCTAGTATCATACTGAATGGAAAAAACTGAAAGTCCTTCTTCTAAGATCGGGAACATGACAAGGATGCCTATGTCACTACTGTTATTCAACATAGTACTGGAGATGATCAAAGATATAAAGACACCCAAATTGGAAAGGAAGAAGTCAAATTATCCTTGTTTGCAGACGGTGTGATCTTATATTTGAAAAAAAACTTAAGACTCCATAAGAAAACTGTTAGAACTGATAGACAAATTTAATAAAGTTGCAGGATACAAAGTCAACATACAAAAATCGGTAGCATTTCTATATTCTAACAGAAAACAATGTAAAGAAGAAAAAAAAGTAATCCCTTTTACAGTAGCCACACATAAAATTAAATACCTCAGAATTAACTCAACCAAACAAGTGAAAGATCTTTGTAATAAAACTGAAAACCATGGTTGAAAGAAATTGAAGAGGGCGCAAAATAATGGAAAAAATATTCTATGTTCATGGTTTGGAATAATCAATATTGTTAAAATGTCCATATTACACAAAGCACTCTACAGATTCAATGCAATCTCTATCAAAATATCAATGACATTCTTCACAGAAATAGAAAATACAATCGTAAGATTTTTATGGAACTACAAAAGACCAAGAATAGCAAAAACTATCCTAAGCAAAAAGAACAAAACTGGATGAATTGCATTACATGACTTCAAATTATATTACAGAACTGTAGTAACCAAACCAGTATGGTACTGACATAAAAACAGATACATAGACCATGGAACAGAATAGAGAACCCAGAAACAAATCAATATACCTACAGCGAAACCATTTTCAATAAATTAGCCAAGAACATACATGAGAAAAAGGCAATCTCTTTAATAAATTGTGCTGGGAAAACTGGATATCTATATGGAGAAGAAACAAACTAGAGCCTTATCTCTCACCATATACAAAAACCAAATAAAAATGGATTAAAAACTTAAACCTAAAACCCCAAACTACAAAATGACTACAAGAAAGCATTGGGGAAGATCTCCAGGACATCGGTCTGGGCAAACATTTCTTGAGCAATATTTCACAAGTACAGGCAACAAAAGCAAAGATGGACAAATGTGATCACATTAAGTTAAAAATCTCTGCACAACAAAGGCTACAACTAACAAAGTGAAAAGGTAATCTACAAAACAGGTGAAAACATTTGCAAACTACCCATCTGACAAGGGATTAATAACTAGAATACAAAAGGAGCTCAAACAATTCTATAAGAAAAAATCTAATAATCCAATCCAGAAACGGACAAAAGATCTGAATAGACATTTCTCAAAAGAAGACAAATAAATGGCAATTGGTCTATGAAAAGATGCACAAGATCATTGATCATTAGAGAAATGAAAATAAAGTCTAAAATAAGATATCATTTTACCACAGTTAAAATAGCTTATTTTCAAAACACAGGCGATAACAAATGCTGGCCAAGATGCAGAGGAAAGGGAACCCTTGAACCCTGTTTGTGGGAATGTAAATTAGCACAGCTACTGTGGATAACAGTTTGGAGCCACCTCAAAACACACACACACACACACACACACACACACACACACACACACACACACACACAAATTGGGCTACCATATGATCCAGAAATCCCTCTGCTGGGTATACACCAAAAGAAAGAAAATCAGTATATCAAAGAGATATCTGCAGTCCTATGTTGTAGCACTGTTTCCAATAGGTAAGATTTGGAAGCAACCTACGTGTCCATTAATAGATGAATGGATACAGAAAATGTGGTACATGTACACATACACAATGGAGCACTACTCAGCCATAAAAAAGAATGAGATCCAGTCATTTGTAATAACATGGATGGAACCAGAGATTATTATGTTAAGTGAAAGAAGCCAGGCCCAGAAAGTAAAATGTGACATGTTCTCACTTATTTGTGTAATCTAAAAATCAAAGGAATTAAACTTATGGACATAGAGAGTAGAAGAATGGTTACCAGAGGCTGGGAAGGGTAGTTGGGGGATAGGGGGGAGATGAGGATTTTTAATGGGTACAAAAAAAATAGCTTGAAATAATGAATATGACCTACTATTGTGTAGCCCAATGGGGTGATTATAGGTGATTATAACTTCAGTGTACATTTTAAAATAACTCAGGGTGTAATTGGATTGTTTTAACTCAAAGGATGAATGCTTGAGGGGATGGATGCCTCATTCTCCATGATGTGCTTATTTCACATTGAATGCCTGTATCAAAACATCTCATGTACCCCATAAATATATACACCAATACGTACCCACAACAATTTTTTAAAAAGAAAAAATATATGTCATTATGAATCAGTAAGATATAAAATTGGGAAAATAGTCATTGACCCTACCACTGTTCAATTAACAAATGACAATAACATCAATGTTAATTTAGTTGCATGTATGCATATATATATATATATATATATATATATATATATATATATATAAAATTACGTGTCAATAAGTGGTGAAATAGATGTATTTTAAATTTTTATAGTGGTACATATTAATGGAAGCCACATGCATGTATTTGAAACTGTTTTTTAGGGGGATTATGCTCAGAAGTTTAGTGGACTTATCTCAGATTTTTTTTCCCTCATGATTGGAAAATGTACAGATTGGTCTCATTGTGTTTATTCGCTTATTCAAAGTAAAGTCTGTTTGGAAATGGTTAAATGCAGCAGATCTACCCTCCTCTTCCCCCTTTTCAGAATGAGTCAATTTGAGATAATCAGATTTCTATCCCTTCAGGAGCCAATTTTCCTTTTTCTCCTTCCTCATTTCCTCTCCTTTAATACACCTGTTACAGAGTATTTAGCAGAGGGGGGATTTGAATGATAACACTACTTTACATGTAAATAGGGCCTTTCATCCAAGAATCTCAGAGCTCTTTGTAAGCATTATCTGGTTATGTATCGATTATGAGCATCATTTTAAAGCTAGGCAAGTGAGGACCGTGCAGGTAAGTGACTTGCCTAAGGTCACGCATTAAGACTATGGTGTTGCTAGAAAGAGGCTTCTGGTCATTTGAGGATTTCATTTCCCAGTTGACCCAGCTAAGGGCACCTGTCTGCATTAAACCTCAGAGTTCCCACATATCTCTTCTGGAGTACCATTTACTACATTCATATAACCCACCATTACACTCTTTCCTTCCATCAGATGTTTTACCTCATAATCCATCTTACGACTTTCTGTCATGTTGCCAATTCCTGTAATGCCACATATCACTATAATTCTAGAGGTTAAAGACAGTGTTTATGACTATCTCTCATTGAGTTTTATTTCCACATCTTGAAACCTGGCTCAATGGAACATAATGCAGTACTTGAAAAGCCTGGTTTAAAATGAAGAGAGAATCCGCAATTCTTATTTGCAAATCTAATCTGCAGGATAAATGAAATGCAGAAGTTGATGGTAATGGAATATTGAGGGTGGCAGGTGGAAGATTTTAAAACCTGAACATGGAAAAGGCATTTCTATTCAATTATACAAGTATGGTATTTATCATGTTTGCCTTCCAGGAGGATGAGGTGAGGCTACCTCTGCTACAAAATATCCACTGTAGAATGACCCATTTTAGGAGGAAAAAAAAAATCTCAAGTGTTTTTCATTTCTAAAAGGGTAATTTGTCATTAAAACAGAACAAAATACTAAGATATGTGAATGCATGTGATATGGTTTGGTTCTGTGTTCCTGCCCAAATCTCATGTCAAATTGTGATCCCCATGGATGGAGGAGGGGGGATTGTGGGAGGTGACTGGACCATAGGGACACAGTTCTCATGAATGATTTAGCACCGTCCCCTATATAGGTACTACATAGTGAGTGAGTTCTCATGAGTTCTGATGGCCTAAAAATGTGTGACACCTCCCCTCTCTCTTTCTTTCTACTGCTCTGGCCATGTAATCTATGCCTGCTTCCCCTTCTTCTTCCACCATGATTGAAAGTTTCCTGAGGCCTCCCCAGATTCAGAGCAGATGCCAGCATCATGCTTCCCACAGAGCCTGCAGAACAGTGAGCCAATTAAACCTCTTTTCTTTATAAATTACTCAGTCTCAGGTATTTCTTTAAAGCAATGTGAGAACTAACACAGCATATAAGGCAGCCAGCATTAAGTGGAAACACTATTACTGCTTCTTTTCTTTCTTGTCACTCAGAAGTAAGTTAAATGCTTTCACTGGGTCCAAAGAAGGGAGACACCGCAAAGCCATCTTGTGCAGTGTGCCCATAGCTGGAAAATAAGAGGCCTTGCTTTTGGTTTCAGCCCTTTTGCCAATTCCCTGTGTGACATTGGTGGGTCACATATTTTCTCCTGAGCATAATTCTTGCAACTAAAATCAAAAGGGTTAGATCATATGACCTCTCAGGTTTGACCCAGATGTAAAGTTTAGGACTGTTCTATAATTTAGCCACTTTATGATTGACTATGGGAGTTGTAAACCATGACATCAACTTGAGAATATTACCTATGTTGCTCCAATCAAACTAGTACTAATTTTCTTCCACAGCTGCCTTAATTTCTCTGTCTATGTGCTAATACAGAAGCCATTAGCCACATATGGCCATGAACACCTGAAGTGTGTCTAGTCCAAATTGAGATGTTCTGGAGATATAAAATACATGTCATATTTTAGAGACAATTTTAAAACTAATCTAGAATATTATACTTTTTATGAGAATTTAATACTAAAAATAATGCTTTGAATATATCAAGTCAAATAATATATAATAAATTAGTTTTATCTGCTTTATTTTGCTTACTTAATGTGGCTTTTAGAAAGCTTTAAATTAGTTATTCTGTTGGTATTTCTTTTAGACAATCGTACTCAGGATACTAATGGGTATAATGTATGCATAATCAAGCTGTAGGTTTTTAGCTTGAATATACCTAAAAACACTATCTTATCCAATATGCTGATCTCAGCCCAGTCTCATATTATCATTCCTATTTTATAGATGAGACTCTAACAGATCAACTGAGTGGCCCAGGAGGTCTGTAAAAGGTTGCATAATGCCTGCAACTCAGATCTACTACAGTGTACTTCTTTAACATCATTGTTTAATTTTAATTTACAAATAAAATATAAAAGATTATTTCCTTTTCCTCTCATTTTGGTAAAGTGATGTCTTAAAAATATTTTTCTGTTATTTTTAAAGAATAATCCTTGATTCCAGCATTATTAGATTTGATTCTAAAAATTACACTCATCTGATTAATAATTTTGGAATCTGAGACTGCACTATGAATGGCATTAGCCTTTCTTCCTCAAGCTCTGAACAATTGAGAAATAAGACAAAAGAATGGCAGAAGTGGAGAGGTAGGAAAAACATCCCCTTCAGAACCCAGCCTGTTCAGAAGGCTTGGGTTGCTGGACTGCTGCCCATGGGTTTTCATCAGTGGAAAATTAACATAAGAATGACATCCACTGCTCCTTGGAAATCCCTTTTTGAAAGCACTGCTCTGTAGCTTACATTTTGTCCCCAGAAGGCTCTGAAAAGTGCCAGACAGGACATTAATTATATGAATTCCACTGTCACTTTACACATCACTAAAAAGTCATTTCTTACTCTATTTCCAATCCCAACTTAAATCTAGCTGCATTGTCCAATGTAGCCTATCAACAATTCTGCATAAAATAAAATGTTGAAAAGTTAAGATTCTGTAATACAATACACAATGATACTCAGACAGTAAAATGCCAAAAATAGATATATGCGAAATTGAAATGTAAACTGCCTCTAATTGTGAAATTCTCAAGCAGAAATTAAAGTTGAAAGATTATTTCCCATTGCACTTTAAGTTCAAGAATGTAAGTCTGAAGTTATTGAAGTTTGAACTCAAATTGTGTTGAGTTAAAATTTAAAGTCTAAAATTAATTATTTTTAACTTTTTATTCTTTTCAGCTTTAGCTAGCAGGAGTACCAGATTGTCAATACATAGGTTAGGTGTGTGTGGGAAGGCGGGGGTTGCTTTAGCAACTACCACCTGAGCTCTTTCTCCATGGAATGGTATTCCTGATGGTTATATTAATATAATACCTGCTTTTATGAGTATCATTTTTTAATAATCCCTAAAAGTGAAATGCTGATACACTCAGGAGTATCAAAGCATTGGATTTATATCCACTGAATTTAGAAACCAATGTCCAACTCTTAAAACAGCTATCCAGAAAATATCATGGTCCAAGAGCCTCTATTTATCACTGACAAATACCATAGCTTAGACTCAATGATATCTGAATAAAGCATGATAGATGGGGGACAAAGAAAACAAATGCTTTATTGCTTTTGTGTCACTCAGATATTGTCCCTTTTTTCCAGTTGTCCAAAATCCATAGCAAGTATATTTCAACTTGGTTGAGATAAATCCTCAATTCATGCCTAATTTTTGCTTTATCTATTAATCATTTTTCAGGATAGGGAATGGTTTGGGTAAGGGTCTAGATATGCATACCATTTGTAATTTGATTTTCTCTTTTGAGCCCTATGTTTCTGGTACTTCAGTGCTAAAATGAGAACAAGATCTTTGCAATTATATAATATGCCACTTTAATGAGCTTAGGCATTTTCAGTTTTAATGGAATTGTCATTCATCGCCTACCTAGGCCTGGCCTGAACACTTAAAGCTATAACTTCATTAGTGCATTTTTGTACACTCAGAACTCGCTGGCTGCCTTGGAGTTTAAAACAGCAAGGCCTGTATTTATTATAGAAAGATTCTTACCCCAGTGATTGAGTCACATATGTCTATGTTTTCTTCTGTGCTGCTTAGGAAAACTTTTCCTGTATAGTATGCCTTGACCATAAGGCCCCTTCCAAGCCTGCTGATGCTCTTGCTGTTGCTAAGCTTATACCTTTGTTGAGTACTCCACTGCCTGCCTGTGTAAGCTAAATGTAGTTCAAAGCCAAGCTGAGGCAGAAGGAACTCTGATATTATCTCATTTGAGTCATCTCCATTTCACTGAGGCCAGAGTGGCCCAAATTTATTAGAGTAGCTGTGTCTTCTAGGACCAATTATGAAGCCCAGGGATTTTATTGAGACCTGAGCATCCCCACACTCTGGTATGCCTCTAAAGATACAGCCATCTTCCTTGGACAAAGTCATCTAAAACTTCAGTCATCCATCAAGGTCAAAATAGCCTATGGACTGCTAAAGATCACTGGCTAAGATTCTGCAGTTAAAAGACAATTACACAACTTTAAAAATCTTCCTAGTCTAGCACCTGTCTCCACCACCATCGAGATCAAAATGTTTGGCCCACCCACCAAAGACCAAAGTCCGAAGACCTGACACACCAACACAATCACTCCTCAGGTATTTTTCTCCAAACATTATTTTCTCTCTGTGTCTCATTTATTGAGTTTTTTGGTCCATCCACCCAATGTGAATATCTGTAGGTACCACAAACCTCTATTCTCCACTTAGGTTATTAAAAAAACTAAGAGATGTAACAAAGAAATGAAAGATAGAAGAAAAAATTTTATCTTTACTGCTAATAAAAGCTAGGTGGATAAAAGGGCTTATGGGGGACATACCTGTAAATATCCACCTACACTCAGTAAACCCCAGTATTATCTGAACTCAATTTTCCAGTCACAGGCAACACTGAACGAGACATGTCTCCACAGGTAGAATGCCTGCAAGGTAAGGGCTGGGGCATAAAGAGTCACAGAAGTCCTTTCTCTGAGGCTATCTTACTACAAAAGAAGAAATAAGGAACTTAGTTGATTATAGCCAGTTACTCTTCTCAAGTTACTAGTCACATGAATCATTCCCTCTCAGCTTTTGAAGGCAGAGGGAAACTGGGAGAGTTATGCTCATGGTGGTCTATCCAAAATAAAGAAAATCTCAGGGCGGGAAAATAGCATCACCCCAATTATAAATTTTACAAAATTATAAGGTGACTATACATTTATCCAAATTTTCTCTTTTATCCCTATATTCCTATTATGCATGATTTTATCTAAATCAATGTATTTGAATAAAGGTCAAATTTGTTGACTTCATATTCTCAGATATTCACAGTTTATAGAAAAAAACAAGTATTTTCCCAAGCTCCTATGACCATTTGTATAATATCCTAGATTTCATTCATATTGACCCACCAATTTTTGTTTTGTTTTGTTTTGTTTTGTTTTGAGACAGTTTTGCTCTTGTTGTCCAGGCTGGAGTGCAATGGTGCGATCTCTGCTCGCTGCAACCTCTGCCTCCCGGGTTCAAGCAATTCTCCCGAGTAGCTGGGATTACAGGCATGTGCCACCATGCCCTGCTAATTTTTTATTTTTAGTAGAGACAGGGTTTTTCCATGTTGATCAGGCTGGTCTCAAACTCCCGACCTCAGGTGATCTGCCCGCCTTGGCCTCCCAAAGTGCTGGGATTACAGATGTGCGCCACTGTGCCCAGACCCTAATTTTTTTAAACATGTTCTGCACTATTCAGCCTGCATGCCTTTTTTTTAATGCCTCACCAAGCAGAAATATCACTTTCTGAACTGTATTTGAATCATATTCATTCTACAAAACCCAGATAAAATCCTACTCCTTTCAGAAAACATTCTTTTAAATAAGCAATATCCAAGTAGAATTCTTTTTCCTATCTGTGATTCCCATGGCATTTTGAATTAATAGTGTAGAACTTTACACTCTGCCTTACATCATTGATGTCTACCTTCCTATCTGTTTCTCTTTCACAAAACAGTTTTATAAGTTTTTAAAGGCCCAGGATCATGTACTTTATCACCTCTGAATGTCCATGGTGGCTCTGTGGCTCATTCTGCATTATGGCCCTCTGCTAATGTGTTTTAAGTTAAATTAAGTGTTCCAAACATTAAAATTTAAAAAGAGAATTTTTTTTAAAAAAAAACTGTAAAAGAGGCATTGGCTCAGCAATCTGTATTCATCAAGTTACTTCACATCCAATGGAGGGAAACCCAGTTCAAATAGGTTTAAATAAAAGAGGAAAATATTGGCTGATATAACTGGGAAGTCTAATGGTTAAAGCCAGTTTCAGGTAGAAGTGGATTCATCTTTTCAGACATTGACATGATGGTTTCTTCTTTCTCTTCTTTTCCTGACTCTATTTGCTTTTATTTCATTTTCAGACAGATTTTTAAAAAATAAATAATGTCAAGGAAGCGTCACTCAGCTTTAAGCCCACCTTAAACTTATTTCTCCAGTTTCATTCTTTCCAGAGAAAAACAGGCCATTTTTTCCCTGTGTGTCCAGGAGTAAACTCGGATTCACTGTGTTCAGTTCATGTGTCTCACTTGAACTATGTGCTTCTGTTCTTGTTTTAGAGACGGGATCCTCCTTTGTCATCCAAGCGAGTGTTGAGTAGCCTGATTGTAGCTCACTGTAACTTCAAACTCCTGGGCTCAAGTGATCCCTCTGTCTCAGCCTCGAAAGTAGCTGTGACTAGAGGTGGCACCACACACCCGGCTAATGTTTTAAATTTTTTGTAGAGACAAAGTATCACTGTGTTGCCCAAGTTGGTCTTGAACCTCCAGCCTCAAGTGATCTCCCGCCCTGGCCTTCTAAAGCGTTGGTATTACAGACATCAGTAACTTTGTGCATTCCATATACTTCAATACTGGGATACTAAAACATTTCATCTGGATCTAAGGAGTTAGAATTAGATTCACCTGCACCTCTCTGAATCTATGTTATTGCTACAAATGGATGAGGAACTATTTTCTCAAAGGAAGGCATGTGTACAATAAGTAGTGTATGTCTATTAAATAATTAGAATGATGGTCACTCCTAGTGCTCCCATGGAGTAGTTATTTGAACTTACGCTAGGTATTAATCCTCTTTTAAGCTTTTCATACAATTTCCTGGGCATTAAATGAGACACTTTAAATAAAGCACCCAAACCACGTAACACACTCAATAAATGTTAATTCCCCTAAGATACTTCCTGTACATATTTCTTAGGGTCATACATATTTAATATAAAGTCATCCTGAAAAAAAAATAATAAAAAATAGGAGAAAAGGGGATGGTGATGAATAGATGCAGAAAAGCCTACTGAAATATGTTATAAGCAAACAATAATATGAATGTCAGAGGCCATGTATAGGAAATATTGCATTGAAATCACTTTGGACTAAAATATATTGTTCTGTGAATGCAGTTGATAATGACAAGTGACAGCGCTACCTTGATTATGTCCTTTGCTACTGTGAAATCCATTGCACCTAGTACCTTTCCTTTATTTTTCAAAGCTCACATACTCAGGATACTTCAGAAGAAAATGTAGACAAAGATGGTATTGGTCATACTGACATTCAAATAAGTACATTATCTTCTTGTTGTCTTATAACTCTTATATCCATTGCACCACAAATAACTCTTTATACTGAAGAAGAATTCACTCAGGTTAACTTTTTCAACAAAGAACGTATGCTTACATTAAATAAACAGGCACCTCTGCTTTCTAAAGGGATATAATATTTTTGAAAGATGTCATCCACTGGTGAGTGGTGACAATTGCTAAAGATACTTTTTAATGATATGGATCCACATAGGAAACCACACATTGAGGGCAAAGCAGTTCTGAATTAATTCCAAATCATGACTTATTTGGCTCTAGTGAGCTACTCTTTATGCTGATTAAAAACCCTGTGTTTTCAGCCCTGTGCCCTCCACTCTCAATTCTGTTCTATAATACAATTCCAACTATCTTCATAATGAAATTTTCCAGACATACTTTTCTGATCATCTTATTGCTTAAGTAGATTGTAAATTTGCAGCAATTTTGTAGCCTCTTGTGAAACACAGATTAGTTTGTTTTATATTAAAAACACAATTGGTAAATTTACAAAATTGGTTACTTCCTAATTAATTTGTTGGATGTGTATACCTTTTACATGGCACTGTGCCAAGATTCAGAAATGCAAGAGGAGTAGCCTCTGCCTTGAAGGGACCTCCAGTCTAGAGCTTGGTCTTGTTTCTGAAAGTATGATTTGGTGCACAGCAGAATTGCCATATACTAATACATAATAAGGTAAAAATGAATTCCATGGTCAAATAAACTTGGGAATCACTGGATTAAACAAAGTAAAATAGATTTTGTTATTGTAGGACTTTTCTACAACTTTAATATGCTAATGTGTTTTGAAGAGCTCAAAAGGAAGTAAAATAATCAGTTGTTTCAGACCTACCCAAAGAGAAGAGCCGTTTTTGGAAGGGTGTACATTGTAGAACCAAGGTATACACAATATACTACTTTGGGAAATAATGCACCAATGGGATAATTCTCATAATCTTTTTGAGGAGGTGTGTTTTGTCATTTCTCTCCAATTTCCTCCTTTATAAGAGCTGGCGAGAGACTAAGTCACTCTCGCCCATTCTTTGTCCCTGTCTTCTAGGTCAAGTTAGCTTCCAGCTAAGAGAGGAAAATTGGACAGTTTCCAGAGCACTGCATTCATGAGACAACCCCAGAGTAAATGATGCCTAGGCATAGATAAATGCTTAAGATAAACACTTTTCAAAAGTTTTATGTTATTAACAAATAATAATTGTATATATTTATGGAGTACCGTGTGATGTTTTGATACATGTGTACATTGTGAAATTATCAAATGGGGTAGTTAGCATGTCCATCTCCTCAAATATTTATTAGGTATTTGTGGTGAGAACATTTAAAATATTCTTCTATAGTAATTTTGAAATACACAACACATTATTAACTATAGGTACCATGCTATTCAATAGATCACCAGAATTTATTTCTCCCATCTAAGTGAAACTTTGTACCCCTTAATCAATGTCTCCCCTTTCGTCATCCACCCCCACCTCCAGCCCCTGATAATCACCGTTCTATTCTCTACTTTCATGAATTTGACTTTTATAGATTACACATATAAGTGAGATCATATTGCATTTGTCTCTGTGATTGAATTATTTAATGTCTTCTAGGTTCATACATATTGTCACCAATTACAGAATATTTTATTTCTTTTTTTAAGGCTGAATAGCACTCCACTGTGCATATATACACATTCATCCATGGATGGACACTTAGTCTATTTCATTACCACCTGATCTGCCTTATGAGAAATGTTAAAATAAACTCTTTTAAGTAACCATCCACCAGTTCATTGTGAAGAGATCATTCATTCTTTTAATGTATTTCTTGTTGCAATACTTTTCCCCTCAGAATTTAGTGTTGTTTAAAAGGATAGTGTGAGTAATGGAAGAGAGTAATTCCATATAAATCAACCCAGGAACAAATCAGGGTGATAGACTTAACAGAACACAGGCCTGGCAATTGTAAATCCTTTGTGTTATCTATTACTCTCTGAGTTTTTGTCGAGGCTTTCTCTAAAAAACTTACTGCAGATTATCATTGTTATCTGTGGATGTCTGAGGCATACTTTATCACTAGAAGAGACAACTTTTAAAGCTTGGAAGGAAATTCAGTGGGCGGCATTATATCTCTGGGTTTTTGTGAAGCAGTAATTTAGCTTCTTGGAGGAAACCAATTCAGATAAAATACAAACCACTGATACCACACAGTGTCACTTATCACACTGAATACAATGTTCTTTCTGATGTTACACACTCATATAAACCCACTTGCATACACATACAGCGCAAATTTATCCATACAGCACCCTGAATTTAAATCTTTCACCAACATTAATGTTCTGAGTATAAATAACAGATAATAGTAAATGGTAATAAATACAATTATCGAATTATCTTTTTTTATACATTTGCTTTTGGAAATCTCATGTAATTTTTTTCAGAAATCCTCATTTTGTCATTGTGATTACTATCAATTTATTTTTCCATAATCTTATGGGCTGAATTTCTATCTCACTATTACATATCTTCACCTGGATAGCTTATTGGTGACTCCAAATCAACCAGACTCGAATTGGACTCATAAATCTTCTCTTCCTAAAATACTCCTATTTTCATGTTAACCACCTTTAATTTTTCTCTAGTCCCTTTCCCCATCCCCAGTCATTCGTGCTTAAAACCTTTTTCTTCCCTTTTCACATTGCTTGGACTGGTAGATGCTCTCTTCATTATCTAATAAAAAATGTCACAAATAAACACAAAAAATTTTGACATAGGGAGACAAGGATCTGAAACTTCATTTTGACACAAACATTCCATTTAGTGGGCATTATTAGACTACTGCTATAAGCTACATAATTACAATCTAGCTGCATGATCTTGGGAAAGTTATGTGACTTCTTTGTGTCTCATTTTCAAGAGGAAGTGAGAAATCTTAACTTCTGAGGCTTGTTGGGGGAATACAAAGAGATGATGTGTACAAATTTGCTTTGCAAATCAGAAATGAAGGAAAGTTGCAAATGACTTAGCCATGTCTGTTCGCTGATACCACCTTAGTTCAAGCCTTTATGACTTTTTCTTCTAAAATACTATTGCTATAGACACTTTGTATCTCCCCCAAAATTCATATGAAGAAAACTAATTCCCAACATGATGAACTTTTGAGGTGGGGTTTCTGGAAAGTGTTTAGGTCCTGTGGGCATAGCCCTCAAAAATGGAAATAGTACCCTTATAAAAGAGGCCCTAGAGAGCAACCTTGCCTCTTCCACAATGTGAGGACACAGTGAGAAGTCATCTGTGAACCAGGAAATCGGCACTCCCCAGACACCAAGTCTGTTGGGACCTTGATCTTGAACTTGCCAGTCTCCAAACTCTGGGAAATAACTTTCTGTTGTTTATAAGGACAGTGTGGGTAATGGAACAGAGTAATTCCATATAAATCAACCCAGGAACAATTAAGGTGGTATTATTAAATGTAGCTCAACTGGACAAAGAAAAGTATTAAAATGTTAACAGGTTTTCTTTCCAGGCTCTGTGGGCTTCTGCTTCACTAAAAATTGAGCTTTTATGCATTCATTCATTCATTCATTTATTCTTTGCAAGCCTACTCACTCACTTATTCACTTAACTAACATTTAATAAAGACTATAAAGACAAATGACCCAACACTATGGCATGGGGTTGAAATACAGACATAATCTGAAACTTATCATTTGAAAAGCAGTGATCACATTTGCTATAGAGAGTTGATATGAGTTAAAGAGATAAGCCTACCAGCACAGCACTTGACATCACATAGCAGATGTTTGCTAACTGTTGGTTACTGTGCCTTTATTAGTGTTAATGGCTAAAATCCACACATCCTGGCAACCTGCCCTGTTTCCTCTAGATAGAAAACACAGTCTTCCTTATACAAACATTTTTTTCTGCCTAAATAGCTAAAGCTCTGTGATACATGCTTATACATAGGCATATTCATTATGTCCCCATGGATTTTGATATCGAACAAATAAATGTTTAATGAATAAAACTTCCTGAAAATCATATCGATGTGAAAGTAAATTGTTTCACAGCTATTTAAAAATCCTTAAGGCAACAGGCTATCAGGATGCAGACAAGCAGCTGGCATTCATATCAACACCCATAAAATAGAATAATACCCCTTCCACCTATTTTTTTCCCAGGCACTTAGATTTTTCTAACTACTCATTTGCATTTACTTTGACTCCTCAAGGGGTTTTCAAAAATAGCTCCTTTACAGAAAGCAAATTAATCAACAGACATACAGCTCTCACTGGGAGCAACATCACATGGAACTTCCACATTGATGAATTCACGACCACAGTAAACTCAGCCCTCAGTCCCTTCCATATACACACATACACTCATATTTACCTTCTCCTGTCTTTCCATGTGTCCAGGGAAGTTGGCTGAGTAGGCCTATTGGTGATGAATTCTTTGCAACTGCATTATGAAGTTAGAATAGAATTCAGTTCAACAGCTTGCTTTTCTCATATTTGATTAACTCAAGCTCACTTCTGTGGTTCCCCACAGTGCTTTCTATAAATATGTGCCAGAAGAACAATAATTCTAGTCATAATTTATAACAATCTGCTCCATAGACCCTAGTATATACCTCATATATATAAGGCTGAAATATTAAAATTGCTGATAGTCAACTGTTTTTGACATAGAAAAACAGCAGTTTCTGTGGCTTTATTTAAGAGAACAAATGTCATGACTTTGTAACTGTTTGTTCTCCCGTTTCTCCCACTGGTGGACCCAGAGCTCTTTAAGGATAGATACTGTGTCTTTTTCTCTTTTGGATACATGGCTCCAAGCACAGTGCTTGGCACAACACAGGTTCTCACAAAAGCTTTCAGATGGGACATAAACTCTCCTTTAGAATGTTCATGTGTCTTGTGATGGATGAACTACAGAATGCTCTTAGGTGTAGGTGAAGCAGGGAATATCAGAAAGAATAACTGAGTTACTCACTGAGACCAGTCTTGGGTCAATAAAGCCACTTACTTTTCTTTAGTTTTACAGAGGCATAATTGACAAAAAATTTATGTATTTATTTTGTACAACATGATATTTTTATATACTTATTTATTGTAAAAATGACTACAATAAAGCTAATCAACATACTCATTATCTCACATAATTACCTATTTATTGGTGGTAAGAACATTTAAGAACTGCTCTCTTAGCTAATTTCATGTATACAGTACAGTATTATTAACTATAGTCCTCATGCTGTGCGTTGGACCTCTGAAACGTATTGATCCTGCTGAACTCAAACTGTATGCTCCGACCAACATCTCCCAACTTGCCCCATTCCCCAAACATTTGTAGCCACCATATCAGTCTCTGTTTCTATGAGTTTGATTTTTTTAGATTCCATATATGAGTAATATTATGCAGCATTTGTTTTTTGTGGCTTTTTCCACTTAGTGTAGTGTCCTTCAGGCTCATCTTTGTTGTCACAAATGATAGAATTTGTTTCTTTCCAGAGGTGAAATAATTTGTTGTTGTATATACAGACCACATTATCACTATCCATTCATCTGTCCATAGAGACTTAGGTTGATTCCTTATCTTGACTGCTGAAAATAATGCTGCAGTGTACATAGGGGTGTAGAAATTTTTTAGGTACTGATTGTGTATTCTTTGGATATATACCTAGTAGTGGAATTGCTGGATTATATGATAGTTCTCTTTTTAATTTTTTGAGGGACCTCCACATTGACTTTCCTAATGGCTATACCAGTTTCCAATCCCAACAGTGAACAAGGGCTCCAGTATTTCAAGTTTCTCTCCAACACTTTTTTTAAAATTCTAGACATCTTAATTTAATTAATTAAATTAATACTGTGAGGTGATATTTTATTGTGCTTTTAATTTATATTTTCCAGTTGATTGTGATAGTGATATTGAGTGATTTTTGTGTGTGTACCTGCTAACTATTTGTGTATCTTCTTTTGAGAAATGTCTAGTCAAATACTTTGCCCATTTTATAATTGTGGTTTTCGTTTTTTTTTTTTTTTTTTTTTTTTTTTTTTGCTATTGAGTTAAGTTCCTTATATATTTTGAAAATTATACCCTTAAGTGGGGGAAGGCAGGGCAATCAGGGGACAAAAAAAAAGAGATTAAACCCTTATCAGATGTATAGTTTGCAAATATTTTCTTTCCTCCTGTATGTATCTTTTCACTTTGTTGTTTCCTTTTCTTTCAGAAGCTTTTTAGCTTAATTTAATCCTATTGGGCTATTTTTACATTTGTTGCCCATGTTTGGGGGATAATGTACAAAAAAAGATTGCCCAGAACAATGTCAAGAAGATTTTATCCTACATTTTCTGTTTTCTTCTAGCAGTTATACAAATCAAGACTCATTCAAATCCTGAAACTGTTATGAGTTTATTTTTATATATGTGTGATAAGAATCCAATTTAATTTTCTTTCTTTTTTTTGAGACAGAGTCTCGCTCTGTTGCCCAGACGGGAGTGCAGTGGCACAATCTCGGCTCACTGCAAGCTCCGCCTCCCAGGTTCACACCATTCTCCTGCCTCAGCCTCCCACATAGCTGGGACTACAGGCCAATTTAATTTTCTTGGGGGTGAATGTGAGGTTCTTTCAATACCATTTATTGAAGAGACTATTTTTTCCCTATTGTGTGTTTTTAGCACCTTTGTTGAGAATCAATCAACTGTAATTGTATAAATTTATTTCTGGGCTCTCTATTGGTCTCTTTTAATGGTCTATATGTTGATTTTAAACAAGCATCACGATGTTTTGATTACTATAAATTTGTAATATATTTGGAAATCAGGAGTTTCATGGCTCCAACATTGTTATTCTTATTCATAATTGCACTGGCTATTTGGAGTCTTTTGTGATTTTATAAAAATTGTCGGTCTTTTTCCTATTTCTTAAAAAAAAAAGGTCTGAGATTCTAAGATTTTGATGGGCATTTCATTTTATGTGTAGATCACTTTAGGGAGTATGGACATTTTAACAGTATTCTTTCAGTGTGTAAACTTCTTTATTTATGTGTGCTTTCTTCAATATCTTTAATCTATGTTTTATAGTTTTCAGTGTACAGATCTTTCAGCTCTTTGGTTAAATGTATTCCTAAGTATTTTACTATATTTTGATGTAATTATAAGTGGGATTATTTTCTTAACTTCTTTTGGATAATTTGTTGTTAGTGTATAGATACACAGATTTTTATGATTTTTGTATATTTCAACTTTACAGAATTAGTTCATTAGTTCTAATGTTTTTTCTTTATTTCCTTTAGGGTTTCTTATATAAAATAAAATTTTCTTCAAAAAATCTACAACTTTATTTTTTCAAATTTTGATGCTCTTTAATTTTCATCTTGTTCTTAATTACTCTTACTAGTACTTTCAGTACTATATTGAATAGAAATGTAGAGAGTGGGAATCCTTAACTTGCTTCTAAGCTTAAAAGAAAAGCATTCAGTTGTTCTTATAGGCTATGATATCCACTGTGGCCTTGCCACACATGATCTTTATTATGTTGAGGCACATTTATACCTAATTTATTGACAGTTTTCATTATAAAAAATTGTTGAATTTTGTTAAATGATTCTTTTCTGTATCTATTGAGATGATTATGTGCTTTTATCACTCATTCTATCAATATGGTGTAACACATTATTGATTTGCTTATGTCAAACCATCCTTGCATTCCAGCCACACACTTCACCTGATAAGAGTGTATGATTCTTTTAATATGCTGTACAATTCAGTTTGTTAGTATTTTGTTGAGATGGTTAACATCTATCTTATTTGGAATACTGGCCTGTAATTTTATTTTCTTGTTTTGTCCTTGTGTTGTTTTCATGTCACTGTAATAATGCTGGGCTCATAAAATAAGTTTGGATGTGATCCCACTTATTCAACTTTTTGGAAGAGTTTGTGATGTATTGGTGTTAGTTCTTCTTTAAGTGTTTGACAGAATTTACCAATGAAGCTATAAGATTCTAGGCTTTTCTTTCTTGGAAGGTTCTGCTTTCTGATAAAATCTCATTACTCATTATTGGCCTGTTCAGATTTCCTATTTGTTCCTGATTTAGTCTTGATAGGTTGAATGCTTCTAAAAAATTCTCCATTTCTTCTAGAATATTCAAGTTTTGGTTGATAATTGATCATTGTAGTCTCTTATAATCCTTTTCATTTCTGTGGTAACAATTTTATGTCTACTTTTTTGTTTATGGATTTGAGTCTCCTCTTTTTGTTTTTCTTAGTCTAGCTATCATTTTGTCAATATTGTTCATATTTATAATAAATCAACCATTCATTAATTATTTTCTATTGTTATTATAGTCTCTGTTTCACTTATTTCTGCTCTGGTCTTTATTATTATTTTCCTTCTGCTAATTTAAGTTTGTCCTGCTTTGTCTATTTCCCTGAGTGGTAAAGTTATGTTGTTTATTAGAGATTTTTTTCTTAACATATAAATTTATTGCTATGACATATCCTTTTAGAATGTCATTGCTGCATCCCATTGGTGTGGTATGTTGTATTTTCATTTTCATATATCTCAAGATATTTTTTGATTTCCGTTTTGATTTCTTCCTTAAACCATTAATTGCCCAGAAATGTGTTATATAATTTTTACATATTTCTGAATTTTCCAATTTTCCTTCTATTATTAATGTTTAGTTTCACAACATTGTGCTTAAGAGTAAATATATATATAAATTTAATCTTCTTAATATTTTAAGACTTGTTTATATTTTAACATGTACTATCTCCAGAAGAATATTTTATGTGTACTTGGAAAGAATGTGTATTCTGCTGTTATTTGAATAAAATGTTCTGTATATGTCTGTTAGTTCCATTTGATCTATAGATGTTGTTTGAGTCTGCTATTTATTGATTTTTCTATTTGAATCATCTATTCATGGTTGACAGTGGGGTATTGAAGTCCCCTAATATTATTTTATTGCTATTTATTTCTCCCTTCAGTTCCATTAACATTTGCTTTATAGTATTAGATGTTTCAACATTGAATGCCTATCTATTTATAATTAACATAGCCTCTCAATGATTGACCATATTATCATTATATAATGACCTTCTTTGTTGCTTCTGTAGTTACCAAATCAAAGTATATTTGCCTAATATTTGTAGCCAATACTACTCTTTGTTTGATACCATTTGTATAAAATAATTTTTCCATCTCTTCATTTTTAGCCTATGTCTGTCCTTAAGTCTAAATGAATCTCTTATAGGTGGTATACACTTGGGTCTTATTATTATTACTTTTAATTCATGAAGCCACTCTGTATCTTTTGTTAAAAAATTTAATCCATTTACCTTTAAAGTAATTATAGATAGTTAAGGACTGACTACTGCCATTTTCGTTATTGTTTTTGTACTGTTTTGTAGTCCTTGTTTTCTCTCTTATTGTCTTTCTTTGTGATTTGAAAGATTTTGTAATGGTATGCCTTGATTCTCTTTCTCTTTTGTATATCTACTACAGGTTTTCTTCTTTATGGTCACCATGAGGTTGAAATTAAAAAACTTATATTTATAATTGTCAATTTTAAGATAACTTCAAATCTATATGAACATACCACAAATTAACTTCTCCTCTCCTTATATTTTATATTATTAATATCACAATTTACATCATTGTATACTGTGCAACCATTAACAAATTATTGTAGCTGTAGTTATTTTGTCTTCTAAACTTTATATAATAGTTAAAAGTGATTTATGCACCAGCATTACAGTGTTAGAGTATTCCAAATTTGAGTATACTCTTATCTTACTTAAGTTTTATAATTTTATATGTTTTATTGTTATTCGTTAGCTTCATTTTGTTTCAACTAGAAGAATTGTGTTCAGCATGTTTTGTAACATAGATCTAGTGGTGATGAACTGCCTCAGTTTTTGTTTGTCCTGGAATGTCTTTATTTCTCCATTTCTAAAGAATAGCTTTTCCAGACGTAGTATTCTTGTTGGCAATTTTTTATTTGTTTTTTTCCCAGAACTTCAAATGTGTCATTCCATCTCTCTTGGTCTTCAAGGTCTCTGCTGAGAAATGTGCCAATAGTATTACATATGTTTCTTTGTATGTAATAAGTTGATTTTCTCTTGCGATTTTCAAAACTGTCTCTGACTTTTACTTCTGATAATTTGATTATAGTGTGTTTTATTGAAGATCTGTTTGTACAAATATATTTGGGGTTTATATTTTGCTTCCTGGATGTGGATGTTCTTTTCTCTCTCCAGATTCAGAAAGCTTATTATTTTTTTAAATATGCTTTTCTTACCTTTATCTTTCTTTACTCCTTCTATGTCTTTCATAATGCATAAATTAGATATTTTTATCATGTTCTGTACATTACATAAAATTTCGTAACTCTTTTCCATTCATTTTGTTGTTTTTCCTCTAGTTGGGCAACTTCAAATAAACTCTTTAAGCTTGCTAATTTTTTCCACTTTATTGAATCTGATGTTGAAGCACTCTATAAGATTATTTCAGTCATTAGGTTCTTCAGCCCTAGAACTTCTGTTTGGTTTTATTTATGGCTTATATCTCTTTGTTGAACTTATAATTTTATTCATATATTGTTTTCCTAATATTTATTTGTTGATCTGTTTTCTTGTAACTCACTGAACGCTTCCAAAATTATTATTTTAAATTATTTGTCAGACAGTTAATAGATATGCATTTCTTCAGGGCTGGTTACCCATGTTTTATTTTCTTTCTTTGGTGGTGTCGCATTTTTCTTTTTATTAATAATCCTTAAGTCCTTACATTTTTGTCTGTGCATTTGAAGAAGTAAGTCGTTCTTCCATGATTTATAGATTGCCTTTGTCAGGGAAAGACAATGTCACCAGTCACCAGTAAGCCTATATAGATATTATTATGGATAGGCTGACTGTTGAGGTCTACTGTCAAGCTTGCTGCAGGTAAACTCAGGAAGCAAGTCTGGTGCCTGGCTCTGTAGGGGTGAGCCTGGTCCACTGGAGTGGTTTTGGAGCTTGGTTCTGTGTGGGTGGGCCTGGTAGTTGGGTCTGTGAGTACAGACCTGAATTCTGGGGTTACAGGGGCTGGCCTAGAACCCAGGTTCGCTTGAGTCAGCCTGGCAACTGGATACATCCATATAGACATAGACCATGTACCCAAGTATGTGGGGATTAGTCAAGAGGCTATGTTTACAGGAGCTGGCCTTAAGCCTGAATCCACAGAGATCTGTGCTGAGGCATTCTTTCAGCCTGAGTTATGTGGGCTAGCCTGGTGTTGGGGTGGGCCTGACACTTGGGTCTGCAGGGGAAGGCCTGGGACCTGGGTCTGTAGGGACAGTTCTTGAGCCTTTGAGTCCCTGAGGCTGACCTGGGTCTTAAGTCCACAGGGGCTAACCTATAGCCTGAAGCCACAGGAGCTGGCCTGGTGCTGGAACAGTCCTGGGGCCTGGGGCTATTGGATTTGCCTGGTGCTAGGGTTCATTGGGGTGAGGCTGGTGCTGGATTTCACAACAAGATTTGATGCTCACTTCACTCTCCTTTCTCCACACAAAGGGCATCATTCTCTACAATATGCTGCCCAGGCTTGGAGAAGGGATATCATGTGTAATGTAAAAAATGATCTTCCTTCTCTCTTCGATGTGTATTTTCTTAATTCTCTTTTCCACTTAAGGACTGTATCTCTCACCTGGATTCCTTAGTTCTTGTTACTATATTTTTGTGCGTGGATAGTTGTTCAAACTGATATTCCCTTGTTCAATAATCAAGTCAATTTGATTAGCAAGAAATTGACAAGTGCATAAATCCCATATTCTGCTATCTTACTGATGTCTGGCTAGCAATAGAGGCACTCTCAAATATAGGTTTTACTTACAGCTGGATATTCCCAAGATCTAGGCTCTTTCATTTAGTCTTATTAATCTCATCATAATTCTTTCATCAGTTAGATGAGACTGGTATATTTTCAAACATTTATGATTATTTTTACCTATAGTTTTATCTATAGGGCATCTTTTCATTTTCCTGCATTGCCTTTTTCAATAATCAAAAAAATTTGATGCATAAGAAATTATAGTTAATCTCATTTTATAGATATGAAATGGAGTTCAAGGTCATTTAGATAATAGAGAGTGGAACTGGATTTGAGTGAAGGATGTGTAGCTTCAAGGTCAGATGTCTAACCACATCATTATGATGTTTTCCCCCAGGTATACCTGGCAAAATAGAGATAAAAATCATATGAAAGGTAAATGCTCATACATCTTAAAAAATAACAATAGTTGCTATATTAGGCCATTTTGCATTGCTATAAAAACAAACTTGGGGCTAGGTAAAAGAGATTTAATTTTCTCAAGATTCTGCAGATTATACAGAAAGCATGATGCCACCTTCGGCTTGGTTTCTGGTGAGGCCACAGGAGCTTTTACTCATGGCAGAGGGTGAAACAGGAGCAGGCGCATCTCATGGCAGGGGTGGGAGCAAGAGAGTGAGGAGAGAGAGGTCTCAGACCCTTAAACAACCAGACATCGTGTGAACTAACTGAAAGAGAACTCACTTATTGCCAAAGGGATGGTGCTAAACCATTCATGAAAAATCCATCCCCACGATTCACTCACCTCCCACCAGTCCTCACCTCCAGAACTGAGAATCATGTTTCAACATGTGATTTAGAAGGAACAAACATCTAAACCATATCAGTTACAATTGATTGTGCACCTGTGTTCATGCTCTATCTTAAATACTTTATCTTACTTATTCATAAAATAGATCTTGAAGTTGCCATTATTTTTACCACTTAATGAGTAAACTGAGGTTCAGGAAG
Source organism: Homo sapiens (assembly GCF_000001405.40). Lineage (NCBI taxonomy): Eukaryota > Metazoa > Chordata > Mammalia > Primates > Hominidae > Homo > Homo sapiens. The sequence goes on along the minus strand of NC_000004.12, from coordinate 12,128,792 downwards.
AAATGATGGCCCACAGCAACTCAACTGTTACATAACAGTGTTAAAATTTAAATTAAAAACTTTTTTATGATATGCATCTTTTGTATTCCATTGTTTCACATTAATTACTTAAATGTAATTATAACAATCATAGTTAAAGACAAAAACACTGAACTAAAATCTTTACATCATTCTTAAGTGTGTAGAATACAGAATCCCACAGATATATATTCAAAATATGGTCCTAATATCTTAAATTGACCATCGTTTATTTATTTCTCAAAATTTCGAATCTATAACATGACAATAATCACAGCTCCATGATTAAATGGCGTATCACACTAAAGAGCTGTGGGAAACATGCACATGAAAGACACAGTTTTCATAATTCTCACTGCTAGGGCATCACATAAACTAGCAGGTGTATTCGCAAAGTTTTACTATTGAAAGAGTAGTTGTTATAGGATATGAGCCCCTTCTAGAAATTAACAACTTTGTCACAATTGTAATCCCAGCACTTTGGGAGGCTGAGGCAGGCGGGTAACCTGAGGTCAGGGTTGGAAACCAGCCTGACCAACATGGTGAAACCGCGTCTCTACTAAAAATACAAAAATTAGGCCGGGCGTAGTGGTTCATGCCTGTAATCCCAGAACTTTGGGAGGCTAAAGCGGGTGGATCACGAGATCAGGAGATGGAGACCATCCTGGCTAACAAGGTGAAACCCCATCTCTACTGAAAATACAAAAAATTAGCCAAGCGTGCTGGCATGTGCCTGTAGTCCCAGCTACTCGGAAGGCTGAAGCAGGAGAATTGCTTGAACTTGGGAGGCAGAGGTTGCAGTGAGCTGAGATCACACCACTGCACTCCAGCCTGGGCAACAGAGCGAGAGTCCATCTCCAAAGAAAGAAAGAAAGAAAGAGAGAAAGAAAGGTAGGAAGGATGGAAGTAAGGAAAGAAAGAAGGAAGGAAGGGAGGGAGAGAGGGAGGGAGGGAATTAACAACTTTGGATGGGACTGAGGGCTAAAGGTGGGCAATGTGTTTAACAGTGATACTATCCCCAATTTTATATGGTTACAAAATGAAACTATAAGCTGAACCTGTTGAAAAGGTAGAAAATATGAAAAATATGATGTTTTAAGGTTGAGCTCAATTGCTACAGAACTTGTGACTTGTGTGTCATCTGCTACTGTTTCATATCAGGAAGGCTCAAAATCCTCATTTCACAAATCATAATGAGAGCAAATGCTCTGAATTTTATTGTTAAAAGCTTCAAGTAGAGGGTGAGTAGCAATGTGCACTATAGAGCACTGTGCAAATGAAAGGTACCTGGCACATTTGCCTTAATCTTTCCTTGGCCTATTTATATAAAGGGGCTCTATTTCTTTTTAGCTATCTTGTGATTTACTTATCTTTGGCTGTCTTGATGAATTGTAGTTTCTTGCTCTGTCTCAGTGCCCTTCATTCTTGTGTGTCCAAAGACACCTACTTTAATATTTTGGGTCCATTTCTCACAATTTTTATCTAGGAAGTTATTCACAACCAATTATTTTGATAAAACAATTCTCCCTAGTTTGAAAAAGATGTTGTTTTGTAGAACATGCAGAAAGGTTCTCACAGTAGCTATGCTCTGCTAACTGATTCTGTTGCTTTTTGAGGATGGGATTTGAGACTTCCTGCTTTTCCTAAACATCTTAGATTCTCCTGAGCCCTATTTATATTTTCATTGATTTCATAATCCCTAGGTCATGACACTCTTAATATTTTGTTCCAGTAATCTGAATTATTTCTCTAACTTCTCCATTGCACTCTATATACTATCTATACCTATATCTCCATTGCACTCTATATAGTATATATATATATATATATTATATATATACACACATACACACACAGTGTACATACAACATATATATGTATTTACATTATATTTATTTAAGATTAAATTATCTCTATATATAGTAATATACATAGTGTAGTGTATATAGTTGTGTTAGTCTCTTTCACACTTCTATAAAGAACTAGCTGAGACTGGGTAGTTTATGAAGAAAGGAAGTTTAATTGACTCACAGTTCAGCAGGCTTAACAGGAATTATGACTGGGAGGCCTCAGGAAACCCACAATCTTGGTGAAAGGAGAAGGGGAAGCAAGCATGTCTTACCATGGTGGAGCAGGAGAGAGAAAAAAAGGGGAAAGTTCCACACACTTTCAAACAACCAGATCTCTTGAGAACTCACTCACTATCACGAGAACAGCAAGGAAGAGGTTCTCTCCCATGATTCAATCACCTCCCTCCAGGCCCCTCCTCCAATTTGACATGAGATTTGGGCGGGACACAAACCCAAAGCATATCAAGAGTGTAATATATATGGTTGCTCACTACTATATTCCTAGATTCTAGACAAGGTCATTAGATTCTAGACAGCAGATACTTACCAGATTTCAATTAAAAAATTGTGAATATGGTGAAAAAGTTATTTATGTTGTGAATAAAGTTCACATATTTATCTCCCCCAGAAGAGTTTAACTTTGACAGATAATACCCAGTATAGCTAGGTTTAGTAGAAATAACACCACTACTCTGAGATGAAAAATCTAGGGACACACCTGGGTCAAACATTTTTCTCCAAGGTCACAATCACACCGTTACTGAAAAGAGAGCTTGCAACTAGAACTCAGGTTTTCTGACTTGAATCTGGGGCTCTGTCTCCTACTTTAGCAGTCATAGGTAGGCACATTTATTATAGCCACCTTTATATTTAGCCTCTCTTCTAATTTAGGCCCATGTTTTCAGTATTATTCCTGGCAATTTAGATTGTATTCACTGCTGATATGTATTTCCAAATATATGCAGTAAATTTACATGAATAAGATGCCTTGCTGAGTGGAAAATCTGGATTATTATGTCCCGAAAGCAGATCAGCACAATCATTATATGCACATAAAAATAACCTTAGGGTTGTTACTATGAATAATATGTTTTATCACCATTAAAGTAAGATTTAGACATTTAGACTTTTCTCGCTTAACAGGCTGTTCATTTTAGTACAGGAAGACTCTTAATAAAAATGATTAATGAGGCAAATAGCTATTTTTTATGTACACTGTTTTTCCTCTTTCTAAAATTATGTCTCTTCTGAAAACTCAGCCTCTCTCTTTGCTATAAATTAAAGGCCACTCTGTGGTCCAAAAGAAAAGACAAGTACATTCAAAAAGAGATAATCTTCAATATTGATGTTATCTGAGATTGTTATTGGATAAAATTCTCTTATAAACTTACCAGCTGACAAAATTAAACCTCTATGAAGTCTCTCTTCTTCTAGACAGGATTTCAGCTGGAAAACATGTCCAAAAATATACATGACTAGGGCTAATTCAAAGAAATAAAGCAGCAAGAATGAAGGAAGTAAGGAAGCCTTTCTTTTTAACTTAAAATTCATATAGAAAAGCAGGTTCAATATGGATTGATACTCTCTTCAACAATCCAAATTTCCTATTCAATACGAGGCAGAATTCTTTATTGCCAGTGATTCCTTCCAATTCAGTTTCTCCTTAGATGTTGATGTACAATCCTTTGCTCTGTGTATCCTCTCTTCCCATCAATAGACAGACGGTCTGAGAATGGGACAAATATTTCTAGACAGAATGAGATGTCTCTGGTCTTAGGCCACCCAAGGATACCTTCATTGAACATTGTTCATAGTCAGCCTTTGAGCTGTCTCTCCCAGTGTTCTTTCCTCCCTGGTAGTGTCCTCCACTTGAGAGGGCTCACCTATGTAATCAATAAGATATTTTGGAAATGATGAAGTATGACTTCTGAGTCTGGGGCATAAAATACATTGCAGCTTATTTCTTGCTTTCTTGGTTCATTCTTTATGGAATGATGTCTTAAGAACACTTAAATGGTACTGTTGCTAAATATCTGAAGAACTGAGGTCTCCTGCCAATAGTCATGTGAAAGAGCCACCTTGGATATGGGTCCTTCTGACCCAGTCAAGTCCTCAGGTAACTGGAGACCTGGCCAACATCTTGACTTCAACTGCGGAGAGTTTCTGAGCCAGAAGTGTTTAGCTAACCTCCTCTCGGATTCCTGACCATCAGAAACTGTGATCATTTGTTACACAGAACTAAATAATGTAATAAAGCACTGATAAAACTATTTACATAGTACTTTTGCTAAAACATTACATTTTTAAAAGGTAAAACACATGCTTCCTTACCTTCTTCATTCTTGCTGCTTTATTTCTTTGGATTAGCCCTGGTCATATATATTTTTGGACATGTTTGACAGCTGAAATCCTGTTTAGAAGAAGAGAGACCTCATAGAGGTTTAATTTTATCAGCTGGTGAGTTTATAAGAGAATTTTATCCAATAACAATCAGATAACATCAATATTTAAGATTTACTAAACATGTTAAAGCTTTTTACCTTTTAAAAAGGTGTATCACCACTAATATTAAATATTGCTGACAAGTCAGAAAACAGGCCAGAAAGGTTTACTGAGTAACCCAGTGCCACATGGCTTATAAATGGTAGAGCATCAATTCAAACTCAAGTCTAGAGAACTTCAATTAATTATATATTTCATCAGACTATTTTCAGAGTTTTAGTGTCCACTATTCAATTCAAACAGCTGACACACAGGCGGACATGGCAATCTGTTCAACATTCCAAATCCAATTCCTATGTTCTTCCTAGTATCTTGCAGGAAGGGCCCTCAGAGCTATTTCCTGACTGTGATGCAATCTTTGATGCATTACCTCTTCCCACCATTGATAGTCTCCCTCTGGGATCCAGCCACTCCTTCTCCCATGTGCCAGGAAAATGGGGGTATTCCACACTCAAAACCTGGTTGATATGGGGATAATAAATGGGTATGCAACAGCACAGACCCTTTTCTCAATTGGAGATTATGCTGAAGGCTCAAGCCAGTTTCCACATCCTCTTCAGGCTAAGCTGAGGCCTATGTTGCAACATCACTGCAGTTCAACTTCTTGTTCTACCCAATGTCATTGTATTCACCTCCTTAGGGTTTTTCTTTCACTTCTTCAGTGTTTTTGAAAACAATCCTCAACAAGTTTCCTCCATACAAATTTTTATTTCAGTCTATTTCCCATATAACCTTTACCATACATCTCAATTCTCAACTTGTTCTCTTATTTTTGAAATGATTGAGCTGGCCTGGATGCTTCTCAGGCTGATTTTCACAGGGTGGTCCCAGTACCAACAGCATTTTTGTCATCTGGGAACTGGATGGAAATATAAATTCTCCTATTCCACAACAGGCCTCTGAATCTGAACTTGAAAGATGGAGCCACACAACACATTTAACAGCCCATCCAGATGATTTTGATGAACCATAGTTTGAAAATCATTGTTCTAAGATTTAATCAGGGTTCTTAAACCTTTTGGCTTTCAGTTGCTATCATATAAATGCCCCTCAGCTGGTTGATCCTGAGTCTTCATTGAATTGGATCACATGCAATTTGAGTTCGAAACAATGTAAAATCAGACTGCAATTCAGTAATTGTTACATGTACGCACTGGACACTAGATTCTAAATTTTGCTGGAAGGAAAGGTTTACTCCAGGTAGGCTGGTGGATACAAAAAGGTATAAACTTTAGTATAAGGAGATCAGTGCTTTATCATTATGACCATATACAACCTTTCAGAAGCCACGCTACCTTTCTGATCTGCAGTTTCCTCATGTTTATGATGAGTTTATATGTTCATGCACTGCCTACTTAATAGAATTGCAGCAAAAATAAAATGGCATGATTTGGAAAATAAAAGAAGCTTGCAATGTCATGTCTTTCTTGGGGGAAATACTTCCTACAATTTTTTTTTAACAATATACATGTGTATGACTATAAACACCAGTACTTACTGTGAAGCAGGTTTACTGGAACTGGTTAACTACTTATCTGAATTTGGTGAAACAGAACACACTCACACACAACAAGTCATACAAAGCTCGTTTACTACATACAGGGACAGAAGAAGCCTAGGATCCACTCTGAAGCAGTTGCTCAAAGCTCAAGAAAGCTTCCCAAGGTGGATACAGTCTTGAGTGTCTTGTACCACAACTGGATCCTCTGAAAAGCAGTCCATCTTCAATTACATACCTCAGAGGTAATGAGACTCCCTAGGTAAAGCTTGGAAGGACATCTTGCTCCTGTGTGAGAGAGGCACAAAGCCCAGACTCTCCTGGGCAATTTCCCTCTATCTCAAGATGTTACATTCCCTAGGAGGGACAGGAACAGGGCCGAAGCTATTTCAGTTAGTTCCTCCTTAGGGTGTTGCATTACCAGCACATTCCACAGCTATTCTGAAGAACCATGGGTAAGGAAGGCGGGGAGAACTGGGATGGTCCAAAGCCACTCAGAGAAGTATTCTGCACAGGCATGCATTGATTACTTATTATGGTCTAGGCATATAATGATAGCACATAACATTTAATTTATTTAATTTCTGATAAGAAAAGTACATTTTACAGAGGGGGAAATTGGTAAGAAAGCTCCTACATATCAGATCTACTGTTGCAATATAAAAAATCTGTTTGCAGAGTCATAATTGAGTTCTTATTCTTTAGTGCCTCCCTCATTTTCTAAAACAAAGGAATTTAAAGATTATTGATAATAAGTGATAATGCTAATAGTTAACACTTTCATAGGTCTTACTATATGTATATACATATATACACATACACATGTGTGTGCATGTGTGTGTATATGTGTGTTTATGTATGTGTGTATGTGTGCACATGTATGCAGATTTTTGTGTATGTGTACTGTATATATATATATATATATATACACGTGTGTGTGTGTGTGTGCATGCACATGGGCATGCATGTATTAATAGTTATTAACCTAAATTTATAGACTAAAAACTAGACCACAGAAAGTTTAAATAAGTTATCCAAGGTCACACAGCCTTGTAGGAAGAAGAACTAGGATTTAAACCTCAGGAGGCTAGTTCGAAAGACTCTGAGCATCGTCACTGTGCAATCTTGCCACTCAAAGCAAAATAACACCTTTCTGATGTTATCTCAGATAAATTTACAGACGTACAGACGTTAGCACCTTATTTTTATCACTTTGGTGCACAGTAAACTATACATTTGATCTTGATGTGATAGGTTGAAGCATGGTGAATAGAAACGGCTTTTAGGGTTTGTCAAGGATCAGGGAGGAGGTATGATGGCTAACATGGCCAGTGGATTCAGAAATGGAAATTTGCATAAGAAAATACAATAATCATAGAGCATCCACAATTCAGATTTCTTGAAATATAGTCTAGTCATTCTGAAGCCCATGTATGAAGTAAACGTGAAAATGGGCATGGTAGATACCTTTCATCATTGCATCTTTTCTTCTTGGCTTATGGAGTCTTTCAAAATCTGCTTCATATTTTGATAGTTTTTCACATTCAGGGGAGAAACTATTGCCAAATAAACAACAACCACCTCTGGCTTCCTCAGACTCCTTTACTGTGAAGATATGTAAATGTGACGTAGGTTTAGCTAATCAGAACTCATGCAAGAGGCTGATGAGGAGGAGAATGACATGAAGCAGTATCTATGAATGGGAAGTGTGTTCTTCTCGACAGGGTGTCAGAAAGGGCAGCTGTGATGAGAGCTCTTCATATCCTGTCCTGAATTTGATTAGTGGCAGGTGGTGATGACAGTGGTGTTTGTGCCACCCCAGTCTTCTAGCATAATGATGTTTATAGCTGTGCTATTCTTGGCTTTATTTTCCTGAATGGGTAGCATCTAATGCTGTTTCTCTGCCCTACCTGGAGGTTCTATGAACTACCTAGTTGTTTTAATAAGCACTCTTTGCTTAAACTAGCTAGGATCATGCACCACTTATGTATTGCTCTGTAATAAACCAACCCAACCAAAATTTAGTGACTTAACCACTATTTTGCCATTTCTCTCAATTCTATGTCTTAGCAATACAGGTTGGGTTCAGAATGAAAATTGTTTTATTGGGCTTTCCTAAGGTCACTGTTGTGGCTGCCATTATCTGGGAGCTTGGCTACAAATAGATGATAAAATATGGTTTCAAAACACATGACTAGCCATTATCTTGGGCTGTTTAATGGAGCATCTAGGGCTTCAGGACTCCTGAACCAAACTGACGGTTGGGCTGCTATTTCCTGTGGCCCAATAACAAGATGCACATGAACTGAGGAGGAAGAGAGTTTTTATTTCTGTAACTGGTTACAGGGAGAAGGCCTGGAAATTATCACCAGACCAATTCAAAATTACAAAGTTTTCCAGAGCTTATATACCTTCTAAGGTATATGTCTATGTCTAATTGTGCATTCATCTACAGACATAAGTGATTAATTTCTTTTAATCTATAACTAAAGTCTGAGTCCTGAAGACCTTCCTCTGGAGCCTCAGTAAATTTACTTAATCTAAATGGGTCTAGGTGCTGGAATGATTACCCTTATCTTGTCTCTTGCTAAATCCAGGAGGTTTGAAGAGTTCCCTCAGACCCTCAATAAATTTGTTTGTGGAGGCCTGGGGAGTTTCTTCAGACCCCCAGTGAAACTTGTTTAACCCTAAATGGGTCCTGTTAAGAATTCCTTCATTATTTTGTCATGATTTAAGGCCCAGGAGAGGCCTAGGAAAAACTCCTGATGGGCTTTTGTTACAACCCAGCCTTTGTATAAGGGCGCTGGGTTTTAATATTTAACTTAACCACTCAGTCAGTACTGAAACAGTTATGGAGGCCTGGTACACTGAGGCCAAAGCTCAGAAGTCACTTACCACTGCTTCTCTCACTTCTGTTGGTACCTGATGGTAGGATATTAAGTCAAATCTTAAGGATCTTTTAATCTGAGTAAGAAAAACATACTCTAAAAAGTAATTATAAAACAGTGAGACCAGATATAATGGAGGTAAACGTTGGGGATGGTGATATCACAAGCAATACAGGAGAGGATATAGCAGAGGCAAGGAGAGCTGAAACAGGATGGTGTGTGTAATTACAAACACCCTGGCTTAGCTGGAGTGGACATTATGACATGAGAAGTAGCTGGAGATGTGGCTAGATGGGAAAAAACAAAACAAAACAAAACAAGGAGCAAGTTCACAAGGGCCCTTCTGTGTTAGGAAAAGGAATTGGACTCTGTGGGTGAACAGCCAGAAGTTTTAATCAGTGGTAAAACCTGGTGACATTTTTGCTTTAGAACGATCACTCTGGCAACCATGAGGAAGATAGATCTGAGAACACCAAGAACTTGCCTACCCTGGGGGCATCCCAAGGGCATCTTAGAGGCATCTAATGGTGTGTATTTCTGGTTTACATCAAATACACATCCTGGAACACTGTCCACCTGAATGAATATCATTAAGTTGTATTTATGCAGAGTTTGAACTCCTAGTTGCAAGTGTTTACATATTTTAAGGGTGGGACATTTGGTTTGTCTTTTCTAGTTTCTAAAAAAAATTAAAAAAAAAAAATGGTTCTTAACCTGTGCCTCCAGAACTACTCCCTCCATACAAACCAATTTTAATTTAGACTATTAGGTCAAGTTAGTTTCTACTCAAAGGCTAATTTTAGACTGAAAGATGACTCTAATTTTTTGACAATATAAAAAAATCCTCTATCAATATGCCATTCACAGTCCCATGTTTACTATGTTTACTGTTGATTACTTTAAGTAAGTATCATTATTGATAATTACATGTTTATCAGAATACATATTTATCATCTGTTCTCACCACCAGACTGGCAGCCCCCTGAGAATAAACCATGTGGTTTTTCATTTATTGCACGCACACTTTTCTTCATTGTGCATGACACATAAAATCAATGAAAATGTGAGCATGATGAAAGGGGAAGTAACCTCCTGTTATTTAAGTTCTTTTATAGAAACTAATACTGAAAGGAAGCTACGATGTAGTGGTGAAAGCAAGGTCTTTGTCATCAGACAGACTATGATTCAAAAGATGAGCTTGCACAAGTGGTTGTGTAACCTCAGGCAATATGTTTTAGTTCCCTAGACCTGTCATAACAAATTACCACAAGTGGGGTGGCTTAAAACAACAGAAATTTATCTCTAAGTTCTGGAGGTCATAAGTCCAAAATCAAGAGCTGACAAGGCCACAGTTCCTACAAAGCTTACAGGAGATAATTTCTCCTTGGCTTCCACAGCTTTTTCTTGTGTCTGGCATCCCTTGGCTGTGGCAGTGTACTCTCCAAATTCTGCCTCTGTCTTCATGTGGCCTTATTTCCTGTGTCTCCGTGTTTGCTACTTATCTGTCTCTTATAAGGAAACTGTTGTTAGACTGAAGTCCTACCCAGTATGACTTCATTTCCATCCTTACTTTAATGACACCTACAAAGACCCTATTTTGATATAAGATCAGAATCACAGACATCAGGGATCAAGTCTTGGACATAATTTTTGTGAGCACAAAATTGAATTCATCATCCTGTTATTTTTGGAGGGCTTCCATAACAGAATACCAAGGATTGAGTAGCTAAAGCAACATATAATTAATTTTTCAAAGTTCTGGGGGCTAGAATTCTCCAACAAAGGTAGACTCAGCCTCTGGAATCGAGGAAGAAAGAACCCTGTCTTTGAGGTCATTCTTTTCATTTATTGAAGGATAACACATGTTCAAAGCCAAATAGTTTTATTAGCCTGTCATGTAGAATCACACAAATCTGACAGTCTTTGTTTATTTTCTTCCATTTTTATCCTCTTCAGATGAAGCTGGCAGCATTTCCGCTGCTACAACTCCATCTCTATTTTCTGGCTTCTGATAATATGCCTGATTAGATGCTTGAATTACACCTGTAGTCTCTTTATAAAAATAATTTTTCAACCAAACCATTGATGTTCTCTGAATAACATTTCTCACTATTTTGCAATATGGATAGGCTAAGAATTTTACAAATCTTCAAGTTCTGGTTCCTTTTTGCTTAACATTTCATTCAGTTTATCTTTATTCCTCTGATATTGCTAAAGTCAGCAAAGAAAATCCAGGCTGAGCTTTCGACCATTTGCTTAGAAGTCTTCCAAACTAAATATCAAAGTTTGTCAGTTTCCAATAACGTATTCCTCATTACCTTCTGAGGCCTCATCAGAATCACTTTGAATGTCCATATTCCTAACAATTTCTTCAGGGTAATCTAGTGGTGGTAAGAGATAACATGCATCTCAAAACTCTTCCAGGCTCTACCCATTACGCAGTTCCAAAGACACGTCTACGTTTTAAAGTATTTGTTCTATCAGCACTCTACTTCTTAATACTAAAATCTGCTGTAGTTTGCCATGGCTGCCAAAACAAAATACCACAGACTGGGTTGTTTAAACAACAAAAAATCTATTTTCTCACAGTTCTAAAGGCTGGAAGCATAGGATCATGGTGCCGGCAGAGTTGGTTTTCTCTGAGGCCTCTCTTCTCAACTTGCAGATTGCTGCCTTCTTCCTGCCTCTTTGCATGGTAGTCCTTCTGTGCACATACATCCCTAGTGTCTCCCTTCTTGTGTTAAATTTCTTTCTTTTTATGAAATTATATCTGTCAGATTAAATTAGGACCTACCTAGATAATCTTGTTTAAATTTAATTACCTCTTTAAAGGCCATACTCTGTTTTCAAGTGCAATCTTGTTCTGACGTCATTGAAGTTAGGGCTTCAACACATAAATGTGGAGGGAAAACAAGCTGTAATAATGACAAAACCTCCATACAAGTTCAGAGATAAATGAAAAAAACATAGTACACGACATAGAGGAACTCCTCCTACAATGAACTAAATTAAGTTATTGAGTGTTGCTTAGCATGATTCTCTCAAATGATGATCAGTAACCTAATCATTTTTTGTGAGAAGCTGCAATGATTGGGCCCTACCACTAGCCTTTAAAATCACAGTGGGATTATAGGCTTTCAGCATGCCTCAACCACATGGAAATATCAAGATAGAACATGATAATCAACTCTGTGAGCTTTAATTTAAGAAGATAAAGAGAATCCACAGGAATAAAGACACCCCAGATCCCAGAGAGAAGAACATGGGCAAACAACCTCCATGACATTATTTGGCTGATACAAGTAAATGAAGCCCTGGTACATGAGAGAGGCAGAGAACCTCCCTCTGTGACTCACTTTTCATGGAGATCTGAGCAACGCAGGCTGAGGGAGAGCCCTTTGCTTCTCCCACTCTGTGGAGATAACCTGGAGAGAGGATTAGAAGCACTGAGAGGAAAAGACACCAGGAAAAGCTACAAGCATTTTCCCAGACCCAGGACTGAGAGAAAGCACCATTTCTAATCCAAGTGAATACAAACTCAGCCATTTTTTGTCAACTTGGCAGTATAGCCACACAGATATTTTAGTTTTGGGCTCTGGAGAGGGTAGGAGCCTTCACCACCAGAACTGTGGAAAGCACCTCAGCAGAAGGTGGTGAAATTGTGGTCACCCCCATCACAAGCCTTGAGCAGAAGGAGAGCTACTACAGCTTCAGTTCCTTCTGGGTGATGAGACTTGCAGCCAGAGCCTGTTTGACGAGCTGCGACCTGTTTGTGTGTGTTATTGCTGGTTCCCCCAGCCTGCTTCCCTGAGATCACAGTGCAGTGGGGCCCTCTCTGCTTCACCCTCAGGCAGAACTCCAGGCATTCCAATGCACTCTTACCTGGATTAGCAACTTGAGAGGCCACACCCTTCTTATACAAAGACTGTGGTATAAAAGGGCCCTCTCTGCTCCACACCCAGCCATCTCTCCAAACATGCAGAGCACTCTCTCACTGGAATCAGCAGCCCGATGCACCTCACCATTCCTGTATATTGATTTTGGTGCAGTGGGTCCCTTTGCTCCATACTCAGGCAGGTATCCAGGTATTCAGAGAACCTGCTCACATAGACTAGCAGCCTGAGTTACCCTATCATTCCTGTGCAGAGATCCTGGTGTACAAGAAGTGGAGTGCTGTTATAACAAATATTTTAAAAAGTAGAAGTGTCTTTGGAACTGGGTAATGGGTAGAGCCTGCAAGAGTTTTGAGATGTATGTTGTAAAAACCTAGATTGCCCTGAAGATATTGTTGTTAGAAATATGGACATTCAAGGTGATCCTGATGAGGTCTTGGGATGAAATGAGGAACAAGTTTTTGGAAACTGACAAACTTTGATATTTATTTGGGAAGACTTTTTTTTTTTTTTTTTTTTTTTTTTTTGAGACGGAGTCTCGCTCTGTCGCCCAGGCCGGACCACGGACTGCAGTGGCGCAATCTCAGCTCACTGCAAGCTCCGCTTCCCGGGTTCACGCCATTCTCCTGCCTCAGCCTCCCGAGTAGCTGGGACTACAGGCGCCCGCCACCGCGCCCGGCTAATTTTTTGTATTTTTAGTAGAGACGGGGTTTCACCTTGTTAGCCAGGATGGTCTCAATCTCCTGACCTCATGATCCACCCGCCTCGGCCTCCCAAAGTGCTGGGATTACAGGCGTGAGCCACCGCGCCCGGCCTTGGGAAGACTTCTAAGCAAAGCTCTCTATGCTTCATGTCCAGGCAGATCTCTAAGCATATGAAGTACCCACTTACTTCGTTCAGCAACTTGAGCCACTCCACCTTTCCTGGGCATAGATTATATTGCAGCATTGCTATGTCTACTTCAAGCAGAAGAGACAGTTTCAGGGCTTGAAGACCCGTCTTTTGAACTAATCCAGTCAGATATACAAAAAAAAAAGAAATTTCAAACAAATGAGCAAAGTTTTAGAGAAACATGGTATTATGTATAGTGACCAAAGCTATGAATTATTGGCATTCCTGAGACAGAAGGAGAAAAAGTAAGCAACATGAAAAACATATTTGAAGGAATAATTCAGGAGAATTTATTTAATCTTGTTAGAGAGGTAGATAAGACACAAGAAATACAGAGACTGTCTGAGAGATACAATACAAAATAAACATTACCAAGGCATATGGTCAACAGACTGTCCAAGGTTAATGCTAAATTAAAAACCCTATAAGTAGCTAGAGAAAAAGGTCAGATTACCTACTAAGGGAAAATTATCAAGCTAATCATGAAATTCTCAGAAGAAACCTTACAAACCAGAAGAGATTGAGAGCCTTTTTCAGCATTTTTAAAGAAAAGAAATGCCAACCAAGAATTTCATGTTTTGCAAAACTAGGCCTCATAAGTGAAGGAGAAATAAAATATTTTCCAGACAAGCAAGTGCTAAGGGAATTTGTTATCAATAGACCAGCCTCTCAAGAGTTCAGTGAGTTTTAAACAAGGACATGAAGGAACAATACCTGCTACAACAAAACACACTTAAGTACATAGCCCACAGACTCTATAAGGCAATCACACAATGGAAACTACAAAGCAACCAGCTCAAAACTTAATGATAGAATTAAAACCTAATGTGTCAATATTAATTGTGCATGTATATGGTCTAAATGCCCCCATTTAAAAGGCACAGAGTTGCATTTTGGATTAAAAAATAAGACCCATGCATCTGCTGTCTTCAAGAGACTCATCTCACATGTAATGAAACCTATAGTCTCAAAGTAAAGGGTTGAAGAACAACCTATCAAGCAAACAGAAAACAAGAAAAAGCAAGGGTCACTATTCTTATTTCAGATAAAACAGACTTTAAACCAACAACAGAAAAATAAAATACAAAGAAAGGCATTATATCTGATAAACAATTCAATTCAACAAGACTTAACTCTTCTACATATATATGCACCTAACATTGGAGCACTCAGATTTATAAAATAACTACTTCTAGACCTATGAAGAGACATAGCCACACCATAATAGTGACAGACTTCAACACCCCACTGACAGCAGTAGACAGATCATTGAGGCAGAAAACTAACAAAGAATTCCAGATTTAAATTTGACTCCTGATCAATTGGAGCTAATAGACATCTACAGAACACTTTCTTCCATAAACTACAGAATATACATTCTTTTTATCTACACATGAAACATACTCCAAGATTGAGCAAATGCTAAGCCACAAAGCAAGTTTCAATAAATTAAAAAAAAATCAAAATCATACCAACCATCTTCTCGGACCTCACTGTGATAAAACAGAAATCAATACCAAGAAGGTCTCCTGAAACCACATAATTACATGGAGATTAAACAAGTTGCTTCTGAATGACTTTTGGGTAAACAAGTAAATTAAGGCAGAAATCAATTTTTTTGAAATAAATGAAAACAGAGATCCAACATACCAAAATCTCTGAGATGCAGCAAAAGCAGTGTTAATAGGAAAGTTTATAGTGTTAAATGCTTACCTCAAATGTTAGAAAGATCTCAAATTAACAATCTAACATCACACCTACAGGAACTTGAAAAACAAGCACAAATTAACCCCAAGGCTAGCAGAAGAAAATAAATAACTCAAATCAGAGTAGAACTGAATGAAATTGAGACCCAAAATACATATTAAAAAACAACAAAATAAAGAATTGGTTTTTTGAAAAGACAAAGAAGATGAATAGACTGCTAGCTAGATTAATAAATAAAAATACACAGAAGGTCCAAATAAGCACAATTAAAAACAATGAAGGTGATGTCACAACTGATTCCATGGAAATACAAAACATCCTCAGAGACTATTATGAAGACTTGTATCACATAAACTAGGAAATCTAGAGGAAACTGATAAATTCCTGGAAACACACAATATCCAAAGATGGAATCAGGGAGAAACTAAAACCCTGAACAGACCAATATTGAGTTTCAAAATTGAACCAATAATAAAAAAAATTAACCAAAAAGAAACATTCCAGATGGATTTGTAACAGAATTCTGCCAGATGTACAAAGAAGAGCTGGTACTAATTCTGCTGAAACTAATCTAAAATTTCAAGTAGGAGAGACTCCTTACTCATTTTATAAATCCGGCCTCACCCTGATTCCAAAACCTGTCAAAGGCACAACAGTAAAAGAAAACTACAAGTCAATAACCCTGGTAAACATAGACACACAAATCCTCAAAAATACTAGTGAACTAGTATTTTGTATCCACCAGCACATGAATTTACTATAATAAATTAGGTTTCATTTCTGGCATTCAAGGTTGGTTCAATACACACAAATCAATGAATGTGATTTACTACATAAACAAAATTAAAAACAAAACTACATAATCATCTCAATAGACAAGGAAGGAGCCTTTGATAAAATCCAACATCCCTTCATGATGAAAACCCTCAACAAAATAGGCATCAAAGGAACTTACCTCAAAATAATAAAAGCCATGTATGACAAACCCACAGTCAACATCATACTGAATTAGCAAAATCTGGAAGCATTCCCCTTGAGAACTATAACAAGACAAGGATGTTCACTCTCACCACTCCTATTCACCATAGTTCTGTAAGTTCTAGCCAGAGCAATTGGGCAAAAGGAAAAAAAAAATAGAAGCTATCAAAATAGGAAAAGAAGTTAAACTATCTCTCTTTACTGATGGTATGATTCTATACCTAGAAAACCCTAAAGATTCTGCCAAAAGGCTCCTGGAAATGGTAAATTACTTCAGTAAAGTTTCAGGATACAAAATCAATGTACAAAATTCAACAGCGTTTCTATAAACCAATAATGTTCAAGGTGGGAGCCAAAATAACAACACAATACCATTTACAATAATCACAAAAAATACCTAGGAATACATCTAACCAAGGAGATAAAAGATCTCTACAAGGAAAACTATGAAACACTGGTGAAAGAATTTATAGATGAAACAAATATAAAAACATTCTATGCTCATGGACTGTAAAAATCAGTATCATTAAAATGGCCACACTTCCTAAACAATCTACAGATTCAATGCTATTCTTATCAAACTACCAAGGTCATTTGCTTCAGAGAATTTGAAAAAAACTATTATAAAATGCATATAGAATCAAGAAATAGTCTGAATATCCCAGCAATCCCAAGCAAAATGAACAAAATCAGAGGCATCACATTATCCAAATTTGAACTATAATATAAGGATATAGTAACCAAAACAGCATGGTACTGGTACAAAAACAAATCAAAACACACACACACACACACACACACACACACACAAACATAGACCAATGACACAGGTTAGAGAACCCAAAAATAAAGCCATATACGTACAGCCACCTGATCTTCAACAAAGTTGACAAAAATTAGTGATGGGGAAACGACAACTTATTTAATAAACAGTGCTTTGATTGCTGGCCAGTCAAATGCAGGAGAGTAAAACTGGACCCCTATCTTTCATTATATGTGAAAGTTAACAGAATTTAAATGTAAGATCTCAAACTCTAAAAATGCTAGGAGAAAACCTAGGGAACACCATTCTGGACATCAGCCTTGGGAAATAATTTATGTCTAAGTCCTCAAAAGCAATTGCAACAAAAACTAAAATTGACAGTGAGACTTAAACTAAAGAGCTTCTGCACAGCAAAAGAAACTATCAACAAGTAAACAGCCAACCCACAGAAAGGGAAAAAATATTCACAAACTATGCATCCAACAAAGGTCTAGTATCCAGAATCTTTATCTCTCTCTCTCTATCTAAGTTAATACAACAAGCTAAAAACAAATAACCCCATTAAAAAGTGGGCAAAAGACATGACAGTTCTCAAAAGAAAACATAGGAGTAGTCAAAAGACATATAAACTAATAATGAAATAGCAGACCTAAATGCAACCATATTGATAGTGAAATAAATGTAATTCTTCTAAATACAGTGACCAAAAGCCATAGATTGCCAACTTGGAAAAAATGCAAGACCCAACAGTGGACTTTCTACAAAATAATTCACTTTAATAATAAAGATACAGATAAGATAAGTGTTTTTAAAAGACAGTACCTTAGTCCATTCGGCTGCCATAACAAACTACCACAGACCGAATGAATGACTTGTTAACAACAAAATTTCTTTCTTACAGTTGTGGAAACTGGGAAGTTGAAGAGATCAAGGAACCCACAGATTTAGTGTCTGGTGAAGGTCTATTTCCTGTTCTAGAGTGCAGTCTTCTTGCTGTAACCTCATGTGGCAAAGGAGGCAAAGGAGTTCTGTGGGGCCTGCCTTGTAGGAAACTAACCCTCTTTATGAAGTTTGCATCCTCATAACCTAATCACCCCCAAATGCGTCACCTCCAAATACCATCTCATTGCTGATTAGATCTCAACATATGAATTTTGGAAGTACTCAGCATTCAGCCTATACCAGAAGGAAAATGTGATACAATAAAAGAAAAAAGGCACTTGTCAAAACAAAATTTGAACATAAATTTTAGTGTTAGAAATATTATACTCTATAACAAGATAAATTACTGGGAACAAAAAGAAAAATGACATAGTGATATAATAGCCAATTTGCCAAGAATACATGAAATTTGTGTGTATGAACCTATCAAGAGAGGTTATTACGTGAAGTAAAATCTGATAAAACTAAAAGTATAAAGAAGCAAATCCAACAATTTTCATTAGAAATGTTATTATTCAAAAATAGATAGAAAAATAGGAAGGATATAGAAGATCTGAACAATATTTACAATGAACTCAATCCCTTTGATTTTTATAGGTGGCTCTATCAAAAGCAACAAGAGATAACTTATTTTAAGTTCACAATTTTGCACTTAACTATGTTCACAAAATTGAACATTTGTCAAGATAGACTATGTTCTGGAACACAAAATTCAACGAATTTAAAATACTAGAAAACATCCAATTTATAGCTTTTTACCAAAACAGAATTATAAGTGAAATCAGTAACAAAAAGATGTCTGAAAAGTTTCCAAATATTTAAAAGTTAAATGTACTTCTTAAAAAATTCCATGAGTCAAGAAAAATTCAAAATTAAAACTAAAAAGTTTGAATAAAAATGTATGTATATATTTATATGTATATGTATATATATATATATATATATATATATATATATAACCTTGTGGGCTGCTGGTAGAGCAGTGCTCAGCGAGAAACTTAGAAAACATAGGATTCTTAGATTCATTTCAATCTAAGATTGAAATGAAGGAAGGGTGTTTTCTCTTACCTCTTTAATTCAATATAATATTGGAGGTCCTACACAGTAGAAAAGGCCAATCAATCAATCAATCAATAAGGTATGAATTGGAAAAGAGAAACTAAAACTGTCTCTGATATAATATATGATATATATCATATAATATATCATATATGACATATGATATATGATATATGACATGATATATATGATATATATGTTATATAGATATATGATATAAGTGATATGATATATAATATATATCATATGCTATATATGATATATAATGTATATCATATGCTATATATGATATATAATATATGGTATATATGATATATATATATCACATGCTATATATGATATAATATATATCACATGCTATATATGATATAATATATATCACATGCTATATATGATATATATCACATGCTATATATGATATATCATATATGCCATATATGATATATCATATATGGCATATATGATATATCATATATGCCATATATGATATATCATATGCGCTATATATGATATATATCATATGCGCTATATATGATATATATCATATGCGCTATATATGATATATATCATATGCGCTATATATGATATATACCATATGCTATATATGATATATACCATATGCTATATATGATATATACCATATGCTATATATGATATATATGTCATATGCTGCTATATATGATATATGCTGATATATATGATATATCACATGCTATATATGATATATATGATATATGCTATATATGATATAATATATGATATATGCTGTATATTATATATATGATATATCATATGCTATATATGCTATATATGATATATGATATAATATATGATATACATGCTATATATGATATATGATATATCATATGCTATATATGATATATATGATATAAGATATACATGATATATAATGTATATGATATAATATATGATATACATGATATATATCATATATATGATGTACATGATATATATCATATATATGATACATATGATACACATGATATATATCATATATATGATATAATATATGATACACATGATATATATCATATATATGATATATGATACACATGATATATATGATATATATGATATGATATGATACACATGATATATATCATATATACGATATATGATACACATGATATATATCATATATATGATATAACATATGATACACATGATATATATGATATAACATATGATACACATGATATATATCATATATATGATATAACATGATACACATGATATATATCATATATATGATATAACATGATACACATGATATATATCATATATATGATATAACATATGATACACATGATATATATCATATATATGATATAACATGATACACATGATATATATCATATATATGATATAACATATGATACACATGATATATATCATATATATGATATAACATGATACACATGATATATATCATGTATATGATATAACATATGATACACATGATATATATCATGTGTATGATATAACATATGATACACATGATATATATCATGTGTATGATATAACATATGATACACATGATATATATCATGTGTATGATATATGTGATACACATGATATATATCATGTGTATGATATATGTGATACACATGATATATATCATGTGTATGATATATGTGATACACATGATATATATCATGTGTATGATATATGTGATACACATGATATATATCATGTGTATGATATATGTGATACACATGATATATATCATGTGTATGATATATGTGATACACATGATATATATCATGTGTATGATATGATATATGATACACATGATATATATCATGTGTATGATATGATATATGATACACATGATATATATCATGGTATGATATGATATATGATACACATGATATATATCATGTATATGACATATATGCCCCCAAAAATGATCTGTATCATGTATCTCACACACCAAAAAAACTACAAATTGATCATTAACTTTACTGTAAAACCTAAAACTAAAAAATGTTGTGGTCTTAGGCAAAGAACACAAATCATATATCTTTAATATGAAATAAATAACATGATCTAGAAAAAAGTAAATATAATTAAGATGTAACACTTCTACTCTTTGAAAGGCCCCACTAAAATAATAAGTAGACATGACAAAGGCTCAGAAGGAAATATTTGCAAAACTCATAGCTGACAAAGTACATATATAACAAACTTTTAATCTCAATAATTAGAAAATGAATAACCCAATTAAAACATAGATGAAAGATTTGAGAAAAATATCTCACCAAAGAATATATACAGGTTGCCTGTAATCACATAAAATATGTTCAACATTGTATAATATATATTATGATATAAAATGCTGTTCAACATCATATATTGACATATATGTATATATAGTTATTTTACATACTATATTGTGGTTGTTTAGATGTTTGTGCCTCCTCTAAAATTTATGTTGAGACATAATCCGCAATGCAACAGTGTTAAGAGGTGGGGTCTTTAGGAAGTAATTAGGCCATGAGATTAGCCATAGATGGGATGGGGAACTTTATAAAAGGGCTGGAGAAACCTAAGTAGACCCTCTTTTGTTCTACCACATAAGAACACAGTATTCAAGTTACCATCTGGGATGCAAAACCTGGGCCTTCATCAGACACCAAACCTGTGAATACCTTGATCTTGGAATGTCCATCCTCCAAAACTGTAAGAAATGAGTTTCTATTATTTTTAAATTACCTGGTCTCAGCAAGAATACAGAACAACTGGAATACTGTATATTGTCTAGTGAGCACAAAAATGGTACAGCCATTCTGAAGTTAAACATATAAATATCATACGACCCAGGAATCTCACTCCTAGGAAATTACCAAAGAGAAATACAAACTTGTTTTCACACAAAATCCCATAAGTGAATGTATGCATTGACTTTATTCACTATCATTTTCAGTTGGAAGTAATCCAAATACCTTGCATCTGGTGAATAGATAGACAAACTGTGACCCATGTCTACTATGAATACTATTCAGCAATAAAAAGCAACAAAACTATTGATACACAAAACAACATGGATGAATCTGAAATCTGTTTTCTTAAGTGAGAAAATCCAGACTTTAATATATAACACCAGTTGTATGATATCCTAGAAAAGGCAAAATATAGAAACAGAAAACAGATCAGTGGTTGTTGAGAATTGTGGAGCAGAGGAGGAATTTACTACAAAAGTACAACAAGAGGAAAATTTGGGGTGTAGTGAAACTATTTGGTTTTTTGATTATGGTAGTAGTTATATGATTGTATGCTCTTCTTAAAATTCAGAACTGTAAAAATGTAATTTTACTATCATAAACAAGTTAAAAAAGTGAATAAATATCATATAATAGGAAGTGACCATGAAATTATGAGGCTAGTAAATAAGACAAGAAGTGGACTTTCTAGCTAGGTATGGTGGTACATGCTTGTAGTTCTAGCTACTTGGTAGGGTGAGGTGGGAGGATTACTTGAGCCCGGGAGGTTGAGGCTGCAGTGAGCTATGATTGCAACACTGCACTCCAGCCTAGGCAACAGAGTGAGACCCTGTCTTAAAACAAGAAAAAAAAGAAAGAAAGAAAAAAGAAATGAAGGTTTTCACTGGGCCAATATTTGTGGAGATAAACAACTGTGAGTAGATTCTATGTGTGTTTTTAGAGTTTCACTGACATATTTTGCAATGTTTGCATGTCATGGTTGAGGGGCAATGATACCACAATTGCATATAGTTTTTGTCTTAATCAGTGGGATGAGTCTTAAGGTAATTTATTGAGAACAGAGAAGGGAGGATAGGTTGACAAACAAACATTTTCAAGTGTTGTATTTTGGAAACTTTATTAAATGCCTACTCAATATCAGTATGTGAATTTTACCCACACAAATGAACCTATTCAATAGAAATTTTCTTAATTACTCAATGTAATACACATGCACATGCGCACATGCACGCACACACACACACACGCACATACACACAAACATAACCCAGCCTCCACTACTTAAGATGAGAGTATAGTCTAGTTAACCAGGAGGTTATGAGAGTTCAGATAAAGTTTGTCTTTTGGCGTGGTGACAGAAGCACAAACTTCATACTGAAGACAGTCTTTGGCCTGAGCCTAGAAAAACAGGGAAGATCTGTCTCCTCTGAAAACAGGACTGTAACAGAATCCCCTTTGAGTGCCAAAATTTGTATTTGTTTACAATGAAGAGAAAACAATTAAAATAACATATATGCAATATTTCGTGAACAGTAATGTGCCATATAATAAGTGTCAGTCCCACCATTACTGTTGTTAATGTGTGCATTATGATTCCTTCAATCCATGCACTCTTGCTGTTAAACCTGGGTTTTAAAACCAACATGTTCAACAGGATAGTGTTTCCTGATACCAGAATTAAAAAACATAATGATGTCAATCTAATACATATTTAATGCTGTGGTATGTTTCATTGCTTTGGTCAGCATGTAATTAAGCAGGACACGTAGTGGAACAGAGTACTGGTCTGGGACTGGGCAGATTTGTGTTGGATTTATGCCTTCCATTAATTAACTCTGTGACCTCGGGCAAGTCTCCTTCTCTCTCTGGTCCTCAGATTTGCCATCTGTGAAGTGAAGATGCTGGATAACATGCTCTCCAGGTCCCTTTCCCATATATCATTGCATGCAATTATCCGAGCTGAGCTGACCAAAACATTTCAAACAGAACTTGCCAAAGACCTTATAAGCACATGGCAGGGCCAGAAGAGAAAGTTTTCAGCAGGGATTCTCACAAATTTGAGCCGTGTGGATTAGTGAAGGGAACCCAGCACAGCTGGCCCAGGCCAGGGGTATACACAGGGCTGGATTGAGGCTGTGTTAACATCTGGCCCTGAGTGGTGACAATTTACTGAGAAAGATAATATAACAGACTGGTGTGGACTGAAGCTGTTATTTCAGACGGTTATTAATCCCAAGCCCTCAGACTGGGCAGAACAGATTTTATAGACAAATAAATTATATCAATAATAATAATGGTAGGCCAGTAGTTACTGTAATAATAGCTGGGTTAGTTGTGTGTTTACTCTCTTCGACAGTCAGACAGTATTAAAAGAAATTTGTGTGGGTCAACTCAGATAATATTCTCAGCTTTGTATGGCACATACTATTATTACCCCAAATTTACGGATGAGGAAAATGCCCAGACAAGTTAAGTCTGTGGCGAAAAGTCACACACTAATAAGTGGTAGAACCAGATTTTTAAATCCAAGCAGTCTATCTCTTAGTTAGGGATTGCGTTCACTGTGCTACATAACACATACATACACACACACACACACACACAAACCTTTTCACAGAGATGTACATTGTTAGACATTCACCAGTGCCTTTGGAGAACTATACTGTTTACCCAATTTCAAACATTTTATCTTTATTTTTAAAACTTTTATAGCAGCACACAACTGCTTCTGGTTTACCCCTTGACAAAACTAGACATATCCCTGGAGACCCTGCTGAAATTCCACCACAAATTACATTGCTGACTCCTTTAGTGGAAGTAATTCCCTGATCTTCTGCACTCTCACACCACTTTGAGTGTGTTCTTACTATTCCTACTCTTGTCAGCTTTATTTCACTGATTGTTTACATAGGCTCATGAACTCTGCTTATGCAGTAATGAGTGTCTCAGGCTCGAGGCTGATGTTCTACACACTTTGATATACCCAGTCTTTTCTAATGTTCCTGGAATAAAGTAAGTGCCTGGTAAAGGTTTTATGAATGAATGAATGAATAGCAAAATACATCATTTCAAATGACCCTTCTGATAAACCGTGAACTAAACAGGCAGCATTCATCATCATCATTTTTCAGAGAACGAAATGAGGCTCAAAGAAGTAAAATGTGTTCTCTAAGTTCTCTCCAGTAACCAAAGATGTAGACCAGACTAGAAGTCTAAGTCTTTTGACTCAGTCCAGTGTCCTGCTAGCATTGGTATAATTCTCCCAGGAACCTGGGAGAAATGTGTGAAGATATGAGCGCTTGGAGGTACTTTCAGGGTGGGAATAGGGACAGCAAACTCCCTGGGCAGTTGTTTCTCTGCCTTGCACGGCTTGCACACCAACCAAAGAATAAGGCATAGATAATGATGGAGATTCCAGCTTTAGGGTCCTTCCATTCACTTGCTCACTCATTCATTCAATAAAATTTTGTTCTTTGAGTGCCTACTGATTTTTTTGCTGCTATTCTTCTTTTAGACCATAGCAAAACAAAAATAGATGAAGTCCTCGTTCTCATGGAGCTTATGTTTCAGCAGGGAAGACAGAAAAGTATATTTGCATGCCAGATATTATTTCTATTTTTTCTATCCACCAATAATAGGCACTTACGGAAGATCTGGAGAGTAGATAACCGGAAAAGTAGATGAAAGGAAAATAATCACCCATGGAAGTTGAGGCAGTCAGTTGGGCAGACAGCTAAGGTGGAGTTTGCAGCAGCGACCAGGCTATCTCCTATGCATGCACAATCTTGTGGTTTTGCTGGCACCTTCTTTGCAATTTCAGTCCTTCTAAATTTCCTGAAAGTCGTTTAAGGCTTTGTCTAATCTTTGTTCTCCCAGACCTTCCAATGGTTTTGCATGCATTTCCTCATTAAAATTCCTCTTCTTAAAATAAGTAGAGTTCTCTGCTTTCCTGATTGAACTTTGAATTATAATGTTAGGTAGCAATAAATTTAGTGAAATGTAAAGAAGTAGAGTAAGTGGATAAAGTGTGGTAGCGAGTGAAGTGCTTGATTTCAGAGATCATAGAAACCTTGACTGAGGATATATCATTTTCAGAGAGACCTGAATGAAGAGGCCATATTGATATCTGAGGGGAGTACATTTCACTCTTAGACAGTGGCAAAACAAGGGACAGCGAGTACAAAATTGCTGTCTTCATGGAAAATCTTCAAGACAAATCTGGCTGTAGGAGTGTGAGAAAAGGGAAAATGGGTACAAGATGAGAGATCCAGGGCTCCATTCATGGAGGAATCTTGAGGACTATGGCAAGGCATTTGGATTTGATCCTCAAAAGGATTTAGAGAAGAGGAGTCTCATGATGGAATATGGATGGGGCACCCCACCCCATGTCAACAGAACGCACATTAGTTTATCAACTGTGCTGCCATATTAACAGCTAATATATATGCAGAATTCTAAAGTTTACAAAGTGATTCTGTATTATTCCTTCATTAGATCTTAACATTAACCCTGGCGTGTTAATATTCTGGTTTTACTGGTTAGGAATTGGAAATTATGAGAACTTGAATTGTGGACCTGAGGTAAACAGGTGGAAAGTCACAAAGCTGAGCATCAAATCCAGGTTTCCTGAGCCAAAGTTAAAGATACATTCTCTGAGGCCACAGGTGGCTTTGTTTTTTTCTTCTTTTCCCTTTCCAACTTTTATTTCAGGTTCATGGGTTACACGTACAGGTTTGTTATATGGGTAAGTTGTGTGTCATGGGGTTTTGGTGTACAGATTATTTTGTCACCCATATAACAAGCAGAGTACCTAATAGGGAGCTTGCTCTTCTTGACCCTCCTCTTAACGTCCACCCTCATGTAAGCCTCAGTGTCTCTTCCCTTCTTTGTGTCCATGTGTACTCAATGTTTAGCTCCTACTTATAAGAGAGAACATCCATATTTGGTTTTCTATTCCTGTGTGAATTTGCTTAAGACAACGGCCTCCTGCTGCATCTGTGTTGCTGCGCAGGACGGAATTTAATTCTTTTTTATGGCTGTGTAGTATTCCATTATGTATTTGTACCACATTTTGTCTATCCAATCCATTGATGGGTATTTAGGTTGATTCTCTTTCTTTGCTGTCATTTATAGTGCTGCAGTAAATATACATGTGCATGTGCCTTTATGGTAGAATGATTTATATTTGTATAGGCATATAACTAGTATATATTGCTGGGATTCCTGGGTGGAATAGTAATTCTGGTTTAAGTTCTTTTAGAAATCTCCAAACTGCGTTGCACAGTGGCTGAAATAGTTTACATTCCCACCAGCAGTGTATAAGGATTCCTATTCTCAGCAACCTCCCCAGCATCGGTTATGTTTTGACTTTTTAATAATAGCCATTCTTACTGGTGTGAGATGGTGTGGAGATTTGTGTTTCTCTAATGATTACTGATGTTGAACACTTTTTCATATGCTTATTGGCCATATGTATGTCTTCTTTTGAGAAGTGTCAGGTCATGTCCTTTGCTCATTTTTTAGTGACGTTGTTTGTCTTTTGCTTGTTAATTTGTTTAAGTTTCTTATAGATTCTGAATGACTTTTGTGACATGAGAAGAGAACTGCCCTCTCTTCACTGATCAAATAATAGCAGTTATTAGTTATGGATCCTTTATATGTTGCAAGGCATTGCAAAGCAATGGACCCAAAACTTGGTGCAGGCAGAATGAATCTGGAGTTTGAGTGGTTAAGGTCCATGCTATTCAGCAGTGATTTCCCAAATGTTGTGCATTCAAAACAGTGAGGCTTCAGTCAAAATGCAGATTCCAATTCAAAAGGACTGGGTCAAGTCTGAGATTCTGGCTTTCTAACTAGCACTCAGGAGTTTCTAATGCTGCTTGCCCACAGGCCAGACTCCACAACACAACACTGAGTAACTGTTCACTCAAGACATAGCTTCGAGCCTACATTTCCTGCTTGGGTCTGTGAGAATAAGCATATAGTGACTTCATCTCATCCAAGGCCAGCAATATGCGCTCAAATGTTTGAAAGGAAAAGCAATTTCTATCTTTTAACATAAACTGGTTATCAACTAAATTTGAAATTGTTTGCCTTTGATGCCAAAATATCTAGCTGTAAACTATATTCAACATTTTTCTACATGTTTCTACCTTAAAATTCTAAATGTATCTAAATATTTTACTATGCTGAGAATCAAGATTTTG
The DNA here is from genome assembly GCF_000001405.40 of Homo sapiens. Classification (NCBI taxonomy): domain Eukaryota; kingdom Metazoa; phylum Chordata; class Mammalia; order Primates; family Hominidae; genus Homo; species Homo sapiens. The sequence goes on along the minus strand of NC_000004.12, from coordinate 12,100,853 downwards.
AAAATTGACTGTAGCCTATAAAAGGGTTAAACATTATTTTTCTAAACAAGAATTTTTAAAGTAAAACAATCAAATATATTTGAAGAGTTAGAAAGAATACATATGTATTTTTGTATATATGCTTCATTATAACTGAAGAATGATCTTAGAGGTTACATTTTATTACCTCAATGACTTTAAAGTATAAAATATGAACATTTTACTGAATTATTGAGTACATTTAATTGCAGTTGTATACTATGAACTATTGATCCAATAACTATTCATGTGGACTATTAAAATGGGATGATTCATTTTTTATTTTACCGTTTTTAAGCAACGCTTATATATTATTTAGAATTTGAGAGCTGGGATTAAAAGTCTTTAGTACAATACAATATTTCTAAAGTAGGGCAGGTCTTTGTGGGAGTCCAAGGTAACATTATATAATCAAAAATTAAGCAACTTTAAATTTCAGCAGCCAAAATATACCCTTTTTCTTCAGTTAAATGTTTTAATTGCAGGCATATTCACTGGGACTTATGAACTTTTCTGATATAAATGGAATATTTAATGTGAAATATAAAATATTTTAAGTGTTCTGCAGATTTCTCAAAAAATAATTCAAGGGGTGTTCCTTTTTTTCCCTCTACTTGTTTTTGTGGGTTTTTTTTTTTTTTTTGGCTCCTAGTAAAGAATCTTCCTTAATTCAGTCATTTTTCTTTTTTCTTTTTTTAGTAAGAAAAAAAGTATTGGGTCAGTGCAAAGGTTCACTAAGGGATATTTTAAATATCCATGGTTAAAAAAGACAGCTTAACAAAATACTCTGTAGGTCTGGTGTCTTACTCTTGCTTTTATGCACTCTCCTTTGATCGGCAGTGCATCAAACACATTTGCATGTTTAAGCACTTATTGTGTATCTAGTTCTCTTTTGAGTGATGGGATACACTGACACTCATTAGGTAACCACTATATGCGGGTCAGGTAGCTGCCAATATTTTATGAATACCATCTCATTTAAAATAGTTATGTCATTAACTCCTTTGTGTAGATTACTAAAAGAAAAGGGAAAGAAAGTCAATTGAATTTCATTGAATTTACAAGGATGTAAATCCAGGAAGGAACAGAACTCAGATTCATAAGATAGCTCTGATTTTTGCTGAAATTTGTTTTCTTTCGACTCTACCATCATCTTACTTAAAATATTGTATGGTTGCTTTTCTCAACCAGGCTGCTATAGCACATAGGTCTTTGGCAATGGCCAGGAGACTTTTCCTTGCAGAGGGAAGAGCTTATGAAAAACATCAGAGTACAGAAGGCTGTATTCATGGAATGAACCCTCAGGACTTGAGGTTTGGGGAGCCAGTGGAAGAAGGCAGACCTTGCATGACAAAGAAAGGAGTTTAAAAGTTAACCTAGGAAGAAATAGACATGTGTTCATCAGCTTAGTCCTGTGATCATTGTTATGACTGTATATGCATGTTAGGAAGGAATGTGAAGATCTGTTTGGGGATGGGGAGGAATAAAAGGCAAAGAAACTAATGAGTAGCCAAGATGACAGAGTACTAAGGTGCTAATTTGAGTGCTGCTCACACTGTCTTGTGCACTTGAGTCCCCTGGGGATGTTGTGAAGGTGCAGATTATTATTCAGTAGGTCTAGGATGGGGACCCAAATTCTGTATTTCTAACAAGTAATGTTAATGTTGCTGTTCCATGGTACAGATGCTCATTAGCAAGAAATGAGAACAGTGATTCTCCAAGTTTGATCCTTAGACCAACAGCATCAACATCACCCCAAAACTGGTTACAACTGCAAATTCTCCAGTCCCACACTATATCAATGTAATCAGAATGGCTGGAGTTGGATATAGGCATCAATAATCTGTTTAAACTTCTAACAGTTTTATTGTTCAGTTTGAAAATAAGCCAGTGACCTAGAGCGGAGAAAGTGGGGATAGATGAAAAAAAGAAAAAGACATTTGTAATGTGTATTTAGGAAGAAGAATCAACAGGGGTCAGTGACTGAATGGAGCTTATTTAGATTCTGATTATGTAAAAAGAGTTCAGAATGACCTAATTTTATCCTCAAACCCTGCTTTTTTTTCCTTAAATATGAAAGTTTTAATAATCTTTCTGCCAATAGCATAGGTCATGCTTGGAAAAATATAACATCTTTTTTCAGGCAATTAAGCAATTTCAATACTCACTTTAATTAACAATTGTGCCTAAACGAAAACTCTTTGCATGAAAGAGCTTCTAATGAAACACGAAAATTAGCTAAGGAAATACAGGGTTGTAATATGGAGTAAGAATGATGGAAATGATGATTTCCTAAACAAATAAACAAAATTGCTTCCAACATTTATTGTAAACCACCCATGAAATATCTGGCAATCTAAATGGAATGAAAACATTCTTTCTGCTTTATATAATACTCTATTTCATGTTAGAGAAAGAACTTTAATTAGAATATCACTGGTGTCAAATTAGTAATAAATGTTTAAGACAAACTGAGATAACAGGACTATGAGAACAGTGCCACTAATGTAAAATCTGCTGTAAATTGCCAGGAAATTTACATTTTCCATTAGCACACAGTCATAAGCATAAAAATGATAAAAGGTTACATACGGTTTAGATGTTCTTTAACTCGGTTGAAATTATTGCAAAGAAATGGTGTATTTAACACTTAAAGTTTCTGGAGTTTAGAAATGCATCAGTTTGAGTCACTATATCTTTACTATTTAGCTATGTAAATCTTGGGAATACTGCGTACGTTAAGTCTGGGTTATGTCATTTGTAAAATGTAAAACCAACTCCTTTTCTAGCAGCAAATGGGTTGTATATAGCATGTGGAACGGCATTGTGACTTTCTGAGAATAATGCTATGAAGGTACATATTAAAGATTCTCAACTCTAGAGTTCTAAATGAATGCCCTTGGACAACAAAATTTGTGCCTCTGACTCTCATATTCTTTATTTGCAAGATAAAGATTCAATGACTATCTCAAAAGAGTGGTTGTGAGAATTATATGAGATAATGCAAGTAAATCATGTGGCATGCAGAAGGTATTTAATAACAGCAATTAACACCATTATTAATGGACATGAAGATATTTTGTATACTCTGTGAACATTAGGGGACATTCTAATTAATTATTTCTTTTGTCTCACAGGCATCTTTCAAACACTTCACTTGATAATGTAGACACAACCATAGAAAGGCCTGATACTCTCTTTAGAGAAAATGGAAGTGAAGAGTATCCCAGGAGCAAGTAAAAACTGCAAAAACTCATAGCATTTATTGACTCCATCCAAGCTCCTGTACTAAGAGACTTAACCAAACTCAAGCACACTATGCAGCACCTTAAGGCTGTGGCCTTAGTTGCTACAGGCCCCTTTAAAATACCTGTCAAAGGAAGCTCAAAGCTACTAGGATAATCGGGTGTTTATTCCAGGCAAAACCTGATGATAGGCCTATAGGTCCCTTAACTGTTACTTTAGAAAGCTTGCAAGTATAAACCCCTTTTCTGCTTCTTTTAGAAGTAACTCTTTTATCACCCAGAACTGATTTCTCAAGGACCCCAAAGCCGTCTCTTTGAAATGAGAACATTCAAGGGGATAACTCCAGCTTCCCAGTCCCTGTGGGAAGGTGAGGACATATTTTGGTGGGAGCCTTGCTCTAACTTTACAACCATCTCGTATCATGACAGTGCAGCCAATGTGTTTCCCCCCCGAATGTGTGCCAATTAGCAAACCCATATGAGCTGTTCACAAGAATAAAACTGCTACTCTGTGCCCTCCAGTGCCTCTGCTTTAGTGTACCTCAGCTTTTAAAATGTCTCCTGCTTTTCCTTTTGGCAAATTTGAGCTCAGTTTATACTAGACATTCTTGTATTCCATAGTAATGGTCACTAAATAACATCTGTCTTTATCACCATTAACTAGTGCCCAACGTTTTTTTGCTTTAGCATAAGGCATGGAACAGTTCAGAGAGGGAAGAGCGGAGGTTCCTATGAGTAGTTCTTTTGATGAGTAATAAAAATGAAATAGAATGAAGCTTGTAGAGTTGATGGGACCAGACTTGGAAGACCTAATATGCCATAATGAGAAGTATGGAATACATTCTGAAAGGAATGAGGATACATAAAACTCTGAATAGAAGAGTTCCTTTGTGATAACAGTATAAATTCCAGAAATATTAGATTGGTCTGAATCTCTTCTCTCTGTTGTCTTTATCTTTTCTCTGGTGTGCTGATTTATTACCACTCTTCTTCTCCATAATCATTTAGTACTCATGCCAGGAAAGTCCTTCACATTGAATTTAAATACATCAAATCTAAGTTTCTATATCCACATTGAATCTTGGTTGTTGTATAACTGTGTACAGACAAGACTTCTTCAAACCAATTTGAACCTGAACAGGTGCTGCAGAGTTGTTAACGTTCTCTAAATAGAGGAATTTCTGTTGATCTAAGAAAAATTGTTCTGTAAATTTTTTTAAAATCTAATATCAGAAATCAGCAACAGAATATCTCGAATGCTTACTTATTATGACTTGCAAGGATTCCATAAGTCGTCTGAGATATCTGCTTATCATGTAAGTACAAGGGTATTCTTTCATGAATTCATTTATTCAGGAAATAATTTCTGAAGACCTGGGCTTTTATAAGCAATGAACTTATATATATAAGTTCATATATAATGATGAATAAGGGATATAATGATGAATAAGGTTCTATTACACTCTTTATTTTTTATTATTATACTTTAAGTTTTAGGGTACATGTGCACAATGTGCAGGTTAGTTACATATGTATACATGTGCCATGCTGGTGTGCTGCACCCATTAACACTTCATTTAGCATTATGTATATCTCCTAATGCTATCCCTCCCACCTCCCCCCACCCCACAGCAGTCCCCAGAGTGTGATGTTCCCCTTCCTGTGTCCATGTGTTCTCATTGTTCAATTCCCACCTATGAGTGAGAACATGCAGTGTTTGGTTTTTTGTCCTTGCGATAGTTTACCGAGAATGATTTCCAATTTCATCCATGTCCCTACAAAGGACATGAACTCATCATTTTTTATGGCTGCATAGTATTCCATGGTGTATATGTGCCACATTTTCTTAATCCAGTCTATCATTGTTGGACATTTGGGTTGGTTCCAAGTCTTTGCTATTGTGAATAGTGCCACAATAAACATACGTGTGCATGTGTCTTTATAGCAGCATGATTTATAGTCCTTTGGGTATATACCCAGTAATGGGATGGCTGGGTCAAATGGTATTTCTAGTTCTAGATCCCTGAGGAATCGCCACACTGACTTCCACAGTGGTTGAACTAGTTTACAGTCCCAACAACAGTGTAAAAGTGTTCCTATTTCTCCACATCCTCTCCAGCACTTGTTGTTTCCTGACTTTATAATGATTGCCATTCTAACTGGTGTGAGATGGTATCTCATTGTGGTTTTGATTTGCATTTCTCTGATGGCCAGTGATGGTGAGCATTTTTTCATGTGTTTTTTGGCTGCATAAATTTCTTCTTTTGAGAAGTGTCTGTTCATGTCCTTCACCCAGTTTTTGATGGGGTTGTTTTATTCTTGTAAATTTGTTTGAGTTCATTGTAGATTCTGGATATTAGCCCTTTGTCAGATGAGTAGGTTGTGAAAATTTTCTCCCATTTTGTAGGTTGCCTGTTCACTCTGATGGTAGTTTCTTTTGCTGTGCAGAAGCTCTTTAGTTTAATTAGATCCCATTTGTCAATTTTGGCTTTGGTTGCCATTGCTTTTGGTGTTTTAGACATGAAGTCCTTGCCCATGCCTATGTCCTGAATGGTAATGCCTAGGTTTTCTTCTAGAGTTTTTATGGTTTTAGGTCTAACGTTTAAGTCTTTAATCCATCTTGAATTAATTTTTGTATAAGGTGTAAGGAAGGGATCCAGTTTCAGCTTTCTCCATATGGCTAGCCAGTTTTCCCAGCACCATTTATTAAATAGGGAATCCTTTCCCCATTGCTTGTTTTTCTCAAGTTTGTCAAAGATCAGATAGTTGTAGATAAGCGGCGTTATTTCTGAGGGCTCTGTTCTGTTCCATTGATCTATATCTCTGTTTTGGTACCAGTACCGTGCTGTTTTGGTTACTGTAGCCTTGTAGTATAGTTTGAAGTCAGGTAGTGTGATGCCTCCAGCTTTGTTCTTTTGGCTTAGGATTGACTTGGTGACGCGAGCTCCTTTTTGGTGCCATATGTACTTTAAAGTAGTTTTTTCCAATTCTGTGAAGAAAGTCATTGGTAGCTTGATGGGGATGGCATTGAATCTATAACTTACCTTGGGCAGTATGGCCATTTTCACGATGTTGATTCTTCCTACTCATGAGCATGGAATGTTCTTCCATTTGTTTGTATCCTCTTTTATTTCCTTGAGCAGTGGTTTGTAGTTCTCCTTGAAGAGGTCCTTCACATCCCTTGTAAGTTGGATTCCTAGGTATTTTATTCTCTTTGAAGCAATTGTGAATGGGAGTTCACTCACGATTTGGATCTCTGTTTGTCTGTTATTGGTGTATAAGAATGCTTGTGACTATTGTACATTGATTTTGTATCCTGAGACTTTGCTGAAGTTACTTATCAGCTTAAGGAGATTTTGTGCTGAGACAATGGGGTTTTCTAGATATACAATCATGTGGTCTGCAAACAGGGACAATTTGACTTCCTCTTTTCCTAATTGAATACCCATTATTTCCTTCTCCTGCCTAATTGCCCTGGCCAGAACTTCCAACACTATGTTGAATAGGAGTGGTGAGAGAGGGTATCCCTGTCTTGTGCCAGTTTTCAAGGGAAAGCTTCCAGTTTTTGCCCATTCAGTATGATATTGGCTGTGAGTTTGTCATAGACAGCTCTTATTATTTTGAGATACATCCCATCAATACCTAATTTATTGAGAGTGTTTAGCATGAAGGGTTGTTGAATTTTGTCAAAGGCCTTTTCTGCATCTATTGAGATAATCATGTGGTTTTTGTCTTTGGTTCTGTTTATATGCTGGATTATATTTATTGATTTGCATATAGTGAACCAGCCTTGCATCCCAGGGATGAAGCCCACTTGATCATGGTGGATAAGCTTTTTGATGTGCTGCTGGATTTGGTTTGCCAGTATTTTATTGAGGATTTTTGCATCAATGTTCATCAAGGATATTGGTCTAAAATTCTCTTTTTTTGTTGTGTCTCTGCCTAGCTTTGGTATCAGGATGATGCTGGCCTCATAAAATGAGTTAGGGAGGATTCCCTCTTTTTCTATTGATTGGAATAGTTTCAGAAGGAATGGTACCAGTTCCTCCTTGTACCTCTGGTAGAATTCGGCTGTGAATCCATCTTGTCCTGGACTCTTTTTGGTTGGTAAGCTATTGATTATTGCCACAATTTCAGATCCTGTTATTGGTCTATTCAGAGATTCAACTTCTTCCTGGTTTAGTCTTGGGAGAGTGTATGTGTCGAGGAATTTATCCATTTCTTCTAGATTTTCTAGTTTATTTGCATAGAGGTGTTTGTAGTATTCTCTGATGGTAGTTTGTATTTCTGTGGGATCGGTGGTGATATCCCCTTTATCATTTTTTATTGTGTCTATTTGATTCTTTTCTCTTTTTTTCTCTTTTAGTCTTGCTAGCGGTCTATCAATTTTGTTGATCCTTTCAAAAAACCAGCTCCTGGATTCATTAATTTTTTGAAGGTTTTTTTGTGTCCCTATTTCCTTCAGTTCTGCTCTTTTAGTTATTTCTTGCCTTCTGCTAGGTTTTGAATGTGTTTGCTCTTGCTTTTCTAGTTCTTTTAATTGTGATGTTAGGGTGTCAATTTTGGATCTTTCCTGCTTTCTTTTTTGGGCATTTAGTGCTATAAATTTCCCTCTACACACTGCTTTGAATGTGTCCCTAAGATTCTGGTATGTTGTGTCTTTGTTCTCGTTGGTTTCAAAGAACATCTTTATTTCTGTCTTCATTTCTTTATGTATCCAGTAGTCATTCAGGAGCAGGTTGTTCAGTTTCCATGTAGTTGAGTAGTTTTGAGTGAGTTTCTTAATCCTGAGTTCTAGTTTGATTGCACTGTGGTCTGAGAGACAGTTTGTTATAATTTCTGATCTTTTACATTTGATGAGGAGAGCTTTACTTCCCAGTATGTGGTCAATTTTGGAATAGGTGGGGTGTGGTGCTGAAAAAAATGTGTATTCTATTGATTTGGGGTAGAGAGTTCTGTAGATGTCTATTAGGTCCACTTGGTGCAGAGCTGTGTTCAATTCCTGGGTATCCTTGTTAACTTTCTGTCTCGTTGATCTGTCTAATGTTGACAGTGGGGTGTTAAAGTCTCCCATTATTATTGTGTGGGAGTCTAAGTCTCTTTGTAGGTCACTCAGGACTTGCTTTATGAATCTGGGTGCTCCTGTATTAGGTGCATATATATTTAGGATAGTTAGCTCTTCTTGTTGAATTGATCCCTTTACCATTATGTAATGGCCTTCTTTGTCTCTTTTGATCTTTGTTGGTTTAAAGTCTGTTTTATCAGAGACTAGGATTGCAACCCCTGCCTTTTTTTGTTTTCCATTGGCTTGGTAGATCTTCCTCCATCCTTTTATTTTGAGCCTATGTGTGTCTCTGCACGTGAGATGGGTTTCCTGAATACAACACACTGATGGGTCTTGACTCTTTATCCAATTTGCCAGTCTGTGTCTTTTAATTGGAGCATTTAGTCCATTTACATTTAAAGTTAATATTGTTATGTGTGAATTTGATCCTGTCATTATGATGTTAGCTGGTTGTTTTGCTTGTTAGTTGATGCAGTTTCTTCCTAGTCTCAATGGTCTTTACATTTTGGCATGATTTTGCAGCGGCTGGCACCAGTTGTTCCTTTCCACGTTTAGTGCTTCTGTCAGGAGCTCTTTTAGGGCAGGCCTGGTGGTGACACAATCTCTCAGCGTTTGCTTGTCTGTAAGGACTTTATTTCTCCTTCACTTATGAAGCTTAGTTTGGCTGGATATGAAATCTGGGTTGAAAATTCTTTTCTTTAAGAATGTTGAATATTGGTCCCCAATCTCTTCTGGCTTGTGAGTTTCTGCCGAGAGATCCGCTGTTAGTCTGATGGGCTTCCCTTTGAGGGTAACCCGACCTTTCTCTCTGGCTGCCCTTAACATTTTTTCCTTCATTTCAACTTTGGTGAATCTGACAATTATGTGTCTTGTAGTTGCTCTTCTCGAGGAGTATCTTTGTGGCCTTCTCTGTATTTCCTGAATCTGAATGTTGGCCTGCCTTGCTAGATTGGGGAAGTTCTCCTGGATAATATCCTGCAGAGTGTTTTCCAACTTGGTTCCATTCTCCCCGTCACTTTCAGGTACACCAATCAGACATAGATTTGGTCTTTTCACATAGTCCCATATTTCTTGTAGGCTTTGCTCATTTCTTTTTATTCTTTTTTCTCTAAACGTCCCTTCTCACTTCATTTCATTAATTTCGTCTTCCATCACTGATACCCTTTCTTCCAGTTGATTGCATCGGCTCCTGAGGCTTCTGCATTCTTCATGCAGTTCTCTAGCCTTGGTTTTCAGCTCCATCAGCTCCTTTAAGCACTTCTCTGTATTGGTTATTCTAGTTATACATTGGTCTAAATTTTTTTCAAAGTCCTTAACTTCTTTTCCTTTGGTTTGAATTTCCTCGTGTAGCTCGGAGTAGTTTGATCGTCTGAAGCCTTCTTCTCTCAACTCGTCAAAGTCATTCTCCATCCAGCTTTGTTCCATTGCTGGTGAGGTACTGTGTTCCTTTGGAGGAAGAGGTGCTCTGCTTTTTAGAGTTTCCAGTTTTTCTGCTCTGTTTTTTCCCCATCTTTGTGGTTTTATCTACTTTTGGTCTTTGATGATGGTGATGTACAGATGGGTTTTTGGTATGGATGTCCTTTCTGTTTGTTAGTTTTCCTTCTAACAGACAGGACCCTCAGCTGCAGGTCTGTTGGAGTTTGCTAGAGGTCCACTCCAGACCGTGTTTGCCTGGGTATCAGCAGCGGTGTCTGTAGAACAGCGGATTGTCGTGAATCGCAAATGCTGCTGTCTGATTGTTCCTCTAGAAGTTTTGTCTCAGAGGAGTATCTGGCTGTGTGAGGTGTCAGTCTGCCCCTACTGGGGGGTGCCTCCCAGTTAGGCTGCTTGGGGGTCAGGGGTCAGGGACCCACTTGAGGAGGCAGTCTGCCCGTTCTCAGATCTCCAGCTGCATGCTGGGAGAACTGCTGTTCTCTGCAAAGCTGTCAGACAGGGACATTTAAGTCTGCAGAGGTTACTGCTGTCTTTTTGTTTGTCTGTGCCCTGCCCCCAGAGGTGGAGCCTACAGAGGCAGGCAGGCCTCCTTGAGCTGTGGTGGGCTCCACCCAGTTCGAGCTTCCAGGCTGCTTTGTTTACCTAAGCAAGCCTGGGCAATGGTGGGCGCCCCTCCCCCAGCCTCACTGCCACCTTGCAGTTTGATCTCAGACTGCTGTTCTAGCAATCAGCGAGACTCTGTGGGTGTAGGACCCTCTGAGCCAGGTGCGGGATATAATCTCCTGATGCGCTGTTTTTTAAGCCCGTCAGGAAAGCGCAGTATTTGGGTGGGAGTGACCCGATTTTCCAGGTGCCGTCTGTCACCCCTTTCTTTGACTAGGAAAGGGAACTCCCTGACCCCTTGCACTTCCCGAGTGAGGCAATGCCTCACCCTCCTTCGGCTCGCGCATGGTGCGCTGCACCCGCTGTCGTGCGCCCACTGTCTGGCACTCCCTAGTGAGATGAACCCGGTACCTCAGATGGAAATGCAGAAATCACCCGTCTTCTGCACGCTCACGCTGGGAGCTGTAGACCGGAGCTGTTCCTATTCGGCCATCTTGGCTCCTCCCCAGTTTTCGTTTTGTTCTATTACACTCTTAAAGGACACCACACATTAGCGAGAGACTTCAAACAGGAAACTGTAGTGCAGCATACACTTTGTTTCATTTAAGTAGTGCTAAAACTTATCTGATCTTAAAATTGATTGAAGTTCTTGTAAAAAGTAGGGCTTACAGGGACCTCTTCTGGAAGTTCCGATTCAAATTTACTTAGTTCAGGTCCAAAAATATGTTTTTCACAAGACTTCTTGTTTTTTTTTTCTTGTCTGTTTATTTGTTTTGCTTAATGTTTGTGTTTCTGAATTGGTAAATTTTAGAAATATTGAATTAAATTTTTTAGGACATGTAGGCGTACAAGCAGCCTAGGTGAATGTGAATCTATTCTAAGCTTAGTAAAAACTCTCTTCCAAAATACAGAGACAAAAATATAGCTAGTGCATTTGGGAAAAAATAAGTCACTGGGTGTTTATGCAATTAATATGCAAATGGAAAAGGGGCTGAAATTGAAGCTAAAAATGTAAGTAAAGGACTGTTAACAAAGGTCCATCTAAGCCTTGGCATGGAATTTTGGCCCTACTTATTGAATGGCTTTAAACAGAGAGTTGACAAGTAGCAGAGTGAAATCCAAACTAAAGATGAGGTGACAGTAAGTTCTGGATTACTTAAAAGGCTCTATACAGTAGTCCTAGAAAGCTCTGCTGAGGGTATATTTTAACATATTATGGAAAGACTTTGGGGTTTGAAATCAGCCAAATCTGGACTCTTTTCCGCTCCTGACCCTCAGTGTGTATAATTAACAATGCTAACTTACTTCATCCCTACAACAGAGATAGTCACAACTGCCTTTCAGATGTCTGCGAAAAATCAATCAACAAAAATCAGATAAAACAAGCCTCACGTGAATGTGGTGATGATGTGACTTGGGACAGAGAAATAGTGGAGCATTCGAAAGGCTGGTGCATATGTTACTTGGTTTAATTTTCATATGATTCTGAGATACTGATTGTTATGTTCATTGCATAAATGAAAAGGATGAGGCACAGAAAAGTTACATATCTTGTCTAATAAGAAAAAGAACTAAGCCAAGTAGCCAGCCAAAGGGAACATTCAAGGGGATAACTCCAGCTTCCCAGTCCCTGTGGGAAGGTAAGGATGTATTTTGGTGGGAGCCTTGCTCTAACTTGTACACCCATCTCGTATCACCACAGTGCAGCCAGTATTAGTCTGTAGACATTAATATGTGCATAGTTTATCTCATTCGTCCCTTAGATGAAGCCAAGTAGCCAGCCACTAATGCTTTAGTGAGTCAAGTAGTTCAAGGCTGCAACTTCTCTTTTTGTCTGCTTCACCCTGCCCCTCCCTGCTGCCAGACCAACCTGCCTAATGCGTAGAAGGTACTTAATGTATGCTCTTTCTCCTCTGTATGTCTTCTTCACTCGTCTTCACCTTTTCCACACCCAGATATAGGCAGATATTTACTCAGATTGTACATTAAACCTCTGTTTGTCAACTTACAGAGTTTGGTCTCCCCAATTAACTCAGTGCTGTTGAAGTATCAAGCTATGCTTCACTTACACAAGCTTTTATGAGCACATAAAGACATAAAAGGTAGTATATAGTAACAAATCATGGTTTACACCATTGAAAAAACAAAAATAAGTACAGTTTGATCCCTGCTTTTAATGCAAAAATAGTCTAGGTTCAAAACTTTAGGTCTATCTCTTACTGTGTCCATGAACATGAAAATATACTGCACGAGTCTCACCATCCCAATCTATGAAATGAAAATAATCCTAATATATATTTCCTCACTTATTGTGATTAAGTTAAATAATCTCTATACATGTAAAATACTTAGGGCCTGGTACATGGTACACAAGAGATTTTAACTGCTATTATTATCATTGTCATTTATTATCATTATTATGATTATTTTTATAGGTTCTAATATGGTTATGGTATGAGACTTGGAAATAACTCACCACTTCTCAGGTAAAATTGAGTTCGAGTTATAACAAATGCTAAAAGGGAGGTATAATTCTGAATGATTGAGAACAAGGTTTGAGAGAGGACTGTTTTTGGGGTAAACAGTGCCCTGGGTTAAAAATAAGATGATCAGATTTTAGTGTTGTGTCTGGAACAGCCTTGCTGGGTAACTTCACTCCTTTTAGCTCTCTGAGCCATTCTTTTCTTCAGTAAAAAGGAGATCATGATCCCCCACCATACTCCTCTCCTTGTGTTGCCAGGAGACTCACATGGGACAGCATTTGTGAAATAGCCAAGATTCCTACTCACTTCCCTGGGCCCTTCTGCAGGCAGAGCCCCATAGGCCAGCACAGACCATCAGCTCTGGTTTACCCAGGTTCTCCAAAGACACGCAGCTCTGTGGCCATCTTCAGTTTGCAGAGATCTCCATTTCCCCAGAGAGCTCGGTGATCCTCTTAAGAGCTTTGATTCTTTCACACTAGTTTCACCTGGCCAGGTGTGTACTTTAAAGCCTGCCAAGCTTTGATCAAGGATGGTTGTCTCATGGTCTTATTGTCAAAGTCCTTTCCTCTGTGTTCACCAGTATCCTGCTCTTTTCTGTTCCTCTAACATTTGGCTAGGCAGTGGTCCCTTAGGTGTAAATATGGTCTGGGTTTCTCCTGTTCTTGTGTCACATTTCTGCTCACTTTGCATATTCAGAAGTGAAGTTAACTTCTGAATCCTCAAGCCAGTTTTTCCAAAGATCTTAACTAAAGCCCCTAGGCCTCTTTCTAGTGTTTCCATCATTCAGTCCAATAACTCACAAGAGTTTGTCTGACAGTATATGGATACTCTCATATGTCAAAAGATTCCTCAATATAGAAAATCAAAATGCAATGCCAATGTTATTAAGACATAAGCATGATAGCAACAGTGAAATTCCTGGGTTGATTGGCTTTGATGCTAAACAGAGTTCATGCAATGATCCTCATGAATCACAGGGGAAACGTGTGCACAACAGGCAGAGTATGAGAAACAATGCAAAAGCCAAAATGTCAAAACCTCAGCTCTGTGGCAAGTCCTTTTACCATATTGTTTCTAGATAACTTCGTTTGAAGCATCTAAAATCATCATCATGAAATGGTCATGTATACAATATCAGGAACGTTATGATTTCTTAGTAAAGATTTTAAAATGATGATGATGATAATGATAATCATAGTGTATAAATCTTCACATTCTGGCTTCCCAAATAGGCAGATGTAGTTTGAAATGCTTTAGTGAGTCATGTTGTGATACATTTATTTTACTTTTATGGAAATTTCCAGGAAGCTCTTTCATAAGATAAAAGTTGGAGATATATGAAGCAACTAAGGCAAGATAATTGAGGACACTTAGTCCAGGAATAGAGCTAATCTGATACAAGGGCATAGTTTCTTAAATCTGAATGTGCCACATGTGACTGGCAACTCAATAGAAGTTATTGATCAGCACTTATTTTGAAAGGCAATTTTCTTCCTAGTGTGTCAACCTCTACATACCGATCTCCATTTAGCAGTGATGATGTTCTATTTGTAATTGTCTTTTTCCTTATAATGTAAGCTTCCCAAGGGTAGGAGCCAAGCAGTGATTTTTTCCCCTGCATACTCTCACCAACTGATAGCCTAACCAGTGGAAACCTGTGGCTCTACAAGAGAGAAGGAAGGAAGAAAAGACTGACATCTGTAGAAAATAAAATTCAAGAAAAGCACTCAGAAGTGAGTGTTACAGGCCTCAAGACCATCAATGAAGTAGTTGAAGCCTCTATCAGAAATATTAATAAAGTCTTATTTTGTACAGATCCTTAATGGCTAAGCTTGGACTTTAGAAGCCCTGCCATCCCAGTCAAATCTGGACCATGACTTACTGCATGGCCTTGAACAAGTCATATAATCTCTTAATTTTTGTTGATAAATTGATTTCCTCCTTAATGTTCCATTCTATAGGGGGAATTTGAAGATTAATTAATTAATGTACTTAAAGTGCTTCAATTAAGTTAATTGCCATAAGCTGCAGATATTCTCAGCAGTCCCAATTTGGGAATAATCCAAAATCACTTCTTTCTCAAAAGAGTACTGATAATTATCCCAATGTTCTCCAAGAAGTGGTATGATATAGGACCCATTTCCAAAATAATTAATATTTCCTTTCTAAAGTTAGTCTGTAGACATTAATATGTACATGGTTCATCTTAGTCATCCCTTAGATGAAGCAACCCAATGTTAAAACCGATGATGGTGCTTTAAAGATCAGCGATTCCTTCCCCACCTTTGCATAGCTAGGAGATAAAGCTCAGCGAGATTAAGTAAATAATCCAAATAAAAATAAAAATTTTTAGCATGCTGGGCACGGTGGCTCATACCTATAATCTCAGCACTTTGGGAGGTCAAGGTCGGGGGATCACTTGATCTCAGGAGTTTGAGACCAGCCTGGGCAATATAGAAAACCCTGTCTCTGAAAAAATTAGCTGGGCATGGTGGTGCATGCCCATAATCCCAGCTACTCGGGAGGCTGAGGTGGGAGGATTGCTTGAGCCTGGGAGGTTGAGGCTGCAGTTAGCGGTGATTACACCACTGTACTCCAGCTTGGCAGAGAGAATAAGACCCTATCTCAAAAAAACAAACAACAACAACAACAACAACAAATTATTTACCAGAAGATTAAGGATTTAAACTAGACTATTTCTTGAAAAACGAGCAGATTTCCCCCTCAAATACTATCCTCTACCCTCTGTTAAGGATGAAAAATATGATTACCTAAAATATTGCGATTCAAGGTCTTATCTCCCATTAGTGACAGATGTATTTTTCTATATTATGATGGAAAAAAGTCTTAATTTAAGAATAGACTTTGAAAAAACAATATTTAAAATGTATATTGTGCTTTGTGAATATTTTTTACTTACACTAGCTTATTTAACTTTTATAACTTTCTTGAAAGTTAAGAACTATTATTACCTCCTTACATGATATACTATAGTTTTCTGTCGTGGTTCAGAATGCAGCTGTAACTAATCACACAATGAATATTGTACAACCATAAAAAGGAGACAGAGCCCTGGTACATGCTACAACATGAACAAGCCTTGAAAACGTTGCACTAAGTGAAATAAGCCAGACACGAAAGGACAAATATTGTGTGATTACACTTAGATGGAATGCTAGAATGGGCTAATTCATAGACGGAAAATAGGTTAGAGATTACCATGGGCTGGGGAAAAATGGTGATTTATTGCTTAACGAGTTATGTTTGGGTGATGAAAATGTTTTGGAAATAGTAATAATTGTTGTACAACATTTTGAATGTAATTAATGCCACTGAAATGTGCATTTAAAATGGTTAAAATGGCCAATTTTATTCTTTATATATTTTACCACAATTACAAACAAAATGAAAGAAACAAAAAACAAATTGGTCCTGGCGTATGTAGGGCCACCAGGCTTTGTACACTCATTCTATCACTTCCGGGCTGTTTGACATTTGCCAACTCCTTATCTTTGTGTTTTCCTTTATACAATGAAGCTAAAAGTAATAATGGTATGTGGAGATATTATTATTAATAAGTTGAAGAAGCTTAGACATAATTTCTTCAATTTCACATAGTAAATTCCTGGCAGTATCTGAACTCAATCTCAGGTTCTTTGATACTTAAAGTCTGCACTTTTTTCACTTTTTGCCAAACTGTTAAAATTTAAATTGAAGATGTCCTATATATGGTGTCAACTGAGAAATGCTATCATTCTGTTCTCCAAACATTCACAATCACTTTTCAGTTAACGTATTTGTTCGGATGAGACTTAAACCCTCAGAGACAGATGGATAGAATTAAGATAGGGAAGAGGGTCTCATGGAACAAGAACTTAGACTTGATGTCTAATACACATTATGTACAATCACAGGCAAGCTAGTTATCACTTGGATTTTAAACCTTCAATTTTCTGGCACACTCCTGTACTCTCAGCTACTCAGGAGGCTGAGGTGGATCACTTGAGTCCAGTTGCCAAGGCTCCAGTGAGCTGTGATTGCACCACTGCACTCCAGCCTGGGCAAGAAAGTGAGACCCTGCCTCAAAAAAAAAAAAAAAAAAGTTCTCTTCTGCAAAATATGTGATTGCAGAGCTGAGACGATCTCTTTGTTCCCATGTAATTAAAACTTTCTGAAATTTAAATAACATAGCGCATGTTTTCTGTGTCTGTGTGTTTGTGTGTGTGTAATATAGCAACTTCTTTAATTACCAAAATAGCCCTATAAGGCTGATACTTATTATTTTATTTAATAAAGGAGGAATTGTCAAAAAAGACAGTAAGAAGTTTGCACTAGGTCATAGCAGATATTAATTGGTGGAGATATCATACAATTCAGGCAATCTGGTTTCAGGGTCCATATTATAAGCCATCAAACTGTGACTCCTCATTTTAGAAAGAAAATGAATATATGAATGTGGACATTGGAAAATGGATGGGAATTGATGATATATTTGACCCATTTGCCAATGTGAGAGAGCAAGAAATGTTGACATGTCAGACATGAGTTTAAATCCTGGTCTATTATCTATCTGACCTTGGTCAAGTCACTCAGACTCTCTGAGTTCCACCTGCAAAAGCTGTAATTTCGGAAGAGAAATATCTAATTTATAGTTTTCTTGTGTGATTGTTTTTAGAAAGACAATATATGTGGAATATCTGCCATAGAATAAATGCTCAATGAGTGTCTATTGCCTGGCCATGGTGGCTCACACCTTGATATGGTTTGGCTGCGTCCCCACCCAAATCTCACCTTGAATTGTCAGAATCCCCACATGTCAAGGGCAGGGCCATGTGGAGATAACTGAATCATGAGGGTGGTTTCCCCATACTGTTCAGTGGTAGGGTGAATAAGTCTCATGAGATCTGGTGGCTTTATAAATGGGAGTTCTCCTGCACAAGTTCCCTTGTCTGCTGCCATGTTAGAAGTCCCTTTGCTCTTCTTTTGCCTTCCGCCATGATTGTGAGGCCTTCCCAGCCATGTGGAACTGTGAGTCCATTAAAACTCTTTCCTTTATAAATTATCCAGTCTTGGGTATGTATTTATTTGCAGCATGAGAATGAACTAATACATACATGTAATCCCAGGACTTTGGTAGACCGAGATGAGAGAATCACTTGAAGCCAGGAGTTTGAGACCAGACTGGGCTACAAATCAAGTTTCTGTATGTACACAAAAGAAAAAAAATAAATTAGCTGCATGCGGTGACAGGCACAAGTAGTTCCAGCTACTAGGAAGCTGAGACCCGCTCGAGTCTGGGGCTGCAGTGAGCTAGGATTATATCACTGCACTCCAGCCTGGGTGGCAGAGTGAGACTCCCTCTTTAAAATGAAACAAAAGAAAAAATAAGTGGCCATTATGTTTATTGCCTATTATGGCTGAACATGTCCAACAGAGATCTACTGATTTACTTTGGTTACCTGCTCAGTTTTAACATTTTATTGAGTTATGCAATCAAATTTGATTGAATTTTCATATTTAATCTCTTATTTAGTGTTTCATTGATTTCACTTCTGATCTATGAAGACTACCCCTAAATGGAGTTAAATACATTCATCTGAAGCCCACATGTATCCAAGTTAGACTCTTAGGGTTTCAGGGGGTGGATTAAGCTCTTTGTATTGCCCCAAATGCCCTGTCATCTGGAGGAAATCTGTCTCTAAGGGTGGAATAATGTGCCCTCTCAACTGTGGTATCATTTTTATAGATGTTTTAAGCTAGAAATGACCTTCTAGCTTAATGCTTGCCTCTTTTTTGAGAAAAGAGTAATGTTCATTAGCAGATTATTCCTGTTATTTTAACCTGAAGTGTTATATAGTTTCTTATACAGCACACACACAGTGTTGAGTGTTCTACTAACTTCAATGGACATTTGAAAGAATTGAGATGTGGTCCCCACACTCAAGGCTCCCACAGACCAGCCAAAAAATAAGACAAATGGTATGCAGCAGTAGTTCCTGAAGGCAGTCACAATCTACAGATTTTGCCTGCTCCCCGTCAACACCTCCATACTGATTTTAAAAACAATAACCAGTATTTGAGTAGGCATCTGCGATTTACACATTTATTCTACAGACAATGTCTTTTATTTCTAATAATAGGCCACTGGGCAGTATACAAATTAGTGTTACCTTTTCTGAGATTTATAGAATGTATAAACAGTCTCAGAGACATAGGTTAATAAATATGAATAATTGAGCTGGGATAAATCCCCACTATTTGTAATAATCCCCAATATTTGTAATCACTGAACCAGTCATCTACCCATCCCCCTTCTCCATGTCTTGGACACCATTCTGTGTTCTATACATGCTATGTTTAATTAGGAAAGATATTATATATGTTCTGTCTGAAAAAGGTTGTCTCTAGAGTAGATAGTTTTTAACAGAGTGGACAATGCCTTAAGAGAAAATAAATCTGGATTTTTTCTCGATACTTGATAGATAGTTTGAGAATGGGAGACTTTCTGGCTATTCTTTCATTCATCTTAATTTGTGAACCATATAGCTAATTTTTATTCACATGCCTATAATTATGACTGTTACTAAAAATTTTATGCATAAGAAATTAGCATTTCTGCAAGAGTAACTTTTTCTGTCTAGGTATAGGGAGATGGGATGCTATGATACATACGAAATACTGAGGGTATGCAAAGACCTCATATATTCAAAATTTTATCTTGGATTTGATCCTTGGAAACATCACACTCAGACACTCAGACATTAAAATCACTGTGAATTTCCCAGATGGGTGAAGAGCCATCACCGATCAGTAGTATCTTTCTCAGTGGGCAGGCAGACAAATTTATTTCATTCCAGAAAATATTATCTTTTAAGGTAAGAAATTCCTCCAGAAATACCTTAGAGGATCCCCATGGATTAAAACTGGAAAATGACATTATGTCAAAGATGTGGCTTCAGATCAACACACACGTATATATTAAAATATGTACCACATCATTAAATATTCCTCTCAATTTTTTTCATCAGCAAATTAAAAAAGGAGAATGCAGGGTTATGAATCACTAAATCCTATCTGCACTTTCTTCCTGCAGATGATTAAACATGTAACTTTTGTGGAGATTATGCTTCAAATCATCCGGGGTGTGCCAACTACTTCAAAGTGTACTCACCCCAGATAAACCTAACTAGAAATAAAATGCATTATTTTTTTTCTGTATTGCTATGTTTGCCTCCCTCTCTGATTATTTTAAACTTTCATTTTGTTTTCTTCATATTAATACTACAGTCAAATAGAGCATTCTTTCTTCATGTCTACTTGTTGTGTCTAGTTTTCTTCTAGTGCTTCCTTTTGTTTTATTTTTTCTCCTCATCTGCTTTCTTTGTTTTCTTGGATATTCCAATAATGTAATTCAAGTTCAATTTTTACTGAAGTGTTAGATAAACAGAATTTTCTTCTATAGATCCAAATGGTATATAGTTATAGTCTAAATGGGACTATAACTATAAATGGTAGTTATACTCTTAAAGATAAAAAAATATTAGTGATGGTAACAACATATAAGCAATAACATTATATAGGACAAGTTATACTTTTGTATATATTATCGCATTTGAGTTTTGTTAAGGTAGGAAGAGCAGATGGAATTTTATAAGTTCAAAAATTTGGGGTTTTATAAATGAACAGATTTAAATTATATAAAGAGCATTAAATGTTTAAAGCATTGGCTGGATGCAGTGGCTCACGCCTGTAATTCCAGCACTTTGGGAGGTCGAGGTGGGTGGATCACCTGAGGTCAGAAGTTCAAGACCAGCCTGCCCAACATGGTGAAACTCTGTCTCTACTAAAAATACAAAAAATTAGCCGGGCGTGGTGGCGGGAGTCTGTAATCCCAGCTACTTGGGAGGCTGAGGCAGGAGAATTGCTTGCACTCTGGAGGCAGAGGTTGCAGTGAGCCGAGGTGCCACTGCACTCCAGCCTGGGAGACAAGAGCAAAACTCTATCTCGAAATATATATGTGTATATATGTGTGTGTGTGTGTGCATGTGTGTGTGTGTGTGTATATATATATATTTATTTAAAGCATTACATGCTATGTCTGAGATTATGCAAACAGGACATTGCCAAGCCAAACCACCACTTCCATTTCTGTGATTTTTTCGATTGCATATTCTCTCCACCACATTTCGTGGTTTTACCTTAACATAAAGAAGCTTCTTTTTAAGTTAAGGGACAAGACAATATTATCTCCTGCTTAGAAATAATGCATTTCTTGCCCCTGGGTGCTCATGCAATGACTGGACATTTTCCAGGGTGTTGGCACTTTCTAAAACATTCTAAAATATAGGTTGGTACCAGATGACCATACACTTTGTTTACCATTATTTTTGACAGTAGAGAGAGAGTAATCATTTTTCTGGCTCCTGTTGTTTCTAGATATCTGACTTGATAGTTTATTTATCAAAATGAGTGTCCCAGACCTGGTTTATAATGATGCTTTCTGCTATATGTTCTATGTATAGCTTAAATTCAGGTATAAGTAACCTTTGGTATTTGGCCTAAACATATTTATTCATCTTATTTAGGTGAGTAGACTCTGATTTCCAGCAAAATATTCTTAAGTCCACCTTGGAGAAGGTGATGTTCCAAATACTTCGAGGTATTGACTGGTTCATGTAACTATAATAAAGGAAAATGAGATAATGTGCAGTCAGTGAGAAGATTTTTATTCATTCCTAAAGCTTCTGTAAACATGATCTATGACTTTACAATGCAAAACCTTCCAAAAACAAATGCTAATTTACATGACTCTTTTATTATTTATTGATTTTTTTCTTTGACTTTATTTGATCTTTGCACTTTGTTCTACTCATTATAAGAACTGAAATCCTACGTCTTTTTCCTTCTGAGTAAACATTATAAATAATTCAAAACATTTCAATGCCAGAGAGGCATCTTGGGGAAAAATAACTTGGTGTTTCACTCCATTTTGTTTGCTCTTCAGGTCACATAGGGTGGTGGTGTGGAGGGAGGAATAGTTCACTTTTAAATTATT
This sequence comes from Homo sapiens, assembly GCF_000001405.40. Classification (NCBI taxonomy): domain Eukaryota; kingdom Metazoa; phylum Chordata; class Mammalia; order Primates; family Hominidae; genus Homo; species Homo sapiens. The sequence continues at coordinate 12,078,950 of NC_000004.12, read as the reverse complement.
AAGATTTTTATCCAAGTTATAATACCTTTTTAAAATTTACGTTGTGAATGTAAAGTTATACAAATAAAAAGGAAAATGAAATAGGTCACATAAGAGAGCTACAAGATATAGTATTGAATTAATTGAATAACTATATATAAGAATTAAAAATAATTGGGACTAAATCTACTTACATGAAACCAACATTTTTCCAAGCCAAGACTGAAAAATGGAAATGTTTCATAGAACACACTGTACATCCAATATTCCATTTTCTTATAGATCATTCATTCACTTAAAATATTTATAGCATTTGAATCTATACCCAGCAACGTGTTAGCATTAAAAATTCAGAATAATATAGCATGACTCCTGTCCTTAAAGATTTTCCTGTTAATGATTAGAATAACTTTGTATGCAAATAACAGAGTTAGGTATTACAAGAGAGATGTAAATGAGTGATTCTATGAAATAAGGAACAAAAGAAAGCATATCTCATGATGGAAAACAGTCAAGTTTAGCTGAAGAGGGAGGCATTGCGGTGGGGTGTAGAAGGATGAAGTGCTCGTTTTGAGCATTACTGGCCTGATGTGCTAATTCTGGGAATGTGAGCTGGCATGAGGAGTGAGTGTATTTTATCAAGATGGCAAGTGTTGGTTGGGAAAAGTAATAGCGATACACGCAAACGATGCTAAGTTGACTAGAGAAGCCATACCTATTATGAGATTTAAGAAACATATACATGACTTGTATTTAGAGCAAGACAAAAGATAGATCTTGCTATATATTTAGATGAAGAGGCTAAGAGCAAAGATGTTTTGTCATCAAAATAGATGAGATACTTAAGGCTCATGCTCAGTGTTTGCTGGCCACAAAGTGGCTACTAGGATGACCTTATTTATGGACATATTTACTTAAGGAAAATAACACCATAAAAATAAAGGTCATTATCATTAATTTCCTATAACATGTCTGGTACTGTGATAGGCGTGGGTACGCACTGAATTTCATTATGTGCAAGAAGGTTACAGTTTTATTTCCTGTTGTCACATTCTCTCCAAAAGTGAGACTCGAAACTATTTACAACCCCTTGCCCTTCAGTCTGCTCTTCTGCAAGAATGACTTCAAAACAGCTTCCCTCATATATTGTTGAGAAGTGCAACAGGAAAAAAAAAAGATAAAAGCAGTTAGAATTTGAACCCTAAGGCTCTGTCCTAGAACATTTCACTGTCTGTCATGAGAAAGGCAGAACTTCCATTAAAAGAAAGATTTACTGAGTGCCTAATGGTGATGTATATTGAGATAGTTACAAGATGGTGAAAATAGAGATCTTTCTCTTTTGGAAACCCAGTATAAATACTAATCAGGGGTTAAGCCTCAAGAAAATGAAGAAAAGAGGGTAGAGTCGAAGATTCAGACAGAGTGGAGACAGACTGTACAGGTCATCCCAAGGTTTAGAGTTAGTAAGAACCAATACACATGCTAGCTACAAAAACCGGGGTTGAAATGCTGGGAGTTGTATAGTCTGGCATAATATTCTCATACATGATTTCAATACTGCTGCTTCATTTAAAAACTGAGCGATGCATCCCTGAATGGGTAGATCCCTTTACAAATGTAAATAAGGGTCTCTCCCTTTAGTTATTTTGTCACTCAGTGATTTAAACGAATAGGTATTAAGTGCCAGCCATAAACCCAGATGACTTTTATATGTGGGAGTACACTGGCAAATGTGGTGGGCAGAGGCTCTAGTCTATGTGATTACATCTATGGGGAATACAAGTAGTGAAAGGGGTACAAGGGAGAGGAGTATTATGAAAAGGAAGCGGAGAATATAAAGGATAGCATTTTAGGCATAGTTTTATCTGGCACTGGTATCTTAATGATTTTCCTTAACTCTACAAAAATAATTATATATACTGCAGAGAAACTTCACACAGAACATCTTGGCTTGGTAGAGAAAGGGCTTGGAGCAGTTCATTAGTTTAAAACTATCCACATTTTGCTGCATTTCCAGTCCCATATTTTGCTTCTTAATTACCACTATTTAGATGGCCTTTCAAGATCAGCTGTAAATTAAAATTGATCTACTGTCAGCAATCTCCGACAGTTGGCAACAGACTATTGATACAGATGAAATTCTAGTTGCATAGTGTCTTTCTGAGAAGACAAAAATGTAATGAAATGAGCCGACGCTGCAGCTTGGCACAAAAGGCAAAATGTGATTTTTTTCTCCAGTGGGAGAAGTTAAATATAAATAACTAGCCCTGTTTGAAAAATGCAAATAAGTGTGTATAAATAAGGAACCAGAGCTTATGTGTCTGTGTCCTTCATGAATACCTATATAATCTTTTTCTTTTATCTAAAAAACAATATTCCTTTTGAAATAAGTCTTAAGGATATGCTGAAATGAACATATACTTTGGAGTTAGAATTGAACTGAAATCTTGCTTTGTCTCTGACTAATTGTGTGATTTAGAGAAACCAACGACACTTCATGCCTCAGTTTACTCAGCTGAAAATGCAAGTTAGTAACTACCCTATAGTTGTGATAATTAAATGAAAAAATACAAGAAATGCCAATGAAATAGCTAATGTAGTGCCTGGCACAAGAAAGGGCATATTAAAGAAAATGATGAAATCATATGTGAAAGGTATGATCAGAACCCCCGAGTTATTTCTAGGAAGCTAAATCTCTATGTATTCATACTCTCCTTCAGCCTTACTCTTTGCTGACAGCAGAGCTGAGCTGTCTAAATGTGGCCAAGAAATATGTCATCACCACCTCCACAACACACACACACACACACACACACACACACACACACACACATTTAGCACGGTCAGAGCATTGGCCTTTGCTCTTAGAGCCAGTTCATTGTAGATGAGTTCAACAAGCCTTTTCTGGAACTTTGTGCAGCAGCTGTGATTATATCTAAGGTAAATCCTGTGTTAGAAACTACAGTTCTGAAACATACTCATTGATTTATCCCCACTCACACTTCCTTTGGAAGGGGTGGAAGATTTGTCATTTGTCATTCTGGGAATGATGCCCGGTCACCTGAAGTGTCACCCTCCCCTCACAGTGCTTCCTAGGACTTTGCAGAGCCAGGATGAGAAACTCTACTTCTGCCTTCTTGGAGAGAGGAGTGACAAAAGTTTTGTTTTCTCTGATTTTTATAAGAGTAACACTCATTTTAATTCTCTAGCCTCAAAGGCTCTGTCATTGAAAAATAGCTTTTACCCCTTTCAGAGTCTCTACATAAGTGTAGAAAACAGTTCTCTTGTTTGGGGATGATCATAGTACCTTCTCTGTTTTTCTTATGGCTAAATCCCAGCATATAGGGTTATGTCTGGTACATAATCAGCCTTCAGTAAATATTGGTCCACCAAATTTCATAATTATGAGAAGATATACCAGATCTCTCTAGGGATGTTGGGGCAAAAAGCCTCTGATGTTTATGCTTAACAGGGAACTTCTCCTTTCATAACCACTTGATCACTTATACAGATTTCAGTACTGCCATTAGTTTTCGAATTAGTTTTCCCTGGGCTGGGCTAGCCCAAGAATGTATGAAGGAAGAGACTTGTGTATTTTCCCCATCTTAAGCACACGTTATTCCTATGGAGCAGTGCCCAATCTTGAAGGTGTTATAGATCAGATTTTTTTATGTTACATGACCAGAGGCTACATAGCTGTGAGAAGACATCTAAAGAGGTCATCTGGAAAGGCATTCTATTGACAAAGGAAGGAGAAAGATAAAGGCCACAAACAGAATTCAGGCATTACTAAGGTCCTATGAAAATGATAGTAAAAAAGAAACATTAATAGCAGGCAGCTGGAATGATAATACTGTACACTGATTTGGAATCTGTGCTGTGATATTGTTAAACTTGATTGTCTCTACAAAAAAATACAAAAATTAGCCAGGTGTGGTGGCATACACCTGTAGTCCCAGCTACTCAGGAGGCTGAAGTGGGAAGATTGCCTGAGCCTGAAAGGCAGTTTGCAGTGAGCCAAGATGGTTCCACTGCCCTGCAGCCTGGGTGACAGAGTGAGACCCCGTCTCAAAAACAAAAATTAAAAAAACCCTTGATGGTTAAGAAGAATATTGGCTTTGTTTTACTCTACTCTATTAACAGTATGCTAAATGACTATTACATTATAGGCATCAATTACAGAGAAGTGTCCGCAAATTGGAGCACATTTGGTTATCTGAAAGGAATGGGACCAGAGTAGTTAGGGATTTGGTCATAAGAAAGATAAATTAATTTGGGTTCTTTTAATCAAAAAGACAATTTGTTAAAAGGATATTGGGACCTCAAAGAATGGACGGGCTGGAAGATAAAACTTGGAAAATGTGAACAGTAATCAAGGGATCTCCATGTTGGAGAAGCAGAAACCCATATCCAAATACCACATTACAGGCACAATTTGGACCATTCCATTATTGCTACAAGCACTACAATGAGTCTCACCTGATAACTGTTGCAGTCTTCTTAATACTGTTTAAAGATTAACAGTCCAAAGAACAAATTTTGATTACGGCTGAGTAGAAGGAGGACGAAGTTCCTGGTTTTCCACAATGAGAGCATGAATAGAGGGATGGTGTAAGGAATTGCTTCCTTAAAAGTCTACATACAGAGAGAGTTTTCCCAAAGTGCGTGAAAACTTAAAGGATGAAAAAAAACAACCAAACAAAAAATTGCAGATATTGACAATAGTGAATCAGGTAGAAGGTCAGTCCCCAGGAAAGATTCATAACATCTTTACCTATAGATGATCTCATTGCTAACACAGAACAATCTTCTAAGTTCTGTTTCCTGTATTCAACCAGTTACCATGTCCTGTCAGTTCTGTTTCCTGCATATTTTTAAATCTCTTCTGCATCTTCACTGTCAATATCTCATTAAGATTTATATGTCTTGAAGAGAATAGAGGGACGGTTATGAGTGGCTGGGAACAGTGGTGTTGGGGAGTGGCAAAGAAGCGGGAATGGTTGATGGGTATTAAAAATAGAAAGAATGAATAAAACTTAGTATTTGATAGCATAACAGGGTGGCTATAGTCAATAATAATTTCGTTGTATATTTTTAAATAACTAAAATAATATAATTGACTTGTTTGTAGCACACAGGATTAGTGCATGAGGTGATGAATACCCCATTTATCTTGATGTGATTATTACGCATTGCATGCCTGTGTCAAAATATCTCATGTGTCATATGTATGTATATACTATGTACCCACAAAAATTTAAAAAGTATTAGGTTATATATCCTGAAATATCTAATTTCTAAAAATACCTTCTTTATCAGCCCTTACATTTCTTCCATCAACCATCTACAATTTTTAAAATCAAAATGAATTTATTCTTCATGCTCACACTTACTCTTGTAATAGTCAATCAACTTATCTTGAAAGACACTTTAGAATCTCTCCACTACATAGTACATATCACTCACTTCACTCATCTTCACCTCGTTTATGCTCCAATGATATTGAAGTAGGCATAATTCCTCACTCGTGACCTAATTTCACACATTTGTGATTTTTGCAGATGCCAGCTCACTCTGGCTCATTGGCTTTGATACCTGACCCAATTTGGATACCCCCCAAATTTATACTCATTCTTTAACTTAATCTTAAGCATCACTTACGGAATGAAACGTTTTCTAACTTTTCCCTGGGCAGACTGACACACCTTTCCTTTATCCCCCGTCTTTGGAACACCGTTTACCTTAAAATGTAATTGCATATGTCTGCCATTACATTACCTTGTGATTTCTTCAAGCTTTTAAAGAATATCATTTCTTCTCTGTAGCTAGACTGCATAGCTTACGACCTAGTGAATAGTAAGGTCCCCCAAATGTGCCCTGATAACATAAACAAATAATAAACTGTACCATGATACCTCCTGATCTATGCCCTTGCTCCCCTGTTTGTTTTAGATGAGCTCTATAGTTGGAGAATAAAGCAATGCATTCTTTACTCTGTTTTGTCTAAAGACTTTTCCCCTCTTTTCCATACAACTTCTTTCAAACTTTAATGAATGCACTTATTACTATTACCACAGCTGAGAGAATAGAGAAGAGAACAAAAAAAAAAAGTCTCATTAGTCTGGAAAACTCCAAACACCAAAAAGGTTGTCCTAGAAATAATAATGAAATAAAATATTATTATAGGCCTTAATTTTAAAAATATTTTATACTCCTCATCACCTTTGATGTTCTCACAATCTTTTGCTAATTCATTAGTATCTATTAAGTGTTTCTTGAGTGCTAGGCTTTGTACTGTTATGGAGGATAAATTAATGAGGAATGAGGATACAGTTTCTGCCCACGAAGTGCTTTCAACCCTTCTGGGCACCAACAATATGATAATCATGTGAAAGTGGAGAACTCCAAAGGAGAGGCACAGGGCCCTCCTAGAGTCCATCTGCATAAAGTGTTATCCATAATATAATAAACTATAAATACAATTACTAATACAATTAAGAACTAGGATTAGCTTAGTGTCCATACGCAACAGATAATAATACAAGTCGCACAAAGTTTTTAAAATGAATCAGCTTATTTATTCTTGATCGAAATGCTTTAGGGTGCATATGATTACTCTCTAAATTTTACAGAGGGGGAAAGTGGGGCACAAGAAAACAAAGATTAATTAAATTGTCTAAGGACCCCTCAGAACATCAGAGATATAACCAGTTATAGGATTCAGAGTTTTCTCTCTTTTTTGACGGAGTCTCGCTCTGTCGCCAGGCTGCAGTGCAGTGGTGCATTCTCAGAACTCAGAGCTTTCTAACTAGAGCCATTGCTCTTTTTTATGAATGAGAAAGCTTAGGCTGAGATAAATTAATTAATGTGTCGATGACTATCCACCTATGGAAGTGTGGATCTGAGAAATCAGGTCAGCTGATTTCAACTCTCATGCTGCTTGCTCTGTTGCACCCCATCCTGAGGTTGAATATTCATTTGCCTTTCAACACTTTGCTGGGAATCTAGTGATGTGACAGTCTTACATGTACCAGCCTGATTAATTAATGATGTAAGCCGATAATTATTGAGTAGCTGCTACTATTTCAGACGTTGTTCTAATCATTACAGATACCACAGTAAATAAAATAGACAAAACTCTTCCTCATGGAGTTTACTTTCTCATGGGGGAAAGAGGCACCTGTAATCATTAAGAATATTCTGTGTTTCAGATCAGAGCTGTCCATGCATATTCTCACCATGCATTTAGCACATTCGACACAGGATATCTAGTCAACAGTGCTTAGAATTAATCTTTCAATAGCTGGTTCTGAGACTTGGGCTTTTTAATTTTTTTATCCTTACCTTTTCTCTTTTAGAGTTTGTTCAGCTTCACAGCTAAGTTGTATCCTTGGTTTTCTGCTTTGAACTTGGTTTTCCTGTTTGTCAGGAAACTCTGCATGCTTGGTTAGTTCCATAAGAACTTGGGCATTCATTCATGCACAATAACTGCCTGGCTCTCCGCACCGCTGTCCATCAGAGGCATGGATGGACATTCAGAATTCACAGTGTTGCTGCCTGGGGATGCCTGCTTGGTTTGCTGAAACTACCCTCAGGAGTAGTAGCTATTTCCTTGGCCTTGACCCACACTGTGGAGTCCCCCAGCATTTTTTGGAGTGGTGACTGCCTTAATCTATGTTACTGTGCTTTCATGGAGTTCATGAAAAATCAAGAAGCACTTCAAAATCCTAAATATATTTCCCAAACAGGTCTTAATTATTGTGTAACTACTTAATTTATTATTTTCCTATTTTTGGTTTTGAAATTCCCAAGTATTCAAAAATGAGCATGTATTTTTATTATAAGAAAATACATTGCTGTATTAGGATTATGAAATTGTGGGTGACATTTTTATTTTGTTTAACTTTGTCCTACTTTGCAATAAAAAAATAAGAACATGAACAAAATTATTAAAATGTTTAGCCTTCCCTTGCTTACTTATAAGGTATATCAGAATAATTTCCAACTCTCATAGCTATTCAAACCTGATCTTTTCAAAGAGAAAAGGAAGGTATATTATTTATGGGACGCTGACCTAATGCTTTGTGCTTTACAATAGCGACCTAACAGATCAGCCCAATATCTGCAGCTGTATTCCCCTCCAAGAGTTGTATTCCTCCCTTGACATCTAGGCATTCAGGACTAATTGCCACTCTTAATTGTCTGCAGTTCTTTCCTGTAAGACCTATAAATACAAGCCTAAAGTGCTTTACAGACAGGCAAGACCCAGCAATCATAGAACGTCATTCAGTTGGAAGTGGCAATTAGACATTTTTAACAAGTTTTTTAATACAAAATGGAGTAATTAAAACTTGCACATTGAAGGAGAAAAACACTTTTGAGATTATGTTCATTTTATTAAGCTATTTCAAATACTAAAGTTTATTGCAATGCATAGTTCTTTCTTTTTCTTCCTTTAATTGAATTGCTGGTACTAACAACTCAGTGAAATGAATGCCTGACCCATTGAAAAAGAGATTAAGTTGTGTGGAGTGTTTATTTTTAATTGGTATTGACCATGAACTCATACATATCCACTAAAATTGGATAGAATCAGATTTCATTCTTTGATCTAAATATTATGGTTCAGCCACTAAATTATTCCAGAAATGGCTTAATCTATCAGTTTCACCTTTAGGTTAATATCTCATTTTTGTTTGGAAGGTCAGCAGTTTCATGCATGGTTTGTTAATGCTATAACCAGGCATTTGGTTAATAATAGGATTATCCAATATGACTCCATACCATATTTTATTAATTTAGTTATTAACAAACTTTTATTAGTGTAAATACAGAAGAAATGTACATCATTTAATCCAGTGGGTATCTGTGCATGTTGAGTTGCAACATCAAGATGGCTAAGTAGTGAAATCTGCATGGGTTTTGAAGAGCCAAATACTATGCTATCTGCTGCTAAGATTCTCATCATCACTAAATTTATTTTAATATATGCAAACAAGATAGATATGCTAAAAAACTCTTTACCAATGAACTCCATTTGTGGTCTCAGAACAGAGAGTCTACTTCTCTTTTGTTATTCCCCTGGATTGAATTTCATTTTGATACCTGATCTTCAGTCTTTTGCCTTCTCTATTTCTTCCCTCTTAGCTATTACTACCCTGCAGCTCCCTGGAACACATTCTCTAGATTTCGAGATTCTTAACATAATCACATCTGCAAAGTCCCTTTTGCCGTGTAAGGTAATATACTCACAGGTTACAGATATTATAACGTAAACATCTTTGGGGTCTGTTATTCAGCCTATCACAAACTCATGAGCTAAGCTAAAAACAAAATAAAACTAATATAAGAAACATCCAACGAGGGAAGATAATTTTAATGTGTATATCTGGAAACATGGTTAATCAAAACTAACATCAAAACCTAGTCAATATTCTCTTGAAGTTGTGATGAGAAAATAGGAGAGATTGACATGGGGAGAAAATGCAGAGTCCCTATGATACTGTCTGAGACTCCCTCTCAAGGACAGCTCCTGCTAGAAAATTCTCCAATGCCCCTTCATTTCCATCTGTGAATACCTATTACCTAAGATTATCTTAGGAAAATCTCCTGTCACAGACAGATTTATACCACACAGTTTAAGCCTGCCCATGTCTCCCATGCTCATGGCCTTTAAACTCATACCACAATATCCATTCACTAAAGAACAGATGAAGAATTCTGGTGTCTGAGAGTTTTCCAAGGATTCACCAGAACTTGTCCTGTGTCAATTCTGCGGCTCACAGATGAGGAAGAAGAATCAGTCCACAGAGCCAAATTATATATTTACACAAGTTTATACAGTTGTAATCTACAATTTAATGAAAAACAATAAATTGAGTTTATTCTTGAATGTCAATATATTCTATGGCAGAGGTGGGATATCAACCAGTGACTATCCTGTGACCCCAATAAATAACTGACACAAAATTCCTTGAGGCTCTCAGTTCTCAGTCTTTCTCTTAAGATTCAGTATTGTCAAATTTTCCATTATACTTTTAGTAAAACCCAAAGACCATCTAATTCCTTTAAAGCCCTCTATGGGCTGGCCTTTGCCTGTACCTTTCATTGAGCTTTAAACTGTCTTCCTTTTGCCTGCTGTAATTTGGTGCGCTCGTTTTCTTTTTATCCTCCTTATGTTCCAAGCACATACCTCTCTCAGTACCTAGGTCCTCATTCTTTCTTCCCTCTGTTGATAGTTCTTTGCCCCTAGATTTTCTGAGAATGAATCCTTCTCATCATTAAGAGCTTAGCTTAAATTTGACCTCCTAAGAGAGTCTTTCTTTGTTAGCCATGTTCCATTCTTCATTCCTGAATTTCTCATCCTGGGGTAATTCTCTACCTCACAATTCTGTTTCATTTTTTGCTTTCTTATTTTGAGATAGGGCCTTGCTATGTTGCCCAGGCTTGCATGAAACCGCTAGGATCAAGGGGTCCTCCTGACTCAGCCCTAGAATGGTTTTTATTTTCTCTGACAGGACTGATGACTCATTTCATGGAGAACCTAGAGAGCTGGGCAAGGAGTAGCGGGTGGCTACCATCATTCACGAATGTGGGACCTGCAATCAAGAAGCCATTATCAATTGATATTGGGTTTAATTACCAAAAAAAAATCATTATCAGAAGTAACATAGTAAGAGGGTATGCCAGGAGAAAGCAAGGATGCCCAGCCTAAAATGTATTTCCATATACAAACTGGATTAGACACTGAAAAGAAAAGCCAATCTCCAAGGGAAATGGACACCAAAAGAAAACCCAAGGGAAGGCGCCAACACAGACAGTTGAGAGGAGCAGGAAATATTTCCCAAACCAAAATGCAAAAGGCTGAAGTGCTTTCTTTTGTTTTTCCTCCCTCTCCACACCTCCAACTCCCCCACACACCCCCGTTCTTCTCCTCCTTTTTCTCCTTTTCCTCTTCCTCTTTTTCCTTTTTCTAAAATTTCTCAAGTTGATTGTTATGGCCACACTAAGACTATTTTTAAAATCTAAAGCAGAGTTGCTGCGATGAGCCAGGCATTATCCAAGTCATTTTGAGTACAAATATTTACAAAACTGTTACTTACCCTGTAGGAGCTTGTCATCTATTAATGTTTTAAGGTAAACCCAAAAACTCCCTGAAGGAAGCGTATCTATAAGAAATAAAGGATGCAGACAGGACTATATTTCATAAGTCAGCTATTGTTAATCAAATAAAAATAGGTACGCAGAATTCTACCGGGCTTAAAACTATAATTTCAATAAACAATGCAATTATTAAATATGTTAAGGAATAGTGACCAGGTGGTAGTGTACTTATTTCTTTTGAGTTGTCACTAAAATGGATCATTAGACACATGACCATAAAGACCTTCAGAGAATATCAAATCCACCCTCCTATTTTGCAGAAGAGAGAACTGGTAGATGGACTGACTCTCTCAAGGACCTACAAATAGCTCATGGCAATTCCAGGATGAGGGTCAATGCCTGGTATCCTTTTCATGTAACCACATTGCCTAATTTGCTGTAACAACTACTCTTCAAAGATTTGCCCTGTCATAATCCAGATGCTTAATGCATAAAAATGTGATCCTGGAACTAATCTTTTGCATCAACAAGCAACATGATTGCTCTTTCTTAACAGAGCAGACATGTTAAAAATCAAGCATGTGGATCCGAACAGAACCTTTCCCACAGACAATTCCTTTTCAATTCTGAAGCCGAAATTCAGTGTTCTTTTCAAGGTATCCCTGCTTTAGTAAAATATGTTAGCATCAAAGTAAATAAGAAGATATTGCTACCTAATAAACTGGGACTATATTCTGTTAAATGACAGTCATCACATGAAAACAATTTCATTAGTGGCTTAAATGATATAGTACCTAGGAGGGGGAAGGCAGAGCCTCTGAGGCCCAAACCAATTTTAATTAATATGGGTGCCTCATTTTACCTTCCAAGTTTTATAGCAAGAATGATTTATACCCTTTTCCAGAGACTTTCAAAAGTATACCAATCTTCTATAAGTTATCAAATGTCAGGAAAAAAATAGTTGTCTGCTTTAACCTTATGTGAGATTATTTCTTCATTTATATAATGGAATGATGATAACAATTTCACAGGGATAGTGAGAAAATACAATAAGAGTAACTGTAGATTGGTCAAGGGATACATAATTTCAGTTAGATAGAATGAGTTTGAGAGATCGGTTGCACATCATGGAGGCTATAGTTAATAATACTTTGTAGTCTGAAAAAATGCTAAGAGAGTGGATGTGAAGTATTCTCACTGTAAAAAATAATGATGGGAAGTAATGCATATGTTAATTAACTAGATTATTTGCTCCACAATGCATATACTTCATATTGTACATTATAAATAATACAATATTATGTGTCAATTTAAAATAAATAAATGAAAAAAATCTGGGTCTCATTTTTTTAAAATCAGTTACACAGCAAAGATTATGAAGCTTCTACTATATTCAGATTTTAAATTCTGATCAACTTTTAGTAACATTCAAAGTTACAAATCCTAAAGTTGCTTACAATTGCCTTTGGATTTAAGGCTAACTTTTTAGACAGAAAAAAAACAAGTTTCTCTTTTTTCTCTCTAAAATGTGCAAGGGGGTCAGTTAAGGGACCAGAGTCTAATCTTGTCTTCTTTTTACAACCAGTCCAACTTTTCACGTGTCCTGGACTAATGCACTATTTCATTTGAAAAACGAGAGCCAATGGTCACAAAATAGAAGAAATTTAAAAAGATTCAAAATAACATGACTAGGCAATCAGAGAGTTTATTCAGGTGAAGGTTACACAGGAAGGGCTTTGGATTATAGGTAGGAACTGGATAAGTAGAGAGGACAGAAAATGTTAATATTTTAAAATGATTAGCAACTCTATGTACCATATGTTCTCCCTTATGCATAAGTGTTTTGATATTTTAATATTGTTGTTGTCTGCTTTAATCTGTTTGGGGTTTGGATTATTTTGCATATCCATAGTCAAAGAAATTGACTTGGTAAGAATTTTGGTAAGACATGCACAGAAAGGTAGTCTTTGTCTATATAAGTGAAATCTTCTGAAAATATTTATTTTTCATTATTTATGTTATATTATTTATTTACATACTTATTGAGGTAGAAGTGTATGAGAAAGTATCATTAAACCAAACAATTACTTTGAAAGCAAAGTGATTCACAACTAGAATTTCATTTGTCTACTTTAAAAGTAACTGACTTCACTTAACTTTGCCTGAATCTCAATTTGTGGTAACTGAGTAACTCACTGAAATAAATGGAATAACAATATGCCCATTACAACTATGCACACATTCTATGTTGTTTGGGTAACAACTTATATTTTAAGTATATGGTGTTTGGGTAGCAACTTGTATTTTAAGTATATACATATATGTGTGTGTGTGTGTGTGTGTGTGTATGTACATATACATATAAAAATACACAAGTGTGCATGTATAAATATACACAGGTGTATATTTATATATGCATAGTCTATGTATACTTTTAAAGGCATTAGATGCAGTTGCTAAATTCATGAGAGATGATATGCTAGTTCTGAAGAAGGACATGGCATATTAGATATTAAAATAGAAGTGGACGATAAAATGAATAGACAAAAATGACCTAAATCTTCTAGGAGCCAAAGGTCTTTGAATAGCTCAAAAAAAATCCTTCAGGCCAGGCGCGGTGGCTCACACCTGTAATCCCAGCACGAGGTCAGGAGATCGAGACCAACCTGGCTAACATGGTGAAACCCCATCTCTACTAAAAACTCAAAAAATTAGCCGGGCGTGATGTTAGGCACCTGTAGTCCCAGCTACTCGGGAGGCTGAGGCAGGAGAATGGCGTGAACCCGGGAGGCGGAGCTTGCAGTGAGCCAAGATGGCACCACTGCACTCCAGCCTGGGAGACAGAGCGAGACTCCATCAAAAAAAAAAAAAAAAAAAAAAATTGCTTCATCATTTTCCAGTGTGTAATTTACTCAACAAAGCTAATTGTTTTTTCCCATTGAGGGATACATTTGAAGAAAATGATAGGCTCACTTCTTCCCTTGACTAGGAAAATGACCCCCTGTTTTCAGTAAAATTTTTGTTCAGCGCTTTTTCAAGATCTATTTGTAATCCAAACAAGCTATCAAATATTTGTCCTAGAAAAAGACTTTTTTTTCCTTTATGAGAAGGTCAGAAATTGAATGTTTCAAGAAAATGTTACTATCTTGAAAAGCATAGAGTCTTCTATTGACAGAGGGCGGCTGTAAAGGGAAGATGCTGTGCTCTTAACCATGGACTGACTGGGGATAGTTGCACTTACTAGGTCTCCTGACACTAAACCGAGTTTACAAAACCCTGTCTCTATTGGCGTTCAAATGATGCTGGGAGAAATGGCCCATAAATTAACAGTTACTTAAATTATATCATCCTTTGTGCTCTTTAAGCTTTCAGAGTACATATGTTGATTTATCAGATTTTCCTCATGTGTGCATTTATTCATTAATTTATTTAAAAATTTATTTAAAAATTTAAAATATTTATCAAAACCCTACATGTGACAGGCATTTAGCTAGGCCTTGAAAACTCACCGTAACTGTGATAGGGCTCCTGACTCAGAGGGGTTTCCAGAGTCTAAGAAGCGAGGCTGATTTGTAAGCAAAGTGATTCCATGCTTCAGTCCCATTACTTTCAGCATACCTCTGTTCATTGAGCATTTCAAATGTGCCAAGCAACATGCTAAGAACTAGGAGTACAAAACAGAATAAAGATGTTTTCCTGCTTCTTGTGAAACTTAGTCTGTTGGGGGCATACAGATAAAAATAGGTTCTTTTAGAGTAATACTATTTGAAGAAGAGAAGAAGTTTGTTCTGACCAGGAGAAACAGACTCAACAAAAAGCATAGCATTATGTAAATTGAATGTTCATATAGGGTAATAAAATAACTTCCTTCATGGTTGTGAACAGTAGACCCTATCAGGGCAGTTGTTTACTTCATAGACTATTCTTCAGCTTACAACTGTCCCATAGGTTAAAAATAAACTGCTTCTTACAGCATGAGATTAGAAGTTTCCAAAGATGGCTTTCCTTCAGGGCGCTTTGAATCTGGGTTATTCAGAGAAGACAGTATGATGGGGTTAGGATCCTATGAATTCTAAGTTTGAGACAAGAAAACTGGAGAAAGAGTAGGAAAAAAGGAAGTTAGGAAGATGCCACTTAGCTGAATTGGCTGCAATGTATGCATGTGCTGGCAAAGAGACAAAAACAGAGGACCCAAAAGACAGACAGGAGTAATCATAATGAACAACCTGGCCTCCTCACATGAGCATCTGAGATATCGTGGAGGTGCAACTATAAGATAGTGACATGAAACTATCTGGATTCTATATTTTCAAAATTTGAACGTCTGTTTCCAAATTCTTACTCAGTCATAGATTTCAAATATCAGAATATTGTGGGCTGAAAGTTTATTGGTTTCAAGTGAAGGGCAGATAATGTGGTCCTCAGTGTGAACAGCTGAGATGTGAACTACCAAAGAGATATTATGGCTTACAGGAGAACCAAGGCATACTTTTCCCTCTAAAGTGAATATTACTCATTATTTGATATTATCTATTTAAATCAAATGCATAAATCCACATAGTTATGTAGTATAAATTACTTTTAATCACAGAACCAATAATTTGACGTGACGTAAAACACAAATTTGTACATTACAGTATTTGTGGAAGAAAGAAGAAATGGAAGGTAGAGAATGGTTAGGTAATGAAGGAGAGAAGGATAAGTAAGTTTTCATAATAGGCCCTTCTATTTGCTTTATTATTAGTTATAATTTAATTATATTTTACAATTAATAAAATAGCTATAATATCTAAATTAATAACAAATATAGATATTGCCATAAAATGTAGTTTACACACTGAGAATATATTTTAGAATCTCTGCTACCAAACACATGCTTAATATACCCAATACGTTATAGTTGCAAGTAAAAGAAGTGGGTGAAATTAACTTGATAGGCTTACTTATGAACAGATAGGAAGCTGTTGTGTCTTGTGAAAGGTCCGTCAGGTAGATAAGAGAAGAAAAAAGGCTAGGCCTAGAGGATTGCATTTTCTTATTTATTTATTTATTTATTTATTTTATTATACTTTAAGTTTTAGGGTACGTGTGCACAACATGCAGGTTAGTTATGTATGTATACATGTGCCATGTTGGTGTGCTGCACCCAGCAACTCGTCATTTAACATTAGGTATATCTCCTAATGCTGTCCCTTCCCCCTCCCCCCACCCCACAACAGGCCCCGGTGTGTGATGTTCCCCTTCCTGTGTCCATGTGTTCTCATTGTTCAATTCCCACCTATGAGTGAGAACATGCAGTGTTTGGTTTTTTGTGCTTGCAATAGTTTGCTGAGAATGATGGTTTCCAGCTTCATCCATGTCACTACAAAGGACATGAACTCATCATTTTTTATGGCCGCATAGTATTCCATGGTGTATATGTGCCACATTTTCTTAATCCAGTCTATCGTCGTTGGACATTTGGGTTGGTTGCAAGTCTTTGCTATTGTGAATAGTGCCGCAATAAACATACTTGTGCATGTGTCTTTATAGCAGCATGATTTATAATCCTTTGGGTATATACTCAGTAATGGGATTGCTGGGTCAAATGGTATTTCTAGTTCTAGATCCCTGAGGAATCGCCACACTGACTTCCACAATGGTTGAACTAGTTTACAGTCCCACCAACAGTGTAAAAGTGTTCCTATTTCTCCACATCCTCTCCAGCACCTGTTTTTTCCTGACTTTTTAATGATTGCCATTCTAACTGGTGTGAGATGGTATCTCATTGTGGTTTTGATTTGCATTTCTCTTATGGCCAGTGATGATGAGCATTTTTTCATGTTTTTTTTTGCTGCATAAATGTCTTCTTTTGAGAAGTGTCTGTTCATATCCTTCGCCCACTTGTTGATGGGGCTGTTTGTTTTTTTCTTGTAAATTTGTTGAGTTCATTGTAGATTCTGGATATTAGCCCTTTGTCTGGAGGGAGAATTTTCATATTGCAAAGATAGTGTAAACTGATATGTTGAATATTTTCCCCAGTAGTACTTTCTCCAACAGTGTCACCAGTGAGCCAAGTGTCTACCCTGAAGAGAGGTAAAATAAGAAACTGGAAAAAAACAAAACAAAAAAAAGGAGATCAGAATACAGAAGAACCCAAGGTGGCATAGGTACAATATAAATTAGATATAGAATCAAGGGGTCCAGAGTTGAGTCTGACACAAGGCAAGCGTGGGAGTTCACCTTCAGTGAGGTTTCTGCTATGCAATAGCAGAATGGGTTAAAATTCAGAAGAACCCCCAGGACTGCATACATGCTTTCAAACACATTGCTTTAAGAAGTAGTGATGTTAAATCTGGTAGCATGTTAGTCTATAAACAGAAAGAAAGATGTGTACATTTAGTGCATGTATTTGAATCTTGACAACACACTCACTCATACAGTCATGCATTGCTTAATGACCAGGATGCATTCTGAGAAATGCACCATCGTACGAACATCATAGGGTATATTTACACAGGTCTAGATGGTATTGCTACTACAAACCTAGGCTGTATGGTTTAGCCTGTTGCTCTCAGGTTACGAACCTTAACAGCATGTCACTGCACTGAATACAGTAGACAATTGTAACACAATGGTAAATATTTGTATATCTAAACATAGTGGAGGTAAAGTAAAAATATAGTATTATAATGTTATGGGACCACTGTCATATACGCAGTTTGTTATTGACTAAAATGTTATGTGGTACATAACTGTACATGTATGATACACAATTACATATGTATATGTAAGTCATATTATACTAGGAGATAATAAGAAGGAATAAAACTTTCACCTCTCGCTATTTCTAAGAGGTTATTCATCTTCCTATATAAATTGTATGACTTAAGCCAGACTTCTGAATTTTATAAAATGTGTAACGGGATCCACTGATAATTCATATTTCTCCAAAATATCAAGACTCAGATGTTTGTATTGGGTGATGGATGGAATTAGATCTGCAGTTAGGACAGAGTGCTCTTCTGTACCATAAGTAAGTGCATCAGAAATAAGATTCCACTCATATTCATGGTCCATTGAGTACTTGGCAAAATATTGGGTATTTCTATAAATATTCTCTCATTTAGCTATCAGAACAATCTCTGAGTTAGACGTTATTATTCTCATTGTAGCAGATGGAGAAACTGAAGCTCAAATGTCAACCATTAAAAAATGCACCCAGTAGATACACATAGCATAGATCCAGAAATCATTCCTAGGGGTTTGGATTTCAAATCTTATACTTGTTTAAAGAACAACTGCAGCAATATTCTATAACTGAAAATGATAAAAAACAACAATATTTATATATAAGTGTAAATATTTATAAGTCTAGAATTCTAAGAGTACTGGAGGCCAAACCCAGACATTCTACTTGGGAATTCTTCTGTGGGTAAAGGAGAGGAGCAAGCAGAGAGTTACTATGATAAGAGTGAAAGGGAGAGAGAAAAGATTGTAATGTCAAGGATAAAATAGGTGGAACATTTTGCGGATATCTTTCCATATTTCCAAAAATAGTATGCATTGCTTTATTAGAAGTTCCAAATATTTGCAGACAGTAACTTGGTTCTTCTGACTCTGAGCAAAAATATAAAATTGAACAGAAGCAGTTGAGAGGCTGATGATTTCAGAGAAAAGTACACACACATAAGAAAAATAGGAAAACAATCTTCTTTTACCACTGTCAAAGGGAGAAAATCAGCAAATGCAAATATCTGGAATACCTACCTATTGTCATGTATGGAGCCAGGAATTTATTTTACATTTTCCATTTTAAATATCATATAAGTGCTCTGAAAGAGAAATTATGAGTCTGTGTTTCAGATGAAGAAACTGAGGCTCAAATTAATTTTCAAAATCACTTAATTAGTGAGAGACAAAAAAAATCCACGCATTCAGATTTCAAAACTCATTTTCCTTCATACCCTCAGTGACTGAGTCTATGTCAGGCCCAGGTGTATATCATCAAAGTCTAATAATAAAATATAGGTTTGCATAAAATTTTATTATGTTTTAAAACTCTGTGTGTTTTCTTGTATTCTTGCACTGAAGTCTGGAATGATGGGAAATAACTATAATTTAGGAGAGATAAGATTTATAATTTCAATTACTAGAATTTCAGCTTTATTCTAATATTTACATGGTAGTTAATTTATTCAGAATTAATGTATTATGCACATACTATGTACTTGACACTCTTCTAGAATAGGAATTACTATCATCAACAGTTCTGTCTCTCAAGGAATTAATGGCATACTGGGAAAGAGAGACAAGTATAAAAAATCAATTGTAATGCAGAAAATGAGAGTTTCTAAAGGGATGACTCAATGGTGCCATAAGAACAGAAAGAAGGGAAGCCTAATCCCAAAGGGAAATGGCCAGTCAATGCTTTCCAAAGGTAAATTTATACTGAGACTTAAAGAATTAGAGTTAAATGAGCTAAAAATAAAGTACAGAAAGTGATAGAAGTTGAGATGGCTTTTAACATGAAGGCAAAACTATGAGACTACTGAAGGAAGTAGAGGCATTATCACAAACCTAGGAATTCACATTAAGAATAGCGGAGAGCCCTTGAATGTTAAGGAATAGAGTAGTGAGACAAGATTTACAGTTTGAAAAAAAAATGCATTTATTTTGATGTGAAGAAGTGAGAAGTAAGTAACAATCAAGACCAGTGTGTTAGTAAGATTTGCTGCATAACAAATTACCTCCAAGCTTTGCTACTTAAAATAGCAGTGATACATTCTCTTTAATGTAGCTTCAGGTCAGTTGGAGGGCAGCTGATCTAGGCTGGTCCCAGCGTGAGTGGTTCCAATCCATGTGTTTCTCATTCTTCTTAGGCCAGCGGGCAAGCTGGGCATGTTTGCTCAGAGATAGCAGAGATGCTAAAGAGCAAAAGAAAATTAATGATATCTCACAGACTACTGCTCCCTCCAATATAGTAGCCACTTACTACATATGGCTATTTATACTTAAATTTTAATTCATTAAGAGTAAATAACATTTATAATACAATCCCTATAGCTGCAATAGACACATTTCAAGTGTTTCATTGCCAGGTAATTAATTCTACATTTAATCACAAAGAGATGAATATTTCCATTATGACAGAAATTTATATTGGTTATTCCAATGTAACATTTTTCTAAGAATTAGAAAATCTACTGACTCACTATTTCCACTTTACAATGCCCAGATTCAAAAGTTCCAGAGACTCATCAATTCACATTTACCAATTATTATGGATATCACAGTGACAAAGGGTGAAGAAAAAACATTCGGCTCACCATGAGGCCATGGCAAAGGTGTGGATACATAGAGAGAAGACTCGGGATCATATAACCTAGAAAGCAGTTGTTATGTTATTGTGAGGGGTAGTGGTGGCTGTGATAAAGAAAGTAAAAATGTAGAGAGAGATAATTTACTACCTGGAGAGATATTGAAGAGTGATCGTGAGTAGGACTTGATAATCAATGGTTTTGGATTAGTGAAAGAAAGCAAAAATGATGTCCAGGATTTTTGCTTGGACAACTAGGTAGACAGTAGTACCAAACACTGAGCCAGAAAAAAATATAGGCGAATGCTTAATGAGATAAAGCACACTATTTCTAGAGCAGTGCAGAGTACTAGGATAATACAGTACCTGGTTCAAATTACAGTATTTATTAGTAGTGATTTTATTTTTGCCATTATTTCTTATGTGCCTATTATTTCCTTCTCCATTCTCCAAAACTGCTCATCTGAATTCTCTATTCTGATTAATACTGTTGCCATCCACTTAGGCTCCTAAGCACATAGCAGATTTTCAATAAAAGTTGGTTTTTTTGTTGTAAGTACACGGTGGATCAATAAATGCAAAACTTTTTTTGTTCTAAAAGCAGAGGAGAGAGCCCTTGAAAATGAATTCCTTGAGTTTTAAATTCCATTTGAATGTTGTCACTTTAAAATGTGCTATAGTCATCAAGAATATACTTTCTTTGATATACTTTGGTTATGTTTCAAAAAATCAGCTCTTTGGACTAAAGTTCTCTCTCTCTTCATTCACTCAGTGCATACTGATTTACTAATCCAAAGCTTACAGGATCCTTTAAGAGTCAACACACAATCTTTTTAGCAAAATCCATACCCTTTCTGCAAAGTCTGAGAAAAATAAAGCATTGAATCTCTTAGGCATGTGTCTAAGCTTTTTGCTCATTTGTTTATGGATTGCTTTGTTTCAAGGTTAGAGGGTTGTAGAGGGAAAGATAACTTAGTGAGAAGCCAATTGCTTTGTGGGATGGATAAGCAGACTTTTTATAAAGTCCAGGTTGATCCCTATGTTTGCCCTTAGCATTTATCATTAGTTTTCTTTATGTTAAAAAACTTCAAACACAATGTGGCTTTACTGGATTTATGAATATCTGTACTAATTGATAGATGCAAATTGATGACTCTACGGAAATTTTGAATCTGGGCATTGCAAAGTAGAAATAGTTTGTAGATTTTCTAATCCTTAGAAAAATAGTAAAGGAACAAAGTTTCACTTTAGGATAAATAAAACTAAAAGTGTGCTAATACTTATTATGTGCTTATTATATTACCTGCTTACAATTTGTCAGGTACATTTTAGCTTTTTACCTGTCCTATGATTTAGGAATGTCAAATTATTTTCCAGATGGAGAAAAGTGGGTCTTGAGTGTTTTGTGTAATGCGCTGAAGATCACATATATATTATGTGGTATAAACTAGATTTGAACTCAATTCCGACTTTCAAGTTTATGTTCTTAATCAATTTGCTACACTACAAGACATCTATCATTATGACAGCATGTCCCAGTTTTAATGAGCCCATACTAATTTAAATACATTTTAATATTAAAGCTATATATTTTCTTGAGTGCCTTATTGGTTTCATATATACTTTTATCTTATTATTCACAAGATTTTCATCAGAGTTGCCCATTTTCCTGAGATCAAATAATTAGACAGTAGTGGTAGAGCCTTTTCTGAAACACAGTTCTCTTGAGTCATATTTTATGCACTTCCTCCCTTCTTGGTTTTATTTTTAATTTTATTGCAATAAGCACACTTAACATGAGATTTACTCTCTGAAGAGATTTTATGATATTGTTATCTGCACAATGTTATATAGCAGATCACCAAAACTTATTCATCTTGGAAAACTGAAATTTTATATCTATTGATTAGCAACTCCTTATTTCCCCCTGCCTCCAGCTTCTGTCCAGCACCATTCTATTCTTTACTTCTAACATTTTGACAATTTTAGGTATTTATGTAAGTGGAATCATGCAGTATTTGTCCTTCTATAATAGCTTATTTCACTTAGCAAAATGTGCTTTAAAGTTCAGCTATGTTGCCATATATTGCAGAATTTCTTCCCTTTTTTAAGGTTCATCAATATTCCCTTGTATGTATACACGGGCCAGTCGCGGTGGCTCACGCCTGTAATCCCAACACTTTGGGAGGCTGAGTCGGGCAGGTCACGAGGTCAAGAGATAGAGACGATCTTGGCTTTGGGAATGGTGCTGCAATGAACACAGGAGTTCTAATACCTATTTGAGATCTGATTTCACAGGGATAAGAATAGTCTCTTCAAAAAATTGTGTTGGAAGAATTGGATATTCACATGCAACAGAATGAAATTGGACATTTGTATAACAAAATTGGCAAAAATCAAAAGAAGTAGATTAAAGATTTAAATATAAGACCTGAAACTGTAAAATTTCTAAAAGAAATCATAGAGGAAAAGACCAACTAAATAATCAGTTTTCACAATGATTTGATGGATATGACAACAAAATCACAGGCAAGTAAAACAAAACTAGACAAGTGGAGGTACATCAAATTAAAAAGCTTCTTCACAGTGAAGGAAACAGTCAACAGAATGAAAAGCAAACCTCCAGAATGGGAGAAAATATTTGCAAACCATATATTTAATAAGGGATTAATTTCTAAAATATGTACTCCTACAACTCAATAGCAAAACAAAGAAACACACAAATAAATTAAAAAAAAAAAACACTAATAATGTGACTAAAAGGTGGGCGAAGGACTTGAGTAGGCATTTCTCCAAGAAGACATAAAAATAACCAATAGGTATATGAGAAGAGATTTAATGTAACTTGTCAGAAAAAAAGGCAAATTAAAACTACAATTAGATACCACCTCACACCATTTTAGGATGGTTATCATTTAAAAAAGCAAAAGCAAAAGACAAGTGTTGGTGAGAATGTGGAGAAATGGGAACCCTTGTACACTGTTGGTGGGAATGCTAAATGGTACAGCCACCGTGGAAAAACAATATGGAGAATTCCTCAAAAAATTAAAAATATGACTACCATATGATCCAAAAATCCAACTCTTCATTTTAATCATGGTTTTGAATTTAGGAAGATATAAGGATGCACATGCTTCCTGACTTCATAGAGCCAGGGTATTAAAAGAAGGAGTGGGACCCATTTCTGGCTCTTTTTCGGAAGTGAGCGATGATTCAATTATGCTTTCAAGAACTAAGAAGAAATTACTCTCTAGTAACATCACCTCTTCCTGCCTTTCTGTCTTGCCCCCTTACAAACTAACAAGGATAGTTTTTGCAGAAGACTCTGTCTTTCATTATTTCGATGAGATTTAATGCTGAAAACATGACATACCCACTTACAAACCATGCGACATTGGGAAAGAGGGAAAGACACAGTCTTTTTAACATCAGTTTGTTCATTTTTAACAATAAAATCTATCTCACAACATCCCTTTAAGCAGAAATGAGCTAAATCCTGGGGATTAATTAAGCTCACATTGAGACATAATTGACAAATTGATCTCTAAAACCAGATTTTTATATCAGAAAAGAGAACATTAGGTAATTAATAATAATAACAATTAAAAACTAATATGGCGTCTTCCCTCTTTTTTCCTCCTTTTTCATTCTATTTCTTTTCCTCCTTCTCCGTATATCTCTTTTTAATCACTTCAGTTCAAAATCAATTAGATGTGTCCAAGCAAGGTAGGCATTTGGGGGTTGAGGTTGATGGAGGGGTATGGAAGGATGAAGTTATGGCCAGGGCTGTCTATCAGAGCTGGACGACCACAGGTAGAGGTGGGGCCTGCCAAGCCTGGTGACCAGAGTGAAGTGTCAAAACCTCAGGATTGTGAAGCTACTGTTTGCATTGGGAGGGCAGGTGCCTTGGGGTGTTGTAGACTCAGCCTAGCAAGAGTGAGGATGTCATTGTAAGAAGAGACGACCTACTGTGTGCAGTGTTGGAGACTATACAGGGGAATGAGGCTGTCTGCAAGGGGTGAGAGAATCTAGCAGGGGTGTTGGGAGAGTGTTTACATACAAGGTGTTTAATTGAATGAGTGAATATATTAAGGAAAATGGGATTTAGGCTTCTCAACATTAGATAAGGCTGTAGCTCACCGAGAGTAAACACTGAGATGAATCCTAAGGTGTTGGGATGGAATTGCAGGTACCGGTGTGAACTTTTCAGATGGATACATGGATGCAGATGTCGATGTGAGTGCTTTGATGCATGCATATATCCCCTTGATCTGCCCACCGCAAGTGCCTGAGAACAGCTATATTCAAGAGCAGGGAGTGAGCACATATCCTGAGCTTAATTTCCAGATATAATTCTCCACTAAAAAAAAACAGAGCTTCTTAGAAAAATGACTGATTCCAGAGTTAAGACAGGGAAAGTACAAGATGAATCAGAACATCTCATTGTGCCAAAAATAAGAATTCACTCCAAGAATGATAAGGACCCATGTGAAAAGGACACAGAAGAGACTCCCAGTAGGCAAATCTGGGAACATTTAAATATCACTCATTCTTAATAGATGCTAATCTATTGAATAGATTAAGAATGATCTATTTGTTTATACTGTAGTAAATAAATACATAAATTGAGGATGTGATATTTTATCAACTCCAAGCAACTCCCCCAAAATACATATCCATTCAAAGGAAACTTTTAAAAAATAACTTTCCAGCAGAGAAGATTGGCAGAGATCACATTTGTTAAATGATCAAAGTGAACATCACCAGTAATGGGGAAAATCAAAACTGTATCATCCAATAGGCTGCAGTGAGATGAACATAGCATTAGATCTGTGATTTGCTTGTTAAAGATGCATAAATGGAAACTAATCCTGAGGCAACATCACAGAATCCCAAATCACAGACACTCTAATAAACAACAGCAAAACCTCAAAGAAATGTCCTGTAGTCTTCAGATGTGTTGAGGTTATGAAAGTCAAAGAAGGTTGAGAAATTGTTTTGCATCAAAGAAAACCAAAAAGAAATGACAACTACATACAATGGGTAAATCTGGACTGCATTCTTTTGTCATAAAGGATATTGTTATAATAACTGGTAAAACTTGAATGGGGTCTGAGGATTAGAGGGCAGTAATGTGCCAATGTTAATTTCCTGATGTTTATGGTCATGTTGGATTACGTAGGAGAATTCCTCCTTTGTAAGAAATACACAAGAAAGCATTGGGGCATATCAACATATTGTCCCCAAATATCTCAGTAAACAAAAGTTTTTGTTCCATTCTTGTAAATTTCATAGAATATCAAGTTTGTTTCAAAGTAAAAAGAAGGGCAAAAAGGCAAAGCAAGAGTTTACTAAGTCCTTTCTTTCATTCGGATTACTTTACATACGTTTATTCGTTTAATTCTTGAAACAAATCATTGAGATAAGTACTGTTATAATTTGTAGTTTGCAGAAAAGATAAATAGGGAAGATAATTATGTGCTTGGTTCTGTGTTTCCAAGGAGAAAATTTTCAAGAAGTAGGTTTGGATCTAGACAAATTTGACCTCAATCCATGGCCCAAAAATATATGATTTGAAGCTAATTATTTATATAATCATACAGTATTTCCTCAGTTGCATAATAAGAAGAATATTCAATGTGGTTTTGGGTAAAATAAATGAGCTAATAAATAGGAAATGATGAGCACAGCAGCTGACATGGGCCACACACCTGCTTCATGTTAGCAATGATCAGGAATTCCCAAGTGGCCCTGCACTGCCACAACGTGTGACCAAGATGCTTTAAGAAATACCTTGATGCTCCTACATTATTCAGAAACAGAGGTTCTCAGACCACACATAGGAGTTTTCCAAAAAAAAAAAAAAAAAAAATTCTGTGGAAATACTGCTGGATCAACTTGACGCAATTCAGAGTAAGAATTTTACGGTAGGAGTGCCTATTTTTACTGAAGTAAAAATTGATATATTTAATATAAGAAATAGAAACCAGAGTTCCGGTTCCTACTTTATCACTTATTAATGCAGAATAGATGTAACTATGCTTGCATCTAGTTATGCAGCATCTATTAATGCAGAATAGATGTAAGCATGCTTGTAATCCCAATAAATTGTGATTCTCTGAGACTACAAGGCATTCAAAGTCATCATATGATTGGATTTTCTGAACTACTCTTTGAGTAGAGCAATTATTGGGATTAATGAGAAGTTTATATTTGAGAACCCAGTAATATAGTTAGTATTTACTTAATATTTTCTGCCTACTAGAAAAGTATACTCTATTTAAAGGCTTTATATGAATTAATTAATTTGTATCATCATATAATCCAATGAAGTAGACACCATTATTATTACTACTGCACACAAGCGAAATTGGAGAATACATGAAGACAGGAGCTGAACAGTTTTCCTGGTTCCAAGACCATCTCTTTGCAACTAAACCACTAATCTCCATTACTTTTTGGCAGAAGTTGCCTGATTTCCAAAGGTTTCACAGCCTGCATGTAGCAGCGCTGATATACTGATTTCTTCTGTCTTTTACTCTTAGCTCTTTAAATTATGTCACACTTTTTTTTTTTTTAATTTCACTTTAGGTTCTGGGATACATGTGCAGAAAGTGTAGGTTTGTTACATAGGTATATGTGTGCCATGGTGGTTTGCTGCACCCATCAACCCATCATCTAAATTTTAAGCCCCACATGCGTTAGCTATTTGTCCTAATGCTCTCCCTTCCCTCAACCCCCACCCCCTGATTGGCCCTGGTGTGTGTTGTTCCCCTCCCTGTGTCCATGTGTTAACATTGTTCAACTCCCGCTTACCAGTGAGAGCATGCAGCGTTTGGTTTTCTGTTCCTATGTTAGTTTGCTGAGAATGAAGCTTCCAGCTTCCCTGCAAAGGGCATGCTCTCATTCCTTTTTATGGCTGTATAGTATTTCATCATATATATGTACAGCATTTCTTTATCCAGTCTATCACTGATGGGCACTTGAATTGTTTCCATGTGATTACTATTTGTAAATCTTTCATAACCAAAACACATCCCACCAGATGCCATCTCCAACACTGGGGATTGCATTTTAACTTGTGATTTTGAAGGGACAAGTATGCAAACCATATCATTCCACCTCTGGCCCCTACATTGCAAAATATAATCATCTCTTCCCAATAGTCCCCCAAAGTCTTAACTTATTCCATTATCAAGTCCAAATTCCAAAGTCTCCTGAGACTCAAAGTATTTTCCTTCTACCTATGAGCCTGTAAAATCAAAACCAAGTTATTTACTTCCAAGAAAGAATGGTGATACAGGCATTGGGTGACGTTTTCATTCCAAAAGGAAGAAATTGAACAAAAGAAAGGGGTAACAGGCCCCATGCAAGTCAGAAACTCATCAAATCTTAAAGCTCCAGAATAATCCTTGGCTCCATGTCCCATATTCAGGGCATACTGGTGCAAGTGATGGGCTCCCAAGGTCTTGGGCAGCTCCACCTCTGTGGCTTTTCATGGTTCAGTCCCTGTGGCTGCTCTAATTGGTTGGAGTGGAGTGTCTGTGGCTTTTCAACACTGGAGTTGCAAGCTGCCATTGTCTCTACCATTCTCGGGGCTGAAGGACAGTGTTCCCCTTTCCCACGGCTTCACTAGGCAGTGACCAAGTGGGGACTCTCTATGGGGGCTCCAATCCCATACTTCCCCTCAGCACTGCCCTAGTGGAGTATCTTTGTGGGGACTCTGCACCTACAGCAAGCTTTTGTCTGGGCATCTAGGCTTTTCCATATATCCTCTGAAATCTAGGTGGACACTGCTAAGTTTCCTTCACTATTGCATTCTACATGCCTGCAGGCTTAACACCATGTGGAAGCCAATAAGGCTTACAGCTTACACCTTCAGGCTGAAGCTGGAACAGCTGGGATGGGAAGAGTAGCCTCCTGAGGTGGTGCAGGGCAGTGATGCCCTGTTCCTGGTTCACAAAACCATTATTCTATCCTAGGTCTCTGGGCCTGTGATGAGAGAGGCCACCTTGAAGTTCTCTGAAATGCCTTCCAGGCCTTTATCCCATTGTCTTGGAAATTAGCACCTGCCTCCTCTTTAGTCATGCTAATCTCTCTAGCAAGTGGTTGCTCTGCATCCTACTTAGATTCTATTCCTACCACAGGGCCAGGCTGCATATTTTCCAAATTTTTATACTCTGCTTTCCTTCTAAATATCAGATGCAACTTTAAATCATTTTTTGCTCCTGTTTCTGATGTAGGCTGTTAGGAGCAGCCAGACCACACCTTGAGTGCTTCACTGCTTAGAAATTT
The DNA here is from genome assembly GCF_000001405.40 of Homo sapiens. NCBI lineage: Eukaryota > Metazoa > Chordata > Mammalia > Primates > Hominidae > Homo > Homo sapiens. The sequence continues at coordinate 12,050,275 of NC_000004.12, read as the reverse complement.
CTTCTGCCAGATACCCTACGTCATCCACTCTTAATTTCAAACTTCCATGGAGCCCTAGGACATGGACTCAATGCATCCAAGCTGCTTTCTAGGGCATAACATGGGGATTTTTGCTCCAGTTTCCATTAACTTCCTCTCTTCCATCTGCAACCTCATCAACTTGGCCTTCTTCTCTGTACATATTTCTATCAACACTTGGGTCACAACCACTTAACAAATTTCTGAGAAGCTCTAAACTTTCCCTTATCTTCCTGTCTTCTTCTAAGGCCTCCAAACTCTTCCAACCTCTGCCCATTACCCAATTCCATACTTGCTTCCACATTTTCAGGTATCTTTATAGCAATGCCCAACTCCTGGTATCAATTTTCTGTGTTATTTCATTCTTGAATTGCTATAAAAGAATGCCTGAGGCTGAGTAATTTATGAAGAAAAGAGATTTAATTGGCTCATTGTTCTGCAAGCTGTACAAGTATGGCTCCAGCATCTGCTTCTGGTAAGGGCCTCATGAAACTTACAATCATGGTAGAAGGAGAGGGGACTGTCACAAGGTGAAAGTGAGACCATAAGAAAGGAGAGGTGTCAAACTCTTTTAAACAGTCAGACCTTGTGTGAACTCAGAGTGAGAACTCACTTATTACTGCAAGGATGGCACCAAGATTTTCATAAGGAATCCACCCCCCATGACCCAAACACCTCCCACCAGCCTCCACCTCTAACACTAGGGATTACATTTCAACATGAGATTTAAAGGGCACAAATATGTAAACCATATCAAGCCTCAAGTTTTGTTTTGCCATATCTCCCAAATAACCTGAAAATTCCCAGTGATAACAGGACTTACTGAAGCTTCCTTTGATATCTCAAATATCTTAATAGTGCAGGAAGATTAATATATTTTTTCTTGCACAGGCCCTCGCCCTCTCCTTGCCTAGTCCACCAGGTTGCCATTTTATCAGCATCATTTCTAGCAGAGATAATTGTATAAATGTTATTAAATATCTATGTTATCATGTACTTCGGCCTTACATCTTAATATCAGTGAAAATAAATGCTCAGGCAAGAAACTTAGCTCCAGATTATTAGGCTACATTGCCATGTTAAACAAAATGACTGATTTCAAAATGCTTTCCTGTTAAATGTGTGTATGTGTGCATGTATGTATGGATAGATGTTTGTACAAGTATGTATATATATGAATTGATATCAGTTACTTTGCCTGGACATACTCGTTCGTTTCCACGCATATGTAAATCAAAAAATGGTCATATTCAAATAGTTCAATAAGCCAGTCTTTGGAGCTGTTTACATTAGACCATGGCTCTATATTACAACCACAGCCTGGTATCACAACACCACATTCTTTCCCATAAGGAAGTTTCCGATCTGTTTTGAGCCCAAATTCTCAGAGACATTCTTCCATTCTTGCTAATGTACTAAAGTGATGAGTGCCTAGGACTGACCTTGTGAATTGGCGAAGTCTTACTTCCATAAGTTTATATTTCTTTCAGTATTATCTGAATAATGAGAAAGAATGCATTCCATAATTTTTAAATTGTGCATAGCAGTGCAACATGAATCCCCAAATCTGTGTTCTAGTAATTTGATCACCTAGTAAGATACATTATATTTAATTAAAATAAAACAAAACAAGAAATGCAGTCGATGTGGTTGATTCATATTAAAATTAAAGATGCAAGTATTTCTTAAATATTTTACTGAGTAATACCTTAAAGAAATGCAGATGCCACAGTGTTAGTGTTACTTATCTGAGAAGCATCTTAGTGTCAACTTTGGATTTAAAAATATTGATTTTCTCCACATCTCACAATATACCTTTGTAACAAACCTGCATATGTATCCCTTGATTCTAAAATAAAAGCTGAATAAAAATTGTTGGTTTCAAATCTTTTGATAGATCCATGGAAAGTTATACTCTCCCCAACTTTTCACTCTCACTATCACCAAAATGGGGGAAAGGTAGAGGGCAAATCTATTTTTATGGGAATTTCGTTAAGGTTAAAAGATCTAATGACTGTAAATCACCCCACATGGTAAATGCTCAATAAATGAGGGATACTATATTTTTGTAATGCTTTGTGCCTAGTGAAATTTCTTGTCTGTACAAAAACTATGAACACAAAAGTAACCGAAACCATAAGACAAAAGTCATAAAAATACAAGCTATCTTCAAATGTTTTCATTCTCTTATTGAATGCTTATGACCACTTAACTGGACAACTGAATTACATTCTCTTAATGGTTTACATCACCTGTTTTCTCCCTTTGTAGGTAAGCATTAGGTTATAATTGTATTTTTCTCCAAAAAATGTGCAACCTTTTCTCTGCTTAATAGACAAATTTGGGACTGGTCACCTCAATTCAACTGGGGGCTTTGCTGAATCAAGCCCAATAAGAGTTACTCTATTTCTGGTTTACTTCTACTCTAGAAGATACTAATCTTAAGATCTTTTTGAATATTTCTGCTTTGATATTTACAAACCTTCTGCTTAAAACTTTAGTCTGTCATCTTGTGTAGTTCTAGAATTCTCTAATTTTACTCAAGGAAATCAGCCATGTCTTTTAGTCTTCCCAAGTCCCAGTAAAATACTCTGCTGGTGTTTCTGTCACCCAGAAGTAAACATTGGTGAGTGCAAACCCAAGATTTTCTTGCTATTTTCCAAGTTCAGCCTCAAGAGATGCTTTTCAGAATGTCTGTACAAGTCAAATCACTTATTCAAGACTTCCCCACGCTCTTGAGTCTTAGTCTCCCCAGTTCGCACTATTCCAGAAGATTCCTGCTGCCTTCAAATAGACACTTTCTGTATTTTACTAGTTTTTGTAGAAAGGAATACCTTTTTCTACTTTTCTAGTTGTCTTTCTGTATTTTGCTGATTCCAGACAGGAATAACCATATCCTGTTTTGAACTCCCTCCTACCCAAAAGAGAAAGTCCTGATTGTTTTTTTTTTTTTTTAATCTCTTGTGACTACATATTTTATTTACTTACTATTTCTTGCATGGTTATTCTCTATTTTAAATCTGACAATTTTGATAAATTCCAAAGAAAATTAAATCTGAGGCTTGTTATTTTTGCTGTCTTATTCATGGATTGCAAGCTAATTCACATTATGCACTTGGATGATATTTGACTGCAAACTCAAATGTACTTTATTTTAATCTATGAGAGTCTTAATGTGCTTTTATTTGGAATGTTTTCTCCAGAGAAGCTTTGTTTCTGCCAGTGTCAGGAGGTTCAACCAACTTGGGATGATTGGAGTTGTCCTTGAGATCCCCTAGCTTAATTTAGGAATCTCAGTTTCACCTCACCCATCTTGCAGCTGGCCCAGGAATTAGCTTTTTAAATGCAGCATCAACTGTCGTTCACCATCAGAAATACCTGAATCCTCCTTTCTTATTATGGTTTCAGCTCATTTTTGCTTTTGCTTTTTTCATATTTTGTTGTGGTTGAGTTCCTTTAACAAATTACAGTTCTTTTTCTTGAATAAGTTATTTTCTGTTGAGATGATCCTTCAGGATACATAATCAGTTTATCATATTAGCAATTTTTGAAGAAGGTAAAGTTTTTGTCAAACTGCACTTATGAAGCAGAAGTAATGGGAATTATTGATGAATTGAGCCACACAAAATAAATAAATAAATAAATAAATAAATATTCTGTTATATAAAGAATTGCTATTTGCCATATCTAAGGATATTATTAAAAAAAAAAAAACCAAGAAAACAAAAACCATACTCCTAGAAACAATAAAAAGGGCCGGGTGCAGTGGCTTATGCCTGTAATCCCAGCACTTTGGGAGGCCAACCAGGCAGATCACAAGGTCAGGAGATTGAGACCAGCCTGGCCAACATGATGAAACCCTGTCTCCACTAAAAATACAAAAATTAGCTGGGTGTGGTGGCGTGTGCCTGTCATCCCAGCTACTTGGGAGGCTGAGGCAGGAGAATCACTTGAACCGGGAGGCAGAGGTTTCAGGGAGCTGAGATCGTGCCACTGTACTCCAGCCTGGAGACACAGCAAGACTCCATCTCAAAAAAAAAAAAAAAAAAGTCACCACATAAAATATTCAGTTGTGAGCAAAAATTGGCAATTTTAACAAATTAAAACTATTAAAATGGCAACAACATAAAAAAGAAAAATGAGCAAGAGTGATAAAAGCACATAATGAAAAAGGTAATTATATGAATTATTGCAAAAAAGTATTAAATACATTGAACATTCTCTAGCCCTTTATTAATCAGGAAAATGCAAAATTGAGTGGTTTCAGGAAAAGGACATTACTTCTTGCCCTTTTGATCTTGATATTGGCCATGTGATTACTTTTGGCCAATGGAACATGAGCAGAATGGCAACATAATCTAGCTTTCACTGGCTGAGATAATACACTAGATAAACATTTAGATATACATACAATAAAACGTTTATTAGATACTTTGTAAAACATTTGTGAAAAATTCCTTGCAACACAGTTTGTAATGGTCAAAAGCATTATTTAAAAAAGTAGAAACAACGTACATTCCCATCAACAGAATTATGGACAAGTGAATCTTGATATATCTATTCAACAGAATCTTCTGAGAAATAAACGTAATCTACATTACACACAATAACACTGATGCAATGTGAAGAACACAATGGTAAACAATAAAGAGCATAAACCAGAAAATGTATGATTCCGTTTATATGCAGTTCAAAAACATGAAATAAACAATAAATTGTTTAGAATATGAGATTACATTATGAAATTATAAATGAAAGCAGAGAACTAAAATAAAAAATAGTCAAGGGGATGACAGTAATGAATAGTATTGCATGCCACTAAAATCTCCCTGCCAGGAATGTAGGCTGCTGACTAATAGAGTCTAACAGACCCTGAAACAAAGAATCAAATGAAATTAGTTTAGTTATGAGGTAAAGAAAACCTTAGTAGCAGGGTGGGAAGGTGAACTGAAGAAGGAAAAAGAAACAATCAAAGGGGTAATTGAAGCTTCACTCCATTGTGAAACGTTGAAACACTATGTAGTGCAACCAAGTTTGAGTTACTGCCTTCCTCCCACAATGGAGGAATAAGAGGGCTTCTGTATTTTTATACCCACTGCTCTCATTCTTTGGTTTAAGACTATTCTCAAAAGACATTCTGTGGTGCTTCTGGCTGACCAAGCAGGTGGCGAAGTGAGTTAAAGATGCCACACAAAAAATAATTAGCTAAAAAAATATTGTCCATCATTTGGCAGTTGGGCCAGAATCCGCTAGAATGCTTCTTCGAAGGAAACATACAGACTGGATTAATCAATATAAAAATTTTAAAATATAATTTTAGGAATAAAAATAAGGAAATATTTTTATATAATAACCAGAGACATTTTAAAATTCATTGTCTTATAGAACAGAAATAGATTATAAAATTAAAGTCAAAACACAACTAACAATTTGAATTTGTTACCATATTTAGAACATCCATTAAGACAAATTTCTTAGCACATAAAAAACTTACATCAATTAATAAATGTATGAGAATGCATACTCCCTTTCATCATCGACAATATTTTGTGATATTGAAACTATTACTTGCGTTATTACCTATACGTTTGTGTAGACCATTATTATTTTATTTTATTGTTTTACTTTACTTTTACTTGATCTTTTAATGAATAAAATATACTCCAATTTATTCATTAAAAGGTCAAGTAAAAGTAAAACAAAAGTGAAGCAAATAAAAATTGAATTAAAATAATAAGGGTATACACAAACTTATAGGTAATAACACAAGTAATGGGTTCAATATCACATAATATTGTCGATGATGAAAGGAAGTATGCATTCTCATACATTTTTGGAGAAAAGTAAATTGATGCCATCGCATTTTTTGGTAATATTTATCAAAACACCAATTTTTTTTCAAATGTTCTATCAAAACTTAAAATGTATAGAATCTTTTCTCCAAAAAGATCATTTCTTGAAATTTTTCTTTTAGTTGTACTCTCCATGTGCACCACAAGGTATACCATTGTTGCAGCAACAAAGGATTATCAAAATCAAAAGCAAAAGAAGCAAATATTTATTAGATATAAGTACTAACCGTTTTGTTCCTGGCTAAAGAAACTAGTAATTTAGCAATGGGAGAAAACAAGTGTTAAAATGTCACTGTTTACCCTTTCATACAGATTAAATTTTGTACCATGTATGTTTATTTCTGTGTCACTTATGACTTGAGAATGAAAGAGAGATAAAATCTGGCATCCTTAATCCAAACTATGAATTGGCTCAGAGCTGGAAGAATGGTGTTGGCCAGGTGTGGTGGCTCATGCTTGTAATCCCAGCACTTTGGGAGGCCAAGCAGGAGGATCACTTGAGCCCAGGAGGTTTAGATCAGCCTGGGCAACAGAATAAGAGCTCATCTCTACAGACAAATTTAAAAATTAGTCGAGTGTGGTGATGTGCACCTATAGTTCCAGCTACTCAAGAGACTGAGGCAGGCAGATCACTTGATCCCAGGAAGTCTAGGCTGCAGTGAGCCATGTTCATGCCACAGCACTCCAGCTTAGGTGACAGAGTGAGATCTTGTCTCAAATAATAATAATAATAAATAATGGTCTTGGAGGCTAAGAGAGACAAAAATCAGCTACACAGAGCCAAGATGCAGGAAATGCAACAGCTAACTATCTTTAGCCAGAAAATTCTAACAAGAATGATACTCTTGCCATGCATATTTCTGCAGTGAGTGAACACCAATGCTGGAAAAAGAAAATGGACATTTCTCTAATCATTTCCTATGAATCTCACATCTTTGCACCACTGACTCAAAGACTAAAGTTCCAGATAGGAACAGTGATTGAATGAAGCCAGGGTATCTGTCCCTGGCTGGCTGTTAAGAGCCTTAAAGAGTAAGGATAATGCCCCTTCTGTGTCCATATCTGGAGGCTGCATACTGCAAACCTCTAATATCACACACAATTGGAGATCCACTAATATAAAATTGGAATTAGATTCTGAGATAAAAAAATCAATCACTACAATTATTTTTCTCAAGTGAAAAATAAAACTGTTAAAAATAGCTTGGACAATTAGTGGAACACTGTTCAGTTTTTTGCAAAATCATCTTACATAATAGCTCCACTGACGTCTCTATTCCTGAGTTATTTCTATATAAGAATTTATCCTGTGGATAACTGAGATCACATTGGTGTAGTTGGAGAACACGTACATCCAATTCATTTTCCCCTGTGCACTTCATGATGTTAATTTCTCTGTCCCACAGAGATAATGTTTCAGAACGATGTCTGGTGTGATTTTTCTCTTCTTAGTTCCATGCTGTTCTGATTGTTTAAAAAATCTTTTAGAGCAATAGAAACTACAGTCCTCCCTTAATCTTCTTTTGCATCATATATGTTACCTATTTTAGAGAATTATCCTCACCTCCTCCGTGTGTGTTAGCTGAATTTTTATGTATGACGTTAATTCGCGAAGCCATTACCTTTCTCATGACTCCTGTGGAGCACGTTACCTTCAGAAAGGACCTTTCAGCTTTCTGATTGATTTCCTGGGAGGCTTAAATTTCCAAGTAGAGAAATGTCTCCTTCGAATATGAAATATGGTTCAGATTTTCTACTTGAAGGCCATGAGCTTGAATTCAATAATTCTCCATTCTCTGCCTCAGAGCATGAGCCTCAGAACTGCATTTGTTCGTTTGTGTTATTCTCTTGGCCAAAAAGATGTGGACATAAGATGCAGTGTGAGCTGGCACTGCCTTCAGACCCCTGTCTTTTCTGGCCACTTCCTTCATTGTCCCCAGGTTTCCTAGTGGCGGGAACCTGGGAAAGCTGCTCGAACTTCCTGAGAACTACGAGTCCTCATTTGTTTTCTACAACGGCTGTAATAATTTACCTTTCCACCAACAGATCATATATGAGGGATGTGGAAGGAAGTGAAAGCAGTATGGGGCAGGGCGGTGAGAAGTGATGGAGGGTTGGGGGCTGGCCATCAAGAGGGCCCATGGAAGTCCATAACACCCAGCACACTCAAATCTAGGGGTGGCCTGATACAGGTAATGGAACTTGGCAGTAATATTTTCCATCCTATGATAAAAATTAAAGTGTGCAACTTGAAAAGGAAACAAAAGTTTAAAAATGAAGCTGTGTGTGGAAACAGCGTGAGACTAGGTGAGTGTACACTGCCCTACTTCCCACCCCAAGCTCACGGCTTCCATCCTTCACTGCCACCTAGTGGAAGAGAAGAACATTATTTAGGGCATGTTTGCTGTAGGGCAGAAATATTAACACTTTTAATGCCTAGTGTTCCATTATTGGAACACTAAGCATGTGGGAGTTATTTACATCTTACTGCTCAAGGTCATCACCAAGGTCTGATTGCAAAAATTCAAAAAATTGCATTCTCAGGCATAAATGGGTTAATACTTCTCTATTATCTGTTTTATTGTGTTTCTCCTCCCATCAGGTGGTAGGCAGAATACTGGAAGAGTACATGGACAGACAAATCCTCCATATCTTTCTTCTCTTTCTATATCTCTCTTTTTTCTTTTTATTCTTTTTCTTATTAGAGTTTAGTTGTTTTGTAAAATGCTCTATTTTAAACATATTTTCCTGAACATATTACTTACAGTGATTTTAAAGCCCGTGCCTAATATCTTCAATACCTGGGTCTCCAGTGGATTTTTCATATTGTTTTTTGTTTGTTTTCCACTGAATAATTATTTGTTTGTTTTCTATTTTATCTTGTCTCTTGTCACACCCATTGATTTTATTGAATTGATAAAATTCACTTCCATCTTGATATCAGAAATAAAAATTGTTAGAGACTAAAGATGATGTCTTTATCTGTAGAGGACTTATCTTCTTCTAACATAGAGTGAGACTACAGGATATATCACCTTGGCTCAATGGGAGACTGAGATCATTTTTGGGATAGATTTTAGTATTGAGAAAGCCTGGTCTATTTCAGTTGCCTCAACTAAAACTTTGGGGCTTACAACATGGTCCTATCTGGCATAGTCCTATGTACTACTTAGAGTTCTGATCGGTTTATAATATATGACTGCCAATTTCTGCCGTTTTGACTTCTTCATTTCTTACCTAACTCCACTCAAAAACAGGAAAATGCCCTGAGGGTATAAACAATGCCAGAATGTGGGCTCATCTCTCTTGTTTTCTCTGAAATCTTGGCCTTTCAAAGTTTGTTCATCTTGGTAGCCAAGAAGTCAAGATCTTGCCTCTCTAGCACCATGTCTAACACGTTTACAGTGGAGCCACTACTTTCTGGTAGATCTATTATTCTACAGCTTAAGAAGCAGAAAATTTCTCTGAGGGAAAGGTGTATACAATGAGGGGCCCACCTCAGTATGTTTCACTTCACTTTAGGGTCTTGGACATTCAAATCCTATCTGCCTTTGTTGCTCCTTTTGCCTTTTTCCTCATTTTGAGTGGATTTCAGCCACCATGCTGGGGATGGTAGCTGGTGTGATAAAAAATTCATTGACAAAGTAGAAGTTTCTTTACAACCATTTTCTGTTTCTCCAGTTTTTATTGTAGTAATGGGAAGGTAGAATCAGATTGAGGATTTTGGCCTCTCTTTATCTCTTACTCTTTCTCTTCCACTATTATTGGCTTGGCTGGCTTCAAGATTTCTCTGAGGTATGTGAATGAGGATCTTTAATAGGTAGGGAAACAAATTATATCTTTATAACTAAGCCATTTGAATTACTCCATTGTCATACTGCTATAAAGACATATCTGATACTGGGTAATTTATAAAGAAAAGAGGTTTAATTGACTCACAGCTCTGCATGGCTGGGCAGGCCGCAGGAAACTTACAATCACAGCAGAAGGCAAGAGAGAATGAAAGCGTGACTTACATGCAAGAAGTGGCAGAAAAGAGAGTGAACAAGTGAATGGGGAAGAACCCCCTATAGAACCATCAGATCTCATGAGAACTCACTCACTATCATGAGAACAACATGGGGTAAACTGCCACTTTGAACCAATCACCTCCTATCAGGTCCTGCCTTCAACACATGGGGATTATGAGGATCACAATTCAAGATGACAGTTGGGTAGGGACACAGAGCCAAACCATATCATTCTGCCCCTGTCCTCTCCAAAATCTCATGTCTGTTCACATTTCAAAACCAATCATGCCTTACTAGCAGTCCCCCAAAGTCTTAATTCATTCCAACATTAACTCAAAAGTCCAAAGTCCAGAGTCTCATCTGAGACAAGGCAAACCCCTTCTGCCTATGAGTCTGTAAAATCAAAAGCAAGTTGGCTACTTCCAAGACACAATGGGGTACAGGAATTGGGTAAATGTTCCCATTCCAAATGGAAGAAATTGGCCAAAACAAAGGGGCTATGGGCCCCATGCAATTCTGAAACCAGATGGGGCAAGTCCGAAACCAGGTGGGGTAGTCGTTAAATCTTAAAGCTCCAAAATAATCTCTTTTGACTCCATGTCTCACTTCCAGGTCACAATGATGCAAGAGGTAGGCTCCCACACCCTTGGACAGCTGCAGCCCTGTGACTTTGCAGGGTACAGTCCCCCTCCCAGCAGCTTTCATAGGCTGGCATTGAGTGTCTGTGACTTTCCAGGCACATGGTGCAAGCTGTCAGTGGTTCTACCATTCTGGAGTCTGGAGTACAATGGCCTTCTTCTCACAGTTTCACTAGGCAGTGCCCCAGTGGGGACTCTGTGTGGGTACTGCAACACCACATTTCCCTTCTGAACTCCCCTAGTGGAAGTTCTCCATGAGGGCTCCACCCCAGCAGCAAACTTCTGCCTGAACATCCTAGTGTTTCCATACATCCTGTGAAGTCTAGTTGGAGGTTCTCAAACCTCAATTTTTTACTTCTGTGCACCTGTAGGTCCAACCCATGTAAAAGCCACTAAGACTTGGGGCTTGCATCCTCTGAAGCAACTGCCTGAACTGTATGTTGGTCCCTTTTAGCTGTGACTGGGATGCAGGGTACCAAGTCCTGAGACTGCACAAAGCAGCAAGGCCTTGGATTCGGCCCATGAAACCATTTTTTTTCCTCCTAGGCCTCTGGAACGGTGATTAGAGTGGGTGCCGTGTAGATGTCTGTCATATCCTAGAGACAATTTTCCCATTGTCTTGGAGATTAACACTTGGCTCCCTATTACTTATGCAAATTTCTATAGCTGGCTTGAGTTTTTCTCCAGCAAATGGGGTTTTCTTTTTAACTAAATCATCAGGCTGCAAATTTTCCAAACTTTTATGCTCTGCTTCCCTTTAAAACATAAATTCCAATTTCAAATCATTTCTCTCAAGTTCAAAGTTCCACAGATCTCTAGGGAAGGGGCAAAATGCTGCCAGTCTTTTTGCTAAAGCATAGCAAGAGTGACCTTTTCTCTAGTTCCCAAGAATTTCCTCATCTCCATCTGAGACCACCTGAGCCTGGACTTTATTGTCCACATCATTATCAGCATTTTGGTCAAAACTATTCAACAAGTCTCTAGGAAGTTCCAAACCTTCCCACATCTTCCTGTCTTCTTCTGAGCCCTCCAACCTGTTTCAACCTCTGTCTGTTACCCAGTTCCACAGTTGCTTCCAAATTTTTGGGTATATTTATAGCAGCAGCCCACTCCCAGTACCAATTTGCCATTTTAGTCCATTGTCATCCTGCTATAAAGACTTCCCAAGACTGGCTAATTTATAGAGGAAAGAGGTTTAATTGACTCAGAGTTCAGCATGGCTGGGGTGGCCTCAGGAAATTTACAGTCATGGCAGAAGGGGAAGCAAACGTCTTTCTTCACTTGGCAGCAGCAAGAAGTGCCAAGGAAAAAGGGGAAAAGCCCTTGATAAAACCATCAGATCTCATGAGAACTCACTCACCATCACAAGATCAGCATGAGGGAAACCATCCCGTAATCCCATCACCTCCCAACAGGTCCTGTCCTCAACACGTGTGGATTATGGGGATTACAATTCAAGATGATATTTGGGTGGGGGCACAGGGACAAACCATATCACCTTTCACTCCAGATAGTCTGTTTCCAGAACTCTGCTTTGAAATATTCAGTGCTTGCCACGGTTGGAAAATGTCATCCTTTGAAACTCACTCTGTTTTGTTTTGTTTTGTTTTTTCTTAATACCAATTCTCTTAGAAAAAAAGCTGGGTAAGAGTCATTATTGGTTAGGATATGACCATCATTGGGTTCTTAGCAACAATACTATCAAAATTTCCCCAAAACTTCAACCACAAATTTTAAAAAAGAAACGTACCTTTTCATTTTCTATGTGCCAAATCTGTAACGGGCCTTTTTATCCTCTCATGGGACTTTCGGGATAATCTTACATAGTACGTCCATTTTAGATACACTAAAGTTAAGTCTCAAAAAACCACAGTCTGGGCTGGGTGCAGTGGCCCATGCCTGTAATCCCAGCACTTTGGGAGGCCTCAGGGGATGGATCACTTGAGCCATGTGTTTGAGATCAGCCTGGGCAATATGGTGAGATACCCCATCTCTATTTAAGAAGAAAAGTAAAGTAAAGAAAAATCCACAATCTGTTCAAAATCACTCAACTAGGCTTGTGCTTCAAATTTAGGGCTGATCACATTATTTGTGCAATGTCAACCACAGCAATATTTACCCCCAATTTTTTCAGGGAACGTGAATGCAGTGTAAGATATTAAGAAGTTTTCTATTAAAATAAATGTTTCCATAATGAAATTATCTTGCCAAGTTGGGTGATTGCACACCTGCTGTGGAGTGAATAGTGTATCAGCATGTTTATAGCCCTAAGACCTCCCATAAAAAACACCACCCTTAAATACTGAGAAATTTTCAAACTCATTTGACCTCAGAATACTTTTCTTATGTAATGCCTTTTAACATTACATGGCCTACAAATGTTCTATATAAGCACTGTTGGGGAATGTTAATTATATTGTATAATTTTGCAATTTTCATACAGGTTTTAGCACACTCGAAGCTCACCAGAAAGAGAATAGGATCAGAAAGGGGCAGTGTACTAGAAAAAGTATTTAGCTTTCTAGAATCTCTAACAAACAAATTGTACTTTAGAGTCAAACTCCTGTCCCATGAAGAGGCAAGAAAGTAATCAGGACCTCTAACCGAAGTCTGGGGGTTGTGATCTGACTAACAGAGTGGGGTAAATGCTTCTCAGAGGCTCTCAGAGTGTATGGGGTACCAGTCCTCAAGGCAAATTGTCACAGTCTGCCATTACTTTACTTGCCTTTACTAGCATTAGCTCAGGAAGTGGTTGGACTGAGCCTTCATCTGAGATTCACTGGGGGAATTTAGGTTTCACTGTCCCTGTCTTAATTTGGTTTTTAAGTCTTTATCCATATATAAAATAGGGTAATGGTACTTCTACTGTGATGTTTTAAAAATATACCTGTGAATTCTTTGGCATTCATTCCACTAAAGAACAGTTTCTGTGTCTACTCTTCTTGAATCTGGGCCAGGCTTAGTATCTCCTTTGTAACCAGAACAATGAAGCAGAAGTGATGCTGCATAACTTCTGAGGCAAGGGCGGAAAAGGGCAGGAAGCTTTCTCTTTGTCCTCTTGGAAACTCACTCTGGAAAAACCAGCCACAGTGCAAGGTCTGGGCCAACATCAACTACCCTGAGGCCAACATCCTGGAGAGGAGATATATAGGTTCACACCCCAGTTGTGTCTCCAGCCTGACAGCCAGCACCAATGGCTAGCCATGCAGGTTCACGACCTTGGAGACCCAGACCCTCTGCTTTTCTGGTAACAGCAGCTGCAGCCAACAGTTGGCTGTGATCACATGATCAATCTCAAACACGAGCCTTCCCTACATGAAACTGTTCCATAATTTCAAACTCACAAATTTGTTAATCAAATAAATTGGTTGTTTTTAGGTCTCTAAGTTTTTGGTAGAATTTTCTGCACAGCAATAGTAGCTGAAACACCTACATCTCAGGGTCATTTTAAGAATTAAATGAGATAATAGACGTAGATTACTAGAGTGGTCATTTCTCAGTACAAAGTATATTGCCAGTACATCCACATCCAGGTGGTTCCTTGTTTACCAATCGATATGCTAGTCCTCAGGAGAAATTGTCATAAAAATTGACTATTTTTGTAATAAAAATAGTCTGAAAGGTTAGAAATAGTCCAAGAGGTCTAAAGAAGTTTTCTGAAGAAGTTCATTGTATCAAAATGAGAATATTTAGTATCCTGTTTCTATTTTTTTCTATTGTTGGAAATGTAACAAAGGAATAAATATGTGTATAACACAATAAAATAAGAGATATTTAATTTGGTATGCAGATCGGGGTTTTTCAACCTTGGTATTGTTGACACCTTGGCCTAGGTAATGTTTTTGCCCTGGGCCTGGGGATGTCCTGTACATTTTAGGATGTTTAGCAGTACCCTTGGCCTCTACCTACTGGATACCAGTAGAATCCTTTGCTTATAGTTGTGCGATGAAAAACATTTTTACATTTTGCCCAATGTCCTTTGACAATGTCCTTTGCCCAATGTCCCTTTGAGGGACAAAACCAGCTCCAGTTTAGAACCACTGGTGTAGATAGTGGTGTTGTAGAGGCTAGGCTAATCATAATTGGGGCGGTTATATGGGATTTCCAGATGAAATTGGCATTATTTGCAGAGTCAGAAGGTAAGGCATAATTCTATGTCTCTAAAAATGTTTTCTCTCCCTCTCTAGCAGACTACCTACAGCAGAATTAAAATATTATGAACGTTTGGTACTTGAGAAGTCCTTTCTCAAGGAGACTGGAGTGAGGGGGAAATAGATGCTTATAGCAAACCAGGACATTCTTTCCTAGGTAGGGGTCATCAAAAGTAGAGCTGTATAGACAACAGGCTAGGAAGGAGTGTGGTCACTAAGAGAGCAGTATGAGGACAGATCACAGGAAGAACACAGAGAGAAGGTCACAACAGAAACAATTTAAACAAAAATAGTTTATCTGGGTACAGGGCTCATGGACAGGCTCAACTGCCAAGGCAGGGTGCAGGAATTTAGGCACAATTGAGTTCAAAGGCAATGTGCTGCATTTTCATTCAGAAAGCTATGTATTTATTAAAACTATCTTATCAAAGAATATATATGCATTAAGGAAAATGTAGTTAACATTGATAAGTGAAAAATGTCACTTATCAAAAAAAATCCCTGTGAAATTAGGTTTTGTTGAAAAAAGTGTAGAATATAATAATTGCATAGAAATATATAATAATGTATACAGTGGTGATTTCTGCCTATGAAATCACTTAAAATTTTATTTCTTAGGGTTCTCTGTATTTTTTCAATGCTTTTACAGGTAGTTATTTTAATTAAAGATAGGGTATTAAAAAATGTAGGAAGGATTGAGTTGTAGGCTGCGGCAATGTTTGGGGCAATAAAGAAATGTCACAGGATGAAAAGGAATGAAGTGTGCTCAATAGCAAAGACATAGAATCAACATGAATGCCCATCAATGATAGACTGGATGAAGAAAATGTGGTACATATACACCACAGAATACCATGCAGCCATAAAAAAGAACAAGATCGTGTCCTTTGCGGGGACATGGAAGGAGCTTGAGGCCATTATCCTCAGCAAACTAACACGGGAACAGAAAACCAAATACAACAGGCTCTCACAAGTGAGAGCTAATTGATGAGAACACATGGACACATAGAGGGGAACAACACACACAGGGACCTTTTCAGGGGTGGAGGGTGGAAGGAGGGAGAGGATCAGGAAAAATAATGAATGGAAACTAAGCTTAATACTGGGGTAACAAAACAATCTATACAACAAATCCCCATGACACAAGCTTACCTATATAACAAACCTGCACATGTACCCCTGAACTTAAAAGTTAAAAAAAGGAGGTGTTGAGGTGTGTTTATCTGATGTCCAGAACATTTTTAAGATAAAGGTGCACCAGTCTAGGAAATCTTAATCCCTTGTTATTTCCTTTGTTGACTGGATTGTCTGCCCTGTTAGTTGTGCATACCTGCCATATAGAAAAGTGAATTCGAAGTGATAATCAAGTTGATCAGAAAGTGGCTAAGTTTGTCTTATTTTTTCATGTATAGACTAATTTATTTTTCCTATTTTTAACTATGACCCACAAAAGGGAATAAAGATGAACTAAGTGTCTAGGAATAATAAGACTATGTATAAATATTACCGTATGATTTTGAGTGATTGAACTCTACTAGATTCTAGACATGGGCTATTTTATTTAATCCCCATAAATTTGTCTGTGGGTTTTTGGTATTCACCCTTTGCAAATTACAGAAAAAGGTTGAGAGACATTAAACAATTATTTTAGTTCCCGAACTGGTAAGTGACAGAGCCAGGATTTGTAACAGAGGATTTGTATTGATTTGTCTGAATCTAAATCCCAACTTTGTTCACTACGCCTTGCTGCCAGTAATCATGTGAAAAATTTTGCTGAGTGAATTTATATATTTTTGACTTCTTCTGGGGAAAAACAAAAACAACAACAACTTATTTTCTATGCCTTAAAACCCAATGGCAGGCTTCAAATTTCATTTATTTTTGAATTTGAATTTATTTTCCTCCAGCTCCTTAAAGAGCCAGTTAAAGAGAGCTTAAAGTCAGTGAGACTTTGGTTTAACATTTCAGCACAGCCTACTCATTCGATGTGCAAACTCCATCACAGAAGAGTGAAAGTCATCAAATTTCATTTGTTATAACATTAGTTTAGGAAGATATTTTCCCCTCTCACCAGCTAAATTGTCTTTTACTTTGTAAACTGTTTCTATTTTTCAACAATAACATTACAATGTGTTCAGTTCTAACCACCCTGCTGCTCAATCCTTTATAAACCCAAAAAAAGAAATAGTTATATAACCAAGAAACATCAAAAAGTAAATAAAAGGCAGATATTGCTTCAGATGACTCTCCATTTGCTGAGGACAAAAAAGCAATTTTACATTTTATATTTTATATTTATTATTGCATTATTCTTTTGTTTACCTTGTAACAAGTGGAAGCCTGATAGCATCTGTCACCCTCCCACAATTTAATTACATATTCCATATCTTTATTCTTACTTGGCACTGTCTTTGCTTGCCTAGAGCTGTCTTACCCACCACTTCCAAGTTCATCTTGCATGATTTTTGTAATTAAGTGAGTGGCAAGTTAGCTACCTCCATCCTTAAATTGAACATTTCATAGTTTGAAAGCACTTCTAATAAACTTCCTTGAATCTGAATCCCCATTAGTTCCCCATCTTCCCCTGATGACTCAATTATCTCCTCAGGGGAGAATCTGTTCAATACCAAGAATTACCTTTCCTCCACAGAGAGGGGACTAGGAACGATGACTCTGAAACCCTCTTTCTTTCACTCTGTATCTTCGATGAATAATTTATATTTGTGACAATCTGCTTTCTGTTTTTCCTGACTCTTAGCATTGAAAACTATATAAAGAATGTATTCACCCTGTCTCATTACTTTCCACACAGCACACTGAAAGCCTCCTGGTCCTAGCTACCCCTTGGATTCACCTTCATTCATGGTTAGAAAAAAATAATGAACTTTCTCCTATTGTTTTAAGGTGTTGTCTCTTCTTATTCAAAGATTTGTTATTCATTAAAAAGTTTAAAAGCTTTCTAGAAAAAACAAAGACTTTTTTTTTTCCTGTGCCATCACTTTTCTTAATATGAAACTATTACCTGCCAATTGTAGAAAAAAATAGAAAATGCAGAAAAGAATACATTTAATCTGTCCTAAACTCCACCATCATGAGATGAGTAAGTGAATACCAAATCAGAAACATGCACTCATACACACACAATAAATTGGACACTATCTGTATTGTAGGCACCAATAGTATACTACCAATTCATCTATTTCATCACACACATTTAAAATCTCATAGATGCTATGCACTGTTAGTGCTCTTTCCTTCATTTACTCTACACCGAAGTTCCTCAGAGATATCTCTCATTTGGGTTGAGGGGTTAATAGGTTTTAAAAGAGCAGAATTATGGTGACAGATGCTCAATATTTAGTGAGCACCTTCTAGGTACCAAGGATTGTGTTAGTCCTGGATTGACAAAAACATGGAATGTGCTTTCTGCTCTAAAATAGTTCATGGTCTAACAGAGAAGAAGCAATAAAACAGTAAATATGGTACAAAGAAGTAGGTCCCATGATATTAAAAATTATACTCTGAATTCAAAAGATAGAACTTTTGTTTAAATCTCTTTTTTTTCTGGCAACTATTGCTGGCTTATGTTTATGTTGTCGTAAAGAGTAGAACATTATCATATTCCCTTATTACATCATTTAAGAATAAAATGTTTATTGGAGTTAAGTATTTTGGTTCCCTATAATGAAACCTGGATTTGAAACCCAAACATACAACCTGAACTTGAGTTGATGATAAACAACAATTCTGTAAAATTGGGTATTTAATTTGGGGATCACTGATTATCATTGTATTGTTCTGCTGAAAAAACTCTATTGGTTCCCTATTGCTAACAAATGGACATGTCTTAGGCAGGATTCCCATCTCCTTCAAAATTTAGGTCCATTCTTACCTTTTCAAGTATATTTTCCATTCCTGTCACCCCTGAGTCCTGGTGTTCCAGTAAACATGTTTTGCTATGTTCTGTTCTTTCTATCTTCTTTTTCTCCTATGGTTTCTTCTGTCTGGAATACAATTCACATGGCCATGTGACTCCCACCCTCCAACTGACTAACTCCCATGCCCAGTACTCTCCTCTGCAGGTAGTTGGTTTAACTGAAACCCCATGAAACTTTAATGGTGGCTCTGTAGCATGAACCTCTCCTCCCCTGGTGGACAATGAGACTCTTCAGAGAAGAGCCTGAAGCACTGCTGCCTCCTTCTCACTGTCACACATGCAACTGGGACTCAGATGTATTGAAAGAGTTAATTAATTAATTTTATTTCCTTATAGCACATCTTTGAAACCATTGCCCAACTATATTGATTTTAACATGCTTCCAAATATAAAATAATATGGGCTACAAAGCAAACTGAAATATGAATGTAAACAGAATAGAGTAAAAATTGTGACATAAACTTATAAGACAGTGAAATGGAATGTAAATATATATATTTATATTGTGAGAGAGATATATGTATATATATCTCACAAATGTTCAATATAACAACATGCAGAAGGGAAAGAATAACTCCTCCTCATGTTCATCTTTTCTGTCCAGAATAATTTCCTTTAAATGAAAAGGCATAACTAGTATATTTTAAGTGTTTTTAGACTAAGATTTTGAGACAGTCTATTAGAGTGAGAAAAGCATTAGACTTCAACAAAAAGACATTCATTCAAGTCCAGCTTTCTAACATACTATCTGGAAACCTTGTACAATTCACCTGACCTTCTATGTCAATTTCTTCGCATGTATTATAGCAATGATATCAAGAAATCATGGAGAAGATCAATAAATATATTTTTGGTAAATTTTCATAGTAAGTTATGGAACCCTGCTATAAACATGAGGTATTATTACTGAAGCAAGTGCCATTTTCAAATTATTTGTGGGTTGGAAATCATTTTTTAACAGAATTCAAAATGAATCTAGAAACTAAAATTGTGATTTTTTAAAAAAAAACAACAATGGAAATATCAAAATATTTTGAGATTCATCCCTGAATTAAACTGTGTCATTCCACTGCAGCCTCTGAATGATGGGTAGGCACACTGTTCTCCTGTCTTAACTCAAAGCATCAGTTTGTGTTTGCTGATGATTTTGTGTGTTGAGTTTCATTACTGTTATTTCTACTGAATAACTCTGACATCATAGTGATGGTTTTGCCTTAGCTGAAGGTCACAGCTGTCTGTAAGGAGTGTCTATAATGCACTTCACTATCCATATCTGCAATAACCCTCTTTCATGCTGCATTTCTTCCATTCAAATCATTATACTAATACCATAGCCTTTCACCTTTTAAAAAAGATAAGAATAGTCCTTCAATCACTGAAGGACTGGTTGGTACACTGTAGCTCTCTGTTTGCCGCAAAAATGACAGGGCATGTATTGTAAATTACACAGAACAAAGACTTTGAGGCAGGGAGACACAACCTGAAGTCTTAATGTCACCTCATTGACCTTGAAAAAGTTACCCCAGTAGTGTTCAATTTCAACTTCATCTACAATACGGAAATAAATGAGAGCATTAATGACCTAATCAGGTTGTTGTGAGATCTTTAAAGTAACATGTGAAAACTCTTTATACTAAACTATAAAATAGTGCTCAAATATTATTTATTATATTGTAAAAATGCTTTCAGTTCTTTAATAAGGCTAAATTGGGGGCAATATTTTTAGAATTATCAAATGAGAGATTTTGGAATTCCTGAGCGTGGTGGCAACACACAGAGAAATGGCTTGTTAATATCCACTGGGTAGAGCAGCGAAGTGGCATCAGGACCATAAAGGATGCAGTTGACAAGTCATAGCTGCTTGCCTTCCAGGAGGGATCTAACCTGCCTCTAACTACCTGGCTCCAGAGCAACATAGTTACATCTCCAATCCTGACTGCTTAACACAGTTATTCCCCTGCTCTCTCTTAATCTTTGGCATCTACGTGATATCTGAACACCTGACTCATAGCAGATTATTTTCCTATCTGGAAAGTGACCCGTATGGTACATGCCAGGCAGCTGTACTGAAGAGACTGTGCCTTAGGCCTGGGCCCAAATGTCTTGGGTTTGACACCTGTCTCTGACATTGGCTGATTTATGAATTTGGTAGAGGAACTCCATCTTCCTCAACTTGGGTGTCCTCATTTTTCAGAAATAAAAAATTGGGCTGGGGCAGTGGCTCACGCCTATAATCCCAGCACTTTGGAAGGCCCAGGCGGGCGGATCACGAGGTCAGGAGGTGGAGACCATCCTGGCTAACATGGCGAAACCCTGTCTCTACTAAAAATACAAAATGGCAGGCGCAGGTAGTCCCAGCTACTCGGGAGGCTGAGGCAGGAGAATGGCGTGAACCCGGGAGGTGGAGCTTGCAGTGAGCCGAGATTGTGCCACTGCACTCCAGCCTGGGCGACAGAGCAAGACTCCGTCTCAATAAATAAATAAATAAAAATAAAATTAAATAAATAATTAAAAATTACATCACAAAGGATTGAAATAATGGTTAAGTCTGATAACTTAACTGAAAGTGCAAAATAATTGCCTGATGACACACATTCAAATAAGAGCAAGTCCCTTCAGAAGTTGTTGCCTTCTTTTGAAACTTCGTGAGACTCTTAATATTGCATTGTCTTCAGAGGACTTAAAAAAACAGAAAACTCATAGTGTAATGCAGAGAGCTGTAATAGTTGCTTAGGAATAATTTCAAATTCCAGTACTAGCTTACTGGTGAACAATAGTTTCATTCTGATGACTCTTGTGGCACAGAGCAAGCACCAGGATGCAAATAGGTGGCAAGCCCTGACATAGGCTATTTGGGGTTTGAGGCAGGTTAATTGCTGAGCTTTTGGAAATAGTATCAAAGCGAAAATCACATTCGTCTCATTGAATCCAGAGTAAGAGTTAGAGAACCCTAGGATCTGAGTCTTCACAGGATGTGATCCTAAATTGCAAAGATTGTGTTGCAGGAATTTTGTCCGGGGCCCATAAATCTGCATGATTAACAAGCATCGTGAATGAGTTTGATTGTGGTTGTCCAGGGTATGGGAACCACATTTTAAGATGCTTTATAACAATTTTTCACAGAGAGGCTAGCTGTAGCCCCATGACAGTAAAGCTGGTGAATTAAGTCTGCTCAAGTAGCATTAATGTTATCTACCACGATAGCGAATAGAAAATTTATGAAAGTGGTACAATCTGCTGAGGCATCTGGGATTGCTCATTTCATCTTGGGCTATTTTCAGGTGCTGAAAGAATAGAAACAAAGTTCGATGATGAAACAGCTTTTAAAGCACAACCAAAGCCTGGCATTTTTTTTCCCAGCTGGTGCAATAAGATCTACAATGCATTTTTAAAGTTTTATACATTATTATTGTGCCTTCCACATACAACAACATAAATGCAAAATTGAGTGAAAAGCTAATGTAAAAAGAAAAACTAAAAAGCATTTCAAAGCTTAAAGTAAAACATATTGTGAGAAAAATATTCATCGATTTTACTATACTAAACTTTTCTATACAATAAAAATATTATAAATATGTTAAGTGATGAATTATAAACCAGAAAAAATTTGGAGTATGTATGAAAGATTAGGTGCACGTATATTTTTATATAAATAATTCTATGAGCCAATGGAAATTAGCATGTGCTGCAAAATAATAAAAGAGAAAGATCAAAATTTTAAAAGAGGAAATACAAATATTAATAAGCATAAGGAAAATATTTAATCTCATTAATAGCATTTGATTTTCTGAGAGGTGCTACAGAACATAATAAAATTCACCCTGGAATTCTCAATCTTTTCCTCTTCTCTGCTACATTTGGCATGATTTGGAAGTTGAGAAGCAAGCAAGCTTTCAGAAATTGATATCACCTGAGGTGAGTCCTAAACAATCGATGGAAATCAGTGAGATGAAGACAAACTCTCTAGCTAATGGCAATCACACTGAGAAAGGAAAGTCTGTGAAAGGAGTATATAAATGCACGCAGTCTCAGGCTGCTGCAGAGTGAAGAGCGTGGGTAGAATTGCCTGAAGCTGAAGCCGAAAGGTAAGCCAGACGATTGAGAGTCTTAAATGGCAAGCTATGGATTTGGTTGTGTAATATTGGCAGGGAGACATTTTTTAAAAATGAACTAAAGTGCGGCCGGGCGCGGTGGTTCACGCCTGTAATCCCAGCACTTTGGAGGCCGAGGCGGTCGGATGACGAGGTCAGGAGCTGGAGACCATCCTGGCTAACACAGTGAAACCCTGTCTCTACTAAAAATACAAAAATTAGCCAGGCGTGGTGGCGGGTGCCTGTAGTCCCAGCTACTCCGGAGGCTGAGGCAGGAGAATGGCGTGAACCCGGGAGGCGGAGGTTGCAGTCAGCCGAGATGGCGCCACTGCACTCCAGCCTGGGTGACAGAGAGAGACTCCGTCTCTAACAAAAAAAAAAAAAAAAAAAACAGGAACTAAACTGCACCTGTAGTCCCAGCTACTTGGGAGGTGAGGAGGGAGGATCAGTTGAGCCCGGGAAGTCAAGGCTGCAGTGAGCTAACAACTGCACTCCAGCCTAGTCACAATAGTCACAATATACTCCAGCCTGGTGACAAAGCAAGACCATTTCTCAAAAATAAAAAAATATTAAAAAAAGGAAAGAAATACAAGACAGAGCAAAACAAAAACAAGTAACTGAAAAGACCAGGCCATCCATGTATTTTTCTGTTTTTATTCCTGCATCCATTTTTGCAATAAAAGTTTATTAAGCAATGACCATCTGCCTCTTTTTCATAATCTATATGAGTCAAATGATGTCATTCCCCTGTTCAAATTCCGTGTTTTGTTTTGTTTTACCCACCTTCCTCAGTTAAAGTCATCATTATGAGAATAGCTCTCAGAATCCTACCTAAAGTCATATAAAAAGGGAATCAGATAAAAGTGAATTTGAGCCGTAATCCTAGCAGTTTGGGAGGCCAAGGCTGGCGTATCACTTGAGGTCAGGAGTTTGAGATCAGCCTGAACAATATGGTGAAACCTCGTCTCTACTAAAACTACAAAAATTAGCCAGGTGTGGTGGCTAACGCCTGTAATCCCAGCTACTCAGGAGGCTGAGGCAGGAGAATCACTTGAACCTGGGAGGCGGAGGTTGCAGTGAGTTAAGATCGTGCCACTGCACTCCAGCCTGGGTGACAAGAGCGAAACTCCATCTCGGAAAAAAAAAAAGTGAATTTGAATTAAATGGAAGGTATTTGTTTATTCTTGGGAGCTGTATCAAAACAATGGAATGAAATGTTAATATCTCCCCACCTACCAAGCCCCCATTGGACCAAACAACTTCTCTTCCTCCTTTGAAGCTCTAGCCTATGGATGTTTATCTCCAGAGTGACTTTAGTAATCAACCCATTGCTTTTAAGGATAAAAGGAAACTTGTTTATGAGTATAGAAGGCTCTTAAGACTCTCCTATATTCAGTAGTGGAGAATTCCATTTCCAGGATAAAGAGTAGCATGAATGCCTCTTGCATTACCCACATCTTATAGGAAAATATTTGCAGGTGAAACTGAAGTTACTGGGCTCTAGGAAGTGTGTAATTCCTGCCAGGTTAAGCAGCTAAGGATGAAGGATATGGAGTCAGTTTCCAATGGAGGATGACACTGAGAAAGACTTAGGTCCCTAAGAGAGCAAAGCTTGTGAGAATGCGGCATTTTGCAGAAGTGAGAAGCAACCCAAAGATGAAATGAGATGTGATCCGATTGGGCACCAGGTGTATTTGTTTCCTAGGACCTACTGTAACAAATTTTCACGACCTAAGTGGCTTAAAACAACAGAAATTTACAGTCTCACAGTTGTGAAGGATAGAAGTGTGATTGTCAGGGTCATCCTCTCACTGAAGTCCCTATGGGAGAATTTGCCCCATGCCTTCTGGCTTCTGGTGGTTCCTGGCAATTCTTGGAGCTGCTTGGCTTGTACACTTCTCACTCCAATTTCTGCCTTTGTTAACACAAAGCATTCTCCCTGTGTGTCTGTGTATTTGTGTCTCCTCTTCTTACAAAGACACCAGCCATATCAGATTAAGGGCCTATTCTACTCCAGCATGACCTCATCTTAATTTGGCTACATTATAAGAGACTCTTTTTTAAGAAAAGGTTACATTCACAGGTACTAGAGGTTAGGACTTGAACATCTTTTAAGGGGACACAATTCTAAAAGGGGACATCTTTTAAGGGGACACAACACTAGAAGTCACTCACTTTTGGGAAAAATCAATATGATCTTTTTTTTTTTTTTTTGACCTATGTATACTTCCTGGAATTCACTGGGAACCCCTGTGGGAGGGAGACCTGTATACACAGCCAATATGGCAGGCAGGGTCTTGGACCAGATTTAATGCAATTGAGAGAAGGAAAAGAGGTTACATTTTTACAGTGTGTTTTATGAAGAAATCGTAGTGATTACAATGAGAAAAGGGGGTTATTCCCACCATTATAAATGACAATCTATGCCCATTTAATGTGCAGTATTGACTCCAGATGACTCCTGGAGGGTAATGTGATGGTGTGGCCATCAACAGGCACCCAATCGTAAGTTGATTCTCAGAATTAGAAAACGGTTCAGAAGAGCAGGTTCTAGTTCCAGTTCTGCCCATTTCTAACTGCACTATCTCAGAGCAGTCACGTAATTTCTCTGTGTCTCAATTTTCTCAGCTAAATCCAGGTCTAAAAATGCTTATTCTGGCTGGGTGTGATGGCTCACGCCTGTAATCCCAGCACTTTGGGAGGCTGAGGCGGGTGGATCACGAGGTCAGGAGATCGAGATCATCCTGGCTAACACGGTGAAACCCTGTCTCTGCTAAAAAACAAAAAATTAGCCGGGCGTGGTGGCGGGTGCCTGTAGTCCCAGCTACTCGGGAGGCTGAGGCAGAAGAATGGTGTGAACCCGGGAGGTGGAGCTTGCAGTGAGCCGAGATCACTCCCCTGCACTCCAGCCTGGGCAACAGAGGGAGACTCCATCTCAAAAAAAAAAAAAAAAAAAAAAAAAAAAACTGCTTATTCTGCCTAACCATGCAGTGTTGAGATGCTCAGTAGAGATAATCCCATGTTAAATTTCCGAATAAAACTAAAGTGCACGAGAATACTTAAGAAACTATTCTCATTTTAGTTTGTCTTTTGTTTCCTAACTCTTTCTTTTTTCCAGGATGACTTGATACTATCAGAACTATTTTATTTTCTAACAACACAACTTATTTTAATAGGTTATTGCCATTCCAAATAAGTTATCCTTAGATCGATAAACCCAAATATTGGTCCTTAGCTCTTGATTCAAAATAATGGTCAGAAAACCTGTAGTATAATAATCGTAATAATGATAGTAAGTGCTATGTGAGGCTCAAACCTATATCCTTGAGTTACATATAATACTATAAACATCTTTTAACCAAGCTTACTCGCTTTAAAACACAAACTTCTATTTGTCTACACATAGACAAGATTTGCAAATTTCACAGAAATGCCAGAAAGTGATAAAGCTGCATTTGGTCTCATAGAAGCTTAGTAGCCTAAGAACCTAAAAGTTGGTAAGTGGCAGGGGCAAGTTTTGTGCTCTATGTGTGACTTCAGATCCTATGCATTTAAATTCAAGCTTTACAATTCTGAAGTCCAAGAATTGTTTATTTTTCTACTTGCATTGCATACAGAAATGTTGCTTGTATCACATTTCATAGTGATTAACTAAGTCACTTTTTTGTGATGGATTATTATAGATCATTATGAATTATGGAGTGAATGTGAATATTGTAAAACACCGTTTCAGAATCTTTCTAAAGGATTACTTGATTTCTTTTCTAATTTGACAAAGTAAAATGATATACTAAGTTAAAGAATCTGTACTATAAAATATGTCTTTGTTCCTAAATGTCCTACTAAGCTTGAACATGGAGATTTTTATTTTTTAAATAAATGTACTGCCTATTGTATTTTACAAGTATTTATTTGAAGTTTACTTATTTAAAGTCATAGGTAAGAGTAGAATGAAGTTTTCTTTTTGATGATGTCTTTGTCAGTTTAGTTACACCAATTGATCTAGCCTCAAAAGTGTGCTTGCAAACCCCTTCCTCCCTTTTTTTTTTTTTGTATGATCAGAAACAATTCATGTAGCCTACAAATAATTTGTTACTTGAAAGTTTGAAAGCACTCACCTATAAAACACTGCCTGGAGCAGACATTTCGAGGTAATATGATAGTCTTAAGTGTTCTCCCTTTCATTGATCTATTCATTTTTTCCTATCTTGAATCAGTTTACAAAATTAATATTGTGCTGAAAATTATTCATTTTCTTAAGATTTTCCAGTTTATTAGCATGGATTTCAATTCATTTATATTTTAAACATCTCATGTGTCTATCATTATATTTCTCTTTTCTAATGTTTGAGTACTCCTGCATTATTTTTGATAACATTTTCCATAATCTTTATTCAGATCTATGTTTTTATCTTTTTTATTTTTTATTTATCTATTTCTTTCCTAGAATTCTGAAATAATGTCTCATCTTTTTCTTGAGCACTTCACCATTCTTAACTATTGATTCTTCTATCCACTGAAACAATTATAATTTTTAATGAGTTTAAAATCATCTAAAGAAAAATGGTTTTTCATGAATATTTCCTAAGCTCATACTGTAGTTTCTTTATAACTCTTTATTTTAATTTCATATGTGAGTGAAAAAGACAAAAGCTTTTGCATGTTATAATATACATAAGCATAGAAAACCAAGTTTCTTCATATTCTAAAAGGAGTCTGGGTGTCTTCATGAGCTACCAACTGCTGGTAACCAAGGAGGTAAAATCACTGAATGCAAGTCCAATCCAACTGATATAATGTGATATATAATTACTGGACCTTTAGGGAAATGATTAATCTTTCAAGTTTCTAACCATTTCCCTCACTTCTCCAACAGCATCTGGATTATGAGTGTGTCTACGCATTTTAGAACAGTCAGCAGCCTCATCTGCAGAGAATCTTCCAGTTTCCCTAGTCCCAGAAGAGGAGCTGAGTCAGCTGCTTTTTCAGGTGAGCACTGAGGCACAATCTCCCCAAACCTTTGCTGGAGGCCAGGTAAGACAGTGCTGCCCACTCCAACAAGATATGGTGAGGATGTCCCAGGCAAACTCATTGCCGGTGTTGCTCCAGCATCAAGACTTTTTCTCAGTACATTTAATGGCATCAAAATATGCACCCCACTTTTTGCCATGCCCTCATCCCTCCCCCTGGGTTATTTCCAGGGGATAATTAGACTACCAGTGTCGACTCTTCTTGTTACGGGCCCATTGCCCTTTTACAGTGGCTATTTTCTGACAAACCCTTTACTTATTCATATTCCCTCCTTAATATACTTTTAAAATCCTTTTTAAGAATATGGAGACAACTCTTTGCTGGTTTATAATACTGGTGCAAATTTCTATTTTTATGACCCATTATTCATTTCAATGAGCAATTGGGAAATGGGATGAAGCCCAGATCAATTATGTTCAATTATTTGCTTTGCCTGGGAGTCCCATGGAGCGATTTTAAGAAGAAAATCTTTGAAAACAGCTACAGCTTCTTTCATAATTATTTGTCTATTCAGCTTTTCTACTTGTTATTGAGACACTTTGGGCAATTTGGATCTTCTGGGAGAGAAAAAGATCTTTTTCACTGGGATTTTCAAAATTAACAGCATAAAGTGGTACTTTTTATTTCCTTACGATATTGAAATCTCCACACTATCTGCTGTTATATCTCCTCTTATTTCTCATTTCCTGAAAGTCTCTTGTTTCCCTTTTGTAGATCCAAGTAGTCAACACTGCATTTAATTCATTAAAGTTTCCTAAAAAACACATCTTGAATTTATTTTTAATTTACATATTATCAGTTTGCAAATGTTATTTTTCATATTTATTTACCTGGATTAACTTCATTTACTTTTAATTTTCTACATCTAAAATTAAGTTCTGAATTCTTCTATTTTTGTTCTTTGTATAATTACATCTTTCAGAGTCAGCTTTTTTTGGCTAATGCAACCATAAATCCAATTTATTCCACTGATCATCAAATACTTAATCACCTACATCATGCCAACCACTGTGCTAGACACTGGAGCTAAAGTGGAGAAAAATGAATAAACTGGCTTCTTTTTAGAATGTCATTTAAATTTATGTGAAAGAGGTAAAAATTATAAGTGAATCAATAGTTGCCAAGTATTAGAAATGTGAAGGAAATAAAGAAGAACACTATTATGGAAAACAAAAGACCAGTTTCTAATTTACATAGGGTAGCCTTTAATGATCCTCAGGACAAGAAAATATTTGGCCAAACACTGGAAGTGGAAAGGGACATGGCATGGGAAAGAACTTTAGGTCAATGCAGCCTGAGATGAATGAGCAAGGGTAGGTTTCCATGAGATGAAATTGATAATACACACTAATTCACACAGGCTTCAGTTTCCCAATGTCTCTCATCACTGTCTTACACTCACCAAGGCATTTTTGTTTTCAGGTCTTCCACTCTTCCCTTCATTTCCAACTCCAACATATCTTCCATCATTCTCACAATAAATACATCATTTTTTACATTTACAGAGGAAAAGAGAGACACCAGACAGGAATTCTCTCAACTTCCAGCTAGCATACTTGCAAAACAAACATCCTTGTCACCCTCTTTCTTTTTTTTTCCTTTCCTTTTTTTTTTTATTATACTTTAAGTTTTAGGGTACATGTACAGAAAGTGCAGATTAGTTACATATGTATACATGTGCCATGTTGGTGTGCTGCACCCAGCAACTCATCATTTAACATTAGGTATATCTCGAAATGCTATCCCTCCCCAAAATCCCTCCACCCCACAACAGGCCCCGGTGTGTGATGTTCCCCTTCCTGTGTCCATGTGTTCTCATTGTTCAATTCCCACCTATGAGTGAGAACATGAAGTGTTTGGTTTTCTGTCCTTGCAATCATTTGCTGAGAATGATGGTTTCCAGCTTCATCTATGTCCCTACAAAGGACATGAACTCATCATTTTTTATGGCTGCATAGTATTCCA
Organism: Homo sapiens; assembly: GCF_000001405.40. Classification (NCBI taxonomy): domain Eukaryota; kingdom Metazoa; phylum Chordata; class Mammalia; order Primates; family Hominidae; genus Homo; species Homo sapiens. Next base: position 12,020,582 of record NC_000004.12, on the reverse strand, counting down.
TGGTGTATATGTGCCACATTTTCTTAATCCAGTCTATCATTGTTGGACATTTCGGTTGGTTCCAAGCCTTTGCTATTGTGAATAGTGCTGCGATAAACATACGTGTGCATGTGTCTTTATAGCAGCATGATTTATAATCCTTTGGGTATATACCCAGTAATGGGATTGCTGGGTCAAATGGTATTTCTAGTTCTAGATCCCTGAGGAATCGCCACACTGACTTCCACAATGGTTGAACCAGTTTACAGTCCCACCAACAGTGTAAAAGTGTTCCTATTTCTCCACATCCTCTCCAGCACCTGTTGTTTCCTGACTTTTTAATGATTGCCATTCTAACTGGTGTGAGATGGTATCTCATTGTGGTTTTGATTTGTATTTCTCTGATAGCCAGTGATGATGAGCATTTTTTCTTGTGTCTTATGGCTGCATAAATCTCTTCTTTTGAGAAGTGTCTGTTCATATCCTTCACCTACTTTTTGATTGGGTTGTTTGTTTTTTTCTTGTAAACTTGTTTGACTTCTTTGTAGATTCTGGATATTAGCCCTTTGTCAGATGAGTAGGTTGCAAAAATGTTCTCCCATTCTATAGGTTGCCTGTTCACTCTGATGGGAGTTTCTTTTGCTGTGCAGAAGCTCTTTAGTTTAATTAGATCCCATTTGTCAATTTTGGCTTTTGTTGCCATTGCTTTTGGTGTTTTAGACATGAAGTCCTTGCCCATGCCTATGTCCTGAATGGTATTGCCTAGGTTTTCTTCTAGAGTTTTTATGGTTTTAGGTCTAATATTTAAATCTTTAATCCATCTTGAATTAATTTTTGTGTAAGGTGTAAGGAAGGGATCCAGTTTCAGCTTTCTACATATGGCTAGCCAGTTTTCCCAGCACCATTTATTAAATAGAGAATCGTTTCCCCATATCTTGTTTTTGTCAGGTTTGTCAAAGATCAGATGGTTGTAGATATGCGGCATTATTTCGAGGGCTCTGTTCTGTTCCATTGGTCTATATCTCTGTTTTGGTACCCTGTTTCTTTCCCACAGGAGGAAATAGCATCTTCTCTACAATGATCATTTTGTCTGTATGACCCATCTTCCTAGGAACTCATCCAATCACATTCAGAATCATTATTCTCTATCTTTTAATGGCCCATCTCCATTTGCTTTTTTCTTTTTAGTTAAATACACTAAATTATCTCTCATATCATTAAAGTGTCCTTCAGTTTCTCATTTCTATTCATTGACCACTTTATGTCTGCCTTCACTTTTAGAACTAAGCTTTGTTTAAGTAAATAAAATATCTTTAACACTATGCTAAAACTGTCTTTGCATATTACCAATATCATCATTCTTGCCAAAATTATTGGAAAATATTCAGACTTTGACATACTTGATATACCTAAAATATTTGATCAGCAACTCTTTCTTCAAACACTCTTTTCACTCTGCATCTGGAATGCTGAAGATTTATTCTCCACTATGCGGCATCAATTAATTTATTTTCATAGTTATTTTATGTTTCCTTACCTTAACTGTTTTTGTTATTCATCATTTTATCCTAGAGTTGCTTCTCTTCATTCTTTCAGCAATGCTTTACCAAGCACCCTACTATCCACTGTATAATCTTCTCCATTGGCTTTAATTTCCCTAATTACACCCCACTCTCTATTCTGTGATAGCCTATCTCTCTCTCTCTCTATCCCACCCCACCCTTCTGTATGTCTCTCTCTCTCTCTCTCTGTCTCTCTTCCTCTCTCTCTCAGTATTAAAATTTACATAAAACTCTACTTCTATTGATCAACACTTGGGTGTCCCCTAGACATAGCTGTATGAACATTTCTAAGACTTCTAGAATCATCTTATTTCTACTCTTATCTGCTTGTGCTACAACATCCCCTCTTTCAGTAAATGCCATCTTCACCTAAGTCATTGTTTATACCAGAAATCTGAATGTCATCTAGCAGTTCTTCTACTTCCTTAACTCATACGATGGATCATAAGAGCCCAGTGGTTCTATTTCCCAAGTGTGCACCACATCAGTTTCCTTCTACTTCAATCCATTGTTACACCATTCTTTATGTCAAGCAATTGTCCTCTCTCAAATTTTTCACTTATTAATTTGAAAATCTTTGTTGAGTGACAACTATTTTCCAAGCACTATTCAAGGTCCTAGAGACTTATCAGCAAACAAATCAGGTGAACATTTCTGCTCTTTTGAGGCTCACATTCTAGTAGGGGAGAGAGTGAAATTAGCAGTAGGTATAATACATTATTGAGGAGCATCATAACAATTGCTAAATGTTATTGTAATTTTTGGTCACAAAGAGGATTAGGTAAAACATTTTTAGTTATTCTAGTCCAGTTTAAGCAGATAATATCTTAACTTCAGTTATATCTGCACTTTTTGTTTTTTTTTTTTTTTTTTTTTTGAGTCAGAGTCTCACTCTGTTGCCAGGCTGGAGTGCAGTGGTGTGATCATGGCTCACTGCAACCTCTGCCTCCCGGGTTCAAGCAATTATCTTGCCTCAGTCTTCAGAGTAGCTGGGAGTACAGGTGCGCACTACCACACCCAGCTAATTTTTGTGTTTTTAGTAGCAACTGTGTTTCACCATGTTGGCCAGGATGTTCTCGATCTCTTGACCTTCTGATCCACCCACGTAAGCCTCCCAAAGTACTGGGATTACAGGTGTGAGCCACAGCGCCTGGCCATATCTGCACTTTTACTTCTCTCTTTCCACATACTTTATGTTATTGATGATAACTATTACACATTTTCATGTTATGTATACATTAACAATTTTTGTTACTATTGATATTATTAACATTTCTGTCTTTCAATTTTTTTACCAAAATTATGAGTAGTCTGCATACCAACAGCACAGTAATATAGCATTTGCCTTTAAAGTTACGTGTATGAAGTGGGTTTTATACTTCCGTATGCTTTTCTTTTTTTGTTTAGTGTCCACTTGTTTCAACTTGAAAATCTCCCTTTATCATTTCTTGTAAAGCAGGCCTGCTGGTGATAAACTCCCTCAGCTTTTAGTAGTATGAGAAAGTCTTTATCTCTGCATTTTTTTTCTCCTGCATTTTTAAAAGAGCATTTTTACAGATATAGAATTCTTAGTTGAATTTATTTTTCTTTCAGCACTTTGAATATGCCACTCCACTTCTTTCTTGCCAACAGTGTCTCTGCCGAGAAATTCACCAAAGTCCTTTGGGAACTTTCAGCCACTTTTCTTTTGTTGCTTTCAAAATCATCTCTGTCTTTGGCTTTTGACAATTTGATTATAGCGTGTTTTAGTGTAGACCTTTTTGGGTGGGTCCTATTTGGATTTTGGGCGGCTTTATGAATCTGGATGTTCATTTCCTTCCACAGATTTGGAAAGTTTTCCGCTATTATTTTGTTATATGTGTTTTCTGCCTCTTTATCTTTCTATTCTTCTTTTAGAACTCCAATAATGTGTCTATCATTTCAAATGATGGTGTCCCTTAAGTCCTTTAGGCTTTCTTCACACTTATTTATTTTTATTTTGTTATTATTTTTTGTACTCTGAGTAGATAATTTCAAGTGATCTTTCTTTGAGTTCACTGATTATTCTGCTTGATCAAGTCAGATGTTTAAGCTCTCTATTGAATTTTTCACTTCAGTTGTTACATTCTTCAGCTTCAGAATGTCTTTTTGGTTTCTATCTGTTTTTCATGACTTAACTCTCTTAGTTGATACTCTGATTTTTTTAACGTATCATTTTTCTTATTAAATTTAGTTTTCTATCAGTGCTGCTTTTTAGCTTGCTGTGCTTCTTTAAGGTGAATATTGTAAATTCTTTGCCAAGCAATTAATGACTGCATTTATTTAGGCTTAGTTACTGGAGATTTATTTCATTCGTTGTTGTCCTATTTCCCTTCTTCTTCATGTTCCTTGTAGTTTTACAGTGATGTCTGCATATTTGAAGAAGTAATCACCTTTTTCAATTTTTCCTGACTGGCTTTGACAGGGAGAGATCATCATCAATCAGCCTGGGTGGAAATTCTGGAAGCCTCTCAAATATTTTTTCATGAAAGGACATGTTTCACTTTTCTTTCTCTTTCTCCAGGGCGAAGTTTTAGAATTTTGTGCCCTGACTCAATTCTGCAAAGTTGCTCTGGGTGCTTGAGTGTAAGCTGAACTTTTCTCTCTCATTTCTGAAAGAGATGTCTCAAGAGTGTGTGCTTTGTCCCAATCCTGCAAAGCAGAGGCAACTTCTGACAGCAATGCTGTTTGCTGAGGTTCTTGATGGGTGTTGAGATCCATGAAGGCTGGTGCATTATGTGCAGGTTAGTGTGGTGGACATTGAGAGCTGTGATCAGTGCTGGGTGCTGATGACTGTGCTGTCTGCTGGGGGCACCACTGCTGAAGACCACATTAACTCATGTGAGCCATATAGCAATTTGTGCCAGCCCTTGTGATCAGCACCAGTGCTAGGGGACTGTGCTGGCTATTGGGCACACATATACTTTTGACTACTGAGATTCACCTTTTTCTCCACTCCATTTTAGCCACCTCTATGTATTCCAACTATGAAGGGGCCCCAACCACCCTGGGTGAGTTAAGTCAGTAGTAAGTCTCTTGAATAGTGCCCCAAAAAGTGTATTAGTTGCAACTCTTGCTCTTTCCTTTCCTTGTTGGACAAATCTCTGATCAAGATTATCTCTCTTGGCACTAAAGTAGGCTGACTTGGGGAAGCATGAGATGTTGGCAAAGTGAAACTTACCTTTTTACTTTTTCCATGTCACTTCTTGGTCCCATGCTCTTTGGGGTGCTGTAATGTCTTAACTGGATTCTGGGGTTCTCACAAAGGTATTCTGGTTCATAAATAGTTGATAAATTGGTGATTCTATAGGAAGAAGATACCTGATACCTCTTATTCTAGTATCTGGCTGGCATCACTCTCTCTCTCTTTTTTTTAAACTCCCCTGTGACTTTGATGTTAAACTAAGGTTCTGAACTACTGTGTAAGAGTTCTGAACCTGTGCTTCACAGACCTCCAAATAATTTGTAACTTTGGAAATAAAATTATTTTTAAAAATTTTGTTTTCACTAACTTCTAATTTAAATTTAGCTTGTCCTTCTATTATGAACTTAGATAACTAATCACAGTAATATATGCAGTATTTATGACTTTGCTACTAAGATAATTTATAGATAAGTTCAGATTACATTAAAAATGTTGCAGATATCTCAAGATTATTTACATTCATTATTATTCTGCTATCATGTTATTTATGATACCTGCCACTAGATATTGTTATTTCATACATTAATAAACAAACATCTATATTACTATATTACACATTGGTTTTATGTTAATATTTTAATAGTTATATGTAAATGTAACTGTAATTTCCTTGCTATCTTAGTTATTTACTTTGTGCAGCTCTAACATTACTTTTAGGAGGGAAAGGATCCATAGTATCAATTTGATAGTCCAAGAGTTCATATAGAACTCTTGAGAATATAGAACCTTAAGAATCTTTGCTAAGGAGACCTTTCTTTTTCCAGGTGGTCCTAGTTCACAGACAGCCTAGGCACAGCCAGACAACCATCGTCAGCAAAGTCATCTCTCATCACATAGTAGGCTGCACCCTTGTTAGCCTAAAAATCTATACGTTGAGTTCACTAACAGCACTAATTTCAATTTTGCATGTTGATCTTTTTATTAAGGTCCGTTTTCTTGAATCTTCAACCATTTTCTGTTTTCTTGTTATAGGAGACTGATGAGGAGGTATTTCTGGGAGTTGGTTTAATTTCCCCCCTTATTTAGAAGTTCTAAGCATATGTATTTTTAAGAATGTTTACTTGGTATTACATTTCCAAGTTATATTCCACGGGGCCTCATTGCTCCAAGGGTACAAATGAAAAACACTAAAATTAGAAAGTCACTTTGAACCTAAATATAATGTACTTTCATCCTCTAGTTGTAACATTTTTGACAGTGTTTTCCAATTTGTTCCGTGGACAAAGTCATATGTATTTTCTTAATTTTAATTCTGCAAAGAGAGTTTTACCTTTAATCCCACTGTAGAACTTACCAGTGTGAATATTTTCATATGTTAGGTTAGACAAGGTCTTTATCCTTCAAGAAGACCTATAATACTCTTCACAAAAATTGTGAGGGGCTACCTACAAACTGCCAATATGCTGGCCTTGATTTAATCTTCAGCTTCTTTATGAACTTTGACTTACATTCTAGGACATAATCAGATGTGATGTTTCTTCTCTTAATCTGGAAACTTATAGAAGCCTGTCCACAAACTTCTTTTCTAATAATAATGATATTTAATTTTAAAAATCCAATGAATTTCAGCACCTCGGTGAATAATAGTATCAAATAGGATTGAAAATACTTAAATCAGTGTTTTAAAGATGATCCTTATAGCTTATCATGAAAAAATACTGAAATTCTGTATTTGACAATATTTTCATCAAAATTTATTTTTGACTCTCTCTTCAATATTAACAAATAAGTGATGTTTCCCATCACTTGTCATAAGAAAGTAAAAGGCAGAATAGAAATCACCACATGTGCCCAAAATGAATAATGCTACAATTGTTCTTCCCACATCTGATCTAACTCAGAGCAAGGAAAACAACTAGCAAAGATATGCTGGAAATATTATTTAGCTGTAGTGTAGCATCAAATTATCAATTAATTATATTTTCATTTACTACCTTCTCTTTATGCCTTGTTCCTTTAAAAATCCCCCAATATTTTGGATTCTCCACAGAACTGAATTTTTCACATGACTTGGAGAAGTATGAAGGAAAGACAAAATTACATAAGAAAAGCATCTTAAAATTATCATTAAAAATCTAACTTGGTGTGATGGTTAATTATGTATGTCAACTTGGCTAGGCCATTATACCCAGATACTTGGCCAAACATTATTCTAGATGTTGTTGTGAAGCTATATTTATATAAGATTAATATGTAAATAAGTAGACATTGAATACAGAAAATTTTGGGACACATCCAATTATTTGAAGGTCTTAGCAGAAAAGACTGAACTGCTATTCTTTTCTGGGTCCCTACCTTACTGGCATCCTCTGAAATTTTTAGATGTGTAATTGTAATCAATCATATGGGCTAATTTCTTAAACTCTCTCTTGCATATATATATATATATATATATATATATGTGTGTGTGTGTGTGTGTGTGTGTGTATGTATATACACACACATATATATGCTTATATATGAATTATATATTTAATTATATAATAATAAATATCTGGGTATAATGGCCTAGCCAAGTTGACCCACAAAGTTAACCATCACACCACATTAGATCCTAACTGATAATTTTTGGATGCTTTTCTTATGTTATTTTGTCTTTCCTTTGTATTTCTCCAAGGCATGTTGAGAATTCAGTTCTGTGGAGAATCCAAATTATACATAAGATGTATAAAATTATATATCTTATATATAAATATATATGTTCCTAAATATATTTTTATATAATTGGTGTGCTGCTTCAGAAATCCCTAACTCATACACTTGATAATATAAAAAAATCATATAAAGAACAGTATTTCATTAATGCAATAAAATATGTGGTAGTAGTTATTTTGTCAGACCAGTTAAAATTGAGCTTAAAATTCTACCTTTTTCATAATTAAGAAAAATTGGCAGCTGGGTATGGTGGTTCATGCCTGCAATCCCAGCACCTTGAGAGGCTGAGGTGGGCAGATCGTTTGAGCTCAGGAGTTTGAGACCAACAACACGGTGAAACCCCATCTCTACTAAAAATACAAAAATTAGCCTGGGAGTGGTGGCACATGACTGAAGTCCTAGCTACTCAAGAGGCTGAGCCATGAGAATCACTTGAGACTGGGAGGCAGAGGCTCTGTGAGCTGAGATCACACCAGTCTGGTGACAGAGCAAGACTCCGTCTCAAAATAAAGAAAAAGAAAAGAAAAAGTTGCTCCAGCAGTCACTGTGGCATTCCAAGTGGTTTCCATTTTAGAGATCTCCATTTCACTGGCTTGCTAATATCAGTCACGGTATAATCATTTATTCAACCATGATTTATTGAGTACCTCTGTATTAGTCTGTCCTCACCCTGCTAATAAAGATATACCCAAGACTGGATAATTTATAAAGGAAAGAGGTTTAATTGACTCATGGTTCAGCATGACTGGGGAAGCCTCAGGAAACTTAAAACTGTGGCAGAATGAAGCAAACATGTCCTTCTTCACATGGTGGCAGCCCGGACAAGTGCTACACAAAAGGAGGAAAAGCCCCTTATAAAACCGTCAGACCTCGTGAGGACACACTCACTATCATGAGAACAGCAACATGGGGGTAACTGTCCCCATGATTCAACTAGTTTCACCTGGTGCCTCCCATGACACGGGGGACACAGCCAAACTATATCAGCCTCCTATGTGCAGGCTCCATTCTTAGGACTAAGAATACTATGAAATGAGACTAGATATTTCCTTGTGGAATTTACATTGTAGTCATGGGTATAAAACTACAAAAATAAACGGGGAAGTGAGGGAAATAATTAAAGATGATGATAAGTATTTAAAAAGAAATAAGCAGAATCCTGGGAGGCATAATAGCATAGAGTTATTCAGGGAAGGCGTCTAATGGAAAAAATAAAATCTAATACTGGAGGATACAGAAGATCCAGTCAAGAGCAGAGCCAAGAGAACATTCCATGCAGTGAAAACAACAAGTGCAAAAGCCTGAGATGGGACAAATCTTGAAATACCTAAAGCTGTAGCTTAAGGTTGATGAATGAAGGAGGGATGCAATGGCACAAGATACAGGGCTTTCTGGGGCATGTAATGTGATGCAATTGAAACACCTCAAGCATAGGTGATAGGAGACATTGATCTGATAAGTTATTTAAAAATTATGGTTTACTGTATAGATAAGACTTTGTAGGGGGGTTCGAATGGAAGTCAGTTACTTGACTATTGCAGTAGTTCAAGCAAGAAATTATGGTGGTTTAAGTTTACTGTTAGTAGTGTATCTATATGGTACTCTTATTCTGTAAAGTGCAACAACTGCCTCTGAGATCACCAAGATTTCTTCAATATAAATGATGCTTGATGATTTGCAGTAGTGGCACATCCAGGGAACATAGCCTAAAAATCCTAGGAGACAGAAGAACAGCCAACTGGAAAATGCTTCAAGATTTTCCTTAACCCAGTTAATTTTAAAAATCCAGGTACAGTATTAACTAAAGTGTGCTATGAATTTGTAATCTGACTATAATCCTATAATATGCATATTTTATATTTTAAAGTCCTATATATAATAATATATATATGAATGCCTGATGAGATAATATGTATCAATAAAGAATATTTTAGCCTAAAATACACACCAGAAAACTTGGTTACCAAGGTCTTTGTTTTTTTCATGTAAAATAAAATTCAAAGTTAGGAAGCCATTGGTTTGGGTCAGTAGCTCAAAAATTTAGTGCCAATCTACTCTTGCCTTCTCCCCATGGTCATAATATGATTGTTGCACCTCCAGCCATCATATCTGAATGTATCTGGACTCAAAACATTTTAAAAGAGAAAAAGTAAAGAGGTGGACTACTGCCTATCTCATTAGTAAAATCGGTGCCAATTTTTCAATGTCTTAATACAAAGAAGCTTTATAAATGATTTCACCGTGTATAACCTCTATCATAGATTTGCCAAGGGAGAAAGGAGGTTGATAAAACCCACATCTATAGTTGTAATACTTGATTTGAGGTTTTATTCCAAGTTAATAGTACAAAATTATTGTATTGTGCTTTTATTATATGACATTACATAAGTTAAAAAAAAAGTTAACATTTAAATACAGGTGGGTCTAGTTTTAAATTATGGTTCAAACCACACACTTTGTGACCTTTTAAAAAGATATAGCCTCTAGAGTTTAGTTTCCTAGTTCGTACAATTTGGTAACAAGGATTAGAGATGATGTTTATAAAGGATCTAGAAACCTACCTGTTACTCAATAAATGGTAGTTTTTTTATTCTTTATATATCCACATATATCTCCAGTACCCTATTCCTATTTTATAAGCAAAGTAGAGTGTAAATTTTAAAAAGAAAAAAATGCAGTAAAATTTCAAGCTTAAAGTTGGATGAAGCCATGTCTGCATGTGTTTCTCCATCTGTAAAATGATAAAGATAGACTGGGCTGTCCCTTCAGTTACTTGCAATTTTAGTATTTACCTATTTCTAGAAGATTACATATTTCAAGACAAAACAAATAGAAAACACATTGAGCAAATCTTAGGGTAGTTGTATCTGGACACCTAGGTGGAGCAGATTACAAATTTGTGTAGTGAAGTTGACCCTATTGTTTTGCCACATTAGGCAATAAGAGTAACAAGTTGTTTGAATTTACTAAAAAGAGAAAGCAGTTCAGTTTTGTCTTTGGATACATTTATTTTTTCTAGAACTGAACTCAAGTGGTAAGGTATCCTATGAGTTCTTGACAAAGGGTTCTGAAGAACAAAGTGGACAATATCTTTAAATGTGATTTTACAAAGTAGCAGAATGCAGTTCAACTGATTGAATCTTAGAAAAAATATCTCTAGAGGCAGAGAGAATTACTAGAAAATTGTAATGGAGTAGAAGTAGTTGTGTGTGGGCAGGAAATAAAGTGACCTAAATACTTCTCTGAAGCAAGGCTCAATACACTGAAATCCAGGCTTAAGGCAGAGCTAAAAATAGATGAAGTTTCTTATAAAGGAGAAAAATAGCACTTTCTCCAAAGAAAGTGCCACTGAGCCTAATAAAGGTATTAGATAATTAGATCTTTTTTTTTAAATAAACATTTTCCTTAATTTAGGGACTTGATGTGAGGTTATTGATATCTCTTTTGGAGCTGACCTAGCATCTGTGGAAAGAAGGAAGGAAGAAAGAATGGAAGGAGGGAGAGAGGAGGAGCAGAGGGTCAAAGAAGGAGGGAAGTAAGGAAGGAAATAAGAAAAAAAATAGTAAAAGAATGAGCCTCAAATTTGGAAAGAAAGAAGTAAAGCTATCTCTTCATGCATAACATAATCCTATACATAATAAATACCAAGCAATCTATTTTTTAAAGTATGACATTTAATAAACATATACAGCAAAGTTTCAGGGTACAAGGCCAACATGAAGAAATCAGTTGTGTTTCTCTACATTAGCAACGAGCAAGCCAATGATATCAAAAACTTCACCTGATGTATGATAGCATCAAACAGAATTAAATACATAGGGAAAGTTTTACCCAAAAGGTGAAAGACATGTACATTGAAAACAATACATTACTGAAATAAATTAAAGAAGACCTAGATAAATGGAAAGATACCCTGTGTTTATGGAATTAAGATTTTAATATTATAATACTAATATTACCTAAAGCATTTCATAGATTCAGTGAAATCTCTATCAACAGCTTTTTATTTTTTTTTTGGCCTAAATGGGAAAGTTGATCTTTAAGTAATATTGAGAAGGAAAAAACAAAGAGGAGATTCATACCAACTGATTTTAATATTTACTCCAAAGCTACATTAATCAAAACTGTGTGATATTGATATAAAGTAAGAGACCAATAATTGAGAGTTCAGAAATAATCCCATACATCTATCACCAACTTTTTAAATAAGGGTGTCGAGATTATGTAGGATCTTGAGAAGAAAATATAGTATCTTCAACAAATGGTACTAGATAAACTAGATAGACATTATTATTTTAAAAAATGATGTTGGACACCTACCTCACATTGTGAAAAAGAAATACCTCAAATCAGACATCAAATCGGGCATCAAATGCATGAGCAAAAAAAGATAGAAATAGATACATTGGGCTTCATAAAAATTTGAAACTATTGTGAATCAGAGTACTTTAATAAGAAATTGAAAAGACAACCTTCTGAATTAGAGAAAATATCTGAAAATCATGTATCTGATAAGGATCTAAAATGCAAAATACATAAAGAACACTTGCAATTCAAAAACAAAAAGACACCTGTACCGAATATCTCATGTACCCCATAAATGCATACACCTACTATGTACCCACAAACATTAAAAATTAAAAATTAAAAGACAAGCAATTCAATCAGACAGGCAAGGTCTTGAGTAGAGATTTCTTTAAAGAAGATATACAAATAATCAAAAAGTGTATGAAAAGATGCTCAACATCATTAATAATGAAGAAAATGCAAATCAAAACAACAATGAGATATTTCACACCCAATTGGATAGCTGTAAAAATTTAAATATCCGGTGTTGTCAGGGATGTGGAAAATTTAGATGCTTCTACATTGCTGGTGGAAATATAAACCAGTTCAGCCACTGTAGAGAACTTTCTGTTGATTCCTCAATATGTTAAACATGAAATTACCATATGAGACACAATTGCATTCCTAGATGGACACCTAAAGAATGCAAAGTAGGTACCCACACAAATATATGTACGCACATGTTCATAATGGTGTTATTCATATTTGCCAAAAGATGGAAATAACCTAATGTCCATCAGTGGATGAATGGATGAAAAAAAATTGGCATATGCATACAACTAAATATTACTCAGCAATAGAAAGAAACCCCATACTAATAGGTCCTTCAACAAGCATGAACGTCAAAAAAAACATGTTAAGTGGAAGAAACCAGAGCCAGACACCAAAGGTCACATATTATATAATTCTATTTATATGAAATATACACAATAGGTAAGTCCATAAAAATAGAATGGGTTAATGGTTACCTGGTGCTCTGTGGACTAGAGTATGGGGTGTAATTGCCTTATGTGTATGAGGATGCTTTCGGGATGATGAAAATGTTTTGAAACTTTTTGGAACTAGATAGAGGCATAACATTTTGAATATACTAACTGCCAATAAATCGTTCACTTTACAATGGATAATTTTATGGCATGTGAATTTCACCATTTTTTATTGGCAAACGATTTGAATAGATATTTCTCCAGGGATGATATACTAATATTGAATAAACACATGAAACATAATTAGGTATTAAAGAAAAGCAAATCAAACCACAATGAGACACCACTTCATACTCACTAGGATGGCTGTAATAAAAAGACAATCGTTTGTGTTGATAAGGATGCAGAAAATCACCCTCATACTTCTCTGGTGGTACTTGTATAGGCTCTTTGAAATCTAGTTTGGCAGTTTCTCAAAAATATGAACTTAGAGATTCCACATGACCCAACAAATACACTTAGAATATGTAACCAAGAGAAATTAAAACACGTCTACATAAAAATTTGTACACAATTGTTCACAGCAGCATTATTCATGGTAGCCAACAAGTGGAAGCAAGTCAAATGTCCATCAGCTTATTAATAAATAAAATGTGGTGTGTTTATACAAACAAATATCATTTAGCCATGGATGAACTTTGAAAATGTTAATTGAAAGATATCAAACACAAAAGGCAATATATTATTTGATTTCACCTATATGAAATGTCCAGTTATGCAAATAAATAGTGACAGAATGTAGATTAATGACTTCCATGGGCTGGGGAGAGGGGTTATGGGGAGTGTCTGTTAATGGGTTTCTTTGAGAGGTGATACATTTTGACATTAGATGCTGGTGATGATTAATCACCTTTGTGATTAAAGTCACAGAATTACTTTCAAAGGATAAATATTGTACTGTGTGAATTATATCTGAATTTTAAAAATTCTCAAAAAGATCAGGTGTCTGAACTAAGTCTCCCTCACTCCCCCAAAATCCTCTGCATTACTATGCTCTGGTATTTTCAAGCAGAAAGACATAATTAAAAAAAAATTACAAGCTACTTGAACCCTGGTGAGATTCTCACAAATCCCTAAATAAGCCATCATAGTCTGATTCAAACCTCCCTTTCATGGTGACTGTGATAAATGGCAGAACTCAATATTTGTGGTCATCTACAATGAATTAGGTATATGGCGATTTGCTAAACTACAAGTACTGAGTCTTCATCATAATAGTAACAGTTAAGTGAAAACAATGAGTGGATTGTATCAGATGAGTGATGCAGGGGAAATATTGAATACTTTGCTTGATTTCCAAGGCCCGCATGGTTCTTTGTCTACTTGCCTTTGCTTCTTTTCCTCTCCAGTTCCTTAGCTGGAGTTAATGTGTTCCTGACTTACTCCTATCTACCTCTGGGGTCTGGATGATTTTATTTCTATTCATTTACCATGATAGTTTGCTGAACTCACTTGTGAGTCTTAAATAAATATACACAATAGTAGGGAAGTCACAAGGAAGTATGCTTAAATCTCAGCTCAAACCTTTACTAGCTGGGTGAGCTTAGTAAAAGCATTTGAAGGTCTCTGATATTCAGTAGAAATACCAATCTCATAGGCTTGTGCTAAAACTCAATGAAATGTGTGTGTAGGCCCTACAGAGTTTCTAGCACAGATAAATATTTCTCATGTTCTACCTTTCTCTGTGGCTGAGTTGAGTACAACTTACAAAAACCCATAACATGGCCAATCCACAGAGCCTGTCTTGATCCTAATTCTGGTCTACTTTTCCATAGATGTAAGTAAACAAATGACTGATTCCCACCCTCTACACACTAAAGGCTGTTCCAGGACTATGACCCAATAAAGCCTCCTCATTCATCCTCAGGGCACCTGAGGGCAATGCATCCAGATGGAAGTTGACAGAAAGGGAGGCTGCTGGGTAACCAGACAGTTGTGCAGGAGCAGTTAGTTATCAAAGCTGCAGGGACTGAGGAAAGGATGAGATCAATTAAGCCTTGAAACTGCTGCCAGGGTGAAGGTAGAAAACTGAAGTGAGCTGATGCTTTAATCTGACAAAAGATTTCCATTAGATTAAATTTATCTTCCAAATTTAGAACAAAGAACAGCATGCTGTTTCTCTGAGTGGGCCTTAAAACAGTATGAGTAAAACAAAATCTGCTCCACATCCTTGCCAGCATTCTAGTAGGTGTGAAATAGTAGCCTGTTTTGGCTTAAATTTGCACTTTTCTGTTGACTGTGTTAGGCACTTTCTTTTAACATGCTTATTGGGCATTCCTATACCCTTTTTAGTGAAGTACATTTTGAAAATATGTGACCATTTTTATTGAGTTGTGTCATTTTTTATTTATATCAATTTTCCATATAATCCAGTGAAAGTTATTATAAGTTTTTTCTCAGAATTATGCCATTGATATCTTCTCAGTCTGTGGTTTTCTTTTTTTATGCTTTATGTTGTTTTAAATTTATGATAAAATGCATAGAATATAAAATTTACCATTGTAACCTTTTCTTTTTTTTCAGACAGAGTTTTGCTCCTGTTGCCCAGGCTAGAGTGCAAAGGCAGGAACTTGGCTCACTGCAACCTCTGCCTCCTGGGTTTAAGCAACTCTTCTGCCTCAGCCTCCCTAGTAGCTGGGATTACAGGCACCTGCCACCATACCCAGCTAATTTTTTTATTTTTAGTAGAGATGGGGATTCATTGTGTTGGCCAGGCTGGTCTTGAACCCCTGATCTCAGGTGATCCGCCCACCTTGGCCTCCCAAACTGCTGGGATTACAGGCGACAGCTACCGCACCCGGCCCATTGTAACCATTTTTAAGTGTATAGTTCACTATTGTTAAATGTATTTACATTGTTGCACTATCAATCTTCACATTTTTATCTTGCAAATCTGAAACTCTATACCAGGTAAATAATTCTCTATTTCTCACTGCATCTAGCCACTGGTAACTGCCATTCTACTTTCTGTTTCTATGAATTTGACTATATACCTCATGTAAGTGAAATCCTACAGTACTTATCGTTTTGTGGCTGGCTTATTTTATTTTGCATAATGCCCTCAACGTTCACCTATGTGGTAGCATGGAACAGAATTTTCTTCTTTTTTATGGCTGAATACTATTCCATTATATATATGTACACATTTACATATGTAGGCATGTGTGTATACGTATGTGTGTGTATATATCTGTGTATATATACATTTTGTTTATCCTCTCACCCATTATGGACACTTGGGTTGGGTTGCTTCCACCTCTTGGCTATTGTGAATAGTGCTTCTATTAACAGAGGTATACAAACATCCTTTTGAGACCCTTCTTTCTTTTTTTTTTTTTTTTTTGAGATGGAGTCTCACTCTGTCGCCCAGGCTGGAGTGCAGTGGCGTGATCTCAGCTCACTGCAAGCTCCGCCTCCCGGGTTCACGCCATTCTCCTGCCTCAGCCTCCCAAGTAGCTGGGACTACAGGCACCTGCCACCACGCCCAGCTATTTTGTATTTTTAGGAGAGACGGGGGTTTCACCGTGTTAGCCAGGACGGTCTTGATCTCGTGACCTCGTGATCCAGCCACCTCGGCCTCCCAAAGTGCTGGGATTACAGGTGTGAGCCACCGCGCCCAGCCAAGACTCTTCTTTCAATTATTTTGCATATATACCCAGAAGTAATATTGCTGAATCATATGGTAATTTTATTTGGAATTTTTTGAGGAATCACCATACTGCTTTCCACAGCAGCTGCACTATTTTTCATCTACTAGTGATGAATAAGAGTTGCAATTTCTTCACGTCTTCACACTTTTCTGTTTTTTTTGATAGCAGCCATCCTGATGGGTGTGAGGTGACATATCATTGTGGCTTTTATTTGCATTTCCCTGATGATTATAGTGATGTTGAGCATCTTTTCATTATGTCTGTAGACCTTTTGTATACCTCCTTTGGAGAAATGTCCATTTAAGTCATTTACCCTTTTTTAAATTTGGTTATTCATTTTTATTGTTCTTGATTTACAGACATTTATTATATATTTTGGATATTAACTTCCTACCAGATGTATGATTTGCAAGTATTTCCTGCCATTCTATAAGTTGTTTTTCATTCTGTTAATAATGTCCTTTGATGCAAGAAGTTTTTAATTTAAGACTAGATTAGATTTACCCATTTTTTAATTGTCTTTCTGATGCTTTTAATGTCATATCTAAGAACTCTGCCAATTCGAATATCATATAGCGTTTCTCATGTGTTTGTCTAAGGGTTTTATACATCTTACATTTAGGTCTTTAATTCATTTTGAGTTGATTTTTATATATGGTGTAAGGTAAGATTCCAATTTCATTATTTTGCTTGTAGAAATACAATTTTCCCACCACCATTAGTTGAAAAGATTGCTCTTTTCCCCACTAAATGATCTTGGATCCCTTGTTGAAAATCATTTGACCATATATGCAAGGGTTTTCTCCTAGTCTCTTTATTCTATTCCATTGGTTTACATGTCTGTCTTTATGCTATTACTGCACTATTTTAGTCAGCTAGGGATGCTCTAACAAAATATCATTAAGTGGGTAGCTTAAATGACAAAAAGTTCATTTCTCACAGTTCTGGTGTCTGGAAATTTCAAGATCAAACTAACAATAGTTTCAGTGTCTAGTGAGGGCCTGTTTCCTAGTTCCTAGACTGCAATTTTCTCACTATATACTCCCATGGTGGAGAAAGGAAGCAAGTTCTCTTGGGATTCCTACAAGAACACAAATCCCATTTATGAGGGCTCCACCAGCATGACCTCACCTAACCTTAATTACTTCTCAAATATTTTCGTTTCCTAAAACCACCAAATTAGTAAGGTTTCAACATAGGAATTTTTGGGGAGATATAATCATCCTAGCCATAACACACACTCTTTGGTATATGACAATTATTTAATAAGTTTTGAAACCAGGGAATATAAGACCTTGTTCTTTTTCAAGATTGTGTTTGCTATTTGGAGTACTTTGAGAGTCCCTATAAATGTTAGGATAGATTTTTCTATTTCTGCAAAAAATGCTGTTGAGATTTTGGCAGAGATTGCATTACATCTGCAGATTGTTTTAGATAGCATTGACATCTTAACAATATTAAGTCTGTCCACATGAAATATCTTTCCCTTTATTTGTGGCTTCTTTAATTTCTTTTGTAAAATTAATTTTATTTTATTTTCTATTGACAAATTAAGAGTTATAATATATTTATGGTATAAAATGTAATGTTCTGATATATATTCACACCGTGTGATGATTACATCAAGTTAATTAGTAAATTCATCACTTCACATACTTATCTTTTTGTGGTAAAAGCATTTAAAATCAACTTTTTAAGCAGTTTTTCAACAGGAAAGGTACCATTATTAGAATCACCATTTTGTGCAATAGATCACTAAAGCTTATTTCTTCCATCTAATTAAAATTTTGTACCCTTTCATCAACATCTTCCCTTTCCCCATCCACCCCCACCCCCAGCCTCTTGTACCTACCACTTTACTCTCTATTTCTACATATTCAACTTTTTAGACTTCACAAATAGTTTAAATCATGTATTATTTATCTTTCTGTGTCTGGTTTATTTAATTAGCATAATGTTCTCCATGTTCATGTTGTCACAAATGACAGAATTTCTTTCGTTTTTAAGGCTGTATAGTATTCTGTGGTATATCTATACCACATTTTCTTTATCCATTTACTTAATAATAGACATCTAGGTTTCATCCATATCTTAGCTTTGCAGATAATGCTGCGATGAATATGGTAATCCATGTATCTCTTATGCATGCTGATTTCTTTTTTGTTTTCAATATAAATCCAGAAGTGATATTGCTTGATCATGTAATAATTCTATTTTTAATTTTCTGAGGAAACGCCCTACTGTTTTCCATAAAGCTTTTACTAATTTATACTCCCACCCTTGGTGCATAAGTGTTTTCATTTTTTCACATCCTAGTCACAAATGATCTTTCATTTTCTAAATAATAGCCCTTTCAACAGATGTGAGTTGATATCTCTTTGTGGTTTTAATTTGCGTTTCTCTGATGGTTGGTGATGATAAAAATTTTTTCATATGTCTATTGGCCACTTGTATGTTGTCTTTTAAGAAATGTTTATTTATGTCACTTGCCCATTATCTAAATGGGGTGTCTTTTTGTTATTGACTTTTGCTGTAGTTTAGATGTTTATCCCCTCCAAATCTCATGTTGAAATTTGATCCCCAATGTTGGAGGTGGGGCCCAACGGGAGGTGTTTTGGTCGTGGGGGCAGGTCCCTCATGAACAGAGTAATGTGCTCCCTATGCGTGAGTGAGTTCTCTCTCACTCCATTAGCTTCTCCAAGAGAGAGTTGTTACTGGAGCCTGGCAGCTCCCCGCTCCCTCTTGCTTCCTTCCTCCTCATGTGATCACTAAATTCTTATGAATAGAAGCAGCCTGAAACCCTCACTAGAAGCAGACACTGGTGCCATGCTTCTTGCACAGGCTGCGGAACAGTGAGCCAAATTTATTTTCTTTATAAATTAACCATCCTCAGGTATTTCTTTATACCAACACAAAACATACTGAATCAGGAATTGGTACCAAGAGGAGCATGTTCCTATAAAGGTACTTGAAAATGTGAAATCGGTTTTGGAACTGAGTAATGGGCAGAGTTTGGAAGGATGTGGAGGGCTCGTAAGAAGACAAAACAATGAGGGTATGTTTGAAACTTCTTAGAGGTTAAGTGATTGGCACCAAAATGCTGATAGAGAGTCAGACAGTAAAGGCCATGCTGATGAGGTCTTAGGAGAGAATGAGGAACTTAGTGTCAACTAGAGCAAAGGTAATCCATGTTTCCCCTTAGCAAAGAAGTTGGCCGCATTGTGTCCATGCCCTAAGGTTTGAGGAAGGCCAAACTTAAGAGTAACGATGAGGTCAGCAGATCGAGAACCATCCTGGCTAACATGGTGAAACCCCGTCTTTACTAAAAATACAAAAAAATAGCGGGAAGTGGCGGGCGCCTGTAGTCCCAGCTATTAGGGAGGCTGAGGCAGGACAATGGTGTGAACCCGGGAGGCGGAGCTTGTAGTGAGCAGAGATCACGCCACTGCACTCCAGCCTGGGCGACAGAGCGAGACACTGTCTCAAAAAAAAAAAAAAAAAGAGTAATGACTTACAGTATCTGGAGGAAGAAATGTCTAAGCAGCAAAGCATTCAAAACTTTTAACAGCTGATGATCAGATATGGCTGTGGATGACTCGCAAAAATATAGAATGTATAATTGAAAGGGGAGCACAGTATAAAAATTTGAAAATTTTCCATCCTGGTTATGTGGTAGAGAAGGAAAGAGCATTTTTAGGAGAGGAGTCAAGGATGCTGTGGTGAATCCACATGCTAGAGAGATTTGCATGACTAAATTGGGGGGGCCAGGTGGTAAAAGTCAAGGCCCCAAAGACACTTCAGAATTCACTGATACTGCCCCTCCCATCCCAGGCTCAGAGACCTAGAAGGGTAGAATCATTTTGAGGGGCAGAATCAAGGTACTACCTCAGGATGCGGCTCCTCACATTCTGGCCATTCAGGCTCTAGCAGTGGCCCAAACAATCCCAGATGCTGTTCAGATCACCCCTGCCAAGAACTCAAGCAATTAGTCTTGGTGGCCTGCATGTGGTATAACATCTGCAGGTGCCAAAAATCCAAGATTGGTAGAGGCTTCTGGCTTCCTCCTATATTTCAGAAGATGTATCAAAACGCCTGGGGTCCCAGGAAGAAGCCTTCCACAGGAAAAGAGCCGAAAGAGATAGCCTCTATTAGAGCAGAGTCTAGTAGAGCTGTGGTAACAGGGCTGCCGTGGGGATCCTAGAATTACAGAGCCAGTGGCAGCATGCAACTTCAGCCTGGAAAAGCCAAAGGCAGGCACCATATTCAAATCCATAGAAGCAGCCATGTGACTGTGTCTAGCAAAGCCATTGGGGCGGGGCTGTTCAAGGCCTTCAGAGTTCAACCCTTGCACCAGTGTGAATGAGATGCAGGGCATGAAGTTAAAAAAATGTATTATTTTGGAGCTTTAAGATTTAACATCTTTCCTGTCGGGCTTCAGAACTGTATAGGGACTGTTATCCCTTTCTTTTGGCCAATTTCTCCTTTATATAATGGAAATGCTTACCCAATGCCTGGATGGTCGTCATAAATTACCCAGCCTGGGATGGGAGGGACAGCATCACTGAATTCTGAAATGCCTTTGGGGCCTTGACTCTTACCACCTGGACCCCCATTTAGTCATGAAAATCTCTCTAGCAAGTGGATTGTATCTTGGAAGTAAATAACTTGTTTTATATTTTACAGGCTTAATAGCTGGAAGAAACTTACCTTGAGTCTCAGTTGAGACTTTCAACTTTGGACTTTTGAGTGGATACTGAAATGAGTTATAACTCTGGGGACTATTGGGAAGGAATTATTGTATTTTTGCAATATAAGAAGAACATGACATTTGGGGGACCGGGTTCAAAATGGTATAGCTTGGATGTTCGTCTCCTCCAAATCTCATGTTGAAATTTGATCCGCAGTGTTAGAGATGAGGATCTAATGGTAGGTTTTGGGGTTTCAGGGAGCGATCCCTCATGAATAGATTAATGCTCTCCCTCAGAGGTGAGTGAGTTCTCTCCTTACTAGTCTCTGAAAGACCTGGTTGTTACAGAGAGCCTGGCAGTGACCCCCTCCCTCTTGCTTCCTCTCTTGCCCCATGATGTCTGCACATGCTGACTCTATGAACAAATTAATTGAAAGTGTCTGGCACAGTCCCTCTTTCTTTCTCTCTTTCCATGTGATCTCTGCATAAGCCAGCTCCCCTTTACTTTTTTCTATGAGTGGAAGCAGCTTAAGGCCCTCACTAGAAGCAGATCCTGGTGACATGCCTTTTGTGCAGCCTGAAAAATTTTGAGTGAAATTATCTTCTTTTATTTATAAATTACCCTGCCTTTAGAATTCCTTAACAGTAACACAAAGTGGACTAAGACACATTGTTTGGGTTCTTATATATTTGGAAAATTAGTCCATTATCTGATGTATTATTTGCAAATATGTTCTCCCAATCCATGGTTTGTCTCTTCACTCTATTAATTATGCCCTTTTCAGTGTGGCAGCTTTATAGTTTGATGTAATCCCACTTGTTTCTTTTTTGTTGTTGTTGCCTGTGTTTTGGGGGTTATAACTGAGAAATCTTTTACCAGAGATCAATGTTGTGGAACATATACACTTTGTTTTTCTCTAGTTGTTTTACAATTTCAGTTTTTATGTAAAAGTCTTTCATATCTTTTAAGTTAGATTTTGCATATGTTGTAAAATAAGAGTGCAATTTGATTCTTTTGCATGTGAATATTTAGTTTTCCCAGTACCATTTATTGAAGAGATTGACATGTCTCCATTATGTGTTCTTGTAATTGATGTTGAAACTCACATGAGCATAAATGTATGGGTCTATTTTTGGGATCTATATTCTATTCCATTGGTCAATGTGTCTGTTTTATCCAGTATTATGGTGTCTTGATTACTATAGCTTTGTAATAGATTTTGAAGTCAGGTGATGGGATGCCTCCAGCCTTTTCCTTTTTTATCAAGATTTCTTTGACTTTTCAGGGTGTTTTGTCATTTCATAAAATGTTAGAATTATTTTTTCTGTTTGTGCAAAAACATAATATTGGCATTTTGATAGAAAACGCATTGAATCTGTAGGTCTTTTGGGGTTTGACATGTTACTAATAGTAATTCTTCTAATCCTTGAACACAAAATAATTTTCCATTTATTTGTGCTGTGTACTTTTGTCGTTATTAATGTTTTATACTTTTCAGTATATAGGTTTTCTATTTCCTTGGTTAAGTTTACTCATAAATAGTTTATTTTTATAAAACTATTGTGAATGGAATTTTTTTATTTTTATTTTTTAGATAGTTTGTTGTTAGTGTAAAGAAATGCTACTGAGTTTTATGTGTTGGCATTGTATTCTACAACTTTGTTTCTCAATTCTAACGTTTTCTTGATAGTCTTGATTTTTCTGTATATAAAATCATGCCATCTGCAACCGAAGACAATTTTACTTCGTCTCTTTCAATTTAGATACCTTTTGTTTTTCTTGTCAATTCTGTGGCTAGATTTTGGGATTGAATAGAAGTGATGAGAGTAGACATCCTTATTTTGTTTCTCATCTTAGAGGAAATGATTACAGATTTTCACTATTGAGTATGATGGTAGCTGTGAGTTTATCATACATTAGTTTTGTTGTTGTGTTGAGGTAAATTTCTTCTATGCCTAAATTTTTAAAGTTTTTTTTTTTAATCCTCAAAGAATGTTGAATTTTGTCCTATGTTTTGTAGCATATGTTGAGATGATTACATGTTTTTTGCCTTATTCTGTATTACATTTACTAACATATATATATATATATATAAAGATTTTTGCATCCCAGAAATAAATGATCATTAGAAATACTGGACTGTAATTTTCTGTTCTTCTAGTGGCTTTGATATCAGGGTGTTGTGGGAAGTCAGGGACCCTGAATGGAGGGACCGGCTGGAGCTGTGGCAGAGGAACATAAATTGTGAAGATTTCATGGACATTTATCTGTTACTAAATAATACTTTTATAATTTATTATGCCTGTCTTTACTTTAATCTCTTAATCCTGTTATCTTCGTAAGCTGAGGATGTACGTCACCTCAGCATCACTGTGATAATTGTGTTAACTGTACAAATTGATTGTAAAACATGTGTGTTTGAACAATATGAAATCAGTGCACCTTGAAAAATAACAGAATAACAGCAATTTTTAGGGAACAAGGGAAGACAACCATAAGGTCTGACTGCCTGCAGGTCAGGCAAGAAGAGCCATATTTTTCTTCTTGCAGAGAGCCTGTAAATGGACATGCAAGTAGGAGAGAGATTGCTAAATTCTTTTCCCTAGCAAGCAAGGAATGTTAATATTAATACCCTGGGAAAGGAATGCATTCCTGGGGGGAGGTCTATAAACGGCCACTCTGGGAGTGTTTGTCTTATGTGGTGGAGATAAGGACTGAGATACGCCCTGGTCTCCTGCAGTACCCTCAGGCTTACTAGGGTGGGGAAAAAACTCCACCCTGGATTTGTGGTCAGACCGGTTCTCTGCTTTTGAACCCTGTTTTCTGTTGTTTAAGATGTTTATCAAGAAAATACGTGCACCGATGAACATGGACCCTTATCAGTAGTTCTGCTTTTGCCCTTTGCTTTGTGATTGTTGGACCCTTGTCAGTAATTCTGCTTTTGCCCCCTCCTTTTGAAACAGTTAATAAAAACTTGCTTGTCTGAGACTCAGCCGGGCATCACAGTCCTACCAATATATGATGTCACCCGGGTGGCCCAGCTGTAAAATTCCTCTCTTTGTACTCTTTATTTCTCAGCTGGCCAACACTTAAGGAAAATAGAAAGAACCTATGTTGAAATATTGGGGGCAGTTTCCCCCAGTATCAGGGTAATGCTGGCTTCATAAAATAACTTTGGAAATATTTCCTCTATTTCAGCTTTTTAAAAAAGTTTTGAGAATGATTGATTTTATTTATTTAAATATCTGGTAGAATTCCACCACGAAGCCTTCTGGCCCTGAGCCTTTCTTTGAAAAGAAGTTGTTTTTTTTTGTTTTTGTTTTTTTTTAATTCAATCTCTTTACTCATTTTTTGATGGGTTTAGTTTTTCTATTTCTTTTTAATAAGCTTGTTAGATTGTATAGTTAACCTGGTAATGTCAAAAGTATCAAAATCTAGTTTTAAATAATTTAGTCAAGTGAAAAGATGAGAAGAGCCATCTAGGAAAGAGAGACTTCAGAGAAATAGGGTTAGTGCTCCAAAGTTAAAAGGTAAGATCTTGCTTCTATAGGAAAAATAAAAAGAAATTTAACAGAATTATCCTTTTTTTTTTTTTTTTTTTTTGAGACAGAGTTTTGCTCTTGTTGCTCAGGCTGGAATGCAGTGGCGTGATCTCGGCTCACTGCAACCTCCAACTCCCAGGTTCGAGCGACTCTCCTGCCTCAGCCTCCCGAGTAGCTGGGATTACAGGCATGCGCCACACCTGGCTAATTTTGTATTTTTAGTAGAGACAGGTTTCTCCATGTTGGTCAGGCTCATCTCAAATTCCAGACCTCAGGTGATCTGCCTGCCTCAGCCTCTCAAAGTGCTGGGATTACAGGTGTGAGCCATGGCGCCCAGCTGAATTATCATATTTTTTAATACAAGGCTGGTTTATGAGTTACAACAACTTAGTTACAGTTTTTTTTTCAATTTTACATGGCTTGTTTTTACTGCATTTCCCAATTAAAAGAGTATGTTTAATATTCTATCTTAGACAATGTTATAATCATGAAGTCTGTGTATGAGAGAGGTAATAGGGAAGTTACCCTATAATGAAGATCAACAGTGAAGAGGGAAGGGGTCTTTCTTGGCACACTTAAGCCAATTACATTTCACAAAACATTGTAGGGAAGCAAGAAATAAGTCTAACATATAATCATAGAAACAAAAGTTACAGCTGCCTAAGTTACAGTTGCCAAGGAATAGCTGCTTGCCATGTGACTAAGGACCCATAGTCACTTTTCTTTAGTACTCAAAATAACTTAAAATTCCAACAGCTTTGATTTTGAATTTCTTATTTTCGCAGTTCATAGTAGTCATTTATGATCCTTTACATTTTTGTGTTACCAGTTGTAATATCTCTTCTTTCATGTTTTATTTTATTTATTTGAGTCTTCTCTCTTCTGTCTGAGTAAGTCTGGCTAAAGTTTTATCACTTTTGTTTATCTCTTTAAAGACACAATTCTAAGTTTTACTCATTTTTCTATTATCTTTTGTGTTAGTCCATTCTCATGCTGCTATGAAGAAATACCCAAGGCTGGGTAATTTATAGAGGAAAGAGGTTTAATTGATTTAAATTCCACATGGCTGGGAGGCCTCAGGAAACTTACAATTATGGTGGAAGGCAAAGGAAAAGCAGGCATCTTTGTCACAAGGTGACGGGATGGAGTGAGTGCAGGGAAGAGAAACGTCAGAGGCTTATAAAACCATCATATCTTGTGAGACTCACTAATTATCACAAGAACAGCATAGGCGATACCACCCCCATGATTCAGTTACCTCCACATGGTCCTGCCCTTAATACATGGGGATTATGGGGATTACAAGTCAAGGTGACATTTGGGTGGGGACTCAGTGAAATCATATCAATCTGCCCCTAGGCCCTCCCAAATTTTAGGTCCTCACATTTCAAAACACAATTATGCCCTTCCAACAGTCCCACAAAGTCTTAACTCATTCCAGCATTAACCCAAAGGTCAAGTCCAAAGTCTCATCTGAGACAAGGCAAGTCCCTTTCACCTATGATCCTGTAAAATCAAAACTAAGTTAATTACTTTCTGGATAGAATGGGAGTACAGGCACTGGGTAAATACACTTATTTCAAATGGCAAAAAATGGTCAAAACAAAGGAGGTACAGGCCCCATACAGGTCTGAAATCTAACAGGGCAGTCATTAAACCTTAAAGTTCCAAAATGAACTCCTTTGACTCCATGTCTTACATGCAGGGCATGCTGATGCAAGAGGTGGGTTCTGATGGCCTTGGGCAGCTCTGTCCTTGTGGCTTTGCAGGGTAAAACCCCCCCTCCCAGCTGCTTTCATGGGCTGGCATTGAGTGTCTATGGCTTTTCCAGGTGAACAGTGCAAGCCATCAGTGGATCTAGCATTCTGGGGTCTGAAGTATGGTGGCCCTCTTGTCACAGCTTCACTAGGCAGTGCCCTAGTGGGGACTCTGTATGGGGGCTCCAACTCCACATTTCCCCTTTACACTTCCCTAGCAGAGGTTCTCCATGAGGGCTCCATCCCTGCAGCAATCTTCCGCTGGGACATCTTGGCATTCCCATACATCCTCTGAAATCTATGCAGAGGTTCCCAAGCTTCAATTCTTGACTTCTGTGCACCCACATGCTCAGCACCCTGTGGAAGCTGCCAAAGCTTGGGGCATACAGCCTCTGAAGCAATGACCCTAGCTGTATGTTGGTTGCTTTTAGCCACAGCTAGACCTGAAGCAGCTGGGATCCAGGGCACCAATTCCTCAGGCTGCACAGAATAGGGGATTCCTGGGGCCTGCTCACGAAACCATTTCCCCCCCGAGGCCTCTGGGCCTGTGATGGGAGGGGTTGCCACGTGGGTCTCTGACAGACCCTAGAGACATATTCCCCATTGTCATTTGGCTCCTCATGACTTACGCAAGTTTCTGCAACCAGCTTAAATTTCTCCCCAGAAAATGTTTTTTTCTTTTCTATCCCCATCATCAGGCTGCAAATTTTTCAAACTTTTATGCTCTGCTTCCTCTTGAACACTTTGCTGCTTAGATATTTTTTCTACCAGATACCCTAAATCATCTCTCTCAAGTTCAAAGTTCCACAAATCTCTAGATCAGGGACAAAATGCCTTCATTCTTTTTGCTAAAAGCATAGCAAGAAAGACCTTCTCTCCAGTTCCCAACGAGTTCCTCATCTTCATCTGAGACTACCTCAGATTGGACTTCATTGTCCATATCACTATTCAACGTTTTGGTCAAAGCCATTCAACAAGTCTCTAGGAAGTTCCAAACTTTCTCACATTTTCCTGTCTTCTTCTGAGCCCTTCTTGTACTGATGTTCAGCTTAGTTATTTTCTTTTTCCTTGAGGCTCGATGTTAAGTTGCTTATTAGAAACCTCTCTTATTTTTTGATGTAGATATTTAGTGATGTAAACTTCCTTCTTAAAACTGCTTTTGAAGCATCCCATAAGTTTAATATGATGTGTTTTCATTTTCATTTGTCCCAGGATATTTTCTGATATTTTCTTTGATTACTTCTTATATGCCTGGTGTTCAGGATTGTGTTGTTTAATTTTCACATATTTGTGAATTCAATTCTCCTTCTGTTACTAAATTCTAGTTTCATTTTATTATGGTCAAAAAATATAATTGATATGATTTCAATTTTATTAAATTTGTTAAGGCTTGTCATGTGGCCTAATAAATGA
This sequence comes from Homo sapiens, assembly GCF_000001405.40. Lineage (NCBI taxonomy): Eukaryota > Metazoa > Chordata > Mammalia > Primates > Hominidae > Homo > Homo sapiens. The sequence goes on along the minus strand of NC_000004.12, from coordinate 11,992,780 downwards.
CTTATGTTAGAGAACATTCCATGTGCACTTGGGAAGAATGTGTATTCTTCTGCTATAGAATAGAAGTTTTTGTATATCTTTCTTAAATCCATTTGGTCTAAAAAGTGTTCAAGTCCACTGTTTTTTGTTACTGATTTTATGTCTGGATGATCTATTCATTATTGAAAGTGGAGTATTGAAATCGCCTACCATTATTATCTTGCTATTTCTACCTTCAGATCTATTGCAGCCTGAGCATCTCAGATCTGAAGATCTGAAACTGAAAATACTGCCAAATCAAAAAATGTATGAATGCCAACATAATGCTAAAAGCAAATGCCCATTAGAACATTTTCAACTTTAGATATTTTGATTTGGGGTGCTCAACTGGTAAGTATATGATGTAAATATTGAAAAATTCAAAAGAAAATATTTGAATTCTGAAATACTCCTGATCCAAATCACTTTGGATAAGGAACATCTGTAGTCAACCCATAATATTTGTTTTATATATTCAGGTGCTCCAATGTTTAGTGCATTTATATTTAAAATTGGTATATTCTCTTGATGAACTGACCTCATTATCATTACATAATTATCTTCTTTGTTGATTTTTTGCCATTTTTGCCCTAAAGTCTGTTTTTAGCTTACCTCTGCTTTTTTTTTTTTGTAATTATTTGTCTGATTTATCTTTTCCTCATCTCTTTATTCTCAGTTAAGTGTGGCCTTAAAGCCAAATAAGGTTTTTTTTTTTAATTCTTCCAGCTACCGTATGTATTTTGATTAGGGAATGTAGTCTTTTTAAATTTAACATAATTATTGGTAGGTGGAGGCTTAGTACTGTTATTCTATTAAATTTTTACTAATTTATAGTTCTTTTGTTTCTTCCAATGTCATCTTTATTTGTGATTTGTTACATTTTAAAGGAGTATTGATTACTTTCTTTTGTGTATCTACTAGAATATTTTTATTTTTGCTTATTATAAGGCTTACATAAAACATCTTACAATTATAATACCCTAAGTGAAGCTGCCAATAGCCTAGTTTAGATCACATACAGACATTCTACACTTATTCTTCTTTCCCCCTCGACATTTATGCTATTGATTTTATACTTTATACCTATTTATCTTGTGTATATATTAATCAATTTTATAGCTATAGTTCTTTTAAATACATTTGTCTTTTAACTCTTATACTATATTTAAGAGCAATTTACACATAACCTTTAAATTATTAGATTATTGTGAATTTAACTATATATCTACCTTTTACCAGTTACTTGTATAACTTTATGTGTTTTGATATTGATTCTTATTATTTTAGTCTGCTTCATACTGCTATAACAGAATACCAAAGATTAGGTCATTTATTATGAAGATAAATGTATTAAGTAATGGTTCTGGAGGTTGGGAGCACATGTTCAAGAAGCTGACTTCTGGTGAGGGTCTTCTTGCTAAATAATTCCATGGCTAAGGGCAAAGAGAGTGCTAGAGAAATCAAGAGATAAAACTTACAGCTTCAAGATATTTTATAATCAACATTAATTCCTTAACCAAGGTAGAGCATTCATGACCTAAAAAACTCCCATTAGGTCACACTTCCCAACACCGTTGCATTGAGGATTAAGATTCTAACAAAAGCTTTTTTGGGGACATATGCAAACCATAATATATATTCTTTGTTTAAACTCAAGGAACTCTCTTTATGATTCCTTTTATGTCTGGTTTTATGGTGCTGAATTCCCTTAGCATTTGTTTCTGTTGGAATGTCTTTATTTCTCTTTTATTTCTAACAAATACTGTTGCTGTTATAACATTCTTGGTTGACATTATTTTAAATCTTATTTTAGCTCTTTGACCATGTCATTCCACTTTCTCCTGGTTTGCAGCTTTCTGTTGAGAAATCTCCCAATGATCTTATAAAAGGTCCTTTATATGTGACAACTTTCTTCTTTCTTGCTTCTTTCAAGATTCTCTCTTTGTCCTTGACTTCTGACCATGTAATTATTATGTCTTGGTTATTCATTTTTAATTGATCTGTTTTGTATTGGTTTTTTGAGCTTCTTAGTACATGTCTATATCCCTCCAAGTATTTGACAGGCCTTCAGACAGTATTTTTTAATAAGCTTTCTGTCTCTTTTTTCTCTTTTCTTTCTGCTGCTTTCACAATTCCTATATTTATACATTTGATGGTGTCCTAAAAATCCCTTATTCTTCCTTTACTAATTTTCCATTTTTATTTTTTGGTTCCTCTAATTGGCAAATTTAAAATATTCTATCTTCAAGTGCACTAATTTGTCCTTCTGAATGATTGAATCTGCCTTTGAAACTAGAAGTTTTTCTGTTCTGGTATTGTCTTTAGCACCATAATTTCTGTTTATATTTTATAGTTTCTATTTCCTTTTTAACTTTTTATTTTACTCATGCAGTATTTTTTCTAATTGGATTTCAATGCCTATCTGTATCTTGTAGGATCTCATTGGGTTTTTTAGAAAGTATTATTTTGAATTATTTTTCAGATAATTTTTACATCTCCATTTCTTTGGGGTTAGATATTAGAGCTTTTTAAGTTTCCTTTGGTAGTTATGTTGTCTGATTCTAGTTATTCCTATAGCCTTGCATTGGTATCTGTGCTTGAACAAACAAATCTCTTTTTTGGTCTTATTGACTGGTTTTCCAGGTTAAAGTCCTCTTCTGTTAGGTCTCTAGGCTGATGGGATTGCCTCAGAAATTACAATTCAGCGGGATTGCATTCATGTGTCTTGGCTGATGTTGAATTGACAGTGGAGACTACAGTTGGTGAACATTACCAGGGGCTCTAGTGGGTGTAAGTCATATCTGGTCCCTGGGTGAACCAGACTGTCTCCAGGCCCTTGATCTGTGTGGGGTGCTTTCAGTGGGATAATGATCCACTCTGAGATTTTAAGAGATATTTCGGATAACCATGAATGCTTATGGATATGGCTTCCTTCAGGTTTCTTGGAGGGCTCTTGTTGGATCACTGATGTGTCTCTGAGTTGGACACACTTCCACATCTATGACTGAAATTGGCTGGAACTGAAACACAAGATTGTTTTAGAATCCACAACTGAGACTGAGATTTTCAAGGCTGTCGCTGAGATTATAGGTATATATATCTCCTAGTAGTTTCCTGGGTGAGCAGGCCTACTCTTATACAGCAGTCAAGAAGGGCTGTAGCCAGTTTATAGGGCTATTTAAAGATAAAAAATGAGATCAAGGTCAGGGTTTTACCCCATAGAAGCAATGCACAATGGGCCTCAGTCCGGGTCTCCAGGTGGTCAGAGCTGCTTTCACTGTGCCAACTAGTGGGGCCATGACCAAGAGCCAGGGCCATTTGAGATATACTGTGGTAGTGAAATTGGCAAGCCTACCATGGGAACTCAGACAGGCATGTCTCTCAGAGGGACCCTGGGTAGTCAGAACTGCTATCAAACCATCTGTGAGGGCCTGAAACTGAGCTTCAAGACTACTTCAGAACGGATGGTGCAGTCAGTGTTGGCAAGTCTGTTCCAGTCGTACTAGGGGTGAGAATCTAAGCAGACCTCAATGAGAGCAAGATTGCTCCAAAACTGTAGCTGAAAGGGGCTGAACCTGAGATTTAGGGTCACTTCAAGATCTGCTATGAGAGAGGCCAGCAAACAGGTCCATGCATGTGTTCTAGCAGTTGCCTGTATAGGCAAGATAACTTCAGGACTCCAACAGAGAAGGGTCAGTACCCAGACAGGGCCCCTTCTGGATCAGATCTGAGATGGAGCTCAGTAAGACTATCCCCTTGGCATAGAGTGTTGCACCTTCCAGTGGTTCTTTCTGCCATTTGGATTGCTCTCTGACTGCAACCAAGAGGGGTTGGAATTGAGTTTTCACGACCCCTTCAGAATCTGCTGTGGACTGGAAGCTAGATAGCCTACAAAGACGGCAGAAATGTACTAGTATATCAGCAAATTTCTGAGGGGAGTACTCCCAGACTGTGGCAAGCAGGGGCTGGAGCCATGACAGGGCTCCCTCAGGATCTGTGTGGGACTGAGAGTGGCAAGTCTGGTGAGTGATAAGCATCAAGTTATAGACAGGTGAGTCTCCCAGCAGATTCCTGTGCCTTTGGGATTACTGCCTGGCTGCAGCAGAGAATGACTAGAGCTGAGACCGGGCCTCTTCAAGATCTATTGTGGACAGAAGCTGGCATATCTGTCTCAGAGGCTCAGATTGGCATGTGTCCCAGGGGTTCTCTCCGTGAGTGGGATAATTTTTAGGCTGTGGCAGAGAGGGTCTGAGACAGAGACAGAATTCCTTCAGGATCTGCTGTGGGATAGAGTCCAGCAACCCTGTCCCAGTGGCACAAATGAATGAGTCTTTCTGGGTCCTTGATTGAGCTGTACTTAGACGGGCCATATCTGAGTGGGGCTGGAGACAAACGACATGATAACTTTTAAACCCACAGTGGAAACCAATGTCAGTGGGTTTGTCTGCCAAGGCACTAGTGTGCATGATTCTTCCTGGATGGCCTGACAGATGGTTCTGATAGCAGATTTGACTACTCAACTTGAGTCTATGTGCAAGCATTTTGGCGAGTGAGGTTATTTCTGGGTCTGAATCCAGAGCCAAATGAGCAGGTCTGCCACCTAGTTGTGGGTCTGTACTCTCAAAATGACCCTCTTAGGTTTGGGGCTCCATCAGGATATCACAGAATTGCACCTTAACCCCAAGGCTCCCACAGAGAGACTTTATCCGTGGATGTGTGCAGACTTCTTGTTATGGGGGATATAAGTGAGTAATCACCTAGTCTACCATCTTTCTGACAACCCCCCCCCACCTTTTTTATTTCTTTCATAAATGTTTTGCAGTTTTCAGTGTGAAAGCATTTTTCTTCCTTGGTAAACTTTTCCGAAGTATTTTATTATTTTGGTGCTATTATAAATGAAGTTATCTTGATTTGCTTTCCAGATAGCTCATTTTTAGAGTATTGAAAAGCAATTGATTTTATGTGTTGATTTTTTTATGCTGTAACTTGACTAAATTTCTATATTACTTTTAACAGTTTGGGGAGGAGATATTTAGGGTTTTCTACATATTATATTATGTCATCTGTAAATAGAGATAATTTTACTTCTCCTTTCCAATTTAGATGCCTTTTATATTTTTCTTGCTGAATTGCTCTGGCTACAACTTCAGTACTATGTTGAATAAAAACATTGAAAGTAGGCATCCTGGACTTGTCCCTGATATCAGAGGAAAAACTTTCAGTCTTTTATCACTGAGTATGATGTTAGCTGTCAGATATTTTTTCTTTTTCACTTATAAACACTGTTTTATTTCAGCAGAATTTTAAAATTTTGATGAATTAGTTATATTTTATTGGAAGTAGATGAAAACTAATACATGTCCATATAAGGGATATATGTGTATGTACTCATCATATATGAATAATGACATAAAGACACAAAGATAGATACATACATACATAGATACATACATAGACAGATAGCTTTCTTGGTACTAAGAAATTTTTTCCTGCCATGAAGTTTATGACTGTAGTTTTCTCTAATTATTTTCTTAGAAATTTTAAGGCCAGAGGTTTTATTTAGGACTTTGATCTATTGAAAATTAAACTTTGTATTTGGAGTGAAGAGGGGCTCAGGTACATTTTTTTTTCAAATGGATACCCATTATTTTCCAGCACTGTTTTTTATTTTTTGTTTTTGTTTTTGTTTCTTAAAAGATTTTCTTTCCCCATTAACTCAGACCTTGATTAAAAAATGTATTGATTAGATGTGGGTGGGTCTATTTCTCTACATTCTTTTCTGTCACACTGTGAATAGGCTCATCATCATGTCAGTGACTCACTATTGCCATATGCCTACGTCCTCACTAATGGTACATTAATTTATATGTGTTAGGTTTATAGTAATTATTGAAATCAGGTTGTGCAGGTGCTGCACAGTTTTTATCTTTTTTAAGATTGTTTTGCCTATTCTACATTATATGCAATTCCATAAACATTTTAATGATAATTTTAATGTTGATTTCTTGAAAAGAGGCTGCTTTTAATTGGCATCAATTTGATGATTATGAACATCATAAAAATACTGTCTTTCAATCCATAAACACGGTATACTTCTCCATTTATTTAGGTATTTGTTGTTATTTTTCAGTGTATAGATCTTGTGCAGCTTTCGTTGGATGTCTTTCTAGGTATTAGAGGTGTGATCCTATTGTAAATATAATGTATTTATTAATTTAATAGTCTAAGTGGTTACTGCTAGTATGTCAAAAGTCCACTGGTATTTCTATTTTGACTCTCTATCATCAGACTTTTCAAAATGCACTTATTATTCTAGCAGTTCTTTCATCTTAAACTTTATATTGAAATAATGTTTGAGTCACATGAGTTGTAGGAAAAATACAGATTTCCCCTTTACTCTTTGCTTAGATTCTCCAATAACGTCTTGCAAAACTATACTATAATATCACAAACGGGTTAGTGACATTGATATAATCCATTAACGTTATTCATATAGTCCCGGTTTTACTTGTATGTGTGTTTACACACACATGCATATATGAGTATGCATGCATTTGATTCTGTGCAATTTTATCTTCTGTGTTGGCTTATGTATCCACCACCCCAGTGAAGATGCACTCTTATATATACATGCACACACACACACACACACACACACATATAAATGTCTATATATATATATATATAGCAAGTGTCATTACACATGTAATATCATTAAATTGTTAGTACTAAAAAAATTCAGAGATTTTCTAGCTAAATGTCTAATTTTATAGATGATTAAGACCTGAAAATATGGATAGACTTGTCAAAGATTATACAGTAAATGAAAGAACAGACATTAAAGAAAATGCTCTTAAACTATCAATTCTACATCCATTTAACTCACCTGCAGTTTGTTGATAGTCTAATCTCCTTTACCATACAAATGAAACATAATATTCAATCAGTTTTATTATCCTATTATGTTATTTTTTTTCAATTTCATAACCACATACATTATGGCAAGGAGAATGGGGCATTTTGAAGTCATTTCGAATAGTTTTAATTGACTCTCCCTGGAAAGAATGAGGGATAAATAGAAAATACTGTTGATATTTATCAGTTAAGTGTAAAAAATAGCAAAAGATCTGAGGGAAGTGAAGACAAGGGAGGTCAAACAAAGTAATCCCCCATCTTCTCCTCTTCCCTGCCCACATAATATCTCTCTTACTCAATCATAAGGTACATGTCACTAGCATTTCAGGACTGTAACGCAGTTACAGATATTAGCCTAAATGAGCAGAGTATTTGGTAAGTGTGTAGAAAAAAGTTTATTACAATTTAACAAAAATGAGAGGTTTAAAAGAAGAAAAAGACAAAAACACTTATGCAAGCTTCAGAAGAAGCTGGCATAAGAAAAAAGAGTTATGGTATCATTGGTCTATTTTTTCTCTTTTCTTTTAGAAAGAATTTGACATTTCCCACCTCATTGCTTTCTGTAATTCAAGCTAAGGAGTATTACTGAATTTTGTCATCATTTTTAAAAAGAACGTTTTTTCTTTTGTTTAGTTTTATCTTATTCAGATGTCTGACTGTCTATTTTTGATATCCTTTATTTAGCCTGTCTTCCCACCTTCAAGGATTCAGTGCAAACGGCAATTTCAGCAGATTTGGGGACAGCCAATTTCCATTAATAGAAGAATGACTAAAAATAATAAAGAAAATTATAATAGCAGCTAACATTTATAGACCTGACTATGTGGTGGGCCTTCTCTAACTGTAATTTCAGTATACAATTGCAGGAATCTTATGTGATAGGTAATAGTGATATGAATTTACAAAATTTGACTAAGGGTCAAGCTGCTAATAACTTAAGAAGTTAGGCTCACAAATCCTGGTCTTTCTTACTCCAAAGTCAATGAATTTAATATATGCCACCGTTGCTACACATCATTAAAACAAAACTTCCCCAGAATTTAAGTATGCCCAAATCTTGTCATGGCACAGATTCATGCCTTTCCCTGCAGCGACTGAGAATCTCTAAATTCTTGGATGATGGCAGCAGTTGGTCTCCCTGGATGGTCTTCACTGAGGAGCTGGATGCAATCTGGGGTGAGTTCTGCCTGAGAGATTTTCTGATCAATATTCTCTGCAGAGAACTTCTTTGAGGTAATCAGTCATGTTGGATTGATGCTCCCTTGGTAGAAGCATTAGTTGAGTGATTTGGCCAGGTCATTGTTATTTTCCCTTGTCCTTGTCCTTGTTCTATCATATTGTTATTTGTCATGCATTGAATGCTAATAGCAACGAGTTTTTCTAACTTAGTGTTTGCAAGAAAATTGACTCAAACACAGTAGTTCCAATTACATTCATATGTGGTCTCTATGAGTGTCAATGAAATGCAAGCAGGTTGTTCACACATGATTTATACAGTCTACAAAAGAGGTACACATTTATGTGGATTTGATGAAATTATTGTGCTGCAGTCATCTGTTGATTCTGAAATTTGTCATTAGCTCTGTTCTGCTCCTTATAGCCAAGCTGACCTCAATAGATGGCTTTTTATGGGCTTTCTTGGAAGCTGGAATTTTTATGATTCACCCAGCGGAAGCATAGGCAGGAGACTGGAGGGCAGTAAGAACATAGAAGTAAGGGCATTTGTTTCTTCCATTTTTTTCTTCTTCAAGTTTTTTCTCTTGCAAGAAATCTGTCCTCTATAATTTTGGGACCCGTTCGGCAGACTCCCCTTGATTCTAATTTTCACTGGGCAAAGCCATGGACCTTGAGCTCTGAAGACATTGCCTTCTCTTTTATTTTTTCTTCTAGAGGGTGGTAGCAGCTTACCTAATTTCTAAATTGCTTCACCACCTCCTGTGTGCCTGTCAACAATTCTATCACCTAGGTATCCAATTCCTTACAGTAACTTCCCTCTGTTTGAAAGGAGTATAGATTCTGCTTTTCTAACTGGGATTTGTTTGGTGCACTTCAAAACTGGCTAGAAGCTCTTAAGTGTAGATAATAGCTTTTGTTAGCTACTGGAAGGTGAGCTACATAATATCTAGCTGACCAGAATGGAGAATAGAGGGCTCAGAGATGGCAGATCTGTGAACTTGAGCAAGGATGAAGATACTTGTTTTTTTCCAGATGGGCCTGTTTTACATACATTGTCTGGACAAACTTATTAAATATTTATTTTATTCTTGAAGGTGTCCCAGCTTGGACAGCAAATCATATGGTCACTATATTGATGCTAAATGAAGTCCACAGTGACTGTGTGAGACTGAGATTGCAGGCTCAGGTATGGCCGAGCAGACGACATCAGGCTGAGATACCTGAGATACAACAAGCCTGCAGAGATAGCAGTGGTGGTGGTGGCAATGCCCAGTTAGGCTTGGCTGGTATCTAACTCCTTAAAAATTGCACAAAGAGGAGTGGGAGTAATGTGGACTGGGTCAAACAGTAATAAAATGGAAGAAAGAACTCAGCAGAGCAAGAGAAATTGAGGACTGACTGGTTTTGTGAGCTAAATGTGGCCTCACTTAAAAGCAGAGGGACCCAAAATGCAGACGACAAATGAGGGCAACTCTGTGTTCACACTCGGTGTACAGAAAGTTAACTAGACACACCAGAGGCCCCTCCTCGGAAGATGGATCTGGTGCCAATATTTTGAGTAATCCAGACTTGTCACTTCTCAGGAAGCCCCTCAGGAGAATCAGATGGAAGGGCTGTGGAAATTGGGGATTCAAATGGGGTTGGGAATTCAAACAGCAGACAGGTTGCATTTTAAAGACCAGGTCTACCCCGTCTGAGCTTTTATTCTGCCACATTCTTCACTGAATAAGAATGACTTTTCCATTTTTGCTGCCAATCGGTCGAATATTTATTCCATCTACTCCACCAAATATTATTTTTTAAAGCACTGAACTATGGCAAGAGAAGAAAGCTTTCAAAATAAATGATTATGTCCTAGAATTTTAGGAAGGTTGGAAAGTCATTTAAAATTTTCTTCAGAATTATTCATCTATCTCTTTAAAATATTGATCAGTTATAGAGTTTCCTTTGCCAACTGTACTCTTTTAACAGGCATGGCTTTATGTGCAGTTACATTAATAATCCACAAATTTCATTTTCCAGATTCTATACTATCTTCCTTCCTTCTTTCCTTCCTTCCCTCCATATACAATTTACTATTCATAATATGCCTTCCTGGAAAAGTGTCAGTTAAAGAAGAAGTTAAATGGTAATCTATTATATCATGATGTCCACAACCTAGAAATATGTGAAGAGTTTTTTAACAAATAACTATTGCATTAAAAAAGATAGGTACTAAAGTAGACATGTGGACAAATGATATACAATTACAAAAAAAAAAAAAAGAAAAAGGGAGAGCTAAAAATTCACATTTTTTTTCTACTCTAGCCCTTCACAAAGCCCATGTTTTGTTGTTGCTGTTGTTATTTTGAACATAATCTTTTTATCTTTATAGTCTTACAAGGAAGGTAGTATTTTTCCTGTTTTTTTTTTTTTTTAGATAGAAAACTGAGGATCAGAGAGATTAACTTTCCCAAGATCAAATGGAGATAATTGCAGAGCCAGAGCCCCATCTAGGCTGTCTTTCCTTACAGGTAACTGCATGGGCAACCAGAAAAGGATTTGAAGGAAAGGTGAGGCATAAGAAAGGTCTTCAGATGCTATTTATTAGGTGACTAGAAAGAGAAGAGCATTCTAGGTAGACGGAGCAACAGCAGCAAAGAGATGGTTTAAAATAAAAGGGCACATTTAGGTTAAAGGAATGAGGAAAAATTTTTACAGCTGACAAGCAAACATTAATCCTTACTAAATCGTAATGTGTAGTGGAGTGGGGTGACGTGCTTTATTGAAGCTGTTGATTTAATAAGTAATATGATACTCGAGTAAGCTGTTTCCATAAAGAGACAAATGACTTCTATATTTTTAGAGTTTCCAGTCACTATATTGTCAACAGAGTATGCCAGGAGAGCAGAAGGGAGGATTTCAGTCTCCTGGAGCATTTCATAAACTCTCCTCTAAATGCATCTTGTCTGTAGGGTCCACAGCAAAATTGAAAAAAGTAATTTATTTTCCAAAGCCTTATTGCTATTTAGAGGGAGCCTAATACAAAACATCAAAATGAATCTCCAAACAAAGTGCTCTCTCATTATATTTGTTTATTGCTACAAAGTTAAAAGTTTCATTCGGAATTACAGCACGCAGTGTTACACCACAGGGAATGCCTATAGGCATCCTTGTTGTAAAGTGATTGTATCATCCTTAGGGCTCTACTGCAGTGATTATAACTTACATTTAACACTACTTTAAGGTTAAAGTCTAGTGAAATAAAGATGTAGTAACATTTAAAAACAATAGAGCTCATATATTGAAAAACAAGAATAAGTTATGGTTTTCCAAGAAAGGGAGGCTGAAGAGTATTTTTAGCAATGGAATAGGTTGCTAAAGCAGAAAGAGTTGGTGTAGAACTATGTGATGCATGAATGGAGTGCCTGCTAGGCATCCTAGGTCTACAATCTTTCTCCATAAAGGGCCAGATAGTAAATATCTCAGGCTTTGCTGGACAAATGGTCTCTCTTGCAACTGTTCAACTCTGCTGTTATAGCACAAAAGCCTCCACAGAAAAACAGTCATGGCTATACTTCAATACTTAAAAAAAAAAAATGAAAGCAGTCCATAGTGTGCTGATCTTTGTTCTAAACCAATTAAAACCTCATCTGATGCATGCGCCCCATTCATAGCATTGTGGTGTGTTGTACGTTAATGCATCTTAAGGAAGGATGCCTTTAACCATTCACTTTCTTGTATAATTCCTTTTTCTGTTGATTCTGGGTTTAACTATTTAATTTAGTTTGTTCAATGGGAATTCAGCAAATGTGACATTAACAGAAGCTAAATAAGTACTTGTGCATCAGTACTTGCCTTCCTGGAACTCACCTGTCACATATTAAGGAGCCTGGTCTAGACTGCTCTATAATGAGTTACCACATGGAGAGAGATGCCCAGCCAAAGTGCACCTTAAGTCTAGACAAGTTCATAAGACCATCCTAGACCCTCTAGCCTCAGTTGAGCCTCCAGATGCTATAGCTACATCAGTGAACCCATAAAAGACCAGCAGAATAATTGCCTGAGTTCAGCCAGTCCACAGAATTTTGAGAAAAAATCCCACTAAGTTTTGAGGTGACTTGTTGTGTAGTAATAGATAACTGATAAATTAACTTTTACCACGTACAATCACGACATTTCATGATACTCTTAAAATCAGATACGCAGTATGAAATTTGAAACTAGTAGACTAGGATTTGAATTTAGGGACCCAGCATCACCAATGCTGTGACCTAAAGTTAGGCTCACACCTGTTTGCCTCTCACTTTCTCATCTGAAAAATGAAGATATTAACAGCACACACAGCTGCCATCTTCCCTGTGATCATCTTTAATGCAGCACCTGACATGGATCAGAAAATGTGCTGGATGCCTTATGGTTCTTATCACTAATTTTCAGAATTGCCACTTAAATATAAGAGTTTATATTAAGTGTGTGTTTATATAAGTGTATAAGAGTTTATGTAAGTTATCAGGGGACCTGCCCCGATAATCACGTAGGTTCTTTTCTATTTTCCTAAGCGTCGGCTGGCTTGAGAAATAAAGGGACAGAGTACAAAAGAGAGAAATTTTAAAGCTGGGCGTCCGGGGGAGATATCACACGTTGGTAGGATCCGTGATGCCCCACAAGCCACAAAAACCAGCAAGTTTTTATTAGGGAGTTTCAAAAGGGGAGGGAGTATACGAATAGGTGTGGGTCGCAGACATCAAGTACTTAACAGGGTAATAGAATATCACAAGGCAAGTGGAGGCAGGGCGAGATCACAAGGCCACAGGATGGAGGCGAAATTAAAATTGCTAATGAAGTTTTGGGCACCATTGTCATTGATAACATCTTATCAGGAGACAGCGTTTTGAGATCAATCGGTCTGACCAAAATGTATTAGGTGGGAATTTCCTCTTCCTAATAAGCCTGGGAGCGCTATGGGAGACTGGAGTTTATTTCACCTCTGCAATCTCGACCATAAGAGACAGGTACGCCCCGGGAGGGCCAGTTCAGAGACCTACCCCTAGGTGCACATTCTCTTTCTCAGGGACGTTCCATGCTGAGAAAAAGAATTCAGCGATATTTCTCCCATTTGCTTTTGAAAGAAGAGAAATATGGCTCTGTTCTGCCCAGCTCACCAGCAGTCAGAGTTTAAGGTTTACTCTCTTATTCCCTGAACAATTGCTGTTATCCTGTTCTTTTTTCAGGGTGCCCACATTTCATATTGCTCAAACACACACGCTGTACAATTTGTGTAGTTAATGCAATTATTACAGGGTCCTGAGATGATATACATCCTTCTCGGCTGACAGGATTAAGAGATTAAAGTAAAGACAGGCATAGGAAATCACAAGTATGTTGATTGGGGAAGTGATAAGTGTCCATGAAATCTTTACAATTTATGTTTAGAGACTGCAGTAAAGACAGGCATAAGAAATTACAAAAGTATTAATTTGGGGAACTAATAAATGTCCATAAAATCTTCACAATCCACGTTCTTCTGCCATGGCTTCAGCCGGTCCCTCCGTTTGGGGTCCCTGACTTCCCGCAACAGTAAGTATATAAGGATTTATATAAATGTGTATTTTAAATATTGCCTAATTTTGCCATAGTCCCTTTCAAAGCGGTTCCAACAATTTGCAATATAGCCAGCAATGTGATTCTCCAAATACTCATCTTTCTGTATATCAACAATTTTGTATATCATCACAATCTGTTCTGTATATCATAGCACTTTTGAAAATGTACCACACTGATAATTAAAAATGGTATATTGGGGTTTTAATTTGCATTTATTTAAGTTTATTAACATTCTTAGACATATTTATAAGACATTTTAATTTATTTTTTAATGAATTCACTTTTGAGATCCTCAGTTAATTTTTCTAAGTATCTAAAACTTTAGTAATAGATTTTAAAGTAAATTAGCCCTTTCCCATCTGATATGATTTGGCTGTGTCCCTCTCCACCAAATCTCATCTTGAATTGTAGTTTCCATAATCCCCACATGTCATGGGAGAGACCAGGTAGAGATAATTGAATCAAGGGTGTGGTTTCCCCATCCAGTTCTCATAATAGTGAGTTAATTCTCACAAGATCTGATTGTTTTATAAGGGGCTTCCCCTTCACTGGACACTAATTCTTCTCTTTTCTGCTGCCTTATGAAGAAGGACGTGTTTTGCCTCCCCTTTTACTATGATTAAGTTTCCTGAGGCCTCCCCAGCCATGTTGAACTGTGAGTCAATTAAACCTCTTTTGTTTATAAATTACCCAGTCTCAGGCAGTTCTTTATAGCAACATGAGAACAGACTAATATACCATCTATGTGGAAAATAACTTTTGACACGTCATGTTTGTGTTGGGCTTGACATTTTGTCCATTTGAGGATGCAGAATATATTAATGTTTTATGTAGTCAAATTTAGCAGTGTATCTATCATTTTGTGCTTTTTGGCTGTATTACTCAGAGAGGCCTTTCTCATCAATATTTTCATTGATATTTTATGTTTTCTTTTATATCATTTATTATTTTGCTCCTTAATACTTAAGTATTTTATTTATTATTTTTCACATAAAAAACAAAAGAAGGGTTGGGCACAGTGACTCATATCTGTGATCCCAGTGCTTTGGGGGACTGAGGCAGGAGGATGGCTGAGGCCAGGAGTTTGAGGCCAGCCAGCCTGGACAACAAGCATGACCCCATCTCTACAAAAAAAAAAAAAAAAAAGAAAGAAAGAAAAAATAGCCAGACACAGAGGCATGCACCTGTAGGCTCAGTTACTCAGGAGTCAAAGGTAGGAGGATTACTTGAGCACATCTGAGTTCAAGGTTGCTGTGAGCTGTAATTGCACAGCTGTAGTCCAGCCTGGAAGACAGAGCAACACCTTGTTTCCAACCAAAAAAGAAAGGAAAAAAAAAAAACAGAGGAAGGAAACAATAAGAAATATTAGGGTTAGGGTGTTTAATTTATTTAGTTTGGGGATTTTTTAGCCCTCCTTCCTATGCCACCCACCACAGATTGCAGCTAGTAATTTTGATGCTATTCATTCTTTCTCCACTTCTCATACTTAGCTGGGAATGTTTTAGAATTTGATGTTCTATCCTAATGATCTGTCTCTCTTGAGGACTAAAATATAAAATTATTCTAAGTGCTGGAGTTTGATCACTCATTTTGATAGGTAATATGCTAGTCTTCTCTTAAATTTTTTCCCTTCAAACTTTAAATGCTAATGTCACGTATAGATTTTCCCATATAAATTTTGGAATCAAATCACCTAGTTTCAGGAAAAAATAAATTTTTTTTTTCTTTTTTATTGCATCACATTAGGTTCACTGATTAGTTCAGAGAGAAATATCATTTTTACAATTCCAACTCCTGCTATCCAGTCATAAAATATGTCCTTCCATTTATTCATGTCTTCTTTTATGTTCCTCGAAGGAGTCCTAAATCTTATTCATGTTTTTTGAATCCCTGAAGTTCCACAGGTATTTAATTGTCTGCTACTGTTGCTGTTGCAATCCCTGTTGTTGCTGAAATGTGTACTTCGTATGATATATCCTAGCTTATTATCATTTGTGTAAAGGGACAGCAATGAGTCATTATTTGCCAGTGACATTACTCAGTATTATTATTATTACTAATGTTTTTCCTAATTTCATAACAAGTGAGTTGGAAGTAATTAAAGTGCACTGTTTCTACTTCCTCTCAACACAGTAGTCCTGCTGGCTGCTGGTTCAGTGCTAAACACTTGAACTCTGGGACTAGACTCCTTGTGCTTAAAATCCTTACTTTACACTTAAGTTTCTTGACTTCTCTAGGGTTCAGTTTTCTCATCTGTAAAATGGAGATAACAATAGTACCTTCTTCATAGGGGTGCTGGAGTACTAAGCAAGTTAATGTACGTAACATATTTAGACCAATGCTTTACATTTAATAAAGACTCAGTTGGTGTTATCTCTCTTTATTATCTCTGGTACTCAGTTTCATTAGTATCACAGCAATAGGAATGCCTACTCTGACTTGCCTTTGAAGGGCAATTTAACGGTTTTGTGATGTGGTGTAAATGAAAGTGCTTTGCAAATTGGCACTATAAAAATGCAAGATAATTGTAAACTGCCAGAACACAACTGCATTTTTTTTTTTATTTAGCTAGCATTTACCATGTCCTGGTAGAATTAGAGAAAAACGTAAAACCCAGATTCAGGTCTTATCTCATTTATTAAGAAGCTTTTCATGTTGTCTTCCATGGGATTAAATCTAGATGTGAGATCCAGATCGCTGACTGGCAATTCTTTCTCTAGGTAGTGCCAGAGAGAAATAGTGATGACGATTATTTTTGTGAACAGACCAAGTGTCCCTTTACTGTAGTCTGGTTTTGTATGCAGAGCTGGAAGGAAACATACATTGTTAATAATACCTAAGAGATCTCAGTATCTATCTCTTGCCAGACCCTCTGCTAATTATTCACTACATTTTCTATTTCACACAAAAGTTAATAAGTAGGACATATTATCATCTTTAGTCCACAGATAAGTTTGTTGTATTAGAAAGTTTCAATAAATTAACCAGACTTGTACATTTGAAAGGCAGAAAGTGGGACCTCAATCCTCTGAATCTAGAGTCTGTACTCTTAAACACTTCTTTAGACTAGGACAGACGTGGTGTGGCTTTTCTGCCTCCATTTCCCAAGCCATTTCTCCTTTTCCCTTTAGAAATTTAGTACCTATAGTATCTATTCTGAATGTAAGTATTTGGTCTTCAGAAATAACCTGGCATTGGTCATTTATATCTGAATATCAGGTGCAATCTGGTAACTTTTCACAGGATGAGAAGAAGGGAAAGGATAGTTAGCAATTAATGATCCTATAGCATCCATTTCATTGCCTCTTAGAGGTAAGTTTTTCAAGTTTACTTTATCATTACAAATGAAGACACTGAGACTCATAGCTAATAAGTCATTTGCTCAATGTCACACAGCTCAGTTCTGTGACAATGACTTAGATTTAAGTCACTGAGACTTAATTTTCTCTGAAAAATTGAAAGTGATGTGTCCTGTTAAAGGAATGTTAGATGTTAGAGTTTCTCATTTGCCTTTCTGAGAGCACAACAGAGTAAGCCAGTTTGCATTAGACGGTCACCTCGACTTGGTTCTTGCTGCCCCTTTCAATATCTTGTAGATTCGAATTCTTAGCAGTTAAGAAGCATGTGCTGCATTGACCTTATATTAGTGGTATAAAAGCAAGAGATGGTCAAAACACTGACCTGCAGGTTGGAAGTACGTTCACATTAGACCTATCCCACTTGTCCCTGGAATCTTGAGAAAATGCACTACATTAAAGGAAATTTGTGAGTGGTAAAAGACATAGAAAAAAATTGTGATTCAACACATTATGCTTCAATTATTGGCAGAAGTCTTCCTTACTAGGATTTTATGACTGCAATTGTATCAATCATCATCATAAATAGGGTACTCTGCAATAATAGTAATGATAATGTTGACAGAGGGTTTACTTTAGTCTAAGCACCATTTTTAATGTTTTATATTCATCAAATTGCTTAATATTTCCAGCGTTATGAAGTAGAGACTATTATTATTTTCTTCATTTATATTATTAGGTAAAGAAACTGAAACTGAGGTTGTGTAACTGGCCCTAAGTCACTTGGCTAGTAAGCTGGAATTTGTGATCAGCCTGGTTTCAGAGCCCACTACTATGCTATATACCTACTTTTTGAAATTGGCTTTAGCCTGTTTTGTTGTTGAAGGTGATGGTATTTTTGTGACTTTTAATACTCATAGTAAACATTCCGTAAGTCCTGGAATGCAAAAAAAAATTAACTCAATTAAATCTAAGTTACCAATTACATAATGTAGGTTGTTTTCCATTTTTGTATATTGTTCCGTCATTGACTGCATATTAGAAATAACATTTTCTTACTACTATTTTAATTTTATAACTTTTCTTTGTAAGTTCCTGTCTTTTTTGTAATGTATACTAATATATTATAATGATTATGCTTAAATGTTTGCAAAATTCACCATTTGGTGTTGTGCTCTTTTATTCCTTTTTATTGTATTTTATAGGGTCCTTTGCTTTAAATTGTTTTTGAACTGAATTTATTACAGTTAATATCACATAGTCCTTGCATTCTTAATCTTTGTGCTTGCCTGTATGTATGTAATAATTTTCTTACTAAAATTTATTTATATCTATTCAAGATGCATAATTTTTTTACTTGCAGTTAGCATTTTTGAAGGGAGGGTAATATTTTTATTTAATTAGGAAATAATCTATATACAACATAGCACAAGGTTTTTAAGTATACACATTGATAAATTTTGTTAAATACATACCTTTGCATGACCAAAACCTATATTAATGTATGTAACATCCAACCACCCGAAAAGTACCTTTGAGCCTCTTTCCAATTATACATCCTAAGACAACCTCTGTTTTGACTTCTCTTCTTATACGTTAGTTTTGCATCTTCTTTAACTTTTTGTTAAATAGCATCATACTTTAGCATCATATTTATACACTCTTTTATGTGTGGATTCTTTTTGCTTACCACAATGTTTCTAAAGTTCATTTATGTAGCTGTGCATATCAGTAGATTGTAATTTTAAGTGTTTTTAAATTTTTTTTTAACTTTTGCTTAATAGTGTTTCATTGTATAAATATACCACCAGTTTTTAATCTGTTCATTTTTTGATGGGCATTTGGATTATTGCCAGTTCTTGGCTGTTATGATTACTGCTACTATGAAAATTCTTATGTAAGGCTTTTTGTGATTACATACTTTTATTTCTGTTGAGAAATTACATCGGAATGGTATTCCTGGGACATAGGTACAGTTGTCCCTCAGTATACTCAGGGCGTTGGTACACAGTAATCAGCATCTATGCAAGTCCTATATTTTAGTTCAGAGTTTGGTTGAAAATATCTGTGTATACTAGATCTATACAGTTCAGACCTGTGTTATTCATGGGTCAACTGTAATTGAATGTTGTTTTACTAGAAATTTCCAAGCAATTTTTAAAAATGGTTCTACTTTTTACCTCCCACCATCAACACTTGCAAGTCAAGTTGCTCCACATCCTCTTTAACATTTGTCCCGTATTTCATAGTTGTTATTTTTTACCACTCTATGTATGAAATCACTTATTTCTGTGTTTTTAATTTGCGTCTTTCTGATGACTAAGCATGTTGAGCATTTTTCTCATAGACTCATTGAATAGTAATATATATTCTTATTGAAGACATATTCAAGTGCTTGACACTGTGTTCCCTTACCTGTGTTTTATGTTGTAGTGGACCTGAAAGATATGCCATCTAGATCCCTCTTTAAGAGAGGACATTGATACATCAGGGTTTGATTCAGCTGCAGAGGGCTGTCTGGTAAAAGGACACATCCTTCCTGTGGATGGCCTATATCCCAAGACTGATAAAAGGGATTTAAACATGTGCCCATTTTAGCTCAATTCAGAAACTCTGATGAGCCAAATATGCTTCAGAGCTGCCCTTTGGATTGGCTGAGCCTTATTAGGCCTGCATCACAATTTGGCTTCCCCTGTTGCAAAATATTTCTGTTTCTTCTTCCTTTTCTCAGGAAGTTGATCCCTGCTATATATTTACATATTAAAACCCCTATCTTAGTATCTGTTTCCTAAAAATAAATCACCTACAATTATTTTTACTGTGAGATGTTTGAGAAATTAAATGTGAAAATAAGGGTTATATAAAAATTATTTATCACCAATCTATTCACATAGATACTGACCATCACTGATGGTCAGTATAGTACAGACAGATCTTGGTACTAGGTAGTGTCAAACTGGGACCAAGCACCCACAGTTTGACAGTGAGAGTAACTGAGCTCTGGAGGAAGAAAAACACTAAATCCATGCAGTTCTGATATGCTAAGGTTAAGACTTTGGATAGAAAATAATGGGAACCTTGAGTGGGTGTCCATTAAAATTTTAAAAGGTCAAACTCTGAGCCTACAGAAGTGGCCCGTACTTTGCTATTAATATCTAGCACATCCTCATTATAAAAAAGACCAGGAAGAGGCTTTTACTTCTAACATTTCTGTATCCGCCTTAGAATCTACCCCACTACTCTTCCTGGCTCCTAGGTAAGCCACAACTGACAGTAGCAAAGTCATTGCAAAACTTGGCTCACTGACCAAAATGGGGTTACTAGGGCCCCCAAATAATAAAAACTCTGTGGTGACACTTAACTTCCAGAACTTAGATAGTTAAAATTGTCATAATGAGAGTAGGGTTGAAGTGGAAGACAAATGGCCTGACCTACACAGACTTATGGGGATGTTTAAAAACACACAGAGTTTCTAAGGGCAAAATAGATGAGTAGCCAACAAACAATACTCAACTTGTAACATTAGAAAATAATTACAGGCCTGGCATAGTGGCTCACACCTGTAATTCCAACACTTTGGGAGGCTGAGGTGGGTGGATCACGAGGTCAGGAGTTCGAGACTATCCTGGCCAACATGGTGAAACCCTATCTCTACTAAAAATACAAAGATGAGCTGGGTGTGGTGGTGTGCACCTGTAGTCCCAGCTACTCGGGATGCTAAGGCAGGAGAATCGCTTGAACCCTGGAGGCAGAGGTTGCAATGAGCCAAGATCGTGCCACTGCACTCCAGCCTGGTGACAGAGGGAGACATCATCTAAAAAAAAAAAAAAAAAAAAAAAATACACAGGATGTCCAGAAGGGTGAGGACAGTCACCTCAATTAAAAAAAAAAAAAGGCATGATTCTTTGGCAAATTTCTGTACTTGAGCCAGTTTAAAGACCTGTAGCATATTTACTAAAGAGGCATCTGAGTCCCCTGAATAAAGGGTCCTGCCACGGCATGGCAAGTAGATAGAGTACGATTTCTCCCAGTCTTTCCCCAAAGGGGACTGTGGCCATTTATCAGTTAACATCACACCAGGGAAAGGAGAATAGTACGACATTTCACATACTGTTAGACACAGGATGAGGTGGTGGTCTGAGCTTACATTGATAACCGAAGATCTGAAGCATCATCATGGCCCTTCTATTTGAGAGAAACACTTGGTGGCCAGACTATAAATTAAGTCCTGACCCAAAATTAGGGCGAACATTGCATTACTTGGTTTATAAAGCACATCAGTGATCATTTTCCCACTCCCAAAGTATATGCTTGGAATTGACATACTTGACAGTTGCTGCAACCCCTGCATTGGTTCCTTGGCTGGTAGTGTGAGAGCACTCATGGAGAAGGCCAATATAATTTTTCAAAACTAGATCCTTTCCTTCTTCTGTGGGCTAAGTGTTTGTCTTCCCCCTACATTTGTAAGTTGAAATTCTAACCCCCAAGCTGATGGTATTAGGAGGTGAAGACTTTGGGAAGTTATTGTGTCATGAGGGCAGAGTCCCTATGAATGGGATTAGCATCCTTACCTTATAAGAGGTTTAAAGATCATTTGTGCCTTCTACCATGTGACAATGGAACTAGAAGTCACTGTCTATGATAAACAGCTCCTCAACAGACATCAAGTCTCTTAGCAACTTGATCTTAGACCTTTTAGCCTCCAGAATTGTGAGTAATACTTTTCTGGTGTTTATAAGCAAACTGGTCTATGGTAATTTGTTATAGCAGGCAAAACAGTCAACACACCCTTGCAGTCAAGAGAGTGGATCAAAAACAAATTGCATGTCAGATGGCTGAAAACAGTGCCTCCCTTAAAGTACTAATGGATGCAGAAGTTGTGGGCCCTGACACATATCCATCTAATTAGTAAGTCTAGCCCTTGCACAATGCAGATGGACCCTGGAGCATGCAGTTATCTGTGAATGTTACCTTACAGATCAAATAAGACTTTGCATACATGATTAAGTTAATAATTTTTAAATAAGAGATTTCCCTAAATGATACTGATAGGTCCAAAGTAATTGTGAAAATCCTTATATAAGGAACACAGGAGGAGTTAGAGAGAGGGAAAAAGACTATATTGAGGGAAGCATAGACAAGGTGGTAGCTTTGAAGATGAAGGAAGGGGCTACAAGCCAAGCAATACAGGCAAAAGCTGAAAAAGGCAAGGAAAGGGATCTACCTCCAAAAGCCTCCATAAGAAACCAGCTCTACCAGCACTTTGACATTAGTCCAGTGAAATTGATTTCAGATTTTTGACACCTGGAAGTGTAAGATAATAAATTTATGCTATTTTAAGTCATTATGTGTACTTTGATTTGTTACCATAGCCACTGGAAACTAATATGCGATTTACTTTTAGCACTTTAAAGATGCTATTCCACTTTCAAGACTCTCTATAATGAAAAATAAGTCAACATTTGTATTCTTGTTCATGGTACAAAATGTCTTTTCCTCTAGCTGCTTTTACATTTTTTTCTTTATTTTGGTTTTCAGAAGTCTGATTATTAAATTCATTAACATTTTATTTCTCTATTGTATTAGTTCATTCTCACCCTGCTAATAAAGACATACCTGAGACTGGGTAATTTATAAAGGAAAGAGGTTTAATGGACTCACAGTTTCACATGGCTGGGGAGGCCTCACAAACATGGCAGAAAACAAAGGAGAAGTAAAGTCATGTCTTATGCGGTGAGAGGCAAGAGAGCTTGTGCAGGGAAACTCCCATTTATAAAACCACCATGTCTCTTAAGACTTACTCACTGTCACAAGAGCAGTATCGAGGAATCCACCCCCACGATTCAATTACCTCCACCTGGCCTTGCTTTTGATGTGTGGGGATTATTACAATTCAATGTGAGATTTGGCCGGGGGAGCAGGGGGGACACAGAGCCATACCATGTCGTCTGTATTTATCCTGCTTGTCCTTCACTGAGCTATAGATTAGTGGTTTTAATAACACTGGGAACATTTCACTCAATATTTTTTGAAATATATTTGCTTGCACTATTTTCTCTTTTACTCCTTTATGAAACCTGAATTCCATGTGTATTACACTGTTTAATACTATTTTATAATTCATCAAAATTCTGCCGGTTTTAAAAATCACTTTTCTTTTGATTAGTTTTGATTACTTTGACTTCCTGTTCACAAATTCTTTTTTATACATTGTGTAATTAACCATTACCATCGTTACTACTATTTTCTTTTTTTTTTAATTTCAGCTATCACATGTTTTACTTCCAGGCTTCGTTTAGTTATTAAGGCTTTGCTTTTTTAATCAGTTTGACATTCCTCATATTTTTCTGCTAATTCTTGACTAACTTTTTCTGCAAATTTTTTAACGTGTTTGACGTAGTTACTTGAAAGTTCTTGTCTTCTTATTTCAACATTTAGGATATATAGAGATCTATTTTTACTAATTTTCTCTTGACTATAGGTCATATTTTTCTTCTTTTCTGAATTCCTAGCAGTATTTTGTTCTGTGCTCATATTCTGAATCATACATTGAAAGATCTGATGTTCTTTTATCTTCTTTTGTAGAATGCTGGATGTGGTTCTAGTGAGCAGTTAAATTATGGAAGGATTGTCTTGGTCCTGCGGTAACTTGAGTTTAGGCTTTTGAGCACTATTTAAATTTTTCCTTAGACTTAGAATGTTCTTACTCCTAAATCATGGTGCTTCTGGAATTTCAGTGGAAAGCTAGAGGGATTTATCAAAACCCTCTCCAAAGCACTTGGACAAAGCACGAAGGATGGCTTTTACTAATTCTGCTCAACCCTTACAGTCTCTTAGTTGTTGCTTTCAACTGTATTCCTTGGATTCATTACCTGCATACACACATTTCTGGAGTCAGATAAGAATTAAGATGATTTTCTATACAGATTTTGGAGCAGCTCCTTCTAAAACATCTTTCTGGTATACCCTCCCTGAATTTCTAGCTGCTTTAGTAATCCCAAAATCTAACCCCTTAATTCTTTGTCCTAATAAGGCTATTACTTTCTGCTTGAGCTCTCTTACCCTTGAACTTTCTGGACTGGAGTATACCCTCAGAGGGAATTCAAGCTTAAAACAAAAATAAGAAGAAAAAAACCACCCCAAAGCCTCAAATAGCCTTTTGAACCCATTCACCCTCGTTAAGAAGATTTTCTAACTCTCTCACTGATGCACACATTAACACTGGCTTAGTTGTGCACGTAATAAGGTCATTTCAGAGCATATTCCATCAGGAAACCCCATCAACTTCTCGATCACATGCTTTAGCTTCTCTGTTTAGCATACCACAGAGGCTAGTTATAAATCATCTCTGGCTTCTTTGATCATCTCCCCTTAGGAAAACTACAGGAAACTCCATATCACCCTGTGGTCTGTATAACCTTTACTTTCTAGTTCTGTAGCATATTTATGATTATACTCAAAATATTTGACTCATAATGTGCATATGATCAAATACAATTTCTCCCTCTACAGAGAAATAAATTATTCTCATAAAACTAGGATTTTTCATAGAAATTCAAGTTTGTTTGAAGTTGGGGCACACATTAAGGAATTAGTATTTGGCCAGGCGCGGTGGCTTATGCCTGTAACCCCAGCACTCTGAGAGGCCAAGATCGGGGGATCACCTAAGGTCAGGAGTGCAAGACCAGCCTGGCCAACATGGTGAAACCTCGTCTTTACTAAAAGTACAAAAATTAGCTGGGTGTGGTGGTGGTGGCCTGTAATCCCAGGTACTCGGCAGGCTGAGGCAGGAGAGGTGATTGAACCCCCAGGAGGCAGAGGTTGCAGTGAGCTGAGATCTTGCCATTGCACTCCAGCCTGGGCGACCAGAGCGAAACTCCATCTTAAAAAAAAAAAAAAAAAAAAAAAAAGAAAGTAGTATTTAACTTATTTATTTAAATTCTTCTATCTAATTTTAGGAGCCATTTGGTAAAGATAATCTGTACTGTAATAAGCATAATAATAGTAGTGATAAGCAATTGCTATAAATAAAAATAGTGATAAAAGGATTAGATTTAGCTTCGCAAATTTAAATCTAATAAGACCATTAATATTAATAAGAGCAGCTAATGTTTACTGGGTGTTTACAATGTTCTAAACATTTTATTTAGCTAAATCTCTTATTAAGCCTGTGAAATAATGAGATTTATAAAAACATTAAAATATCATTTAGTTCATTTCTGCAAATATAAAACGAGTATGACATAGTAGTCGCACACATCTTATAGCCCATTTATCTACTAAAATTTTGTTAAATATACTGATTCTTTTATATACAGGATAGAATAAAGCATCCTGATGTCCTCTCTAATGAGAGACTGAAATATAAACAAGTATATTACAATGGAGTATGCTATGCACAATTGCATACAAAGTATAAAAGTCATACGGACAAAACAGGAAAAACTGGTTGAAATGTTTAATTTTTCAGAATGAAAGAATTAAAATACTCAGTGAATGTTTCCTGGAGTAGATAAGTGTCAGATCAATTCATGTTCAAAATTACATGAATACATCTACTTTCTCTCCCTCACCTCACCCTCATGTGCATGAAGTGTACTTCCTAGCTCCTTGATCTTGTGTTTGGCTGGCCGGATTTGCTCTGGCCAATGGACGTTACCAGAGGTGACCCAAAGAGAAGCATAAATGCTGTTGAACGATTGAGTTTACTTCCTGGAGCTCCTGAGTTTCATAACGAAAAGAACATGCTTCAGTTAATCATAGTCTAAAAGGGATGTGGAACAGTGCTGAGCCCAACCTGCATCTTGGTGGCAAGCCCAGCTAGTTAATCCTGAATTAACCAAGTCCCAGTGGACTGGCAAATGTGTGAGACTAAATACTTCTGATGTATGCCACTGATATTTTGTGGCTGTTTTATAGCAAAACCTGACTGATAGGGTTAACCAGTAGATTAATGCTCTTCATCACAAAATGTGTTTAATTCAATATATCAATTATCTTGCAAAGATTTCAGTTGAACACTTATCATGCTGTTAGTTCCATCACATTATTGCTTGTGTATTTTCCTACTATGTACATGACTTACCTCTGTAATTATATAATGTTTTATTTCTTCCTAGGGTAAAGGGAGATACCAAAACTTCTCACCTAGATACAGAGTTGCATGTTTTTTTTTCCATCTAGAATAAGCAGGGGTAAGAAAAATATAAACAGAAATATGTGAGAATACATCATCAGCAAATTACCTTCTTTTGAGTCAAGTTTAGCTTACATTGAAAAACTCAGCAATTGGCTCTTACAAGATCTGATACTATGCATATTTTCAAGCTATCACTTGTGTTTACTACAGAAAATACTTGAGGAATTAAAAAAAGTAACATTTTGTTAATACAACTCATGTTTTTAGTGTGAACACATGTTATTTTAAAATTCTTTATTCTGACAGATTCTTATTTTTCAAAAAGCAGCTAAAAGTGCCAAGGGAGATAATAAATGAATTTACCGCCCTTCAGCTATCTCTTTTTGACCTTTATCAAACTCCACTTTCTTCTCCTTTGGGGAAGAAAAAATGATTCATATTGTCTCCTTCAACCAAGAAAAAAATCTGAGGAAAGAACAAAAAAAAGGAACCTTTCATCTGATGATAAAACAATAACTGACTGCACTATTAAGTAACCTATACAAACCTTGCGGAAAAAGGGGAGAGAAAAGATATTTTCTCGAGAAATATTCCCAAAGGTTTGATATTAATCAAACCACGTGTGATTCAGAGAAAGAAGAACAAAGGTCTGAGGAAAGATAGGCCATAAGGAGGCCTCACGGGGAGCATCCTGAGAATTTTTAAGTGTTTTAAGAATATATTCTGTTGTATGGTACATCCCATTAATCAGGTCACATGAATGCCTTGTAAATTAACACCAAAATTGTGTTAGCTTTGAGGAAGATAGCCAACCAAAAGCTCCTAGCACTGTTTCCCTACACACACACACACACACACACACACACACACAATGAATAAGCAGCTGCATTTTAATCAAAATAACTAACAGTAAGTACTTTAGAACAGCAAAGGAGCAGCAAAAATCCTGTAAAGCACAGAAACCCAAGACAACTTCTTAGAGGAGAGCACATCTTGCCTCTGCCACTCCATTCCCCAATTCTGGATCAGCCAAAACTAGGAGGAACTCCCTCCTTTTCCTTAAGGGGTAAGCAAGAAGATACCAGCAGCCCCCATAGCCACTGTGGACACTTGCAGTCTTCATCACTGGAGACTGCTGTAGTCCCCACGGGCTCCAAGCCCAGCAAAGGGAGCTCTCCAGAGCCCACAGACAAAGCTACTCCTAGAGAAGTCAACACTGCACCCCACACCCTCCCCATGGCCTGTACTACTACCGCACTGCACCATCTTTGGACTAGAGTCACTGCTAGAGTGTGTCCTGCTCCAGAAGCGAGTGGTAATTGCACTTTCTATTTATGAGACCTTCCACCAATGCAAGATGCCCACCTGGTATCATGCCATCTCTGAACCAAGCTGCTGCTATGCCTAATCCCCTAGGGCCAAGATACTACAGAGCTACTCCATCTTTTTCTCTGGTCTCTGGTGAACCCTGCCTTTAGGGCCAAGCTGAAGTGACACTGTGCTTCCCAGTGACCCAGGTTTCTGGCACACTAGAGCAGTCATGCTTCCTGGTACCACTGCTGACAATGTGCCCCAGCTCCCAGGGATCTACAGGCTTCATTTACCTATGTAGCCACACTTTCTTGGACCAAGCAGAGGTGCCTTACATCTCAGAGAATTGGAGCCTAGGCTAAGCTGTGCCACTCCACTCTCCAGGCATACAGCCACAGTGCCATGCCTACACAGAACTGGACTAGCCCCCTGAGGTCAAGCCATATACATGCCTTGCCTTTCTGGGAAGCAGAGTCATCACTGTTTTTCTCCCCTTCCCTTGGGCCCAAGCCATATCTTGACATTTCTGGGTCCTTCCAGTTGTTTCATCTTGGCTCGCAGAGCAAAGGATACTACTGTGTCCTACCATTCCAGGGTCCACATTTACAACTTTGTGGTAGCTCATTCCCTGGATCCCAAGTGGTATTGTTTGTTCTTGTTCTCCAATTGCAGCTGTGCATTGCTCTCTGAGGCCCCAGCCTCTAAAACACCTCTTCTTCTTCAAAGCCAATGCCAGTGTTGTGGCCTTCCTGCCAGGGACAGAACCACAGCTACGTTATAACTCCCTAGGCCCAAGCTACTGGGATATGCCTCAGAGGAATAAATCTTGGCTTACTGGAAAAACAGCATCCACCCTGGGCTTAGTTAGTGAACCTGTGCCTCATGTTCCAGGTGTTATAGGAGTTTCACAAGACCCTGAGACCAGGAAACTGGCACCACAGCTTCTCTGAACACCTGAGCCCTGGATCCCATTGTCTCTGTAGCTGATTGTGGGCCATGCCAACCCCAAACCCAAGAAAAATACCTTCAACTATGAGT
The DNA here is from genome assembly GCF_000001405.40 of Homo sapiens. NCBI lineage: Eukaryota > Metazoa > Chordata > Mammalia > Primates > Hominidae > Homo > Homo sapiens. The sequence continues at coordinate 11,964,301 of NC_000004.12, read as the reverse complement.
TCGAGTTATCAACCTTGAAAAAAGATTAGACGAATTGCTAACTAGAATAACCAGTTTACAGGAGAACATAAATGACCTGATGGAGCCGAAAAACACAGCATAAGAACTTTGTGAAGTATACACAAGTATCAATAGCCGAATCAATCAAGTGGAAGAAATGGTATCAGATATTGAAGAACAACTCAATGAAATAAAGTGAGAAGATAAGATTAGAGAGAAAAGAGTGAAAAGAAACAAACAAAGCCTCCAACAAATATGGGACTATGTGAAAAGACCAAATCTACATTTGATTGGTGTACCTGAAAGTGACAGGGAGAATGGAACCAAGGTGGAAAACACTCTTCAGGATATTATCCAGGAGAACTTCCCCAACCTAGCAAGGTAGGCCAGCATTCAAATTCAGGAAATACAGAGAACACTACAAAGATACTCCTCGAGAAGAGCAACACCAAGACTGATAATTGTCACATTCACCAAGGGTGAAATGTAGGAAAAAATGTTAAGGGCAGCCAGAGAGAAAGGTCAGGTTACCCAAAAAGGGAAGCCCATCAGACTAACAGTGGTTCTCTCGGCAGAAACCCTACAAGCCAGAAGAGAGTGGGGGCTAATATTCAACTTTCTTAAAGAAAAGAATGTTCAACCCAGGATTTCATATCCAGCCAAACTAAGCTTCACAAGTGAAGGAGAAACAAAATCCTTTACAGACAAGCAAATGCTGAGGGATTCTGTCACCACCAGGCCTGCCTTACAAGAATGCCTGAAGGAAGCACTAAACATGGAAAAGAATAACTGGGACCAGCCACTACAAAAACATACAAAATTGTAAAGACCATCAACACTATGAAGAAACTGCATCAACTAATGGGCAAAATAACCAGCTAGCATCAAAATAACAGGATCAAATTCACACTTTACAATATTAACCTTAAATGTAAATGTGCTAAATGTCTCAATTAAAAGACACAGACTGGCAAATTGGATAGATTTGGTCTTTTCACATAGTCCCATATTTCTTGGAGGCTTTGTTTGTTTCTTTTCACTCTTTTTTCTCTAATCTTATCTTCACACTTTATTTCATTGAGTTGTTCTTCAAAGAGTCAAGACCCATCGGTGTGCTGTATTCGGGAGAACCATCTCACATGCAAAGACACACATAGTCTCAAAACAAAGGGATGGAGGAATATTTACCAAGCAAATGGAAAGCAAAAAAAATCAGGGGTTGCAATTCTAGTCTCTGGTAAAACAGACTTTAAACCAACAAAGATCAAAAGAGACAAAGAAGGGCATTACACAATGCAACAAGAAGAGCTAACTGCCCTAAGTATATATGCACCCAATACAGGAGCACCCAGATTCATTAAGCAAGTTCTTAGAGTCCTACAAAGAGACTTAGACTCCCATACAATAATAGTGGGAGACATCAACACCCCACTGTCAGTATTAGATAGATCAATGAGACAGAAAATTAAAAAGGATATCCAGGACTTGAACTCAGCTCTGGACCAAGTGGACCTAATAGACATCTACAGAACCCTCCACCCCAAATAAACAGAATATACATTCTTCTCAGCACCTCAGCACACTTATTCTAAAATTGCCACATAATTGGAAGTAAAACACTCCTCAGCAAATGCAAAAGGATGAAAATCATAACAAACAGTCTCTCAGACCACAGTACAATCAAATTAGAACTCAGGTTTAAGAAACTCATTCAAAACTGCACAACTACATGGTAACTGAACAACCTGCTCTGGAATGACTACTGGGTAAATAATGAATTTAAGACAGAAATAAAGATGCTCTTTGAAACCAGGGAGAACAAAGAAACAATATATCAGAATATCTAGAGCACATTTAAAGCAGTGTGTAGAGGGAAATTTATAGCACTAAATGCCCACAAGATAAAGCAGGAAAGAACTAAAATCTACACCCTAACATCACAATTAAACTAACTAGAGAAGCAAGAGCAAACAAATTCAAAAGCTAGCAGAAGACAAGAAATAACTAAGATCAGAGCAGAACTGAAGGAAATAGAGACATAAAAACGCTTCAAAACATCAATGAATCTGGCAGCTGGTTATTTGAAAAGATCAACAAAATAGATAGACTGCTAGCCAGACTAATAAGGAAGAAAAGAGAGAAAAATCAAATAGATGCAATAAAAAATGATAAAGAGGATATCACCACTGATCCCACAGAAATACAAACTACCATCAGAGAATACTGTAAACACCTCTACACAAATAAACTAGAAAACCTAGAAGAAATGGATAAATTCCTGGACACATACACACTCCCAGGACTAATCCAGGAAGAAGTCGAAACCCTGAATAGACCAATACAAGTTCTGAAATTGAGGCAGTAATTAATAGCCTAGCTATCAAAAAAAGTCCAGGACCAGACAGATGCACAGCCGAATTATACCAGAGGTACAAAGAGGAGCTGGTACCATTCCTTCTGAAACTATTCCAAACAATAGAAAAGGAGGGACTCCTCCCTAACTCATTTTATGAGGCTAGCATCATCCTGATACCAAAACCTGACAGAGAAACAACAACAAAAAGAAAATTTCAGGCCAATATCCTTGATGAACATTGATGTGAAACTCCTCAATAAAATACTGGCAAACTGAATCCGGCAGCACATCAAAAAGCTTATCCACCACGATCAAGTCAACTTCATCCCTGGGATGCAAGGCTGGTTCAACATATGCAAATCAACAAACGTAATCCATCACATAAACAGAACCAATGACAAAAACCACATGATTTTCTCAACAGATGCAGAAAAGGAGGCCTTAGACAAAATTCAACAGCCCTTCATGCTAAAAACTCTCAATAAACTAGGTGTTGATGGAACGTATCTCAAAATAATAAGAGCTATTTATGAGAAACCCACAGCCAATATCTTACTGAATGAGCAAAAACTAGAAGCATTCCCTTTGAAAGCCAGCACAAGACAAGGATGCCCTCTCTCACCACTCCTATTCAGCATAGTGTTGGACATTCTGGCCAGGGCAATCAGGCAAGAGAAAGAAATACAGGATACTCATTAGAAAAAGAGGAAGTCAAATTGTCTCTGTTTGCAGATGACATGATTGTATATTTAGAAAACCGCGTCATCTGAGCCCCAAATCTCCTTAAGCTGATAAGCAACTTCAGTGAAGTCTCAGGATACAAAATCAATGTGCAAAAATCAGAAGTATTCCTATATGCCAACAACAGACAAACAGAGAGCCAAATCATGAGTGAACTCCCATTCACAATTGCTACAAAGAGAATAAAATACCTAGGAATACAAGTTACAAGAGATGTGAAGGACCTCTTCAAGGAGAACTACAAATCACTTCTCAAGGAAATATGAGAGAACACAATGGAAAAACATTCCATGCTCATGGATAGGAAGAATCAATATACTGAAAATGGCCACACTGCCCAAAGTAATTTATAGATTCAATGCTATCCCCATCAAACTACCATTGAGTTTATTCACAAAATTGGAAAAAACTACTTTAAATTTCATTTGGATCAAAAAAGAGCTCACATAGCCAAGACAATCCTAAGGAAAAAAAAAAAGAAAAAAGAAAAAAAAAACAAAGCTGGAGGCATCATGCTACCTGACTTCAAATTATACTACAAGGCTACAGTAACCAGAACAGCATGGTACTGGTACGAAAACAGATGTATAGACCAGTGAAACAGAACAGAGTCCTCAGAAATAACACCACACATCTATGACCATCTGATCTTTGACAAACCTGACAAATACAAGAAATGAGAAAAGGATTCTCTTTTAATAAATGGTGTTGGGAAAACTGGCTAGCCATATGCAGAAAACTGAAACTGGACCCCTTCCTTACACCTTATACAGAAACTAAAGACTTAAACTTTAGACCTAAAACCATAAAACCCCTAAAAGAAAACCTAGGCAATACCATTCAGGACAGGCATGGACAAAGACTTCATAACTAAAACACCAAAAATAATGGCAAGAAAAGCTAAAATTGACAAATGGGATCTAATTAAACTAAAGAGCTTCTGCACAGCAAAAGAAACTATCAGAGTGAAAAGGCAACGTACAGAATGGGGGAAAATTTTTGCAATCTACCTATCTGACAAAGGGCTAATAACCAGAATCTACAAAAAACTTGAACAAATTTATAAGAAAAAAGAAACAACCCCATCAAAAAGTGGGCAAAGGATATAAACAGACATTGAGGGATGGATAGCATTAGGAGAAATACCTAATGTAGATGACAGGTTGATGAGTGCTGCAAACCACTATGGCACATGTATACTATGTAACAAACCTGCACGTTCTGCACATGTACCCCAGAACTTAAAGTATAATAAAAAAAATTTAAGGACACATAAACTGAAGGAATGGTTGAAGGTCTTCGAAGCAAATGGTAACCAAAAGACAGAAAGGTTAGGCTATACATATATCTCATAAAATAGGCATCAAGTTAAAACTGTCACAAGACATTAAAAAGCATTATTTAATAATAAGGTGAATTTATTAAGATAGCATAAAAATTGTAAATATATATCTTCCTAACATTGAAGCACCTAAATACATAAACATTTATGGACATGAAAAAACATATAGGTAGCAATACAATAATAGTAAGGGATTTCATTACTTCGCTTTCAACAATAAATAGATTGATCAGACATAAAAATAATTTTAAGAATATAGAACTTTAATTACATTTTTGCCCAAATGGACTTAACCGACATATACAGAACTTACCATCCAACAGCAACAGAATACACATTTTTTTTTCTCTAGAGCACATAGAGTACTCTCTAGAATAGACCATATGTTAGACCAATAAACAAGTCTTACCAAATATAGGAAGATTGATGTCAAACACAGTATCATTTCAGATGACAATGGTATGAAACTAGAAATTAATAACAGGATGAAATTTTTAAAAAGTACAAATATATGGAAGTTAAACCACATGTTCCTGGACAACAAATGGGTCAAAGACCTAATCAAAAGGATTTTTCTTTAAATCTTGATACAAACAAGGAAAGTACAACATACCAAAACATATATAACATAACAAAAGCAATTCTAAAAGGAAAGTTTCTGTAACAAATGTGCACATTCAAAAAGAAGAAACATCCCAAGTTGTCTCAAGGAACTAGAGAAAGAACAAACTAAACCCAAAATAAGCAGAAGGAAGAAAAATCATAAAAATCAGAACAGAAATAAATCAAATAGAAAATAGAAAAATCATAGAATCAACAAAAATAAGTTGTCTTTATTTTTATAAAAAATAATTAAAACATACAAACCAAGAGCTAGTCTTAACTAAGAAACAAAAGGGAATACTAAAATAAATTAAATTAAAAATGAATATGAAGAAATTATAATAGATGCCTCAGAAATAAAAAGGACCATGAGGGACTATGGTAAACAATTACATACCAAAAAATTAAACAATTTGGAGAAAATGAATACATTTCTAAAATAGCACAACCTATCCAGATTGAGTGAGGAGAAAATAGCCTGAACAGACCAATAACAAATGAAGAGTTTTAAGAACTAATCAAAAATCTCCCAATAAAGACAAACCAAGGACCAGATGGCTTCACTGTTGAACTCTCCCAAGTAAAAATACTTGGGAATGAACCTAATCACAAAGGGGAAAGACCTGTATGCTGAAAATTATAAAACATTGATGAAAAAATTGGAGAAGACACAAATAAATGGAAAGATACCTCATGTTCATGCACTGAAGGATATTATTAAAACATGCATACTACCCAAAACAATACACAAATTCAATGCAGCCTCTATAAAAATTCCAATGTCGTTCTTTACAGAAATAGAAAAAAAACTCCTAAATTGTTCATGAAAACATAAAAACCCTGAATAGCCAAAACAATTCTGAAAAAGCAAAAGTTGGAACCATCATAATTCCTGATTTAAAATTATAATACAAAGCTACAGTAATCAAAACTTTTTGGCACTGAAATTAGAGAGAGAGAGAGAAACATAAACCAGTGGAGCAAAACATGGAGCACAGAAATAAATCCAAATATTTATGGTCAACTAATTTTTGACAAGGGCACCAAGAGGACACAATAGGAAAAGGATAGTCTTTTCAATAAATGGTGCTATATGCACAAGAATAAAATTGGACCCTTATCTTACAAGATACACAAAAATGAACTCAAAGAAGAGTCCTAAATGTAAGACCATAAACTGCAAAACTCCTAGAAGACAACATAAAGCAAAATATCCTAGATATTGGCCTTGGGAATGGCTTCTTCAATATCATACTAAAAGCTCAGACCACTAAGCAAAAATTAAAAAAAAGGGAATACATCAAACTAAAAATTTCTGCACAGCAAAAGAAATAATAAATAAAATGAAACAGCAGAGTATGAATTGTGAAAAACGAGTTGGAAACTGTGTATCTGATAAAGAATTAATATCCAACATTTGTAAAGAACTCATACAAATAGTAGAAAAACAATTTCATTAAACAATCAGTAAAAGGCCTGAATAGATATTTTTTTCAAAATGTATCTTGAAATGGCCAACAGGTAGATACAAAGGTGGTCAATATAATTAATTATCAGGGAATTGCAAATCAAAACCTCTATGAGATACTGATATGGGAGCAGGGCAAGAAAGTGCTGATAGAAGGAGATTGGGTCCCTGACTAGGGCTCCACCCCCGGGGCCTGTGCCCAGGAACCTAGGTGAGGACAGGCATTTCTGTTTTCCTGCCGAAATGTTGTATTTCCCAAGACCACCCTGGCCTGCCATGCCCCTATTCTGTGCCTATAAAAACCCTGAGACCCTAGCTGGCATGCACACAAGTGACTGAATGTTGAGAGGAACACACGGGCAGAAGAAGACACAAGCAACTGGATGTCGAGAGGAACACACCGGTGTAAGAGCTTACCAACAGTTACGGGCAGATGTCGGCAAGCTGGCAGGCCATCAACCAGTGGAATGATGCAGAGTTTGGCCTGCGTGGTTGGAGGGGAACCTGGCCGCTGAAAGACCCGACTCCAGGCAAAAAGCACTTTCCCACTCCATCTCCCTTCTGTCTCCCCCATCTTCTGAGAGCGACTTCCGCTCCATAAAACCTTGAGCTCATTCTCCAAGCCCACGTGTGATTCCATTCATCCAGTATACCAAAGCAAGAAGCCCTAGGATACAGAAAGTCCTCTATCCTTGCGATAAGGCAGGGGTCTAATTGAGGTAACACAAGCCGCCCACTGACGGCTAAACTGAAAGAGCACCATGTAACACATACCCACTGGGGCTTCAGCTGTGAACATTCACCCGTAGACACTGCCATGGGGTCAGAACCCCACAACCTGCCCATTTTCATGCTCCCACTAGAGGTTTGAGCAGCGGGACACTGAATAAATGAGCCAAACCCCCATCGCGTGCCCTGTGAGGGGGACAAGCAAACTTTTCCCATTTCAATACCACCTCACACTTGTTAGGATGCCTATTTTCAAAAAGTCAAAGATAATAAACCTTTCTCAAGGTGTGGAAAAAAGAAAACTCTTATACATTGTTAATGAGAATGTTTATTGGTACTGCCGTTATGGAAAACAGTGTGAAGGTTTCTGAAGAACTACCAGATGACTCACAAATCCCTCTTCTGGGCATATCTTCTAAAGAAATAAAATCATCTGTACTTTTATGTTTATTGCAGCATTATTCACAATAGCCAAGATATGGAAACGACTATATTATACATAGACAGATAGATAGATAGATAGATAGATAGATAGATAGATAGATCAAGATAGATATATTTCATGTACATATATAAACTATTCTTAAAATGTTAAGAGTTTTTATCGATAAAAGATGTTGAAATTTGTCAAATGGTACTGTTGCATAATTGAGACAAACGTGGTCTTATCCTTTGTTCTGTTAATGTGATGTATTGTGTCAATTGACGTGCATACGTTAAACCAGCCTTGCATACTAGGGATCACTCACACTTGGGGATAAAGTATACACATTTTGATATGTTGGTGGATTTGGTTAATTAATATTTTATTAAGGATTTTTACATACATGTTCATCAGAAAGATAGGCCTGTAGGTTTTGAATTTTTTCTGTTCTATATTTTATCTATACATATATGTAAAATATATACATATATACATATGTATAAAATATACATACATATATAAAATATACATACATATATACATATATACATATATGTATAATATATGATATATAATATGATATACATATATACAATATACATATATGTCTATATGTGCATGTGTATATATATATATGACTATGAAGTATAAGAGTGTGTGTGTACATAAAACTATAGAATATTATTTAGCCCTAAAAAAGAATGAGATCTTGCCATTTGCTACAATATATCCTGGAGAACACTATGTTAAGTGAAATAAACCAGACACAGAAAAATCATACTGTATGATCCCCCTTATACACATAGAATCTTAAAAAAATCATTCATACAGATAGAAAACAAACTAGTTACCATGTGCATGGGTTGGGATGTGGGGAGGAAATGAGGAGAAATAGATCAGAGGATCCAAATATGTAGCATGAACAAATCGAGAGACCTAACATACAACATGGGAATTATAGGCAATAAAATTTTCCTATATTTCTGATTCATGCTAAATGAGTGTGTCATAACTGCTTCTGCAACAAAAGCAAAGAAATGGATAATTATGTGAAGTGACATGTATTTTAATTTGCTTCTCTCTAGTAACCTTTTTACTTTGTATATGTATCCCATAATATCATCTTGTGTACCTTAAATATATATAATAATATTTTCCTTTAAAAAAATACAGTTAGCATTGATGCTGACTTTCTTATTTTGGCTTGCGTAAAGGATCTGTTTCAAGTTGGATAACAGAGTTCCAAAGGGAATGTGTGTTGTTGTGGCTTGGGAGACTATCATTCCTCTTTCTCATAGTGCGTATTCTTAGAATAGTAGTTCTGATTTCTGACCCAAGATATAAGTGATTTGACTCTATCGAGACTTCCTGGTTTGGCTTTGTTCTCGGGTGCATCCTAAGCATTAGAACAGGGACTAGCAGTTAGGGGATACTCAGCAAGTACTGGTTAAAGAAGGGATTGTGGAGTTCGTATTAAAGCTGATGCCCTGATCTCATATTCTGAAGGATTCTTCTAGTAATAGACTAAATAGAGATTCAAGAGGCAAAGCAGTGAGACTTGTCAGAGGAAAACTGTGGAAATAAAGCCAAGATAATCTGCTGACTGGTCAGTGACACAAATAGTGAAGATGTGAAGGGATAGAGAGAAAGACCTTGTAGAGATAGCACTATTGTCTCTGAATTTCTTCCTGACCTTAACACAGCTGCCTCCTCCACTAAAAAATCTATATGTAAGGAATGTTTACATGTTCATTGATCTGCTCTTTCAACCAATGTTTTGTTTTTTTTCTCTTCTTTGCGTTACCTCTAAATTAGACTCTGAGAGCATGCAGTTTATTTGGTGGGTGAAGGGAACACCAGTAGCAGAGGGAGAAAGGGGACAGAGAGGTGGACGTGGCCACTGCCCATTGTCAACGTGAAATCATGGTGGGTGATGGGCTTAAATCCACTGAGGATTTAATCAATGTAATGTCCAGACAAATTCTTATACCCAAAGGCAAATATTTTATTCTTATTCTGTTGTTCATCTCAAAATATGTCTAGCCACTATTTAATATCAGCTTGTAAGGTTTTTTAAAGAAAATCAAATAACAATATTTTTGATATCTCAATGATACCAATATAGAGATGCTCCAAATTTAAATATATAAATCCATGCTCATTAAGAAGTCCCTAGGAACACATTAAATTTCAAAGATTAAATCTCCTTGCAAGTTAAAGCCCAAAGATTTCCAAAACTAAAGAATTAAATCTACAAATTAAATGTTTTCACCTTTTCAGCTAAAAATGCAAAACAATTGAAGTCTTGTTCAGGTTCTTGTTTTGCTTAGATTTAGCCAGAGGGTGGCGTTCCTGATGTCTGAGCTCCCTCTTCTTGACAGGGCTGTAATTCCTTCATAGCACAAGAACTGATATTACCTTACAATCAAATGAGATTATAGTACATATGAAATTATTACAGCACTGAAATCTGACAGCAAAATTTAGAAATAAGATTATCTCCAGATCCAAAAACAAAATTACTTTTCCAGATCTCAGTCTTCGGTGCTGCTAAATACCTAAAAATCAGTGATATTTGTGGGAAAGATAGTAAAAGGAGATTTTTTTTTTCTCTTTTAGTCTTGCCAGGATGTCAGGCAATGTATTTCAGGATTACAAAATTTATAAAGTACAGCCCTTAATTCAGTCTTTAGCAATATCCCAATAAGAAGATGATTTGGACAGAATGCATTTACCATATCAAAGGGGAGGAAGCACCCCATGAACACTGTTTCTCCTGGGGCAGGTGTTGGAAAACTATGGCCCTAAGGAATTACCACTTTTTGGGCTGGGTACGGTGGCTCACACCTGTAATCCCAGCACTTTGGGAGGCCGAGGCAGGTGGATCACCTGAGGTCGGGAGTTCAAGACCAGCCTGGCCAGCATGGTGAAACCCCATCTCTACTAAAAATACAAAAAATTAGCCAGGTGTGGTGGTGGGCGCCATTAATCCCAGCTACTCAGGAGGCTGAGACAGGAGAATTGCTTGAACAGAGGAGGCAGAGGTTGCAGTGAACCGAGATCATGCCATTGTACTCCAGCCTGGGTGACAAGAGTGAAACTCTATCTCAAAAAAACAACAAAAAAAATAGCACTTTTTTGTAAATAAAGCTTCATTAGAACACAATTATACCCATTCATTTACATATTATAGATGGCTGCTTTCTTGGCTTTATAAAGAGACTATATGTTGTGTTAAACCTAAAATATTTAACACCCGGCCTTCACAGAAAGATGTGCTGAACTCTGTCTTAGTAGCCTTAAAAACCTTCTTGCTAAGTTTAGAAAACTGTGATGGCGGGAGCCCAGGTCCCTGGATCAGAAGCTCGGGATCACATATGTTTATTTCCTGGCATGATTATTCAAAACTTATCAGTTTCCATTTCCTTCCATGCCCTGTGTTTCTAAAATCTCATTTCTTCATTGTTCATCAACTCTGGCTAATGGCACAGCCTCTACCGTGTTTGAGGAGTGGTCTCATGCTATGGGAGCAGCTGTCAGAAACTCTGGCTATGGGATAGCATGGGTTCATGAAATTCTCTTGCTCAAGTGTTTTTCAGCTGGAGAATCATGTTCAGCAGATTTCAGTACCGAAGGTGCTAGTGATGTTCCTGAAATGTGTTCCTTTAGCGGCCTAGCAAAGAAGAATGCCTCTTCTACATGTTCTTCAAGGCACTGTCTGCCTTTCCTTTTTGGGTGTTCCGGGCCTCAAGAAGTGTCTCATCCTGCTACATCTTTTATTCTTTTATTCACTAGTGGCTGCAGTTCTCAAGTTGTGCCTCCCTCTGCTGTTCTACTCCTTACCGAGGGCCTGGCTGTGGTTGTAGAATTTGGTCTTTTTCCTTCTGGAACACACATAAGCCTAACACTTTTTGTCTGATCAGAACCTCTACTTTGTTTTTACTTCCCTTTTGCTTACTGCCTTGGATATTTTTGTTTTTATGTATTGCTAAGTTAATACATTCTGAGTTGGCCACATGTACCCAGTGTTCAAATTAATATTGTTTACCACCTTGGGTTAGATAATCCCACTCAGGAGATTCTTCTCCCATTAAATAAACATCTAACCCAGGCCTGGAAAATCTATTATATTCAGCATGGCTTCCCATTAGTATTCTTCATCTTTGCTCTCAGTTCTAATTTCATAAATTTCCCTAGCATCAGGACATAGGCCTTATTTAAGTACCCACTTACAACACCACAGGATCACCTTGAGTTTCACCCTGTAATTCTGTGAAGATTTCTAATTCTAATCAGTCCTTACACAATCTCCACCTTCTTTTAAGTGAGGAATGGGATCAAGGACAGCCAACCTAGTACTGCTTACCAAAATTTGGTACTAATAATTTAAAATGAGGCCCTCATGAGTGTTCTTGAGCAAAAGCAGATGTCAGCCTTCATTTCCTTTTTTTTTTTTTTTTTTGGAGACAGAGTTTCATTCTTGTCCCTCCAGGCTGGAGTGCAATGGTGTGATCTTGGCTCCTTGCAACCAATGATCTTGGCTCATTTTAATTCTCCTGCCTCAGCCTCCTGAGTAGCTGGGATTCAAGGTGCCCCCCACCACGCCTGGCTAACTTTTGAATTTTTAGTAGAGACAGGGTTTCACCATGTTGGCTGGTCTCAAACTCCTGACCTCAGGTGATCCACCCACCTTGGCCTCCCAAAGTGCTGGGATTATAGGTGCGAGTCACCATCCCTGTTTGCCTCCTGTATCTTCTAAGGCCCCAGTGAAACATGTATGTTATAGGCAGTTCCTGAATAATTCAAGGTCTGTAACAGCCTGCACCCTAAAGACCTCACAATAATGACCAAAGTAAGGCTAATTTTGTTTTAGCTAAAATGCTCTTGTAGAAAAAGTGACATACTTTTTAAAACTAGAATATTTTATAGAATGTCAATGAAAAGAGTCAAACTCTGTAAAATATTTGAATAGATTTATTCTGAGCCAAATATGAATAACCATGGTCTGTGACATAGCCCTCAGGAGATGCTGAGAACACGTGTCCGAGGTGGTTGGGATTTTATACATTGTGGGAGGCAGTGGAGGTGTGGGGGAGGGGAGGCTTTCAGGTAGCATTTTAAATTTTCTGTTTGACAATTGGTTGAGTTTTTCTAAACACCTGGGATCAATGTGCTACAGAAAAGTGGTCCGGATCTAGACCCCAAGAGGGGGCTCTTGGATCTCGCACAAGAAAGAATTCAGGGCGAGTCTGCAGTGCAAAGTGAAAGCAAGTTTATTAAGAAAGTAGAGGAATAAAAGAATAGCTACTCCATAGACAGAGCAGCCTTGAGGGCTGCTGGTTGCCCATTTTTATGGTTATTTCTTGATGATATGCCAAACAAGGGGTGGATTATTCGTGCCTCCCCTTTTAGACCATGTAGGGTAACTTCCTGATGTTGCCATGGCATTTGTAAACTGTCAAGGCGCTGGTGGGAGTGTAGCAGTGAGGACGACCAGAGGTCACTCTCATTGCCATTTTGGTTTTGGTGGGTTTTGGCCGGCTCCTTTACTGCAACCTGTTTTATCAGCAAGGTCTTTATGACCTGTGTTTTGTGCTGACCTCCTATCTCATCCTGTGAATTAGAATGCCTCAACCATCTGGGAATGCAGCCCAGTAGGTTTCAGCCTCATTTTACCCAGCTCCTATTTAAAATGGAGTTACTCTAGTTCACACGTATCTGACAATGGTAATTGGAGGTGGGGCCTTTGGGAGATTAGGTTATGAGCACAGAGAATATTTATGAATGGAATTGTTGTATTTATAATAGAGGCTTCAGAGAGCTCCTCACCCCTTCCATTATGTAAGGGCACAGGGTAAAGACAACTGTCAACCAGAAAGTGGTCAGTTACCAGTTATCAAATCTGCAGGTACTTAGAATTCCCAGCTTCTTCCCATTCTCATTCCTGATTCTCGTTCTCTCAGAACTGTGAGAAATAAATCTGTCATGGCCATGCAGACTCTGATACTTGGTTATAAAAGGCTTGAACTGACTAAGACAGATGGGTTAAGTAATACTGCAAAGTCCAGTAGGCATCAAACCCAAGTATTTCCTTAATCTCTGATCCAGTTCTCAAACAGTATGCTGACCCATGTCAATGAAACAGTTCAAAAAGATAAATTATAAGATAGATATTATCTGATAAGATAAATATTATCTATTCAGAAAAATAAATTATATTAATTCACTTTGGATAGTGGAATTACTTTGTGAAACAAAAAATATACACAACTGAAGTTAAATTGGGCAGAACCTGGCACAATCATGACGTACAAGAATTATTTCTTTTTGTTTTTCTCTCTTTTCCACTTTCATTAATTATTCCCCATTCCCCAACTCATAGACCTTGCCAAAAACAAATTTTTGTCCTATATTTCCTCTCAGTGGGTGATACCAAGCCACAAATTTTACAAAATTCCTATCCATGTTTGTTAATTCTACTCCTAATTCATATCCTTCCTTTTGATATAACTAGTATATCATATTAGTTATTACTAGTTTTATATAAACATTAATTTACATAAACTAATATGTTTTATAGTAGTTTCATGTTTTATACTAGTTTTGTATAACCATATTAATTTACATAAATTAATATGGTTATACAAAACTAGTACAAAACATACAACTTTTATGTTTTTTGTCTCCTTCTACCACGTTACTTCAAGTTAATATTATCTATGACCATATACTTGTGATAACTTATCACCTGCAACACCCGTGCAGCAAAATTTATTTTCTATGTTATATCCAAGAAAATATTTAATGATTAGATTATGTTATAACTGCCAGAGGGCTTCTTTCTGCCTGCTGCACAAAGAAAGACCATAGCATTGCAGTAAAAAAAGAATTTAATACACACAAGGCTGGCCTTGCCAAGTGGAAGATGGAGTTTGTACTCAAATCAGTCTCATTCAACACTTGTAGGTTACGGGTTTTTCAAATGCAATTTGGAGGAAGGGGTGGTGGTTGCTAGGCTTGCTACTGATTGACTGGGGCAAAGATGAATCATAGGAGTTCAAAGCTGTCCTCCTGCGTGCTGAATCACTTCTGCGTAAGGCCACAGGAGCAGGCTTGGCAGGTACAGATGGAGCCATGGATGTTAGACATGCAAAAAAAAAACCCTGAAAAGATATCTCAGAAGACTAATCTACTGTAGTGGTTGTTAGGTGCAGGAATGGCTGGCAGTCTATGACTATACCTTAGTAGAATTCAGATTTCTCTCTTCCCTCAGCCTGATAGTCTTTCATTAGCTCTATAAAGGTGGTTGAATTTTGGGGAAGGGCTGTTATCATTTAAACCAGAGCCTAAATGTCTCTCTAGCTTGGTCCAAAATCCCAGGAATAATTAAGGGAAAGGTAAGATGGGGGTAGGGGTGGGTTAGATCACTATACAGTTATTTTTACTGATATGATTTTTGCAAAGGTGGTTTCACTATTATTACCTATATGTTTAGAAATGGTTCAGTGATTGCCGTTTTCTCCCCAGAGTTAAGTCTCAGGACTACCTGGCTCATGTTTAACCCTTAAGCCTGATTATTCGTCTTTTTTTTACATGATTTGTCTTGCAGAAATGAATAAATTAGTGCATTACTTGAAAAGGGCCACATCCAGTAACCTATCTGACTGTTGTTCAACCATAGAGTCTCAGATGAAACATTTTTTGGGGAAGCCTGAAGTTATATTGCAGCTCCCCACCTGTACACATTTTGCGCCTATTTGGTGGTCACTGTAAGGTTAGTTTTTATACAAGATGTCAGGCCATTTCCGTGGAGATGGTGTTACCTAACCCAGGGTTGATGCTGTGAAAGGAAAATAAAAACTTGGGATCCCAATTCACTCTGCCAAAAGAAAAAAATTAACCTGAAAGCTGAGCCATGCAAGAAGCTGCCTTCCCTTTGTTTCTCATCACGTAGAGATAGAAGGTTAAATATCTGCATAGGTAGATACTCTATGTTCACCTTATCTTATGTAAAGTGTCAATTAGTGAGCACCAGATGAATCCATAATTGACTATTCTCCTACCTACTCCTTTTCTCTTGCAATGTATGGATTCAGTAATGTGACCATATCCTCCCTCTTTCTCATCTACCCTGCTTTTCCCCTTTAAATACTGAAACCCTCAAATTTATCTTTAGAGAAGAGCACGGATCTGTCTCCCTGGCATATTCCTTAACCTTGGCAAAATCAACTTCTAAATTGTTTGAGACCTGTGTCATGTACATTTTGGTTTACAATGCAACGTCGCACAGGTCTCAGCAATGGTCCAAACTTCAGAGAAAACATCCACTATAAATAGAATGACCAGGCATCCTTGTTTTCCAGGATAGCCTTGATTTGTACTTAATGTTCCTGCATAAAGAACCCTGTAAACCAACAATAAAATGCTAAGGCCCCCTGGCCTTCTGAATGGACTTTCTTTTTGACCAGGGCAATTTTAAATTTTAACCCAGAGGGACTGGCTCAGGTCATGACGGTTAGTGGGGGTTGACCATTTCCTTTATATTTGTCAGACAGCTGTGAACCAGAGCAACTCCATCTTAAATAGCAGCTGGGTAAAATCAGGCTGAAATCTACTGGGCTGTATTCACAGATGGTTAAGGCATTCTAGTTCACAGGATGAGATAGGAGGTCAGCACAAAATATAGGTCATGAAGACCTTGCTGATAAAACAGGTTGCAGTAAAGGAGCCAGCCAAAACCCATCAAAACAAAATGGTGATGAGAGTGACCTCTGGTCACCCTCACTGCTACACTCACTCCCACCAGCACCGTGACAGTTTACAAATGCCATGGCAACTAAAAAGGGGAGGCATGAATAATTCACCCCTTGTTTAGCATATCATCAAGAAATAGCCATAAAAATGGGCAACCAGCAGCCCTCAGGGCTGCTCTGTCTATGGAATAGCCATTATTTTATTCCTTTACTTTCTTAATAAATTTGCTTTCACTTTGCACAGCAGACTCTCCCTGAATTCTTTCTTATGCGAGATCCAAGAGCCCACTCTTGGTGTCTGGATCAAGATCCCTTTCCTGTAACACCATCACAGCCTGGGGATAAGATTTCAAAATATCAATGGCGGGGGGAGTGGTGACACTAATATTTAGTCCATGATATTGCCTTGTATTTAATTACTTCATTTAGAAAGTGGGATGATAAAACTTCCAAGGCATTGTCAAAAGATGAGATGAAATATGATATGTTGCATGTTTAGCATTTTGCTTGATACTGGGTAGATTCTCCAAATGGTGATTGTTGTAGTATTTAGGCATTTACTTTCTAAAATGTGAAACTAGAGGATTGACAATCAAAAAGAAAAAAACCCTGAGCATTTATTTATTCAAGTATAAAATTAAAATAATATAAACCAACTTAAAGGACATACATTTCTAGTCATTTGGAATAACTGATACTGGACGTAATTTCCTTCTGTAAGAAGCTAGAAAACTGGACAAATATATAAAGCAATTATTTTCAGACAGTATAAAATAAGGAGTGTGGGATCGTTAGCTCTGAAAGAAAAGAAGCAAATAAGGTGAATCACCCTGGGTTTTGTTCTGCGGGTACTTTTCATAATGTGGTAGAGGGAGCGGAGGTCTCATTTGAGAAGATAAAAGAAAGTTTGGGGAGGCTAAAGCAGTTAGAATTTTCAGGGATGAGTACTATAAAACAGAGAGTAACACACACACACACACACACACACACACACACACACACACACCCTCTAAAAATCTGCTTAGCTATCCCCTTGAACATGTTGCTGCAACATAGAGAATGTGATTTCAAAAGACCAGGCAAAGAAATATCAGAGTACTATTAGGTAAAGAATTCCCAGAGCTGGAAGATACTAGTATTTCTACGAGTCAGAACAGTCTCATTGAACCCCTGAGGCAGTCATTAGAGACCTGAGAAGGCTAACACTTTAGTGGTAGGGCTAAACAAACCCTGGGGTAGAAGCAACTTAGAGCTGCCACAACAAGAGTCCAAAGGTTAAGCCTTATCAATAAAATGTCAGTGTCATCCAAAGCAATGTTCTGTATCCTTTTAAAGAAGATGAATTTCAGATGTTGGAAAACATATAATTCACAGTGTTTCATATCCAATCAGAAATTATTAAGTATGCAAAGAAACAAGAAAAAATGGGGCCTATAATCAATCAATAAAAGCAGAGTCAAAAACGATAGATAAAATGATGTTAATGGAAAATGACTTCAAAACAGATCTTATAAATGTGTTTTGCATATAGCATATATAATATATAATTATATATAGCATATATAATTATATATTATATAATTAGTTGATCAGATCATGAATGAACTTTCAACCAAAATAAGCATACAGAACAATACATTGAGGCATATCATAATTAAATAGGCTGAACACTAGTGATACAAAGAAAATGTTAACATTAAAAGTGAAAAGACATTGTATATAAAAGGAAACAAAAATAAGAATGATCTGCAATAGATAATTTTATGTGTCTGTGTGGACAGTGTTTTGGATGAGGCTGACATTTAAATCAGTGAACCTTGTGTTAAGTAGATTGCCCTCATAATGTGGGTAGGGCTCATAAAATCAGTTGAAGACTTGACTAGAACAAAAAGACTGGCCTCCTTTACCAAGGGGGAATTCTCAGCAGCTTACCTTCAGACTTCATCTGCATCATTGGCTCTCTTGAGTCTCTACTCTATGGCCCCACACAGCACTGTAGATTTGAACGTTCCAACCTCCTTAATTGCGCGCACACACACACACACACACACACACACCCTATTGTTTGTTTCTCTGGAGAACTCTAATACTCCAGCAATCAGTGCAAGCCAGAAGACAAAAGACATCATATTTATGCTGGAAAAAATGTTTTGTACCTCAAATACTAGCTTTATCAAAAATATGAAATAAAAATGAAGGTAAAAAAATTTTTTTAGACAAAGACAATCTGGCACAATCTGTTGCTCACAGGCCTGCGCTATGAGAAAAGGTTAAGGAAGTTAATCAAGAGGAGAGGAGAGAAATTGCTTCCAGTGGAAATTTTAATTTACACAAAGAGATGCAAAGCATAAGAGATAGTAAATAGGTAAATAAAAGTATTTCCTGTTTAAAATATTTTAAATATAATTGACTATTTAAATAAGAAAAAATAGTGATGCATATTGGAATGGCAGAACATATGGACAAGTAAAATATATGACAATTGGGTAATAACCAACTAATGGACTCTAAGTTCCAAATTCTCTCTTCCTTGTGTGTAATAGGGAAAATCTTTTAAGGCATTTGTACTTTACCAGATGGCCTGATATTAGGCTTAATCAATAGAAATTGCTTCAGCTTCACTGGAATACAAAAGCATTTCTCTTCCTGCTTCCAGCATGCTCATCCTGTTGGACTTCCACAGAGAGAGCACTTGTTTTTACCAGCGGCCAGTGACCAGCAGCAGCAAGGCTTCCCTTTGGCAAGCTCACCCTCACTCCAGAGGGCAGATATACAGCAAATCCTATTTGGATGACAACTCACTAAACTTGTGAGCCATGGACACATCTTCTTCAAGCCAGTCTGGAGTGCCTACTAGATTGTGTCATGATCTATATTATAGAAAAACCTGCATCAACTTCCATGGTAGGAAGTTGCAGCATCTCACTCAGCTAGATGTCAGTAAATTCACAAACAAACACACAAAAAATTCTTGAATGACAGGGAGAACAAGTCACCTTCAGGAAATGACCTTACACCATTGTGAGAAGTAAATGCTTCCTATCATCCTCCAAATCTCCTCAAAAGAGATTTATGGTCATTTGCTAGAGTGATAATGCATTTGGAAAAGAAAATACACAGATTTGGTTGAGGAGCGTAAGAAACTGGCTTTAAGATGTCAGTGCCTGGGAATCCAAAACACCTTAATGTCCTACCAATAAAAATTGGGGAAATTGGAGTTCATGGTCTTCAGGTAATAGGTCAAGTTTCATCTCAAGTCTTACTCACAGTGGACCCAGTTAGTGCAGAGACTCATTCTGTGTGTATTTCCAAGGAATTAAAAAGAGGACATCGCTATAGGGTCTTAGGAGCATAATAGTGAATAATACTATCAATATACTATGACAAAAATTTCATCAATGTAATTTAAAATATGCAAGAGTTTTGGAGACATCAATATAAAAACTGAAAAGATTAAAAATTTGTAATAGCTCTATGTCTAAAATAGAAATTGAACCCAAAATTGAAAGCCATTTTAAAATAAAAACATCCAAAGCTAGATGGCCTTGTCAGTGAATAATCTCAAACATTTAAGGTAGGAATACCAATAGTACACTTTTTTAACTAGAAGAATAGGAAACACTTTCCAATGCATTTAATGAGACCAACATTATTCTAATACCAAAACTAACAAAAATATTACAAGAAAAAAATCACATTACCATCCAATATTCTTAGTACACTTATATAAAAAAATCCTCAGCAAAAGACTAGTTTATATTATCTAGAAATATATAAAAAGGATAATGCACCATAACTAAGTGGGTATTATGCCAGGAATATAAGATTATAACATTCAAAAACAAATCAGTGTAGTTCAACACTTTAATGGAATAAAAAGAAGCTAATTACATGATAATTTCATAGAGAACAATCTTATGATAAGTTCAATTTATATTCACGAAGTTAATACTCAGCAATCTAAGAATAGAAGAGAACTTTCTGAAATTGTTTGAAGACCTCTGAAAAACACACAGCTAACATTATTATTAATGATGAAAGACTGAATGCTTTCCCTTAAAGATCATGAACAAGGTAAACATATACCACTCATTTCTTTTACAATGACTAGTACTAAAAATGCTACTCATTGTAACAAGTCAAATAATAATATCAATAACATAATGGGCATCTACATTGGAAAACAATACAACTGTCCTTGGGTATGTGTTTATTTGTTTCATAGATGGCATGATTATGAAGGAAATTTTATTAAATTTATTTTTGATAGCTACTAAAATAGTAGGTGAATTATCAAAGTTGTAGAATACAAGATCAATATGTAAACTCAACTATATTTCTATACACTAGTAACAATCAGAAATTGAAATTAGAACAATGTAATTGACCATAGTATGAAAAATTAAATATTCATAGATAAATTTGGCAAAGTATAATCTGAAACATTGGTGAGTGAAATTTAAAAAATTTAAATAAATAAAAAGATTACTGATTTCATGGCTCAGACAATTCAATATTTTAAAATGTCAATGCTCCATAGATCAATGTATAGTTTCAAGGCAATGTTTATCAAAATTTCTGTAGAGCATTTTGCAGAAATTAAAAAGCTAATTCCAAAATTCATATAAAAATGCAAGAAACTGGAATAAGACAACTTTGAGATATAAAAATATATTGTTTGAGAATTTTTACTATCTTGTTTCAAGAGTATTATAAAACTACATTAAGCAAGACAGCGTGCTATTACTATAAATAAACTAGTAAAACAAATAGAAAACCCAGAACAAGAGCTACAAATTTAAAATCTGTTAATTTCTGACAAAGTGATAATTCAATGAAGAAACATAGTAATTTTAATACTCAGTACTAGAAAATTTGAATATTCTTATGGGAAAAAAAAGAAAATTAGAGCTTTACTTCTCACATTTCCAAAATGAATGCAAATTGGATTACAGACTGAAATGAAAAACCTAAAGCTATAAACTTATAGATAAAAGTAAAGCAGTAATGGAGATGACACAGTAATGGTTAGGCAAAGATTTTTAGACAAAACATCACAACATATTAACATTAAAAAGTCAATAAATTGGACTTCATCAAAAGTAAGGATTTTACTTTTCAAAAGACACTGTAAAAGAATAAAAAAACAAGTCACAGGCTAATATAAATGGCTAGCAAATCACATATTTGTAAAATAATTTGAGTTCAGGATGTACAAATAAATCTCAAAGGTCAATAAGAAATAAAAGAAACTAATAAACAAATGGACAAATGTCTAAATAGACATTTCTCCAAATAATATATACATACAGAAAATAGGCACATAAACAGATACCTATTATAATTAGTTATTAAGGAAACCCAAATTAAAACCGCGATAATATAATTATATATATATATGTATGTATACCTAAAATTAAAAAAATCCAACCATGCCAAATTTTGGTGAAGATGTGATTCAAATGAAATGCTCATTAAATTGCTGGTAGGAATATAAAGTGGCACAACTACCTTTGCAAACAGTCGCCATTTAACTAAAAGCTAAAAATATACCTGCCATAGGACACAGATATTGCAATCCTAGGTATTTCAAAACTGAAGGTATTTTTTTCAAACAAAGCCTTCTGCATAAATACTTGTAGTGGCTTTATTTTTATTTTCGATAGTCAAAAACTGGAAGCAATGCAGTCTATCAACATGTAAGTGAGTAAACAAATTGTATTTCCATATAATGGAATACTACTCTTCAATAAAAAGAATACATTATTGATATACATAATTATATTTTGGATCTCTCAAAATAATTATATTAAGTATGTCGACTGAAGAGTCACAAGGTTAAAAAATTTGCAAAGGAGAACTTTGTTTTTTCTAAAGGGTTGTACCCTGCAAAGTGGCCATTCGGACAGGCTAGGGAGGCACAGTCTCTGACAGAATCTGGAAACAAGCACTTCGAGTGAGGGAAGAGTAAGACCGGAATTTATGGTGAATAGGGTGGCTGAATATACATATTTAATAATCTATAAGCGGAGTCATAATTATAAAAGGAGAAATGTGCACATGTGCAATTGAGCTTTGTGCCTCTTCATGAGTCAAATGATTTAAAAATGGCAGCGTGAGCATGATCTAAGAGCAGAGTTTTCAACCCACTGACATCAAAAGGTGATGCCAAGGATGCAAAAATCCTCTCTGTGCGTCCTCTCCAAACTAGTCTGGTGATCATGGTCAGTTTTTAGGAAGAGATGCACAGTAAATCTGGTGAGCTGTCACATCTGCTGCTGGCTTCAGATGATTGGCCTAAGGAGACAAAGGAATGTGCTTTACATTTTTTGTTTTTTACAGCTGGTTTCTGTTTACTCCTTAGGAAAGCACTTGGGTTAAAGATTAATAAAGAGGAGTTATACTGAGGTGTATCCAACCTCCCATTCTGTCATGGCCAGGAACTCAGTTTTTAAAGTTTCTCTGGGTTCCCCTTGGCCAAGATGGAGATTAGGATTCGTTCAGTTGATTGGGAGGTTTAAGATTTTATTTTTATTTCTCAAGTGAAAAAAGCCACACCAAAAGAGTACGTATTTTGGGATTTTGTTTATGTAAAATTCCATAAAATGCAAACTAATCTAAACTGACAGAAGCAGGTTACTGATTGCCTGGGGAAGAGGATTAGCAGTGGGGAAGGGGATGTGCAGAGATGTGACAATATGCAGAAGAAAACTTTTGGCTGTGATGGATTTGTCCATTATCTACATGTAATAGTGGTTTTATAGGTGTATACATGTACCAAAACTTATCAAATAATTGTTTACATATTTTTACTTTATTGTATGACAATGTTATTTCAATAAAGACATTATAAATGTAAAAACAACAACAAAAAATATATAGTCTTCAGCAAAATTTAAAACTTCCTTTACAAATCCCAATTTTAAAAATGAAAAGTCAAGTCACACAATTGGAGAACACATTATTAAATTTATCTGAAAAAGAACTTACATTAGAATATGTAAATAACTCATGCAACTCAGTAGGAAAAAATCAAGCAAGCCAGCTTTTAAAATGGGCAAAAGACTTGAATAGTCAGTTCACTAAAGAAGAATATGAGAATATGGTAAGCACATAGCAGAATATTTAACATCATTATTCACTGAGGAAATACAAATTTAAATCACAATGGGATATCATGAAAACCTGCTAGAATGGCTAGAATATAAAAGACTTAGAATACCACGTGTTTGTTTGGGCTGTGGAACATTGTTAACAATCAACATATTTTACTGATGAAAATCTAAAATGGTACATCCACTTTGGAAAACAGTATAACAGTGTCTTATAAAACTAAACATAGGTATACCATAAAACCTAAAAATTGGACATATACACGTTATGTAAGAAAAATGAAAATAGATAGCCATACAAAAACATGTACATGAATGCTGATAGCCCTTTATTCACAAAGGGCTCTGTATTAGTCCCTTCTCACACTACTATAAAGATAGACCTGAGACTGGGTAATTTGTGAAGAAAAGAGCTTTAATTGGCTCACAGTTCTACAGAATGTACAGGATTCTGCTTCTTGGGGGGCCTCAGGAAACTTACAATCATGGCAGAAGGCAAAGGAGAAGTAAGCATATCTTCACATGCCCAGCCGGAAAGAGCGAGAAAGGGAAGGTGCCACACACTTTACAAGAATTAGATCTCAGAAGAACTCTATCAGGAGGCACCAGTAGGGGGATGGTACTAAACCATTAGAAACGGCCTCCATGATATAATCACCTCACACCAGGCCCCTCCTTCAGCACTGGGATTACAATTTGACATGAGATTTAGGTGAGGACACAGAGTCAAACTATATCAGCCTCCAACTGGAGATAAAACAAATCTTTAATAGTAGAATGTGACAGATGGACAGGAGGCAAAAAGCAAAGAGCAAACAGTTGGCACAATAAGAATCATTGGAAAATCTACGCAACTACTTGCCAGCTGAAAGAAACCAGACACTAAATAATGTATATTATTCCATTGATATTAAATTGTAGAACAGATAAAAACAATCTCTAGTCACAGAAAGCAGATCAATGGTTGTGTGAGGCCTGCTTTGGGGAGGGGATTGACTGCAAATAGGCAAAAAGAAACATTTTTGGGTGACAGAAATGTTTTCTATCTGATTGTACTGGAGGTTTCATGTATGTATATGTTTGTAAACACTCATAGACTCATGTACTTCTAATGGGTACATTATGTTTTACACACATTTCCCTTCATTAAATTTATTGAAAACAACAATAGCAACATTGTATTAGCAGCATTTCCCTTCATTAAATTTATTGAATATAACAATAGCAGCATTGTGTTAGTTTTGCCAGGGCTGCAATGGAATCTTAAACAACGTAAATTAATTTATTACAATTCTGAAGGCTAGAAACCCAAGATCAAGGTTTTGGCAAATTTGGTTTCTCTCGAGGTCATTCTCTTGGACTTGAGGAAAGCTGTCATCCTGCTGTGTCTTCACAGGGCCTTTACTCTGCATGCATGCATCTCTAATATCTCTCCCTTTTCTTATAAGGACATCAGGCCTTTTGGATTAGTGTACCACCTTAATAATCACCACCTGAAAGACCTTATCTTCAAATATAGTTACATTCTGTGATACTGGGGGTTGGGACTTCAACATTTACCTTTGTGGGAAACACAATTTATGCCATTACATTTCACCCTCTAGACCTCTATATTTCTGTTCCTCTCACAAGCATAATACATTCAACCTCATCCCAACAGTCCAAGAGTCTTAACCCATTGCAATAATCTTAAGTCCAAAATCTCTATTAATATTACCTAAAGTGTGGATGAGATGCTATTCATACTGAGGCAAAGTTTCCATCTGTAAACCTATGAAATCAGTCTAGTTGTCTGTTTCCAAAAGACAACGGTTGGACTGGCATAGGAGAAGCATTTCCATTTATAAAGGGAAAAGTCATAAAGGGAATCATGATTTTCAAGCCAGTCCAAAACCCATCAGGGCAGATCCATTCGATTTTAATGCTTGAGAGTAATGATTTTTGGCTTAGTAGCTCTGTCCTCTGGGTGCATCAGGAAGGCAGCCTCACCTTCCAGGTTCACAGGTGTGGCATTGTTGCCCCCTTCACCCTGTGTGACAGTCCTGTCCCTATAACCCTGGGTAGAAACTCTATCCCAAGGTGTCAGCAGCCTGGCCTGCAGAAACTGAGATGGGCCCACCCTCTGATTCAGGCAAAGACAGCTCCACCTTTGGGATCATTCATTAATTGGCAAATAATTGTGTATATTTGCAGTGCATAATGTGATGTTTTGGTCTATGTATATGTTATAGAAAGATTTGATAAAGCTAATTAACATATATATTACATCACCGATTTATTATTTTTTAGTGATAACTCTAGAAATCTATTTTTCCACAATTTTGAAATATACAGTGCATTATTATTAACTGTGACCATCATGCAGTGCAATAGATCACAAAAAACATATTCCTGTAGTCTAACTGAAACTTGTTTCCCATTGATCAACATCTCCATTGCCCCTCTTTGGTCTCTGGTAATTTCTGTTTCTGAGACTGATATTTTTTAGATTCCACATACAAGTAAGACTGTACAGTATTATGTGCTATTTCTTGGATAGGTCTCTAAAAGCACAAGCCAAAAAAGCAAAAATAAACAAATGGGATTGCAGAAAGTTAAAAAGCTTCTGCACTAAAAGAAAACAACAGAATGAAGACACAACCCACAAATTGGCAGACCATCCCTTGATATGAGGCTAATATCCAAAATATGTGAGAAACTCAGGAAACTTAATAGCAAAAAAATAAATAATGCAATTTAAGAGTTGGCAAAGGATCTGAGTAGAAACTTCTCAAAAGAAGATATATGACCAACATCTCCCAAACTCCACTCCCCAACCACCCTAGCCTCTGATAATCACCATTCTACAGTGTGTATATACTTCAAAATATCATGTTGTATATTATTAACATATATAATTTTTTCTGTTGATTAAAAAATAAGAGATATGAATAGATATGGTATTTAAAACAATGCTCAACATTTTAAATTATCAGGGAAATGTAAATTAAAACCATAGTAAGATATCACTTCACACCTGTTAGAATGACTATTATCAAAAAGAGGAGTGATAACAAGTGTGGGTGAGGATGTGGAGAAAAGAAAACCCTGGACACTGTTTGTAGAAATGTAAATTAGTGCAGCCATTTTGGAAAAGAGTATGGAGATTTTTTAAAAAAAACAAAACAAGTAGAATTTTCATATGATCTTCCATTTCCTTAAAGAATAACTTTATTTATTTATTTATTTATTTATTTATTTTTTGCAGCTGAGTACCTCTATTGTCTTATCCTATAGAATCCCAGAACTCCTATATCCTTACTTTATTTTTACCATCTGTTTTCCCATTAGCCCAGGCCAGCAGTGTTTCTTCTGGTAAAGCTATCTTCATTTATAGCCTTGACTTCTGCTGAAATGGCTAATTAGACCTGTGAGTGACACCGGTCATTGTTTCATGGAGCAATTGTCCAGCCACACCCTTGGTATTCTCTCCCAAACATACTTGTTCATTTTTAAAAGTATGGGATGAGAGAGTTTTCCAAATGTCCAAATTTTGGTTCTTTTCTTCTTAATGATTTACTTTCAATTTATCTCACTCCTCCTGCATTTTACTATAAGCAGCAAAGAGAAACCAAGTCATGCCTTCAGCATTTTGCTTAGAAATCTCCTCACCTAAATATCCAAGTTTGTCACTGATGTGGTTTGATTGTGGTTCCAAATCTCATGTTGAAATATAATCCTTAATGTCAGAAGTGGGGTCTGCTGAAGGGTATTTGAGTCATGGGGCTCAATCACCCTTATTACCATGGTCCTGCCCATGGTAATAAGTGAGTTCTCACTGTTAGTTCATGCAAGATCTGGTTGTTCAAAAAAGCCTGATATTTCCCCCACCCTTGCTCCCTCTCTCACCATGTGACATGCTTGCTCCCTCTTGTCTTCCACCATGATTGGAAGCTTTTTGAGACCTCACCAGGAGCATATGCTGGAGCCATGTTTCCTGCACAGCCTGCAGAACCATGACCGATAATAAACCTCTTTTCTTTACAAATTACCCAGGCTTAGGTTCCTTTATAGAAATGCAAATGGGCAAACAGTCATAATGTCTACTGTCTACAATACACTAGAATACAATTTGGCCAAGTTGTTTGTCACCTTATAACAAGAATCACTTTGTGTCTAGCTTTTGATACATTTTCTTCATTTCCATCTGAGATTTCAATAGAATCGCCTTTGACGTTCATATTCCTTTTCACAATTTCTTCCAGACAATCTAGATGTTTTTCTAGCATACATCTTAAAACTCTTTCACCTTCTTCCCATTAAAAAGTTACAAAGCCCCTTTCATATTTTTAGGTATTTGTTATAGCAGTATCCCACTTCTCAATACAAAAATCTGTATTAGTCATGGTTCTTTAGAGAAACAGAAACAAAAGAGTGAATAAACATATATACACATAGATTTGAAGGAATTGGCTCACATGACTATAATGGTCCAAACTTCAATAGAGTCTACTGTATTGTAGGCACATTTCTCTTAGTTAAGTTGATTCAAATGTAACAATAGCACTTACTATGCAGGATTTTTTGACAAATAAATGATTGTTTTTTATGATGTGAGTACAGTTTTGACACATAATGAATGCACATTTAATGATAGTTTATTTTATCTACCTACTGGGTTTTGTAAGTAAACATGGCTCCTTTGACTGGTTGTCTTTTTAATTTATATTCTTACCAAATGAATTTATATTCTCAGTGGAAAGTCTGTCTGTTTACTCAGAGCTCATGAGATTAATCAACTCAAATTATGAGTCACAAAATCTCATGGATTCTTAGCATATTTACACAGCAGATGATAATTTTGTATTCTTGAATACATTAAATCAAGTCAAAGGTCTGACATGGTGAGCACTGGGATTTCTAAAAGACTTTGTTTTTCTTTTCAGAAAACTGATTGGTGCAAATATATCTCAAATCTAACAGCTAAAGCCAGATGTACTTAGGAAAGAGCTCACAATCTCTGGGCAGATTGAACAGCAGTCCCTGCACCCAAAGAATAATATAAGTTTTGTGTCCAGTAAATTGTTGTTGAATATATTCTTGAAGAGCCACTTTTTATTTCATTTTTGTAAAGCAACACAGCACCATCTTCTTTATAATTATTTCCACTTTAATTCCATCTGTTTAAATTGAAATAAACTACTATGTCATAAAAAGATTCCTCTTTTCAAAGAGTTTATAATTGCAGTAGAACAAAGATAAACCATGCTTATTTTCAGAATATAGTTGAACTTTAGAGGATGTTACATGGTTAAGTGACAAAATCAGTGCTAGGAAAGAAAATCCAAAGATGTTCAGTAAACAGAAATATCCTAGTGGAGTACAGCAGTCAGAATGTTTTCAAAGTACAAGGTCATGATTGCAACCCCAAAACCATGAGGAGGTAATCAACTCAATTACCTTAAAGCAGAGATGTCCTGCATACAAGACAACTTTTGAATAAAATATGCCTCTCCAGCCAGAATACATCTTCCGTCTAGCTGTATTTTCAGAAAAACTGTAATTCATTTCCTAATATTATGCCACTTTGAGACATAATAATATTTGGGATTGCAAGATGTTTTATTTAGAATAGCTATATATTGCTTCGTTGGCCTATAAAAACAAGGTTATATATATTACATTACATGTCGATATTGGTGGGGGATAATTCTGCTCCATTCACTTAGGAACCAAGCTGATATATGTTCCATTACCTTGCAGTTTCATCAACTGGAATGCAAGAACATCTAGGTCTCCACAACAGAGGAAGAAATAGCCATATGATTAAGCAGACAGCTCTTATACACTTTTAACAAAAAAATTATATTCTCACTACTGTTTACAGTCCACTGATAACATGTAGTCACATGATCCTAACTGTGAAGAGGTTAGAAAATATGGGTAAGTATATAGAATGTGTCTTTCTGATTATATCTCTGCCCAAGATTGCTCTCCTGATCAAACAGTCCTTTGCTCCCTTCTTCTAACATGTAGAACATAGTCATGGCTTTCCCAAGGTAGGCAATTCAGGTTCCAAGATTGAGCCAGGAAGCTCATTATGCTCAAAGTCTGGAATCTCCAGATACTGCACAATACTCACTGTAAGTCCATACTTCTTTCACTCGGTCTAGACAGCTATGAACAAGAAGCCTAATTGTCACTTACAGACATCTAATAAAGAACAGAGAAAGAATAATATGTTGGTTATGGTTCTCCAGAGAAATAGAACCAATAAGAGATCAGATAGATGATAGATAGATAGATAGATAGATAGATAGATAGATAGATAGATAGATAGATGATAGATAGATAGATAGATAGATAGATAGATAGATAGATAGATACATAGATAGACGGATAGGTACTCGTCTATTTCCAATTGGTTTCAGTCTTAATAACTCATTGTAAGTTGAAAATATCATAAATCAAAATGCATTTAATACACCTAATCTACTAAACATTATTCAGGTTAACCTTTTCTAAACATTCTCAGAACACTTACATTAGCCTTCAGTGGGGCAAAATCATCTAACACAAAGTTTAACATATAATAAAATATTTAATGCTTCATGTAATCTATTGACTATTATACTAAAAGTGAAGAACAGAATTATTGTATGAGTGCTCAAGTATAGTTTCTATTGAATGGGTATTGCTTTCATATCTTCATGAAGTTGAAAAATTATAAGTTGAACCATCATAAGTCAGGTTCATATGTGTGTGTGTGTGTGTGTGTGTGTGTGAGAGAGAGAGAGAGAGAAAGAGAGAGAAGGAGAGAGAGGAATTGGCCCACATGATTACTGAGGCAGAGAAGTTATATGATCTGCCACCTACCAACTGAGGAACCCAGAAAGCTGGTGGGGATTACCTCAGGTGGTAGATGGCAGGTATGAGCCTGACTGCCCAAGAACAAGGATCACCAATGTCTGAGAGCAAGAGAAAATGAGTATCAGAGGTCAAACAGGAAACCAGTTTTCCCCTCCTCCACCTATTTGTTCTATTTAGGACCTCAGTGAATTTTACGATGGCCACCCTCACTGGTGAGGGCAATCTTCTTAATCAATGTATTGATTTAAATGCTAATCTCTTCCAGAAATAGCATCACAGTAACAACCAGAAATGTTTTGTCAGCTATCTGGGTATCCCTTAGCCCAGGCAAGTTGACACATAAATTAACCATCATGGGTAACTATGGTAAATACTCCCATTTAGAAAGATAAAAATGAGAGAACAGCTTCTCACTGGTCCTTAGCAATTCTTACATACCACTGGTCAGACACTGCATGCTCCCTTTACCTAGGTATGAACTTATTGCTTAATTATATTATGATTATACCCTTTAGAAAGATCTTTACCTATGGGACTCCATGCTCCTTAACTCCATCTTATTGGTGTGTCTTTGCATCCCACTATCCTTCTTTACTACATTCTAAGAGAGTGTAAGGGAATATATCCTCCTTGAACTGTACTAATTTTTTACTGTTTACTTCCCACTCAAAGAATTGTTGACTCTTAAGAATTTTTTGAAAATAATTTTTAGGGTAGGGTGGATGAGTTTTAACAGTTCAAGTTTCTTTAAAAAATCAGTGGGATTATTATGTGTTTGATTGATTCCAGTAAGTTCCATGTTCCAGTAACCATTACTGGATTTCTCTGTTGAAGAAAAAATTTCTTGCTGTGCTATATTTCAGTGATTTATCTGTCACCAGTGTGTTCTCTCTCTCCTTCTCCTCCTCCTACTCCCTCCCACCCCCTAACCAACTGATGCCATGGTTTCCGTAAGAAAACTATATTCTTTTTTTTTTTTATTATTATACTTTAAGTTTTAGGATACATGTGCACAACATGCAGGTTAGTTACATATGTAAACATGTGCCATGTTGGTGTGCTGAACCCAGAAACTCGTCATTTAACATTAGGTATATCTCCAAATGCTATCCCTCACCCTTCCCCCGACCCCACAACAATGATAGACTGGATTAAGAAAATGTGGCACATATACACCATGGAATACTATGCAGCCATAAAAAATGATGAGTTCATGTCCTTTGTAGGGACGTGGATAAAGCTGGAAACCATCATTCTCAGCAAACTATCGCAAGGAGAAAAAACCAAATACCGCATTTTCTCACACATAGGTGGGAATTGGACAATGAGAACACATGGACACAGGAAGAAAACTATATTCTTAATATGACTATTGCACTGAATAGTTTTTATTTAATATAAAAATTTAGTGGGTCAGTATATTCTTAATCTAAATTTTTGGCATGATGCGCTTAACCAGTTAAGAGATTTTGGGTTTTATTGTGACACCTTTACTCTAAGATTTGTGTCTAAGATGACTCACTTTTATTTTACTTTACATTTTAACTTAATGTATAATGCACATAGAGTACGATTTAGCCAGTGTAGTTTACAGTTCTGAGTTGTGTCAAGCACATGTGGGAATGTAATCACCACCAAAATCAAGATATGGAACAGTTCAATCACACACATACACACACACACATACACACACACACACACCCAATGCTTATTCCTCCCTTCTTGTTAAACCCTC
Source organism: Homo sapiens (assembly GCF_000001405.40). NCBI lineage: Eukaryota > Metazoa > Chordata > Mammalia > Primates > Hominidae > Homo > Homo sapiens. The sequence goes on along the minus strand of NC_000004.12, from coordinate 11,932,189 downwards.
CCAATGTAGAGCTGCTGTCAATAACTGATCTAGTCTCTGTTACGATGGTTTTACCATTTTCACAATGTCATATAACACAAACCATATACTATCTAGCATTTTGAAGCCTGCTTCTTTAATCTAGCACAGTGAATTTGATATTTATTTTTAGTTGTATGTATATCAGTAATTCGCTTTCATTTATTTCACTGCATGTGTATACCACAGTTTTTTAATCCATTGTCAAGAAGCGAGACATTGAATTTGTCGAGCTTTTGATGATTGTGAATAAATCTTCTATAAACATTCATGTTCAAGTTTTTATATAAATTTAAGTTTTTACTTTGTTTAAATTCCATTTGGGAGTGTAATTACTGGGTTACGTGAAAAGTGTATGTTTAACATCAGAAGAAACTGCCAAACTAGCTTCCAAAGGAGTTCCATTTTGCGTTTGCATCAGCGATGTGTGAGAGTTCTAATTGATCTTTATCATTGCCATCACCAGGTACTGTCAGGTTTCTATTTCTTTTTGTTCTGTTTTGCCATTCTAATACATTCTAGTGGTATCTCAGTGTGGTTTTAGTTGGCACTTCCCTTATGACTAAGGGAAATATGTTGGACATATTTTCATGTACTTTTTTGCCTTCCATATGCCTCCCTTGCTGAGGTATCTGTTTACATCATTTACCCATTTATTACTTGGTGATTTGTTTTCTTTTTATGGCATGTTGCATGCTGAGTTATTTGGCATTCCTCCTTCCTCTATTTGGTTCAAGACAGAACAGTAGAGTAACATGCTTTTACTCTGTTATCTTTTAACTGGAAATTGTGCTTCTGTGTTATGTAAATGGCATCAAGACTGCAAGCTTTCACAATCTCCATTGTTTCCTTCTACCTGAGGGATAGAACACACAGATTTTAGCTGGGAACATGGTAACCCACAAAAATAGACTAGATTTCTCAGCCTTTTTTCAGATAGATTTGACTCTGTGACTAAGTTTTTGCCAATGAGATGTATGTGGTTGTGGCAAAAACATCTTTTGCAAGTAGCATAAAAGTTAGAAAACCTGTTCTTGGTCCTTTTCACCTTCATGTTGACTAAAATGTGGTCTTAGTGGCTGGTGCTCCAGCAGCCATGTTGGACTTGAAACAGCCTGAAAAGTGGTAGTAACTGATGGTGGGACCACAAGATAGAAGGAATGTGAGTCCTGACAATAGGAAGCCATCCTGTTAGCCTTAACTGCTTAACATGAGATGCACATTAGCTCATTTAAAGCAGTTTATTTTGGCTTCTTTAGCACTTGTAGCTGAGCCAATTCCAAGTCGATAAAGGACCACAGGATGGACGAGCTTCTATAATCCCCAGCACTTTGGGAAGCTGAGGCAGGAGGATCCCTTGAAACCAAGAGTTTGAGACCAGCCTGGTAAACATAGTGAGACACTGTCTCTGCAAAAAATAAAAATAATAATTAAAAAAATATATTATCCACACATAGTTGTGCCACCTGTAGTCCCAGCTACTCAGGAGGCTGGAGTAGGATTGCTTGAGCCCAGGAGTTCAAGACTGCAGTGAGCTATGATCACACCACTGCACTCCAGCCTGGGTGACAGAGTGAGACTCTGTCTCGGGAAAAAAAAAAAAAAATCAAACAAAAAAAAAAAAAAAAGACCTCAGACCATCCAGATTTCCAGATTTCACTTTTCAGGGAAATTAGAATCTCCTCACAGGTACATAAAACGTTATAGATCAGAAAAATACATAAGTAGTAGAATTATTCCAAAAGAAAATCATTATTCAAAGACTGGGATTTTGTTAGGCTATCCATCTTTGAGATGATAATGTCAGAACCTAGCTCTAAACACAAAGGATAAAGAATTCGTTGCAGGGTGGGGGTATGTAGAGAAGTGAAGGAATAGGGGAAAAACTTTTTGATTTTTTTTTTGCTTGCATAATTTAGTTACGTTTAGTTGCACTTGAATATTTAGCCATATTTATTTAGTTACATAATTAGTTATACTTGAATATTTGGCCATATTTGGCTAATATTAGGTTTCTGATACTCAATACTTATGCACATGTTTAAGTTTAGGGTGGGGGTTCACCTTTCTCAAGGAAGAGCTGCACAGTGCTCACTGCATTCGACTAGAATGTGGAAGCAGCCACTAAGTGCATAGAGACTCAGAGCTCCTATGATGCTTGTAATGTACTCTGTTCTACAGGTACTCACTCTTATTGTGGTCTCTATTACTTTTTTTAAATTTTACTTTATATTTGAATGTCTCCCTCAAGATTTTTTTTACACTCTAGATTGCCAGTGCTTGATGAGATCAGAGAAGGCTTGCAATAATATTTGCTCAATGAATAGAAAAATACATCACCCTCATCTGAGCATCTGGCTATGGCTCTACCTTTGGAGTTTTATAGGTATATGCTTAATATTTGTCCATTCATTCAATATGCCCTGGCCTCAGATGAGGTGGGACTCACCCCTATTCTTTGGCTGAGGGCCATTGGCAGACCTGTTGCTCAGCTTGTCTGTATTCTAGCCCCACTGGAAAGCAAAGGAGATTCTGACACATAGTGCCTGAGTACTAGGCAATGTGTGGCTGAAGGATGCATGTAAACATTCCAGCCACTGTGGACCTCACACACTGTCCCAGGATACAAAGAGATAGACATGCAACCACAATACTCTGTGACAGTAAGAAGAGCAAGTGGAGTGTGTTTTGATCATGGAGAGAGAAAAAAATTCAGAGTGTGCATGAGATCTGGGAAAGTGATGGTAAAAAGTTTACTCTTGGGTATGTCATTCAAAAGCAGATACTGGGAAGTCTTACATTCCAGGAATGTGGAATGACCTGATTAGAGGGGAATCAAACTGAAGCGTGAAATGGTTCCATTTACCTTTTCTTTTGTTATTTTGCTATGTCAGCTATACTTGCTCAGATGTTCAGAAAGACATTCAGATGACCATAGGCAAAAGCCTTCAGTTCTCCATTCTGGTTTCAGTTACAATTCTCTCCTTTCCTGTTTTGAGTCTGAGTTCTTAGGTAAGTCTCCTGTTAATACCCTGGACATATTTTCCAAGCACATAATTATTTTCACTCTAAAAAGATGTTGTGTTGAACTCACTCTCTGGCTGTGCTTTTGGTACCCTGGCTATATTACAGTTCCCTTACCACTTCAGCAAGAACACCTGCCTGATCTCCAAATTCAAACCCTTGCATTTTTTTTTCCAGAGTGTTTCTTTCGGCTTCTGGAACATATGGGAGGTTAACACTTCACACCTCATGGGGCAGCCCTCAACCATACTTGAATGTGAGTTAATCTATAAATATCACAGTTTCCTTGACCCTCAAATAGAATAGAGATGTGTGCTCTATACAAGCTTCCAGAGTTTACCAAATGGAATTGACCTGCAGTTAATTGTTGTATTAGTGTTGTCTAGAGGGGCAGAATTAATAAGATAGATGTATATATAAAGGGGACGTTATTAAGGAGTATTGACTCACATGATCACAAGATAAAGTCCCACAATAGGCCGTCTGCAAGCTGAGGAGCAAGGAAGCCAGTCCGAGTCCCCAAACCTCAAAAGTAGGGAAGCCAGCAGTGCAGCCGTCAGTCTGTGGTCGAAGATCCATGAGTCCCTGGCAAATCATTGGTTGGTGTAGGTCAAATAGTCCAAAAGCTGAAGAACTTGGAGTCCAATGTTTGAGGGCAGGAAGCATCCAGCATGGGAGAAAGATGTAGGCCTGAGGACTCAGCCAGTCTGGTCCTTCCAGGTTCCTGTGCCTGCTTTTATCCTAGCTGTGCTGGCAGCTGATTAGATGGTACCCCCTCAGATTGAGGGTGGGTCTGTCTCTCCCAGTCCACTGACTCAAATGTTAATATATATTGGCAACACCCTCACAGACACACCCAGGAACAATACTTTGTATCCTTCACTCCAACTATATTGACACTCAATATTAACCATTGCAGTTGTCAATGGCAAAGCTACTCTGACAGTGCACCCTGAAATGTTGCTTTCTCTTCCGTTTTTTGTTTTTTTTACTTTTACTATTATGTATGTTGTGAATAGAAATTTAGTGCAAAGAAACAATTCTCTCATTTCACTACATCCCTGTTCACTAATTAGGTGTTTTTATTTTCTCGTGCTGTTCCTCATGTGCATTCATAACTGTGTTTGTATTGATATTTATCTAATTTAATTTACGTCCTTTTTGTTATGTAATGTTCATTATTTGTGGTTGCATCATGTTCTTCTTGAATTGATGTTCCTTTTATTTCTTATATCTCCATTCACCTACCTGGGGTTACTTCAATTTCCACATCAATAACTTATACTTGAAACTTCATCTTAGTCTACGCTTATAGGGGAATGAAAAACTAGACACTCAGGTTAAACATTTATTCTTTCTCCAAACATGGTAGATACCAACTCATGATACGGGTCTCTTGGGTGTTACCTGAGTCTTCCCAGAGAAGATATTTCTACTTCTCTGCTTTGTATCTTAAAAACAAACAAATAAAAATGTGGATCTGGCTCATTCATGAAACTGTAACTAGTTCAAGGTAGAATTGTTATGTTGCTGCTAAGGATCTATCGCTTTGATCTTTTACAAATTAAATGAACTGACTTTTTATTTATCCGTGTCTCTAAATTGATTGAACAAATATATAACCAAATTAGCATGTGATGCCAAGAGAATCAGATCTAGGTATACACATTAAATTAGAATTCCTACCTCATTGGAAAGCATCAATTTTTCATTGGTTTTAGTTTCTTCTTGGAAATTTCTGTGTGAGTATTTTCTTCCAGGTGGCTGTGTATGATCTGCATTTTTTAAACAATCAATTCTCGTCTAAATGAAGTTGGTTTCAGTATATTTTTGAAGTCGCCTACCATTCAGTTTAATAAGAGTCAGAAAAGCCACGGTGGCTGTGTTAAAAATGCAAGATCACTTAACTCGTCAAAGCTATATAAATGTGAAAATGACCAAAGGGATAAGTGAAAATAATGGAGAAGCTCAGAAGCTGGTTTGCCTCTGAAACTGATGTAATAGTTCAAAGTGATTAAATTTATTAATTACCATTTACAAGCTCCATTTTATTTGAGCTACCTATTAATGTTGTAAATATCATATGAAATAAATACGCTGGGAATATCCCTGGAATTTTTCTTTAATGATAGATCGAAGACTTGCTTCTTGTGAATGGGAGAAGTAGACACCCATTAGAGCTATTCTTCGTGAAGAGCAAAACTCAGTTCTAGAGCTATACTAGGATGAATGGCAATAAAGGTGATGTAATACAATTTAGCACTTTCTATTTTGCTTTCATAAGTTTAGGAGGCGTGTTCCTTCTTGTGGGAAGAAGACCATGCACCAACAGAATGCATTTGTGAGGAAACAAATGCTTCTGTGATTGGTTTTCTTGCCTTTCAATTTTTCAGAGATGTCTCCTAATGTCTCCACTCAGCCTTTTTTCCCAAGGCTAGACACCCGTATTTCCTTCACTTATTATATTTGTGAACAGTATTTCAGACCATCAAAATCTGGTCACTTCTTTATGTACTCTTGTCTACCTCTCAGAAGGAAACACTGATTTCTGGTATTGTCTGACGGCAGACTCTGATGGCAGGAAAGCTTTGCATTTGCAACATCTGGATCCCTCCACCCAGCATTAAGAGAAATTGTAGCTCCTGTCAGGGAGGGATAATGAGGCACAGGAGAGATGCCTGGGAAGAAAGATTTCAATAGGTAAATAGAAATTTGATTCTCATAAAATGAATATATTGCCCCACAGAGGCAGACTAGTAAGATGGTCCCCAAGATTCCTGGTTTTTGGTGTATATTCACTTTCTCCCAGTTATTCAATCAGGTACTAACACAGGTGCTGCTGCAAAGAAATTTTGCAGATGTCATTAAGGTCCCAGATTCTCCCTCAAGAGAAGGCAGTTATCCTTGGTGAACTTAACCTAATCAGGCGAGCCCTTCGAAGATATATTAGAATCTTCCTGGAAAGATATTTGAAATGTGAGAAGAATTGGACAAAAAGGAGATTCTCCATTGCTGGCTGTGATGATGGTGGGGTCTGTATGGTAGGAAAAGATGGGTGGCCCCTAGGAACTGATGGTGACTTTCAACCAAAAGTTAGCAAGAAGACACGGACCTCAGTCGTACAGCTGCAAGGAACTGTATTCTTCCAATGACAGAATGAGCTGGTAAACAAGCTCTTCCCCAGGACCTCCAGATAGAATGTGGCCCATATAACACCTTGAGTGCCTACTCCTGAGCAGAGAACACAGTTGAGATCTGCCTAGACCTCTGACCCGTAGAACTGTAAGATAATAAATGGTGTGGATTTAAGCTGCTACATTTGTGATAATCTACTATGAAGCAATAGAAAATAAGTATACCTCCACAAACTCTGACAGAGAGTCACTCTCTTTCCTGGGCCAGCAAAGCACGTGTCACTTGTTATTAGTGAGGTAGTTTGCCTGTGTGCTAGTTGCCCTCAATTAATCTTGAGAGCTCCTGCTCATACAAAATACACAGTAGCATATTAAGAGCCAGGATCTGGCATCAGACACATTGAGTTTGAGTCCTGATTCTGCCATCTTCTATCTGTGTGACCTTAACCCTCTGGCTCTCAGTATTATTATTTTTAAGTGGATAAAATAGCAGTACTCATAACCAAAAACTTATTTTCATGATATACACATAATGCTTAGCATGTACCTTTGCCCATCTTAGGTAACTAATAAAATATAAATAATGCACAACTTAATAGAATCCAAATTTTAAATCAGTGAGCATTTAGTGAACACTTTATTTCAGCCACACTGTAAAAATAAAAAAAACTGATAGGATGGAAGAATGTCAAACCCTTACTTGAAAAGCTCTTTTAATGAAATAGGATAAGCTGACACATCTGCAAATATATCACCAACTAATGTGGCCTGTAAAATAGTAATCATGAGATACAGGTAGCTCTAAGGAAGGAATGATGCAATCCTGGCATAAATGGTGGTAAGGAAGGGAAAGAAACAGCTTTCTTAGACATGTTGACATTTAACTTGGGGTTTTTTTTTTTTTTTTTTTTTTTTTAGTACTTTAAGTTCTGGGACACATGTGCAGAATGTGCAGGTTTGTTACATAGGTATACACGTGCCGTGGTGATTTGCTGCACCCATCAACCCATCATCGACATTAGGTATTTATTCTAATGCTATCCCTCCCCTATTCTCCCACCCCCAGACAGGACCCAGTGTGTGATGTTCCCCTCCCTGTGTCCATGTGTTATCATTGTTCAACTCCCACTTATGAGTGAGAATATGTGGTGTTTGGTTTTCTGTTCTTGTGTTAGTTTGCTGAGAATGGTGGTCCAACTTCATCCATGTCCCTGCAAAGGACATGATGCATCCTTTTTTATGGCTGCATAGTATTCTATGGTGTATATGTGCCATATTTTCTGTATCCAGTCTATCATTGATGGGCATTTGGGTTGGTTCCAAGTCTTTGCTATTGTGAACAGTGCTACAGTAAACATATGTTTGCATGTGTCTTTATAGCAGAATGATTTATACAGGCAACCTACAGAATGAGAGAAAATTTTTGCAATCTATCCATCTGATGAAGGGCTAATATCCAGAATCTACAAAGAATTTAAACAAATTTACAAGAAAAAAAATAACCCCGTCAAAAAGTGAGCAAAGTATATGAACAGACACTTCTCAAAAGAAAACATTTATGCGGCCAACAAACATAGGGAAAAAAACTCATCATCACTGGTCATTAGAGAAATGCAAATCAAAACCACAATGAGATACCATCTCACACCAGTTAGAATGGTGATAATTAAAAAGTCAGGAAACAACATGTGCTGGAGAGGATGTAGAGAAATAGGAACGCTTTTACACTGTTGGTGGGAGTGTAAATTAGTTCAACCATTGTGGAAGACAGTGTGGCGATTCCTCAGGGATCTAGAACCAGAAATACCATTTGACCCTGCACTCCCATTACTGGGTATATACCCAAAGCCTTATAACTTGGGTTTTAAAGAAAGGATACATATTAGCCAAATAGTCAAAGACTAGAAAACATTCTAAGCAGACCAAGTCGATTGTACAATTTTTTTGAGATAATATTGTAGAAAATATTAGGCCTTATTCAGGTTGTAGTGGCAAAAATAATACTTAACCACATTAAGGTCACAGGATGATTTATTGAATTATTTTAAGGCATATCTGAAGGAGAATCTCACTTTAGGCATGGTGAAATCCAGGGGCTCATGCAATGTTGTGAGGGACTTCCCCACTCTCCCCCTACTTCCATACCTACCTCCCCTCTCTTCCTTGGTTCTTATTTTTCCCCACTCCCTCTCCACTCTTCCTCAGCTTTTCTCTTGGTGTTTTAACTTTGTTCTCAGGCAGAATCACTTCAGCTGGTGGAAATTAGGGTTTATAATTCTATGCCTACATCCTAATGGTTGACGAGCTAGGAAAAAGACAGATTCTCTGTTTCTCAACAACCATGTACCAGTTTTCACAAACAACCTCCACTGGCCTTCATCTGCCCACCTCAAATTGTACCGTGTGGCCTACTCATGTCCCACACTTATCTTGGTGGATGGCAGGCAAGGTATTGCAATTGACAATCTCCAGGAAAGCACATAAAATGGGCGATGAATGGATCAACTACCCAAAGGAAAACTAGGTGAATTAGGAAAACTTACCAGAAGAAAGGGGAATCAATTTTGGCCAAGTGGAAACAAATAGAAAATGTAAAAGATTTTGTATCATTGGAGCCTAAAGTGGGAGGAGTTGAGGTGGAAGGCAATAAACTAGAAATGGGTCAAATTGTGATGTATCTTACACCATCCTAAAAAGTTTCAACTTCATTCTGCAGGTGATTCGGCATCTAAGGACTCTAATTAGTATAAATAATTGGTTGAATTTTTAGTTTCAAACTATGATACTGATTTCCTGGTGGAGAATGAACATGGCTGATATTTGCCAGGGTTTTTGGAAGCCACACAATACCAGCGGCTCTCTCTCAATCCAAACTAAGGTAACAGCACCCAGCAATGGAAGTCCAAAGACAAGCCCTGTAGGAACTACTCACCATTTCACTGGCCTTTCCACTTAACATTCATCATCTTTAAATGCACGGCTGTAGGCAGCCACATCTTCTAACGCAAAGGTCAACATGAAATAGCACTCTCAAGTAGCACATCAAAACAGCCTTTTGCGACGTGGCATAATTGCTTGCTTAAGTTCTTGTATATTACATGATCTTTCTTTCAGAAGTCCAGCGTTGCTGCCAATTCTCCTTTTTTATAATTCCTTTTCTAAAACTGTGCTACCTTCCAATAGCTAAAGATTTCTTTTGTGCAGGAGAGCCTCCAGACTGTTATTATTTTAGTATTTTAATTTCATTGTCTTTGCATAATTGTATACCTTGAAAAATTCATTCAGGGTAAAAAAAAATGCTTCATGAGCTAGACTCTTATATTCATTTGTTCATTACTTCACTAATACAGTCAGTCACCAACTTATTCATCACACATCCGCTGTGTACAAGGCTTTATAAAATATGTGGTTTCCAAGATGGAAAAAACGAAGTCTCCAACTATTGAGAATTTAGAGCGTATTGGAAAAGTGGCAAGGTATTGTCCATGATTTTCTATAAGGGAAAAAGGAGCCAAGATCAAACCCTACCATAAAAAGGTGTAATATCTCAAAGCTATTGCAAGATTTTTTTTCTATAATGGGTGACTATTGTAGAATAGAAAAAAAAAATGCTTTTGCCTGAAACTTGTTGCCCAAGGCACACGTAGCTTCACAAAGTCTTACTTAAAATAGTTCAGTTCATTTTCTTACAACCTGTCACAGGTGGGATTCTTCAGGAAGTTGACTCACATGGAGATCTGCATGAGGAAAGGTTATTAGGGAGTCCCCTTGGAGTCAGCATCTGTGGAAGATACGGGAAAGATGCAGAATTGAAGAGAGAGAGGTCAAGGAAAGATTCAGTTTCAGTCTCAAGGGACACCTCACCCAGCTCTGTGGGGAGTTCTGCAGATGGGACCACCCTTCAGGGCTGTCCTGTGTTGGAGTAAGAAGGCCGGGTCTTTACACCCCTGTTTCAACCAGTCATTGAACACTGGCCACCCCAGAAAGGCTGTAGCCTGGAGCAAATAGCCCTCTTCAAGTGAGACAGTCCTTACGGGAGGCTGATAATTCAGGGTTATCTGCTGGAAGTTCTCCCGGTACCTGGTTTATGAAGTTCTTTATTTCTGAATCAGGATCTGTATACCCCATTATAACATCCACTGTATCAACATTGTCTGCAAGACTATGTAGATGTTACATGGAAATATTACCTTTTGTACAGTCTAAAATCAGTTTTCACCGAGCATTTACTTAGGCTAAGCACTAAGGTAAATGCATGGAGGAAAGGGTCCCTGAATCAAAAGCACCTGCACAGGATGCTTCTATGAGCATGATTTAATCTTTTATTATGCTTGGCTACTAAAAATTGCACAGGATGCTTCTATGAGCAGGATTTAATCTTTTATTATGCTTTGCTACTAAAATTAGGAATTGGTAGAATTAGAATTTTTAGCATGAGCTTTATCCTGATACACACTCCAACTCTCCCAATATGTCAACCATAACTTAATTTCAAATCCAATTCTTGAACCTCAACACTAAGCCAAAATACTACTAATACTAAATTTATTAAGCATTTGCCCTGTGCCATGTACTATTCTGAGCACTTTTACATGTAATAACTCATTTCAGCCTTACAGAGATTACCAGAGATTTCCTGGTGTGTATAATATGATCTTCAGCTTATAAATGAGGAAACCAAGGTACAAAGGAGTTTAAAGCACTCTTCCACAGCTGCATAGCCCGTAAGACAGTTGAAATTTGAAGCTTAAATACATTCTCTGCCATTGAAGACCTCATCATTATAGAATCTTGTCGTTGAAGGATTGTATTAATAGTTCTAATTATTCACCCGGTCTGCATCTTTGCCTTTTTTCAAGTGACCCTGCAGTTCCCTCCCATTCTCGGAGGTGGAAACCGCCCAATCCTTGACTCTGGATCCAGCCGTGTGATTAGCTTTGGCTAAAGAGTCTTTTAAAATGTATGCAATTGAATTTTTTTTTTTTTTTTTTTTTTTTTTTTTTTTTTTTTTTTTTGAGACCGAGTCTTGCTCTGTTGCCCAGGCTGGAGTGCAGTGGCGCGATCTCCGCTCACTGCAAGCTCCGCCTCCCGGGTTGACACCATTCTGCTGATTCAGCCTCCTAAGTAGCTGGGACTACAGGCACCCGCCACCACGACTGGCTAATTTTTTTGTATTTTTAGTAGAGGCGGGGTTTCGTCGTGTTTGCCACGATGGTCTCAATCTCCTGACCTCGTGATCCGCCCACCTTGGCCTCCCAAAGTGCTGGGATTACAGGCGTGAGCCACCGTGCCTGGCGAAGTAAAGTCTTAAAGTACTTGGCTGAGTGGGTTTGTTCTTCCTCATTTTTCTGCCATAGACATGACAACATGCCTGGGATTGCCTGCCAGGAACAGCAGAGCTCCTAGCATACCTGTAGCTGACCACAGGCACATGAGTGAGCCGGCACAGATTGGATGAACCCAGTCAAAAATTGAGAAGAAAATAAACATTTACTGATGCATGCCAATGAGGGCTTGATGATGTTATGGGACAGTTGCATGGAAATGCAAATAACAAATGCCAACAGAGTTACAAACAGACAATGTAGTTAGGTAGAAATGCAATGAGAAGCAGAAGCACAGGATACAATGGGACCTTATGAAGAGTAGTTAGAGGCTGAGGGACAGACGATTTAATCCAGACTTACTACTTAGTGAAGGAGTCTTGAAGTAACTCACATAAAGTCAGTCCTGGAGAAATAATTTCCAATATGGAAATATTGATTGTCAGGGAAGCATGTCTTATTTATATCCAGAAATATATATCATGACTGGACCATTCTATTTGCAACAGCCATGCTTATAAAAAGTTGCATGCAATTCCAAATTTAACGCATCTAATCTCACTTTTAAGGCAGTAGAAAGTTCACTAAGCAAATTCTAAGATTAAGGGGTTTCTTTTTTTTAAAGGGGAGAAAAATATAGAAAGTAAATAATTTCCAAATATATCTGTTACATGTTGACTTCAACTAGATACACCTATATAAAACATAAATATATGTGTCATTTCAAATTTTAAGCAGGACAAGTTACTTCTGCTGAATCCTAATTCACACATGGTTATATTTTGAGTTCCAGATTTACACATTTTCTGATAAAAATATTAATTATAAATATAACATGCAAAATATTATTCTACTTCTGCATGATTTTTCACCTTAAAAAATCTTTCTCCAAAATTGTTTCTCCTATGAAAAATTGTTTTCTCCAAAAATTGTTTTCCTGTGAAAAATGTCCAAATCCTCCCTTCAGGGTTTGAAAGCTTTCCAAAAGCTTGAATTCTTCTTGCCAGAAGGCAGACTTTCAAGAGAGAAACAAACACATAATAATGGGGGATGTCTGTGTAATCTTCTTTTTTTATTATTAAAAAAAATAAAAATCTCTTAGTAGTGGCTGAAAACTTTATCTTATTTTACCAGAACTGTATATGAGTCCTATTAAATTTTATTCTGTCATTAGTCAAGCCATGCTTTTTTCAACTTTCCAAAAATCCTTGAATAAATAATGGACTGACTGACCTTACTCTGTGAATTCACTCAATAAGCAAAGCACTTACCATGTGCTGTGGGTGCCGTTAGGTCCTGTGGATCAGAGGTCCCCAAGTGTCTTGGCACCAGGGATCTGTTTCATAGAAGACAATATTTCCATGGACTGGGGGCAGGGGATGGTTTCAGGATGATTCAAGCACATTACATTGCATCTATTTTGCACTTTATTTCTATTATTATTACATTGTAATATATAATGATAGAGTTATACAGCTCATCATAATATGGAATCAGTGGGAACCCTGAGCTTATTTTCCTGCAACCAGACAGTCCCATCTAGGGGTGATGGGAGACAGTCACAGATCATCAGGCATTAGATTCTCATAAGAAGCATGCAACCCAGATCCCTCACAGGCACAGTTCACAATAGGATTTTTGCTCCTATTGTGTCCAGAATTGGTGGGTTCTTGGTCTCACTGACTTCAAGAATGAAGCTGCAGACCCTCATGGTGAGTGTTACAGCTCTGAAGGTGGCGTGTCTGGAGTTTGTTCCTTCTGATGTTCTGATGTGTTTGGAGTTTCTTCCTTCTGGTGGGTTTGTGGTCTCGCTGGCTGAGGAGTGAAGCTGCAGACCTTCGCCGTGAGTGTTACAGCTCTTAAGGCAGTGCATCTGGAGTTGTTCGTTCCTCCTGGTGGGCTCGTGGTCTCGCTTGCTTCAGGAGTGAAGCTGCAGACCTTCGCGGTGAGTGTTACAGCTCATAAAAGCAGTGTGGACCCAAAGAGTGAGCAGTAGCAAGATTTATTGCAAAGAGCGAAAGAACAAAGCTTCCACAGTGTGGAACGGGACCCGAGCAGGTTGCCACTGCTGGCTGGGGCAGCCTGCTTTTATTCTTTTATCTGGCCCCACCCACATCCTGCTGATTGGTAGAGCCGAGTGGTCTGTTTTGACAGGGCACTGATTGGTGCGTTTACAATCCCTGAGCTAGACACAAAGGTTCTTCACGTCCCCACCAGATTAGCTGGATACAGAGTGTCAACACAAAGGTTCTCCAAGGCCCCACCAGAGTAGCTAGATACAGAGTGTCGATTGGTGCATTCACAAACCCTGAGCTAGACATAGGGTGCTGATTGGTGTATTTACAAACCTTGAGCTAGATACAGAGTGCCGATTGGTGTATTTACAATCCCTGAGCTAGACATATAGGTTCTCCAAGGCCCCACCAGAGTAGCCAGATACAGAGTGTCGATTGGTGCATTCACAAACCCTGAGCTAGACCCAGGGTGCTGATTGGTGTGTTTACAAACCTTGAGCTAGATACAGAGTGCCGATTGGTGTATTTACAATCCCTGGGCTAGACATAAAGGTTCTCCACATCCCCACCAGACTCAGGAGCCCAGCTGGCTTCACCCAGTGGATCCTGCACTGGGACTGGCAGGCAGCTCCACTATGAGTCTAGTGTCACTGCTGGCTGATCTAACAGGAGGCAGCGCTCAGGTGGTAATATGAGCAATGGAGAGTGGCTGTAAATACAGCCTTTACTTGTTCAACTGTGGCTCACTTCCTGATGTGCAGTCCAGATCCTAACAGGCCACGGACCAGTTGGGGACCCTTGCTGTGGATGCACATGGAAACAAAGTGGAAGCTCTGCCCTAAGAAGCTCATGATCAATTGAAAAGAGACATGTAATAAAATAATTAGAATAAAGTGACCAATAATATTCATATCTAAAAAGTGCTTTTAGAATAATGGAATGAGAAATGAGTAATTCTAAAATAAAGACCAGTAAAATAGCAGAGTTTTATTTTATTATCTGAGCATTCTTAAATTTTCTGTTTATTCCTCATCTATATCAGTAGTCAACAAATTTTTCTTTAAAAAGTCAGATAGTAAATATTTTAAGCTTTGTGCACCATAAGATTTCTGTGGGAACTACTCAATTCTTCCATTGTAGGGCAAAAGCAGCCATAGATAATACGTAAACAGATGAATGATGCTGTTTTCCAGTAAATCTTTACGTCTAAACTAGGCAGCAGTCTGGATTTGGCCGACGGGCTACAATGCACCTACCCCAGTTCTACACGAGCTTAAATTTTGGTGTCCTCAAGGCCGGGCATGATGGCTCATGCCTGTAATCCCAGCACTTTGGGAGGCCGAGGCAGATGGATCACTTGAGGTCAGGAGTTCGAGACCAGCCTGGGCAACATGGTGAAACCCTGTCTCTACTGAAAATACAAAAATTAGTTGGGTGTGGTGAGGAGCACCTGTAATCCCAGCTACTTGGGTGGCTGAGGCATGAAAATTGCTTGAAACCCAGAGGCAGAGGTTGCGCTGAGCCAAGATCGCGCCATTACACTCCAGCCTGGGTGACAGAGTGAGGCTCCATCTCAAAAACAAGTGAATAAAATAAAATAAATGAATTTTGGTTTCCTCAATTTGGGGATTCTTTTCTTCTCACTCTATATTTCCCACTTAGGTGGTGCCACCTACTTCCATGGTTTCAAATGCCATCCATTTTCCAAGATATTTCAAACCTATGCTTCAGACTTGATGCATCTTCTAACATCCAGACCCATTTATCTAGGTTCCTGTTGAACATTTTTTTCTGAGACTGTCTCACATTTCTGTCCAAATTAAGAAAGTTCATCTCACCATCTCCACTAAGCCTCTCATCCAGACCTTGCTCTGAATACCTTTCTCTCTTTCCAAAAGTAGCAAGTCTAGCCACCTTTTATTTATTAGTTCTCCAAACTCCTTCCATATTTTTATCTTTCTTCTTTTCTTTTTCCATTCACCTATTTCCTTAAGCCAGAAAACTGAAAACCAGACATAACACCTCCTTCTCCATTACTCTCCATATTAGGTTTTCAAATTCAGTTAATTATAGCCCTAAAAGAGCTCTCAACTGTAATCACCTCTCTATATCACCACTGCCACACCAAGTTACCATCACTTCTGGCATGGACCACCTTGATGCCTTTGTAAGGGGTTTCTCAGGATCCAGTCATCCACTCTTATGCTCTTCTACTACATGTTATATCCATTCTAGAATTTCTTTTTTATCGGGGGAGGGAGACAGGGTCTTGCTCTGTCATCCAGGTTGGAGTACAGTGGTGCAATCCTAGCTCACAACAGCTTCGACCTCCCAGGCTCAAGTGATCCTCTCACCTCAGCCTTCTGAGTAACTGGGATTATAAGCATAAGACACCATCCCCAGTTAATTTTTAAATGTCTTGTAGAGAAGGAGTCTTGCTACGTTGCCCAGACTGGTCTTGAACTGTTGGCCTCAAGTGATTCCCCTGCCTTGGCCTCCCAAATCACTGGGGTTACAGGTGTGACCCACTGTGTCCAGCCTCCAAAGTGCCTTTTTTAATAAGACTTCTCATTATGGTCATCCCCGCTTCAAACCTGTCAAAGGATTCCTTGGGCTCTATGGATAGGTCCACATCCTTATTACTCTTCCCACACTGTATCCTTATCTCATAACCGTGCTTATTAGTTTCCTATCACTGTTATAAAAATAACCAGAAATCTAGTGCCTTAACACAAATTTGTTAACTTACAGCTCTAGAACCCAGACGTCTGAAATGGTACTCAAAGCCAAAATCAAGATTGGAAGGGCTGTGTTCTTTCTGGAGGCTCTAGAGGAGAATTCATTACCATGCCTTTTTCGGTTTCTAGAGGCCCCATATTTCTTGCTATGTGGCATTTAGTCAGTAATCATGTCTTTCCGATATCTGCTTCCAGTGTCACATCTTCTCTGGCTCTGCCTCTTCTGCCTTGTATAAGGACTCTGTGATTCCATAGGGCCTGCTTGAATAGTCCAGGATAACCTCCTCATTCCAACATTGACCTTCACTTAATCACATGCACGGTGTTTCTTTGCCAAAAAGTTAGCATGGCCACAGATGCTGGAGATTAGAGCATAGGCATCTTTTGGGGGCTGCTCTTCTGCAAACCAATCTTCATCTCTCAATTTTCAGGCTCCTAACATGCTGGCCTTCACTATTGCATTGAAAGCAACTATCTTCTCCTCCTCCTGTAAGACCTTTATACATAATATGTCCTCTCTCTGAAATTCTCTTTCTTCAACTCCACCTTTGGCTAACTCCCAATGACCCTTAACATGTTAGTATACATATTCCTTCTCCAGAGAAACTTTGTTTTACCCTCTTAATCCCTTTGAAGTTAACCTTAGTTTATTCTCTTATATCCTCCTATACTTTTCTGTTTTAACATGTTTCACAGTTGAACTTAAATTCCAGCATAATTATTTGTTTGTGGTCTGGGCACTCCTTTAGATTGCAAGCTTACTAAGGGCAAGAGCACTATTCATATTTACCACATGTTATACGAAGCACCTAACACATTGTACCTGCCAAACCAAATATGAATGGAATTAGTCAATAGTTTAATAAAAAATATTAATTTGTTAAAACAATATTTCAAAAAGGGTAATGAAATATTACCCTTTGATCATAATTTTAAATGATGACTAATTTTAAAGACAGATTATCAGAGGATCAAGATATGTTTTAGGAGAGGGGAACATCTTTTGTAAAAGTTCGAGTAAAAGGACATTGTTCAGGGATTACAAATAATTTGAAAAGACTGGAAGATACATTCCCACAGTTGGTGGTGGTAAAAGTAGGACTAAGATGTAAATAGAGACCAGATCATAAACTGTCTGTAACATTTAAGATGCCATCAGTGGCAAATAATAGTTAACCTAACCTTAGGCACTTAAGGAATACAGGTTTCTAGTCAGTGTCCAAAGGTAAGCTGTCCTGGATCAGATTCAGTAGCTCAAAAGTATTAGAACACTGGGTTTGAATCTCTGGCATTCTCTTGGTTTTTCCCTCATTGTTGCAATGGCTGCCATAGCAACAAACATTCTTAGAGTCCCTCAGAACAATGTCCCAGATACGGAGGGAGAGAATGGGAGGAAAAGGCTCCTGACTTGCATTAAGCTCCCCTTTTTTTGTAAAGGAGAAAAAAATATTTCCAGAAGCTCCCAGTAGATTTTTTTCATTTTGTTTAGGGATACCTATTTAGAAAACAAAAATACAAGATGCTCAGTTAAATTTGAATTTCACTTAAGCAATAATACTGTTTAGGATAATAATCACAACATACTTATACTAACAAAAAGTTATTTATCTGAAATTAGGATTCAACTGAGCACTAGGTATTTTATCCGAGAATTCTACTCTTATTTCAATAGTGAGAGCAGGATTATATACGCTTACCCCTAGACTAGTCACAGGTAAATATTAATGCAGATGCCATGATGAGCTTAGTTTCCTGGGCCTGGGCACATTGCCAAAATAGGGGTATAGTTAGTAAAGTTAGGAAAGACTGGTTGTTATATGGGTACCCAACTGTGCCAGCCACAGGATCTGTGTAAATTGGTAAGGTGGTTTTATTCTTGTCTGTAGATGATGTGGAAGTGTTGGAGGATTTAAGCAAAGGAATGATATAATTAGTTTGGAAATGTGCAGGTTGGTAAAATTAGAGGAACAGATATCAGATAAGAAGCTATGACATTAGATGTGTTATAGAATTAGGAAGGCACTTGAACCTAAGAAATAGCAGAAGGAAGTTAGAAATATGTAAGAGGATTATATATGTGTATTTATTGATCATAGTTGTCAAGATTTCAGACTTTGGAATAGAATTTTTTTTGCATTATATTTTGGCTTTGCTGTAAAATATGTGTGTAAGTTTCTTTATCTTACTGGCCTTAGTTTCCTTATCTCTAAACATGAAGATAATAAAACTATGTGATTTATTATGGCATTGAATGAGGTTTCAATTAGGGTTCTCCAGAGAACACACACACAAACACACACACAGTGTGCATGTGTATATATTAATTCTGCCCCCTTTTTATATAAACATTTGTGTGTGTGTGTGCATGTGTGTGTGTGCATGTGTGTGTGTGGGGTGTGTGTGTGTGTGTGTGTGTGAGAAAGGGAGTTTATTAGGAAGAACTGGCTCACATGATTACAAAGTCCCACGAGACGCGATTGCAAGGTGGAGAATGAGAGAAGCCCATAACGTGGCTCCCAAGGAAGCTAGTAGCATGGCTCAGTCCAACTCCAAAAACCTCAAAATCAGGAAAGGTAACAGGACAACTTCTAGTCTGAGGCTGAGGGCCTGAGAGCCCCCGGAAGGTTTCTGGTAGAAGTTCCAGAGTCCAAAGGTCAAAGAACCTAGAGTTTGTTGTCCAAGGTCAGGAGGATAAAAAGACTTACTGCTCTGGAAGACAGAGAACAGTACACAAAAAGTAAGCTAAGCAACCTTACTGCCCTCCTTCTTTTGCCTGCATTGTTCTATTAATAGAGCTGCACCCATGGTAGATTGGATGATGCACATTCACACTGAGGGGTAGTCATCCTCCCTCAACCCACTGACTCATTGAAAATTCCCTCACAGACACACCCAGAAACAATGCTTCACCAGCCATCTGGCCATCCCAAAATCCAGTCTAGTTGACTGACAACAAATATTAAAAAACAAAATGAGCCTAATATGCATTTAATGGATGTTAGCTGCCTTTATTATTTTGGTTTTACTGTTAGTTTTGTTGTTATTATGTATTATGACAGATATGATACAGTGTTGAGGATAAAAGATAAAAATTCTCCCAAACCTGCTGTACTCATGATCTTTCCCATCTCAGGTGATAACAACTCCTTCCTTCCAGATGCTCAGAACAAAAACTTTATTGTCACCATTGATGTCTCTTTCTCTCACATTCTATATTCAATTTTGGGGGGATTCCTTCTGGCACTTAGAATATATTCAAAATGCATCCAGAATTCTGCCATTGCTCACCACTTTCCCTACTGACCCTCTGGTCTGAGCTGCCATCATCTCAGTAGATTGGGGTGAGCACTGCTCTAATAGACTTCCCTGCTTGTACTCCAGTTCCCTGTTGTCCATGCTCAGCACAGCGGCCAGGGTGCTTAACCATTAGGTCAGATTTTGCTGCTCTTTGCTCATTCTTGCAATGGCTTCCCACTCTACTAAAAATAATAGCCGAAGTGTTTAAACTACATGACTGATCCCTATTTGCTCGCCGACTTCACCAGCTATGGGTCCTTTGCTAACTCGGCTTCAGATACTTTTATTTTATTTTATTTTCCAACACTCCTGCTTAGGCCGTTGGTCCTGGTTCATCTGTCTGCCCAGGCTAGTCTTTCTGCGGATATTTAAATGCCTCATTGTTTAACTCCTTCAAGTTTTGCTCAAATCACGCCCACTCAATGAACCCAACTTCAGCTACCTTATTAACAATGTCAAGCAACCATCACCACCCAACATGGCATTCAACATTCCCTTCATCTATTCTGATTTTTTATCTGTTTTTCCCATGGCCCCTTATTGTATTCTAATTTACAACATAATTTACTTATTTGTTATAATTATTGTTTGTTATGTGACTCTTCCTCTCTAGTTAGAATGTTGGTCATCTTTATGTGTTTTGTCCAACGACATATCAGAGCACCCAAAACAATGGGTTTTGGGTATTCAATACAATACAATGACTAGTAGGTACTCAATAAATATTGGTTAAAAATACTAAGTTTTTACTGTATGTGGTTGCATATATGTCTTCACTCTTGCTCTTTATATTTTAAAAACAAATAACTATTAAATACTTATTCTATGTTAGGCATAATTCTGATTATTTTACATGTCACTGGATGCTTATAAGAATTTTGTGGTATGCATCTTTCCATAGCAGTGAAACGCAGTGGCTAAAGGCAGAAATTAGGGATATAGTACAGTAGACAAAATCTCAGAATTTCAAGTTATTAAACATGGATGTAAGTCTTGGCTCTGCCACTTCCTGGGTATAATGCCTTGAGCAAGTGATATAACCCCCTCTTGCCTCAGTACCTAGACTTCCTCATTTGGGAAACCAATATAGTCCATTATAGTACAGCCCTCATAATATCATTGTTACTAGAAAGGAGTTAACACATGTAAAGTATTAGGATGACATCTGGAACAGAGCATGTGCTAAACTAATGTAAGCTATTATTCTTACAATTAATATTTTGTCAGTTTTTCATATTATGGACCTGAGACTTAGAGAAGCCAATTAACTTGGCCAAGGTCACATAGATAGTAAAGAGGCATTTAGGCCTTTGACCCCAAAACTGTGCTTTTAACCACCATGCAACAAGAAACACAAAAAGAAAAGTCTTTTGGGGGGAAATATGATGAGTTGAAATATGGATTTTTATATCTTCACCCCAGGATATTTTCCAACTAAATTTAGACTTCCTAGAGAATATCAAATTTCTAGCTATATGTTTAATTTTCTCTCCAAGCTGGCATAAAGCAGACTTGATCTTTGGAAGACAGCAGAATTCATGTGATTATTTTCATGGCCTTTGCCAAAAGTCAGTCATTTAAGCATCTTCACGGCACGAGACCAACTGCTTTATAAATCAGCTGCTCTGTGAAAAAGTTTAAAATCTGATAGATTTGCTGACAAGCATATTTTATGTTTGATGTGCATGCATTTTTTGCAATGATAAAAATAGAAGCCCTTAAGAGTTACTGAGTAGTTTGTTTTCCCTTCTGTCTCTTGAATATTTTGATCTTAAGAAAGAGCAGATGTCTTGCTCGTTTTCACCTGTGTTTCCAGTTTTAGCTTCCACAGTATGCATTACTTCATTTATAAGATAATATTCCTACCTACTATGTGCAAAGTTGAATGTATGTTGTCTTGTGTGCAGACTCAAAAGCATCAAATATTGCATTATAATCTGGTAGGAAAAATGGAAAACCATGAATGCGTCAAATCTAGCAGTAACACTTCAGTGCAAGCCATAGTCATTCTTCATCTAAAGCACTGCAATAGCCTACTCATGCTCTCCCAGATTCTCTAAGCCATTCCACACTTAGAAGCCAGAGTGGTTTTATTGCATTATATACCTAATCATGTTTGTCCTCCACATAAAATCTTTTGATGGCTTCCCATTGAAGTAAAATCCAAAGTCTTTTCCATGACCAGAAAGACCATGTATGATCCTGCCCCTGTCAAGCTTTCTTAGGCCAGCTCTTACTAATGACATCTGGAACAGAATAGGCACTAAACTAATGTAAGCTATTATTCTTACAATTAATATTTTGTCACTTTTTCACATTATGAACCTGAGACTTAGAGAAGCCAATTAACTTAGCCAAGGTCACATAGATAGTAAAGAGGCATTTAGGCCTTTGACCCCAAAACCGTGCTTTTTAACCACCATGCAACAAGAAACACAAAAAGAAAAGTCTTTTGTGGGGAAATATAATGCCCATGCTATTCTACCAAACTATACATGATTTATATTACACCATCCAAGCTTGTTCTTCACTCAGGACATTTGTACTTACTATGTCTCTATATTGCATGTTCTTTTCACAGATTTTCATATAAATAACTCCTTCTCAATATTTAGAAGCCAGTTATATTTCTCTTGGTATTGAGGCCTTCTCATAATAAATATTTTCAGTTATACAGAGGAATTCTATGCCTCTTATTCTCTGCAGTATCCTCATTGTTCAAAGTAGCAATCAATTATAGGTGCTCCCTAAACGACTGTTGTTTTCTGATTGACTGACTGATGAACTGACTATGAATATATCTGCAAAAAAAGTAAGGGTTTTTCAGTGCCATTATAGAGTCATAGAGAAAATGTTAGGGATTCCATGAGAGGGTGCAATCAGACTAGAATGGTTATCATGGACTGGTTCATTGAGAAAGAATCTGCTGAATTGGATCTTGCATAATTAGTATCATTGTTTTTGTTGTCATGGGTAAATATTTAGTGTCTGCTATGTGTGAAACAATATTCTAAGTCTATTCTAGAAACAATATTACTTAATCTTCATAAAAACTCAGTGAGTTAGGCGCAGTGACTGTCACCTGTAATCCCATCAGGTGGGTTATTTGAGCCCAGGAGTTGGAGACCAGCTTGGGAAATATGACAAAAATGCATCTTTACAAAAAGGAAAAATTAGTATGGCATGGTGGTGCACACCTGTGGTCCTAGCTACTTGGGAAGCTGATGTTGGAAGATTGCTTGAGCCCGGAGGTTGAAACTGCAATGAGCGTTGATTGATCATGCCACTACACTCGATCCTGGGCAGCAGACTAGACACTATCTGAAAACAAAACAAAACAGCAACAAAAACAACTCAGTGAGTCACTGTTCATTTTAAAAGCTAGGGACTGAGGACCAAAGATGTTCTCACATGTACAAGTTGACATAGTGAGCAGCAGAGCAGGAATTTGAATCTAGACTCCTCTCTTTCAGTGGCTTTTCTACACTGGATTTGGACAAGTAGGGACAAAAGGAAAAGCCAGTCTAGTTGGAGGAAAGAGTGTTATCAAAGGCAAGGAAGAGAGAACATCTAAATACCGTATCAGGAGTATGTTAGTTGGTGAGCCAAAGGGATAAACAAGAAGTTTAAAAGTCAATTGGAATCAGATCATTAAAGGGCTTAAATGACAGGCTGAGATGTTAGAGTGAGTCTATAGAACACAGAAGGCACTGGAGGCCTTTGGAGAAGAAGTTGGTATGGCTTAATCTGGGCTTTATGTTGTAAAATGAGTCACTATTCATTTTACAAGTATCCGGCTTTAACTTGTAAAATCAGTCATTTGAAAATCTTCGTGAAGGAACAAAGTGAGAAGGGGTCTACGGTCAGAAAGAATAAGTAGGAATCACAGTGTTTAGGACTAGAAGTAACTGATCATTATTATACTACTAATAATATGTTTCCCCAAAGAATTTTGGCTGAAAAATATTTCATTCTCAATAATTTCCACATGGCCACTGTCAGTATTATTAGCTCTATTTTGCAGGTAAAAACAATTAAATTTAATTTAAAATAATGATATTCAGGAAGGGCGAGTGATTAAAATGCCCAAGATCAAATGGTGAACATGACTTAGAATGGAAGATTTTCACAAAATTGTTAGGGAAAATCGGGGAAGTTCCCCCACTGAGAGCAGCATTATTCCTGCAGCGCTTACCTCTCATGAAACAGCTCTATGTTGAGACCCTTTACTTGTGCTGTCTCTATCTTACAAAGCTGCAGAACTGCCAGGGAGCAAGGAGCAAGAACATCAGAGCCAAATTCCTGGTTTTGAATACCAACCTGGGTTTTCCATCTATTTGTCTCTAAAGAATGTATTTAACAGCACTTTGCCTCAGTTGCAAAGAGCTGTTTTTTTTTTTTTAATCAAATCAATTAAAGTGCTTAGACCAATGCCTGGTATCAAATAAACTCTCTCAAATATTTCATTGTTGATGATACTTATAATAAATCTGCAGGTGTTACAATTTTTTTAATACCTGAGAGGATTAAAGCTCACACTAATGATGCTGTACCTCAGGAGTATTAATGCCTGAAAACAAAACAAAACAAAACAAAAAACCTGGTGAATAACAATAAATACATTTTCATTTCTTCTGGAAAATTTGTGCAGTATCGCAAATGGGAAAAACTGGCAAAAATTGTTAAATTTACCTATACAGAAATGTGATAAATCCACATTTCCTTTTCACTGAGCAGAGGGTAGGATGATAGATGATAAGGAAGAGGTTGTGGGTCTCCCACAACCAATGCATTCACAAAAATCCACTGGCCAGGCTTTGCTCTTCAAGAGCACTGCCTTATCCAATCTTATCCCACCTCCTTTGATCTCCTGCCTCTGATTTGGTCAGGTTCAAGAATACCTCTGGAGTCAGGCAGACTAGATAAGAACTTTGCGGTTTCTTTACTAGCTGTGTGAATATAAACAAGCTACTTAACCTCTCTTAACCTACATTTTCTCATATATATAATGAGCAAAGTGATTCTTAACTTCGAAGAATCTTCAGGTTCACAATTTACCATGTAAATGTGTGCTGCGCTTAATAATGATAACAGAAACATTGGCAATCACTATTTCTTGGTACTTATAAGTATTCCAAATATTTTGGATGATGGAAGTAGTTTAAATTTTAGGTGAATGAAAGCATTTTTTTGAAATACTGTTAATATAATTATCTAAGTTTTTTATTTTTCTAATCTTCATTTTTTACTTTTTCTAAAATTCTGTCTTTGCTATTTCTCCCTGTTTGCTTCATCCATCCTATCAGAAGAGATGTTGTCAAGATGCAATAAGATCTCGGAGAATATCAAACACAATGTGTGGTAGGTTGTGATCACTAACCAGCAATTCTGAGTCTCATCAGACAGGTCACATAAATTTGCTGAACTTCAATATCCTAATCTCATAATATACCATTTGCAGTTATGTAGCAACATTTAAAAATCAGTGGATAGAAAACTGCCTTGCACATAACACAAGTTGTTAGTTTCTTCTCCCTTTTCATCTCTTCTATCATTCTTCTGTCTCCGGATTGTCAGGGGACACTATTTCTCATTAGCTGTCTCAGCAGATATTCTTAAATGTCCTTGGGACTCAACACATACCCTGGGGAAGCATCAACAAAACCAAGAGTTAGTGGATGAGGTGACCTGAGGTAGGTTGAACTTTCCTAAAACTTTTTGGACCACTGTGGGGACATGCACAAACCTAGCATTTATTCAGTAATTGCATTATTAATGCATCCAAAGCCTTGTATTCTCTTTACAGAGGCTTCAAGGCCCACAGCAATCTCCCTCCACCTCCTCCCCTATACCACTTCTCTGAACTTAGATCTGATGTCCCCATCCTTTGCTCTGTTCCAGCCACTTTGCCAACCCTTCCAAGAGACCTACTTTACCCTGGAATTCCCTTTCCATCCAGGGACTCTAACACACACTCTGTACCTAGTATGCCCTTTGCCCCTTTTCTTTCTTATTTTTCTCTTTGTCACTTTTTACCATCTGACCTACTAGTTTATTTCATGTATTTCTTTGTCTGTGTCTTTCACCCCCTTCTAACCTATGAAGCCTATGAGGCAGGGACATGATCTGCTTTGTTTACTGGGTCCAGCACATAGAAGTTGCTCGATATGTACAGCCTAATGAATGAATGGACAGAAGCATTTAAAATTGTTCATTTAATAATCACTTTGTGAAAATGGGAACAGCGTGGTGAACACAAAGAGGTATTCTGTGAGGTGAAGACACTGATCTTAAAGAAAACAAATACTAAAATAAGCATGTATTATAACTACCCTTGATCCTAGGACTGTGCCTCCTCAGATCCAATCCTTGCCCTTCACTCTTTCTGGAATACTTGTGCAATATCGCAAGTGAGGAAAATTGGCAATAATTAGTAATTTTCCCTATACAAAAATTGATAAATTCCCATTTCCCTCTTCACTGAGAAGAAGGTGGGATGACAGATGATAAAGAAGAGGCTGTGAATCTGGTCTGTAGTATGTTAGAGTGTGCCTGCCCCGGCAAGCTCCTGGCTGAGTTTCGCTGGTGGAAGGCAATAGCTTGAGTGCAAAGGCCAGGAGAATGGAGAAACAGGGCATTTACTCATTTACTTCTTTGTCTATCTCAGGCAGTGGTTGCATCTTCCCCATGCTGTGGGTTCCTAGCAGCTCCTTGGTGACAATGTCTGACTTGTCTCATTTTCTACCGTTGGTTTCTCAGCTCCTCCATCATCTGTGCGGCCAATGATATTCTTTCATTATATTTTCTCCTTTGAAATCTGAAGGCACTTGGGCTGTTTGTTTGTTTGTTTGTTCCTTTTTTGCTTAGACTCTGACTGGCGATGCTGAGTGCTCTTCTGGGAAGGCACAGTATCTGTGAAGCACATTACAGGGCCTCTCCTGGCCCAGTGGAGCTGTCCAGTAAAAGGGTTTCCTAAAGCAGTGACATACTACTCTTTGAGAAGGGGAGCATGAAGAGGAGGCAACAACAATAGCAAGGGCAGTGAGCCTTTGAGAAAATGAAAATGACTTATTTGAAGGCCCTGTGCCAGGAGAAAGCTGGGGTTCACAAATGACAGCACTGTAGAGCACATAGAATGAGTAGATGAAGTGAGAAGCATTGGTCAGTCATCATGGTTCCTGTTGATAATTCGTAGGTCTTTTTCCTGTAATTCACGAAGTTCCATAGAAAAGTTTTAATCAAGGAGGATTAAAGTGGTGTTCTCATCTGGTCTGTGCTTTGTAAAGATAAGTAACCGCAATATATAGGCTGCAAGATGCAGCTAGGAGGCCAGGTGGGAGGCTGGGGCTGCAGCCCAAGTGCCGGGTCCAAGTGATTTGGCCCAGGATGGTGGCAGAGGTTTAGATGGGAAGGGAAGAGCCGGACAACAGCCCAGTCCTGAGCTCATTTCCTCACTCTTCCTTCCCCTGCAGAATGCTGGCGTGTTCTCTTTGTTGCTCAGTCTGAGAGGTGCTGCCAGCTCTATCAGCTTTA
Source organism: Homo sapiens (assembly GCF_000001405.40). Lineage (NCBI taxonomy): Eukaryota > Metazoa > Chordata > Mammalia > Primates > Hominidae > Homo > Homo sapiens. Next base: position 11,905,106 of record NC_000004.12, on the reverse strand, counting down.
TTTTTATGTTGGCGCCTAAAAGCTTCACCTCAAAGAGAGGAGACTCTGAAGACAATGAGAAGGACAAGCAGGCACAGAGATACTTCCCTTCATCCTCCCTTCCCACAGACCAGCTGAAGCAAAAGTTCAAAATAACGCCAAGCTGTTAGGAAAAAATTGCCAAAACCACTCCTCTTTCTCATGTAGTGACAAAGTGCTGCAGGGCCTGCCACATTTGATTGTTCTGATTCTAGGCCTGCTTCCCTCTTCTCAGGTGCGCTTAGTTCCTCAGCTTTGCTTATGTCTGTCTCTCGGGGTATTTCCAGGGGCTTTAAGACTAATCTGGTCCTCTCAGTAAAGACTTTTTGGAAACTACTTCTATTTCTTTTTGCAGTGTTCCCTGTCACACAAGAGCAGTTTTCTGCCGGAGCAGAAAACTAGAACCAAATGATACCAACTAATAAATAATAATAATAAATAATAAATAAGGCTATTTCATGGTTGGTGAAGAAGCACTAGACTTGAAACCAGACAGTGGTTTACTGAGGTCGTGCTGTTACTCCATCACCTTGGAGAGATCAACCAAGAAGTAGAGGCTTTGTGTCATGAGTGTAATACTTACTCACATATACTGGACGTAGTGATGAGACAGGCACCAGGGCTTTATACACATTGTTCCATTTCAACCTCGCAGTGACCCTTAAGAGAAAGGCTGTTTATTTTGTGCATTTTCACAAGTAAGGAAACCAGCTCAGAGAGATTAGGGAACTGGCATGAAATCACACAACTGGCAAGTCATAGGGAGGAAATCAAACTCAAGCTCTCTTATCTAAAATCTTTGTTCTTACTATGACCCCTTCAACTCAAGCTAGTGCCAGGAACATTGGGGTTAGAGCCAAAGGGATCTCAATCTGATGACTGCTTCTCTGTGTTGCCAGCTGGGTGATGTCAGGCAGGCAGCCCAGCCTCCCTGTGCCTTCCTCTTCCTTATCTGTGAAATAGTGATGCTTTTATTATTTTAACTCATACTAAACCTTTTGTTGCAGCGTAGACGTTTACAAGATGCAGGGACCTGTGGAAGATTTTATGAGAAAATTCATAGAAAACACCTAAACTACAATGTGGTCTGCGATTCAGATTGCACATTACACGGAAATTTATTTCAGCCTTGTCTCATAACTGTGCAACTCTAAATGCTTAATTTAAAATCTCTGAGTCTCACATGTATACAGTGGGTTCAAATTTGACTTACCTAGAAGTTTTGTGAGGAGCATTAAATAAAAATAATAATACAGAGCAACCCACTGTGGTTAAGTGTATTCTCCTCTCTTTAGGTAGGACTCACAATCTTTCTGTTTAAGTACTATCTGTCTGTCTACCTCATGGGATAATTGAGATTATCCCCTTGATATAATTAGTGTACTGGAGAAAAAGAAAGCTCAAAAAATACTATGTGGATGCTAAGGATTACTATCACTAAATTAAACTTTGAATTCTATGAATAATTAGAAAGAGTAATTAATGTCATGTACTAAATTACCTAGTGTTTTTCAGTTGTATTTATTTATTTATTCATGGCCCTTAATTTTATGAGCCATTATTTATTTTTACATATAAAAGACCAATGTACTGCTTATCTAGTCTCTTTCTAAGAATTGTTGATCTGAGAAGAAAGAAGAATTTTTTTAAATGAGCTATAACCAGTGGATATGAATGCAAATTCATAAACTCTAATATTCTTTCAGTATCTTTTCTTCATCATTTCACAATTATTATTCCATGTGCTGATCATCAATCCCCTATTTCCGGGTGATTGCCTTATTAATGGCAGAGTGATGAGAAAGGAATTAAATATTTGCACTAGAGGCTATGCTTAATTGAGTTCCTTCTCTGCTTATTGCAAGCTTCTGGTTTTGAAATTAAAACCAACAAAAATGATGCCATTTAGAAATATGGCTAATATGTGAAGTTGTTTAAATATGATAGGAATTCTACAGAGACTTGGACTTTGAATTTCATGTTCAGATATATGGTGTAATTTTAGAAACAAAGCACAATTTATTTTGAATTTAAAAAATTATCCAAATTATGTTGAGTTTATACATTGTCACCAAAACCATGTCAAAAACTGAGGGATGAAATAAAAAAAAATATAAACCCAACAACAGTTTAACATATCGTATCATCTAATTAACTTACACAGCATCTTAAGGAAGGGACTGTCATTATTCTTATTAGCAGAGACTAAACTGAAATTCATTCATTCAAGCACAAATATTTATTAGGACTCCTTGTTTGACAGGCAATATACTTGATTCTGGGGATGTACCTGTAAACAGAACACTCAAGAACTCTATTCTCAATCTACTAGGATTCTAGTGGTACAAATAGGACATGAAAAATGAAATGCATAAAGGACAGATAACTGTGAATTGTATTACATGTTGAAAACTGAAGATAAGCCAACTATGGAAGGATTCTGGAGAACTCCAGAGGGAGAAGCAAGTGCAAAGACCTAGAAAAGGAAGAGAAGAAACAAAGGAGGCAGACACGACTGAAGTCAGTCAATAAAGGCATTGCGTGGGGGACACATTCAGAGAGGTGTAGGTAGAGGCCAGACCATGCAAAGCTCTGTAGATGATGAAAAGTTACTTCGATTTTTTTCCAGTGATAATGGGGAAGTAATGAAAGATTTGAAGCAACGTGGTTATTTAATTCTTTTTAAAATGTTACTTTGACTATTATTATCTAGAAAATGGACAAGATAGAGTAAGAGTAGAAACAAGGAAGTCAGTTAAGATGCTACTAAGGTGGTCTGGGAGAGAGATAATGTCAGCCTATATTAGGATAGTGGTATCAGAGAAGGAGATGATACACAGTAGCTTCTAGAAACAGGACTGGTGTTATATTAGATATGGGAGGATGGACAAAGGGATAAATTATAGATTTTCTCATTAAACACTTGATTAAACAGAATTTCACTTACTGGTAAGAAAAACTCTGAATATTAAAGATTTTGTTGTTTTTTTATAGCTATTCTTTTTCTTTTTTGATGGGACAGGAAGAATTAACTTCCATTTGGACATATTGTTTGAATGTAAAACAGAAGTTAAATAGACAGTTGAGTATACACATTTGAAACTCAAGATCTTTGTCTTGCAGACACCAATTTGGGTTGTCAGTTTGTTAGTGTATTTAAAAACATGGGCCATCGTGAGAGACACCTAAGGGGAGAGTTTGTATAAAGAAAAAAAGAGCACCTAAATTTAGGGTAGGGGATTTTTGATAGTTAATTTATGTGTCATCTTGACCGAATTAAGGGTCACGCAGGTATCTAGTTAGTCACTATTTCTGGCTATGTCTGTGAGGGTGTCTCTGGATGATATTAGTACTTCAATCAGTGGATTCAGTAAAGTAGATGGGTCTCCCCATTACGGGTGGGCATCATACAATTTGTTGAGAGCCTGAAGAGAACAGAAGGCAGGAGTAGAAGAAATTTGTCCCCCTTGTTTCTGCCAAACAGTTTGAGCTGGGATATCTCATTTCATCTTCTTTTGCATTTTTACTGGGATTTACATGATTGGCGTTCCTAAATTTTAGGCCTTTGAACCCAGACTGAATTGCACTACTGGCTTTCCTGGGTCTACAACCTGAGGACAGCAGATCTTGGGACTTGTCGGCTTCCACAATTGCATGAGCTAATTCCTCATGGTAAATTACATATATATATATATATATATATTCCTGTTGGTTCTATTTCTCAGCATAACCCTGGCTAATACAGGATTAGAGGCTTAGAGAAGATAAACAATTTGCTCAACATTTCATGTCTAGTAAGTGGCAAACTTAAACCCTGCCTCACTCTAAATCCCATGCTTTTATGTTTTATTGCCTATTAGATGATATTTTAAGTGAGCTTTTAAAAATGAATAGACTTTTGATATCCAGGGATGAGGAGAAGGGCACTACAGATTAAGGATGCCATAATATTTATGGCACAAAAGCTGAAGAGGGCAGAGTGCACAGAGAATGGTGATCTTGTTGTTCAGTATGGTTTTAGCATAAGGTTTTGGGGGAAAATGTTAGAAATAAATGCATCTAGTATATAGGGAAAGGGGGGAAACCTACAGGTCTTCTCTTCACTGACTAGGGATTTAATAGAGGTAGGTGAAATTCTAACATATCAATTCCTAAATACAGACCGTCATGCATTTGGATGTTTAACTGTTATTATATATGTGATTGCATGTGAAAGAGAACTAGTACTTCTGTGCGACTCCCAAAGGCAAGAGACATTTTTCAGTTAGGTTTACATTCAGTGGATAAAATAGTCCTTTAAATGTCTGACCTCTCTAAAGGGAAGCATTTCAAGAAAATCTCAGTCACCGCATATGTCCAAAAACTCACTGGATTCAGCATTCAGTAAGAATGTTCCTTATTTGGCAGCATTTTTCCCTTTAAATGTTCCAGTAATGGCTAGCTTTAATCCCAAATATTCAAACTCTTTCTGTTTGCATGTTATTTTTAGAAGCCTTTGTTTTTCCCCATTCCTGGTATAGTTTTACATTTATTTTAATTACTAACATATAGGAGTAGAGAAAGATAGAATATGCTTTTATCTTTTCCTTATTGCTGTGTGTTTATGGCCTCATAGATAAAGACTTGCTGGAAGACAAGTCAGACAGGAGCATAATGCTTTACAACAGTCAGGGAAAAAAATGGGAAGAAGGGGAAAGAGGGTGTAGAAATAAGAAAATAATTGATGGAGATTTGCATTCACTGCAATTATATAAAATGAATATGCATTCAGTACATTATTTTAATCTATTCTTAATGTTGGGTCAAGAATGTGGTAGATGTAGATGTAATATTAATTACAGTCATTCCTATGAATTGTTTAATTCTGCCTATTTTGTTATGCAACAGGATAAAAATGGCTATGTTTATAAAACAGGCTAACTTGGTTGAAAATTTTACTTAATTTTATATAGCTCTGTTAAAATTGTCTTCATTATGACAGATTAATGTTTAGAAAAGAACATGAGTTTTGAAGTTAAAACTTAATTTTGTTGAGCTTGGGTATCTGCAAATTATGAGCTCTGGGACCCCTGACAAGTAGTGTAACTTTCTTCAGCCTCAGTTTCTGATTTGCAAACTCAGAATTAAATAATATTGTCTTGTTTCAAAACTTAAAGACCCAGTGAGATGATAAATGTAAATGATCATGGTGCTGAATTCAATGAAAATCACTTCCTTTTCATTAGAATGAGATTTGGTGAGAGAAAGCACCATCATTGAGGTCTTGGATACTATGTTACATGTTAGGGTTATCATAATAACATACCACAGACTGAGTGGGTTAACCAGCAGAATTTTATTTTCTCATATTTCTGGAGGCTAGAATTTCCAAATCAAGGGATCTTTAATTTCTTCTGAGGCTTCTTTTCTTGGCTCGTAGATGGCCATCTTCTCCTTGTGTCCTCACATTGTCTTCCTTTGTGAGTATCCTAATCTCTTCTTCTTGTCAGGGCACCAGTCATCTTGTATTAGGGTCCACCCACATAAACTCATTTTATTTTGGTTGCCTCTTTAAAGTCCTTTCTCCAAATACTGTCACAATCTGAGTTACTGTGTGTTAGTATTTTAACATAGGAATTTTGGGAGACACACAATTCTGTCCATAACAGATGGATTTGGGATGAATAGGTTTAGATAATTTTAAGTTCTGGTGTGAGTTTTTGCATCTCTGTTCATGCTTTCAAATTGAAGTTCGGCAAACAAAGAACAAAACAACCAAATTCAAGCTTTACTAGGAATGCAATGAAATTCAACCAGGTGAGTTAGAGAGAGTATTTGACATTAAAAGCAGCATACAGGACTAGTGAAGCAGAACAAGATAAAATCTCTGTGTGAGTGTATTTGTGTATGAATGTATTTGTGTGTATGTTTGTGCAAAGGAGTGAGATTGTGAGTGTAGATGAATAAGTGATTTTTGTAAGTTTGTGGATGTGCACTGATGTGAGTGTTTATGTGTGTCCCTGGAGTATGGAAGGAGAGACGATGGCCCCTGAGAGGAGGAACAATGCTATGAGTAAGCACATGCAGTTGAATGGCAGGTACATAGCATAAGGGCACCACAGGAGAACAATGAAAGCACAGTTATGCTACCATATGATGGCATAGGTTCTTACTTCCTTCTTCCTTTTGGAGTTGAGAGGAGGGTTTTTTTTTTTTTTGTATAATTTCAGCTGAAGCTAGGTTGAAGTACTGTATTAGTATGTTTACACACTGTAATAAAGAACTGCCAGAGACTGGGTAATTTATAAAGAAAAGAGGTTTAATTGATTCATAGTTACACATGGCTGGGGAGGCCTCAGTACATTTATAATCATGGCAGAAAGGGAAGGAGGCATGTCTTACATGGTGGCAGGCAAGAGAATGTGTGTGAAGGAGACACTGTCAGTGTGTGTGAAGGAGACACTGTCAAACGCTAGTAAAACCATCAATCTCATGAGAACTCATTCACTATCACAAGAACAGCATGGAAGAAACCACCCCATCATCCAATTACCTCCCACCTGGTTCCTCCCTTGACACATGGGAATTATGCAATTTGAGATGAGATGTGGGTGGGAACACAGAGCCAAACCATATTATTCCACCCCAGCCCCTCCCAAATATCATGTCCATTTTATATTTCAAAACCAACCATGTGTTTCCAACAGTTCCCCAAAGTCTTAATTCATTCCAGCATTAACCCAAAAGTCCAAGTCCAAAGTGTTATCTGAGACAAGCACATAACTCTACCTAGGAGCCTGTAAAATCAAAAGCAAGTTACTTACTTCCAAGTTACAATAGTGGTACAAGCATTGGACAAATCCTCTCATTCTAAATGGGAGACATTAGCCAAAACAAAGGGGCTACAGACCCCATTCAAGTCGAAAATCCAGCAGAGAAGTCATTAAATCTTAAAGTTCCAAAATAATCTCCTTTGACTCCATGTTTCACATCCAGGTCATGCTGATGCAAGAGGTGGGTTCCCACAGCCTTGGGCAGCTCAGTCCCTGTGGCTTTGCAGGGTTCAGCCCCTGCAGCTACTCTCATGAGCTGGCATTGTATGCCTGCAGCTTTTCTAGTCATACAGTGCAAGCTGCCAATGGATCTTACATTCTGGGGTCTAGAGGATGGTGGCCCTCTTTTCACAGCTCCACTAGATAGTGCCCCAGTGGGGACTCTGTGTGGGGACTTCAACCCCACATTTTCCTTACGCACTGCTCTAGCAGAGGTTCTCCATGAGGTCTCCACTCCTGCGGCAGACATCTGCCTGGACATCCAGGCATTCCTATGCATCCTCTGTTGACTTCTGTGCACCTGAAGGCCAAACACCACTTGGCAGCAATCAAGGCTTGGGGTTGCACCCTCTGAAGCAGTGACTTGAGCTGTACTTTGGCCCCTTTTAGCCACAGCTGGAGCAGCTAGGATGCAAGACACCAAGTCTTGAGGCAGCACACAACAGCAAGGCCCTGGGCCCAGCCCACAAAACCATGTTTTTCTCCTAGTTCTCTGGGTCTGTAATGGGAGGGGCTGCCATGAAGATCTCTGACATACCCTGGAGACATTTTCCCTCATTTTCTTGGCAATTAACATTGGATTCCTCATTATCTATGCAAATCTTTGTAGCAGGCTTGAATATCTCCCCAGAAAATGGTTTTTTCTTTTCTACCACATGGTCAAGCTGCAAATTTTCTAAACTTTTACACTCTGTCACCTCTTGAACGCTTTGCTACTTAGAAATTTCTTCTGCCAGATACCCTAAATTGTCTTTCTGAAGTTCAAATTTCTACAGATCTCTAGGGCAGGGGCAAAATGCCACCAGTTTCTTTGCTAAAGCATAACAAGAGTGATCTTTACTCCAGTTCCCAATAAGTTTCTCATCTCCATCAAAGACCACCTCAGCCTGGACCTCATTGTCCACATCACTATCAGCGTTTTGGTCAAATCCATTCAACAAGTCTCTAGGAAGTTCCAGAGTTTCCCACATTTTCCTGTCTTCTTCTGAGCCCTCCAAACTGTTCCACCCTCTGCCTGTTATTCAGTTCCAAAGTTGCTTCCGCATTTTCAGGTTATCTTTATAAGAGTACCCCACTCTACTGGTACCAGTTTTCTGTATTAGTTCATTGTCACACTGCTACAAAGAACTGCCTGAGACTGGCTCATTTGTGAAGAAAAGAGGTTTAATTGACTCACAGTTCTGCATGGCTGGGGAGGCCTCAGGAAACTTCCAATCATGGCAGAATGGGAAGCAGGCACCTCTTACATGGCAGCAGGTCAGAGAGAGCATATGAATGAGGAACTATAAAACACCTGTAAAACCATCAGTTCTCATGAGAACTCATTCACTATTGTTGAGAACAGCATGAAGGAAACCACTCCCACGATCCACTCAGCTCCCACCGGTTCCCTCCCTGAACATGTGGGGATTATGAAGATTACAATTCAAGATGATATTTGTGTGGGGACACAGAGCCAAACCATATCAAATACCTACATCCAGTGCCATGATATGTAGTTGGCACAAGCTTGCCAACCAAATGAGCACCTGGAAAGGGGTGTATGGGGGGTAAAAATTCAGCCTACAGTCTGCCTGCCAAGCCATGAGCCCATCATGGAACTATCTCCTCCTGAGGAAAAGAGTGCTTTGTTTTGTTCTGGATTTTTATCTCTTATTTGAATAAAGATGCTACATAGGCACCTCATAGCCCTGACTACCCCAGTGCCTCTGGCCTCACTGTCATCTCCAGAACCTGGAAGGGAAGGGTCAATAAGGCAAGAACATGTCTCTAGAATAGCCAGTACTGCATCTCTTATTTTATACACTATGAAGCATAAGTATTGACTCACAATTAAAAAAAAACCAATAAACTAAGATAAAGTAATGTCCTACTATGGTAGACTGTTAGAAGATAGGCTAATCCCTCCTGACAGTTCTGTGTTATTTTTTTAGAAGAGACACTACTCTTATAATGACAGAACTGTGAGTAATGTAGCTTCTCCATAAATGCACATGAATGATAACTTTTGACTACTTTCTTAAAACTTATTCCAGATTTCAAATCCTGCTCTTATCCATGTCTCACGGTTTTTTGCTGATAGATTCAGGCCTAATGTTTTGCAAAGTAACAATGCACATCTCAAAATAGATCAGCCTTATCTTCCTTATCAAAATACATCTGATATCAGTTAGAAGGTCAGCATACTTTCTAGGCATCCTGAGACCAGGGTTATGGTACCAAACTTCTGGATAATCTTGAGAGACATCAAGTCCTATTGGAACTAAAACCTTATGATCTCAAGCCTGTCCCTGGAAAGCAGCATTTCATCACTGCTAACTTGAATCACCCCTCTGGTCTGCATTTTTTCATTTAGAAGAAAAAGAGACTATAATTTGCAAATAGTCTACTCTTGCAGAGGTATAGGAATGCGTGGTATAAAGTAAACCATCAAATGTATATGAATGAATAAATAACAGGTAATATGCATGTTGTTAAAATGTACTGAGATGGTATTATATCTCCAAAGTATTAAATCTTTAAAAGATAAAAGGATTTAACATTTTTATAATACCTAATATATACAAGCTTATATAATGCATAATAATGTAATATAGCAATATTATGTTACAGATAAAAAGATTGAGATTAAAGGAAATTGTGGTTTTTCTGCTTTTCTGTTTACCCAAAGCCTGCTTTTTGGAAACAGATTGGAAATTTGAACCAGATCTTTCTTTTACCCAGTCCAGGGCACATCTATTATTTTTTCCAACAAATACATGTATGAGAAGCCCACCATCTGTATGTACTAGAAGCTGCAACAAAAAGTACCTCTATTGCCAAGAGAAAATATGCCAATGATTATTTCCCAACAAGATTGGGAAACAGAGATCATCGCAGAGCAGTGGTGGAAGGCAGCTGGAACAATGAGCCCAATATATCTCCCTGATGTTTCATGCTTGGCATTTCCCCACATACTTCTGAGAGGATGATGGATCTGCAAACACTGCAGGTTTACATCAAAAACAATATACGTTAATGCTTTATGACTAGGGAAGAGTGTGAAGTTTTCTAATCACATGTGATGTGCAATTTTAATTTTAAGAGAAAAAAAGAGTTTAGATTTTTAAAAGCAATATTACTCTAGTGCCTCTAGAGCAATATTCTAGAGGCACTAGAATGCCAGGTTAAAGATTTGGGGATTTTTTTATATAAAATAAAAAGTAGATAGAAATATCATATCATCCAGTAATACATGGAACCTAGCAGTTTCTGAGCTTTCTCACACATGTCTTGCTTATCCACAGATCTGGCCCCACTTGACAGCAACCCATCATATTAGCTTTGTTTCAGGCTCTGAGATTCACCAATAGATGAGGGAGATTTAAAGAGCAGTGGTTCAATCACTACAGAGATTCAGCACCAAAGCAGTGCATTTTCTCGTTCTGGCTTTTGGGGTTAGCTCCAGTAATTCGATTTAGGACTCATTCCTGTTACCAAATCTCCCCATTCACATATCTACTTCAGAAGCTGGGTGTGTACTTGAGCTTGAATCACTACCCAGTATATCGGCAAAGTAAAGGAGGCCTTTATTATTTGAGTATGAATGGGGAAAGTCCAGATCCGCATGACAGCAGGATTATATTTGAATCCTCCAGCACATACCAAATAATAACTAAACATGTCTTAAGTACTGACCAAGTGCCAAATTATATTCTCAGTTAAGAGCAAGCTCATGCTCTCAGGCTAAATCCAGCCTGCTGGTTATTTTCATAAATAAATTTTATTGAAACACATTCATGTTTCTTTATTTACTTGTTTCCTGTGTCTGTTTTGCTCTGCAACAGCAGAGTTGAGTGGTTATGAAAGAGACAGTATCACCCATTAAAACGACAATATTCATTATCTAGCTCCTTATAGGGTGTCTGCTAATCCTTGTTCTAAGTTATATACCTACTTTAACTCAATTTAATATTCAAAATTTCATGATGTAACAATATTTCCACATATAAGTTAATGAGGTAAAGCTGTGACAAAGCCAAAGATTATATAGCTAAGAATCAGCAGAGGCTGAAGTTAAACTTAGCCCATCCACTCTGGAGTCTATGCACTTAAAAACGATAGTTATATATTTTTACATGTAAAATAGCTTTATTTAGATATAATTTACATAACATACAATTCATCCATTTAAACTATACCATTCTGTTAAGTTTAGAATATTCAGAGTTGTGCAAACATCATAACAATTTTAAAGCATGTGTATAACCCAAAAAGAAATGTCACACTCATTAGCAAGATATATATTTTCTCCACATCCTCCCTAACACTTTTTATTACATCTCTTTTTAAAATAATCATCCCAGTGAAAGCAAAGTGATATTTCATTGGAGTTTTATTTTTGCCTAATTACTAATGATTTTGAGTATTTTTTTTCAGGTGCTGTCTGGACATTTGTATATCTTCTTTGATGAAATGTCAATTGAGAATATTTGTTCATCATTATTTGCATTATTTATTTATCATTGACTTATAAGAGTTCCTTGTATACTCTACAAGTAAATTCTTCAGATATATGATTTATAAATACTTTATCTTGTTGTGAAGGTTGATATATTCTTAGAAATCCAAAAGTATTAATTTTGATTATGTCTTTTTTGTCATTTGTGCTATTATTAAGAAAATCTTCTAGAAACATTATAGCTTTGCTTCTTATATTTAGGTTTATGATCAATTTTGCATTATTTTTTGTGTAAGGTGTGAGGAAGGGGTCCAACTTCACTCTTGCATAGGAATATCCAATTGTTTCAGCATCATTTGTTCAAAAGATTATTCTTCCTCATTGAATTGTGTTCTCGTGCTTTTTAAAAATCAATTGATCATAAATGTATGAGTTCATTTCTGGACTCTCTATGTCTCCAATCTATGTATCTATTTAATTAGTAACATAGTCTTGGTTAGTATAGGTTTATAGTAAGGTTTTAATCAAAAATTGTGCGTCATCCAACTTTGTTCTGTTTCAAAATTGTTTTGACTATTTTGAGTCCTTTGATTTGTGTATCAACTTCAGAGTGTTTATTGATTTCGCCAAAGTAGGCTGCTGGAATTGGAAAATATTGTGTTGAATATATAGATTAATTTGAGGAGCATTGTCATCTTAACAATATTCCATCCCCTGTTCCATAAAATTAGTATGTCTTTCCATTTCTTCAGGTATCCTCTAATTTGTACGTATATTTTGTGGCTTTTAGTGTACAAGTTTTAAACTTCAAAAAAATCTTTTAAATTTTTATTATTTTCTGTACTAACTTGAATTGAATTGTGTTCTTAATTTTATTTTTGTTCTTTGCAAGTATAGAAAATACAATTAATTTTTGTTGGTTGATATTTGTATTAGTCTGCTCTCATGCTGCTATGAAGAAATATCCAAGACTGGGTAATTTATAAAGAAAAGAGGTTTAATTGACTCATAGATCCACATGGCTGATAAGGCCTTAGGAAACTTACAATTATGGTGAAAGACATCTCTTCACAGGGCGGCAGGAGAGAGAATGAGTGCTGAGCAAAGGGGAAAAAGCCCCTTATAAAACCATCAGATCTGGTGAGAACTCTCTCTCTCTGTTACTATCACAAGAACAGCATGAAGACAACTGCCCCCATGATTCAATTACCTCCCACTGGGTCCCTCCCAGGACACGTGGGCATTATGAGAACTACAATTCAAGATGAGATTTGGGTGGAGACAGAAACAAACCATGTCAGTATTATAGCCTGAAACCTTGTCCAACTTGTTTGTTAGTTCTAATAGCTTTTAATGGACTTCTTAGAATTTTCTGTAAGCAAGATTTTGTCATATGAGACTAGGCATAGCTTTATTTCTGATTTTCTACACTGGAGAGTTTTTATATGTCACTTTTACTTTTGTGTAATTGCATGGCTAGACTGCTAAGCACAAAGTTTAATAAAAGTGGTAATAATAAGCATTGTTCATAATCCCTGATCTTAAGATGAAGGCAGTCTTTCAGCAGATGGTATGATGATAACTGTGTGTGTGTGTATATATATATATATATATATATATATATATATATATATAAATGGCCTTTATGATGAGAAAGTTATCTTCTAATTTTAATATTTTGAGTGTTTTCATTATAAAAGCATGTTAAATTTTGTCAAAAGATTTTTTTAATTATTTGAGATTATGAGGTTTTTGTCTTTTATTTTATTGATATGTTGTATTACACAAACGTATTTTTGGATGTTAAGCCAACACTGAATTCCTGTGATACATCCCATTTAATCATAGTGAATACTTTTTTAATATGCTACTGGATTAAATTTGCTAGTATTTTAAAAAGTACTTTTGTGTCTATATTCCTAAGAGATATTGTTCTGTACTTTTCTTTTTTGTAATATCTTTGTCTGGTTTTAGTATTTCGGTAATACTGATTATATAGGTCAAGTTGGGAAGTGTTCCCTCTTCTTTCATTCTTGGAAGAGTTTGTGAAGAATTGATATTAAGTTTTGTCTCTATGTTCGTTAGAATTCACTGGTGAATCAATGAGGGCCTGAGTTTTACTTTGTGAAAAGTTTTCTAATTACAATTGCAATCTTATTATTTCATATAAATTCATACGAATTTTCTATATCTTGTGGAATCAGTTTCAGTAATTTGCGTCTTTCTAGAAAATTTTCCATTTCAACTGTATTATTTAGTTCTGGCATAGTATTATTTGATAACCTTGCTTTTTAAAATGTATTTAAGGCCAGTAGTCATGACCATTCTTTCACTCTTGATCTTGGTGATTTCTGTCTTCAGTCTTTTTTTATTTGTCAGTCTAACTAAAAGTTTGTCAACGTTGCTGACGTTTACATAGAAAACAAACCTTTCCTTTTGTTGTTTTCCTTTATTGTTTATTTTTCAATTAATGGCCACTCTTATCTTTATTAGGTTAAATATTCTGCTTGCTTTAAGTTTTCTTTGTGTTTGTTTCTCCAATGTCTTAAGATGGAAGATTACGTATTAATACAAGATCTTTCTTTAAAAATATAAACATTTATAGTCATAAATTTCCCTCTGATCAATGATTTAACATCATCCTGTAGATTATGGCATAATGTGTCTTCATTTTCATTCATTTCAAAGTATTTTTTATTTTCTTGTGAGTTTTTTGACCCATTAATTATGTAGAAATGTGTGGTTTAATTTTCACCTACTTACAAATTTCTCAAAATTTCTTTGGCCATTGATTTATAATTTCATGCCATTGTGGTTGCCAATCATCCCCTTTATGATTTCAATTATTTTAAATTACTGAGGCTTGTTTTATGACTTAGGATATGGTCTATTCTGGAGACTGTTCTATGTGTACTTGAAAAGAATGTGCATTCTGCAAGTGATAAGTAGAGAATTCTATAGATGTCTGTTAGGTCTAGTTTGTTTGCTCAATACTTTGTTCTAATGTTGTTCACATCTTCTATTCATTATTGAAAATGACATATTAAAATTTCCAACTTTTATCATAGCCTGTCTATTTTTACCTTAAATTCTTTCAATAGTTGTTTATAATTGTGACATCTTTATGACAGATTGCTCATTTTATCATTATAAAATGTCTCTTTTCATCTCTAGTAACATCTTTTGTTTTAAAGCCTAGTCTGGTGGTAGTAGAGCCACTCCAGATTTCTTAAGGTTGCTATTTGCATAATATATATTTCTCCATCCTTTTCTTTCAAGCTATTTGTATCTTTGAATCTAAAGTGTGACTCCTGTAAAAAGCATTTCGTTGGTTATTATTCTTTTTTAATCCAGTCTGACAATCTTTGTCCTTTGATCCGATTGTTTAAAGCATTTGCATTTTCTATTATTATGGATGTATTTGGATTTATGTCTTCATGTCACTTCTGCGTTCTATATGTCACATGCCTTCTTCTTCTATTCTTCCTTTATTGCTTTCATTTGCATGTGTTAAGATTTTCTAGTGTAACATTTTAATTCCTTTAATGATTTACTCAGTATACTTTTGAACTATTTGCTTATTAAGTTCCACATTAGATTTATACTAATTTAGATCCAGTAAGATATAGAAACATAAATGCTATACATTCATGTTTCCTTTCCTTTGTTTTGTGCCAAAATTGTTATTCACATTTTATCCTTATAGATAGCATATATATTACATGTTATATCCATAATAGTATGTTGTTATAATTATAACTTTTATATAGTTTTATGTCTTTTAAAGAAGTTGTGAGAAGAAAGATCAAGTATACACTATAGATCATTTATTATTGATCATTTTTGGTTCCCTTGACTTGATCTGTGGATTCAAGCTACTCTCAGGTGTTATTTTCTTCCTCCAATATAGCTTTGCTCCCCTTCAAGTCCTATGTGATGTTTATGTCATGCATACATTACATTTCTACATGTTATAGACCCAACTACAAAATATATACATATTGTTTTCCATACTTATTTTTCAAGTCAGTTAAAATAATAAATGAAAAGAAATATTGATTTAAACTGTCTTCTGAAATTACACAATTACATTTACTGTGTTCTTTTTTTCCTTTATGTGATACAAATTATATCTGGTATAACCTGCTTTCAGCTTGAGGAATTTCCTTTAGTATTTCCTCTAAGGCAGGTCTGTTAGCTGCAAATTATCAGTCTTACTTCTCTGTTTATTTTGCTTTCATTGTTAACAAAAATTTCCTTTGA
Source organism: Homo sapiens (assembly GCF_000001405.40). Classification (NCBI taxonomy): domain Eukaryota; kingdom Metazoa; phylum Chordata; class Mammalia; order Primates; family Hominidae; genus Homo; species Homo sapiens. Next base: position 11,889,353 of record NC_000004.12, on the reverse strand, counting down.
TATAAAGACCTCCCTGGACATTTGTTTTCTCTCTTTCAGCACTTGGAACATGCCATTCTCTGGGATTACTGGCATCCATTGTTTGTGATGAGAAGTCAGCTGTTATCCTTATCGAGGTTTCTTGTACCTCATTTAAGACTTGTATGTGGTAAGTGATATTTCTCTTGATAATTTTAAGATTTTTCTCTTTACTTTGGCTTTCAAAATTTTGACAATGCTGTGCTTTATTGTGGATCGCTTTGTTTTAATTTGTTTTGGAGTCTGTTGAACTTCTTGGATATATACATTAAATTGTTCATCAAATTTTGGAAGTTTTTAGTTATTATTTTGTTAAATATTTTTATGGTCTCTTTTGTCTTCTCTTTCCCTTCTGATACTCTTATATGTATGTTCATCTGAGTCTCTTTTCCTTGTTTTCTTCATTCTTTGTTTATTGTTACTCTTCAAAATGCATAATCTCTATATGTCTATTTTCAAGCTTTCTAATGCTTTTTTTCTCCCACTTCAAATCTACTTTTTAGCCCATTCTATTGAAAACTGGTCTAAAAAATTCTATTGTATTTTTTTATATCAGTTATTGCAGTTTCCAACAACATAATTTTCATTTGGTTTTTATTTATTATTTATTTATCTTTGATATTGATATTTAATAAAACAATATCTTCACATCTTACTTTACTTTTTAAATCATGTTTTTTTTTTTTGGTTGTTTGACTGTATTTATAATGGCTCCTTTGAAATTTTTGTTAAGTTGGCTATCTGGCCACCCTCACAGACAATTCCTGTTTTCTCCTTTTCTCTGTGGATGGATAAAAATGTCCTGATTCATTGCATGTCTCATACATCTTTGTGTTGAAAATTGCACATTTTAGGTGATATAGCATTGCAGCTTTTGATACTGGTCTATGGCCCTTTCTGGATGTGTTGTTTTTTGTTTTTCTTTTGTTTTGTGTATTACTTGCTTATTGGTTTCTTGACTTGGATGTACTATTTTTGTGAAGTATCTATCCTTTGCAGTGTGAAACCTCTCATGTCACTTTTAAGAGAATGCACCTTTGGGCATGTGCACAGTCATTCTGAGTTGACAATGATTTTTAGCAGGAGTTATGTCACTCTTTTTTTCCATAATCTCTCTGTTAAGCTGTTTGCCTCTGTTGACAACACACCCTACCCTTAGGTTCCACTAGTTGCTGGTTGTTTGCTTTATTCTTTCTGACAATGTCCTGAGGCACAAATTGCTCCACAATCTGATCCAATTAATATCAGGCCCTTTGCAGATGTAGTTCCTGAGGTCTGTATTTGAGGTTTGTTCTGACACCAGGATAGCTCTTCTTAGACATTTCTTTCCCCAGTCATCTCCTGTAAACCAGAAAACCTAAAGTTTAGCTTGCTCTCATAGATCTACTAACCTTCTCTTAATTCCTTAGCACTTAATTCTCTTTGCTTTTGAGAGTGTATTTAGGTTTGAAATTCTCCACACTCTTGCAAATAAAGGCAATTCCTTTGGTGAAAGCTTTGGAGACTTCTTTATGGCTTGGTTCCTCTAGCCTGGGCAAAATCTCTGAGCCATTGCTGGTGGTATGGAAAATAATGAGCTTTTCTTAAGAGTGACACTCATGTTTGATGAGCATAATGCTGGATGATGATATTAGCCTCTGGTCTTCTCACTTTGTCTCTGCTGGTGTGGAACTGCTGCCACATGAACAAGCTATCTTGAGGATGAATGAATGGGTCATCAGTATACTCAGTTTGTTGCTTGTGGGGTAGAGCCTCCAAACTATCAGCAGGGATTTTGTGGTAGAAGGCAGCCCCGACCCTCTCAGTTGCACCCATCTGGAATTTAGCCTTCATAACATGGGTTAGGGTGGGATGAGAATCACTGGCACACTGCTCCTCCCAGGGAGATACTGTAGCCTTTAACTGGGGCCTGGAGGAGAGAAAGCCCCATCTTCCCAATAACATCTGCCAAGAGTAGAGCTTCCATTACACTGAACTGGGGGAATTGGGGAGAAAAGGAGCAGACAGTGTCTTAAGTGCTACAGAGTCTTGCTATTCTTATTGATATTTAGTAGATTTTTTTAAAAAAAGTCTTTATTTTTCTTTGATCTTAGGATAATTTCCAGACACTGTAAGTAGTTGATTTCATTTTTTGAAATAATTTTTCCCAGTTATGGTTGTTGCATTGTTGAGCTCCTTATGCCATAATTCCATGAAAATAAGGACTGGGAGACTATGGTTTTAAACCACATGTTAAACAACCCAAATCTCACTGAATGCATGACTGCTGACTTAAGGCATGCATGAACAAATGCTGTGAAGGGCCCTGGATCTGCAATTCACATTGAAGAAATTTTAAGTCATGATGGCAATGGGAACTTGAAACATCTTTAAATGTAGAGCTTGCTGACCTTAACGGTTTTCAGGGTGCTATGTAGCACAGATGACACTCTGAGCTGAACAAATGTTGCACATTCAGACACATCCCAGCATGTCTAGAGTAGAATCACTTTGCATGGAGGAATAAAGAGACTTAGATGGAAAAATTCTTCTTAAAAAAAGTGAGACATCCAACAAAGATTATTGGAATTCCATACATGAACAGTAGCTTTATGGTAAATTCCACATCAGGATAATTTTAGGAAAGCACTATTAAAAATCAAGAGAGCACTATTAACAATTAAGCCAGGCAATATGCATAAAACTTGACTGTTCTCAGCAAACAGAATGTGAAGCCACCCACTTGTGTGGCTAGGTCTCATACTAAGCACCTTGCACATAGAATAGTGAGATGCCATCAGGACAAGTTCATATAAACCTTGCAACAGAGTGGAGGAGACGATGTTAATCAATTAATTACATAAAAATATAATTGTTAACTGATGAAATTATGAAAGAAAATGATGAGGATATCTGAGAATATTTACTGGGAAAATCAAATATAGGCTTGGGATTCAGAGAAAGTTTTCCTTAGGGAGTTTGAACAACTAGAAAATATATATACATACATATATATATATATATATGTATGTATGAATAGGCATCAATTAGATTAACAAGAAGAATGAAGAGAGCACCATGCAGCAGGAACAGCAGGTGCAAGAGACAAGGTCCCCAGGTAGAAGGAACTTGACAGACTCAGGAGAAGGGAAGAATGGTACAAAATGAGAATGAACAAAAAGCCAGCAACCAATTATGAAAGCTCTTTTATGCTGTGGCAGAGCTTTGGGAAATCATCAAAGTGTTTTTTTTGTACATTTGTGTGTGTATGTGTGTTTTATTTACATGTGTGTGTATGTGTGTGTGAGATTGGTGTGTGCGTATGTAGCGTGTGTGTGTTGAATATTCCTCCTTAGTGCAGGGAATAAAAAAATCTTGAAGCAGTACTCTTACGATTGGAGTCTGTAACAATAAAATGGAGTGTTTAAAATATTATTTACCGTCACCTGTTTTATATCCAATTACATAGACCACAAAGCATTGGTGCCACGAACTCAAAATGTCTTGCAGAATTCTAACGATAGGTTTGCCTTGTGATTTTGTTACAGCGCCTGCTCAAATTGAAGAAGGGGCTGGAAAATAACCTGACCCCCTTCTACTTCTTCAGACCATTGTCATCGTGCAGACCTGTGCTCTTGTTCATGACATTGTCATTTACATGAATTATTTTCTAGGAAGCTATTTTGTCCCTGACACTCCACCCTATAGAATCTATGGGTATGTCTGGACATGTAAGAAATGAAAGGAATTTAAGCATGAAGTTTTCCCTATGGACTTTCATTTCACAGAGTTCTGCTTAACTATACCTAGTTTTACCTAAGAGTGCTCTGGTCTTTGTGGATGAGAGTAGAAAAGAATGACCGGGACAGGGAGTCCCAGAAATACAGCAGCTATCTTATTTAATCTTAGAAGAAACCATATATGTCTTCCAGGATGTGGGTTGTATTCAGGTCCACTCCACTTTTCTTATTCATTTGAGTAAGCAGGGAGACCAGGCACATACTTACTATGGACAATTACCAGAGCCCAAGATTCCAACATCTATAGGTAGAGAAAACTACTTTTCCACTGTGGGAGAAGAATGGGAATAAATATTTGTTAAAGAATAACCCGAATTTTCATCTAGCCTGAATCAAATAATTCCTTATGAGGTTGTTTCAAACACAGAGCAAACACAGATGGTGACCATCAGAAATATTCTCTCTAGCAGACAATGTGCCCTTGTCCTCATGATAACCTGACCCAAATTCTCCAAATTGAAACTTGAGAGGCAACTTGCAAAATTCATCTTTGAAAATCCAAAATGAAAGATAAAAAGGTATTAGCACTGCCTTTACAATCTATTAATATTATTTGTGAGTTTTTCACAGCCCATGCAATAATATCCTGAGCTTTTTTCAGGTACTTAAAATCTACAACTTTGCTTATGATGTGGCTTTTGCCTACAACACAATCCCTGTCCTAACCTTTGTCATTTAGATGAATGCATTCTCATCTTTCAAAACTGAGATCAATAGACTCTTTTCCTAGCACATAACCAGTGTTTGGAATTTAGTAAGTGGCTAATAGTATTTTTGTTAAATGAATACTCATATACAAACCCATTATTTTGCAATAAATTAATTTGAGACCCAGGGGAAAAAGTGACTTATTCCAAGTCACACAGACTCCTTAAAAAATATCTAGAAGCAGCGACAAATAGATGCAAACTTCAGGTTGCCAGTGATCAGTAACATGAATCTACTTGAGTCTTTTTATAAATACTTTCTGGTTAGCTCTTAACAAATAGATCGGCTTATAAGGTCTTGATTTTAACATCATTTCTTTAATAACTTAAGACTATGATACTCTTAAAGTCACCTTCCTCATTTTCAGGTCTCTAGACTAGAGTGGGTTTTGTTCCCCTTGGTCTTTTGTTCTATTAAAAGCATTTGGCAGAAACACACATTTGCAGTAAGCCTAAGATAGGGAGTGGGATGAACCTGCTGTCAGAAAAGGTTTATGATAAGCCATGGAATATCTTGGATATATAATCATACGATTGCCATAGGCAAATGACTAGGAGCAGGGAAAATCTAATTTGAACTCTTGAACATCTGAGGATTATTTTCCTCCCTGGGATGTATTTATCTTTTCTTTTCTTTTTTTTTTTTTTTTTTTTTTTTTTTTTTTTGCCTTCCACACTCTATCTTTCCTTAGATTTCCCCTCTACCTTTTAGTCCAGGTAGTTCAAATTGGCTTATTCCCCCATATAGCTAGGCTTCAGGAGGGGCATGGAACTCCAGCCTAGGCGTTAAGCATGTCTATCTGCCGGCCAAGAAGGAAGGAGTGCCTGACACAAACCATTTCTAAAAGATTCAATTCCACAGCTTTTCCTGGAACTCTTAGGACAGAGGATCATCTTTCTGCTGATCTTGAATATAGAAGAATGCTCTTAACGTGCAAATAACTCCTCTCCTGACACCAAATCAGTCCATCAGAACTGACAGTTGAATAACTCCTAAATCATTTAAGGCCATCGAATATAGTGATCTCTGAAGCCAGACCACTGAGAGGAACTCTCATTTAGGGGAGTTAAAATTTCTCATTCTTTTCTTGCAGTGGTTCGAATGGGCTGACATTTGCAAATGTGATGAGGTCTCTTGCTATTCTGAGGAGCTCTTTAAGGAGGTCTCAGAGACTGAAGATAAGACAGTCAGGGGAGGAAGGTGGGTTATGTGCCACCCATAAAGGCAAACATAAGGGGAAGAACAAGCAGGGACGTGACACAGGTCCAAAAGGTCTCAGCAATGAGCGAGAGCCTCCGCACGGGAGCCAGCAGGGAATGTGGCACCATCCATCCCCTTCTTTTGCGTGGCATGCTAGTGCTTGTAGTGTACTCTTTTATACAAGATCATATCTGCCATGGGGGGTAGATATCAGCAGCCAGAGTCTACAGTCAATACTCGGAGACTGATTTTCCTCAGATTGTGTGATTAGAAAATGGTACAACCAGAAGAAATAAGGTCAAGTGCCTGTGACAGTATGGGCCCTCAATAAATGCTGATGATTTTCCTTTAAAGAGAAACGAAGGGGAAATGACAGGATTATCACATATATAGTTGCAGAAGCTAAAAGTAATATGGTATATTTGGGGGAGTGACAAGTAGTTTAGATGTAATTACAGTAAAGTATATGAGAGAGAATGTTAAAAAAAAAAAAAAAAGAAAAGTTGAAGATACGTTAGTTGAGGCCAGGCTATGGGGTTGTATGAACGCTTTGTTAAAAGGGATGTACTATGTTCTTGAGGAAAATAAAATATATTAAAGCAAATTTTTTACTTCCATCTCTTCCTAAATTTAATTCAGGGCTTGTACACATGAAATATAAACTGTCCTGCACCCTAGCTCAGCACTCTCACTTTCTATGTAATTTAAAATAAAAATGTTATATCATTGAAATCTATTTAGGTAGCTTTTCAAAAAAAAATTTGCTTAATATACTCTGTTTTATTCATTTAGCAAAGGGGAATAAGGAGGTAATTTTCTAGCTTGGTCTTTGTTTAACACCTGACAGGGAAAATCAAATAGTCATTCTTCATGAGAAAATTTTGAAACTAATTTTCCTACACAGCATAGTTTCATATCTGCCACTAAGATGCTGTGTGATTGTAAGGAAATTATTTTTTTCTTCTGGACTGGAATCTCTTTACATACAAACAGAGGGCTTGGATTTGACTTGAGCTTTGATAGATGGTCTATTCCATGTCCAGTATTGTAATTAGGAGTACATGAAATTTTGTCAGGCATGGTGGCTCACACCTGTAATCCCAGCACTTTGGGAGGCCAAGGCAAGCAGATCACTTGAGATCAGGAGTTCGAGACACCCGGGCAAAGATGGTGAAACCCCGTCTCTACTAAAAATACACACACACAAAAGTTAGCTAGGTGTTGTGGTGCACATCTGCAGTCCCAGCTACTGAGGAAGCTAAGGCAGAGAATCGCTTGAATCCAGCAGGCAGAGGTGGCAGTGAGCTGAGATTGGGCCACTTCACTCCAGCCTGGGTGACAGAGTAAGACTCTGTCAAGAAAAATAAATAAATAAATTTTGTTCCTAGTGAGCAACCAAAGTAAGTGTTTCCAGGGAGGAAGCACTCAGAAACATCCCCCAGGGTGCCAGGGTTTATAATGTAGAGTGGACTCATCTCTGGGAAGCAGATGATACCATGATTGTGTGCACTAAAACAAATGATTCATCATGACCCTTGGCCATGGGCTTTCCTCATGGTTAACTAATGAAGATATGCATTTGTTAATTTGTATTTGGTTGGTTGTTCTGCTGATTGAGTCCTTCTTTTGATTCTGTGAATGAATATAAGTTGTCTGGAGCCAGGCCATCTGACAGATGTCCCATTCTCTTTTGATTTATCTGTGCTACTTCCCTTATTTGAAAGAGGGAATTCCACAATGGGAGTAACAAATACAGTGATTTACTGATAAATGAATTGATTTATTAATAGAAAAATTATTTAAAGAAATAGTATTTCAAAGTCTTAAGCTCAATCAATGTTAGGAGCTGATTTCCACTGCGTATTTATTGCCCATCCTTTGCAAGAATAAGAACACCTCACAGAATCAGCTGCTTTGATGTAAAAGCAGATGCATGAGCTGCTTGGCTGGAAATGAATTTGGAGTAACTCAGGCATGGAACACAAATAGGCTAATTCAAGTGCTGTGGAAGACCTTAATCCTTCTTTTATTTGACATTCATTCCTGCCATTTCATTTATCTCAGATTGATTTTTGACACTTTCTTTTAGGATTTTACATAAGCTGCATCTTGGCATGCACAGAACTGACACAATGACACATATGTAAAAGCACTACTGTACATCATATGTTTCACTGTTTACTTAGATAATATAGCATGCTTACTGAGCTACTTAAGAATTTTCTTTTCACAACTTTTATGGAAAATATATTGTCACTCTTTACCCTGATGTTATGGGCTGAATTATCTTTTTCCATAAATTCATATGCTGAAGTCCTAGTCACTACCTTAGCATGTGATTTTGCTTGGAGATGGCCTTTAGAGAAGTAACTAAGGTAAAATGGAGTCATATAGGTGGGCCTTAATCCAGTATGACTGGTGTCCTCATAAGAAGAGGAGATTATTGGCCAGGCGCAGTGGCTCATGCCTGTAGTCCCAGCACTTTGAGAGGCCGAGGTGGGTGGATCATGAGTTCAGGAGTTCAAGACTAGCCTGGCCAACATAGTGAAACCCCATCTCTACTAAAAATACAAAAATTAGCTGGATGTGGTGGCGGACACCTGTAATCCCAGCTGCTTGGGAGGCTGTGGCAGGAGAATCGCTTGAGCCTGGGAGGCCGAAGTTGCAGCGAGCCGAGATCACACCATTGCATTCCAGCCTCGGCAACAGAGCAAGACACCATCCCAAAAAATACCAAAACCAAAAACAAACAAAAAATAACAGAAAAAGAAGAGGAGTTTATAATATAGACCTACTGGGGAAAGACTGTGAGGACACAGCTAGAAAGTTGCTGATATGTAAGCCAATACACACACACACACATACACACACACCATACATATATCTACACATATATGCAGGAGAATGTGTGACATACGTGGTATATATCACATATTACGTATAATATATACATGTACATATACACATTCATATATGTACACATATTCATGCATATGTTTTTATATACATACATATATACACACATATGTGCATATATATGTATATATAGTTTCTTTCTGCCTCCAGATTTCAGCTAGCAGTTAGTAGTGTTGTGATGAACAGCATTTGCATATCTCCCTCTGTATATGTTAAGAGATTTATTTGATGGTGTGGAATTACCCAGCCAGAAAGTATATGAATGTGCAATGTCACAAGAAAAATGCAAACTCTTTCCAATATGGTTTGGCAATATCCATTTCACCAATAATGAATAATGAGTTTAAATAACGGGGCACATTTTTGCATGGGGTTTGCACTTCTCCTCTATGAAATTTCTGTGTATTACCCTTTTACACTGTTCTTACTAGTTTCCTTAGCATTTTGTTGTAATCTATAGATTAGGCATATTATTCTTTAACATGGTTTATTTACTTCAAATATATCTTTGTCCTTCTAAATTGCTCCTCATTTTGATGTGAACGAGTTTTTCTTTTTATTTTAAATGTCCCGGAATATTGATGTTTTCTCTTGGGATTAATTCACTTGATGATCAGCTCAGAAAATTTGCCTCTATTCCTGAATTGGATAATTATTTGCTGATGATTTTCTAAAAATTTTACAACTTATTATCTTTCCTATTTTGATATCTGGGATGTAATTCAGTTTATGTTGTGTGTTTATTGTTACCTTTTTCATTTATTTTTTCTAAATAACAATTTGTCTTCGAGTAGCTAAATAATAATTCAAATTTATTTAGAAAGAGCTCTTTCATTCCACACTATTTTGTATGCGTATATACATACATATATGTGCAATATATATATATATATGTTTAGCGTTTTACATATATAGGTAAATATATATAGAGATATTTCTTTGAGCTAGGTTGTATTTTTTAACTCATTCTGGTATATCAATGTACATATCTATTCTTATATCAGAATCAAATTTATTTAAATATAATTGCTTTACAATATAAGTTAATTGCTAGCACTATTAGCATTCTCTTCTTGGTATTTTTTCATACTGTGATCTCTTGATTCAGGTAAACCTTAGCATCATTATGTTAAGATTTAAAATAGATCATGTAACTTATTTATCATTGTGAGTAAACCTATGAAGTCAAGTAGACCAGTTATTATTTCCAATAATTTTCCCAAGAATATGGTAAGCTAGTATGTTGCATAGCCACACATCATTTTCTCTTCTGGAAAATATAGAATCTTGTCTTAAAAGGTGAAATATTGCTTCTATTTCTACGATATCACCTCCATTTGGGGAGGAATCATAGGTAGTTTGGACCTCTGTATCATCGGTAGTTTGGACCTCTGTTCTCTGTCCTCTGTATCTATGAGTTTTCTCAATATCATTTTTTCTAGCTTGTAGGATACTAGAGAGAAATATCTTCATTTTCCATTAGCGTTACTAAGTCTATATTGTTTGATATTGATTTTGCTTCCACATGGATTTTCCAATTGTTGTTGCTATAACATGGTGGATTTTCTTGTGGTTTTTACTTATTCATATCCGTCATATTATCTCCCAGCTTTTACCTTGATTGTTGTTATTTTATCTTGCGCCTACTTATGCTCTAACTCTCTAAATACATAGTTTTGTTTATGTCTTATTTATTTATTTATTTTATTTTATTTTATTTTTTGAGATGGAGTCTCGCTCTGTCGCCCACGCTGGAGTGCGGTGGCGTGATCTCGGCTAACTGCAAGCTCCGCCTCCCAGGTTCATGCCGTTCTCCTGCCTCAGCCTCCCGAGTAGCTGGGACTACAGGCGCCCGCCACCACGCCCGGCGATTTTTTTTTTTTTTTTGTATTTTTAGTGGAGACGGGGTTTCACCGTGTTAGCCAGGATGGTCTCAATCTCCTGATCTCGTGATCCGCCCGTCTTGGCCTCCCTAAGTGCTGGGATTACAGGCTTGAGCCACATCACCCGGCCTGTTTATGTCTTTTTTAAAATAAACAACCTACCTTGATGCATTTTATTAATGACCACAGACAGACTTTACATTTTTTATCAGTTTTCTTGAATAAATCTTTTTCCATATGCCTTGTATTCCTCTAAGCCTTCTTTTGAGTTGTTTCTGTTTTATAGTGCCCATTGCATTTTTTTGTTTTTGTTTGACTTTCTCTTATTCTCTTGTGTATCTATCTTTGCATCTCCCGTGGATCTATGTTTGCAAACATGTCAGGGCCAACAGTTTGACTAATCCAGTGCCCATAAATCTTGTTCTGCCTACTCTGACCCACTTACTCCTGTTACGATGGTATCCTGTCTGGTTTGGAATTATTCCAGATTTTTTATTTTAATAGGTATTATTATTAATACTACCATGAAAATAAGCCTGGAATTGTGACAAGGATGTGAAACAACAGCAACTGTCATGCACTTTAGATAAAAACGGTACAGCCACTTTGGAAGACAATTAGGCTGTTACTTACAAAACTAAACTTAATCTCACTATATGATCCAGCAATTAAACTTCTTGGCATTTAGGCATGGTACTTGAAAGCTTCCCCTACAGAAAAACCTGCACACATATGTTTATAGCAGCTTTATTCATAATTGTCAAAATTTGGAACCAAGATGTTCTTAAGTAGGTGAATGGATAAATAAATTTTGATATATTCAGACAATAGACTATTATTACTGGATGCAGTGGCTCACACCTGTAATCACAGCTATCCAGGAGCCTGACATGAGAGGATTGCTTAAGTACAGGAGTTCAAGACCAGCCTGAGCAACATAGTGAGACCCTTTTCTCTAAAGTTTTTTTTCTAAAGCTGAGCTTGGTGACACACATCTGTAGTCCCACCTATTTGGGAGGCTGAGGCTGAGGTGGGAGTATCACTTGAGCCCAAGAGTTTGAGGGTGCAGTGAGTTATAATCACATATGTGAATAGCTACAGCACTCCAGCCTGGGTGATAACATAAGACCCTGTATCTTTAAAAAAAAAAAAAAAAAAAAAAAAAAGATACATGCACTTGCATGTTCATTGCAGTGCTGTTCACAATGGCAAAGACAAGGAATCAACCTAGTGTCCATCAATGATAAATTGGAGAAAGAAAATGTGGTATATATACACCATGGAATACTTTGCAGCCATAAAAATAATGAAATAATGTCCCTTGCAGCAACATGGATGGAACTGGAGCCCATTATCCGAAGTGAATTAATGCTGGAAAAGAAAGCCAAATACCACATGTTCTCATTTATAAGTGGAAGCTAAACATTGAGTACTCATTGACATAAAGATGACAGTAGGCACTGGGAAGTGCTAAGAGGGGGAGACAGAAGAGGGTGATATGGTTTGGCTCTGTTTCCCTCCCAAATCTCATCTGAAATTGTAATTCCCATATGTCCAGGGAGGGACCTGCTGGGAGGTGATTGGATCATGAGGGTGGTTTTCCGTATGCTGTTCTCATGATAGTGAGTGAGTTCACATGATATACAATGGTTTGATGGTTTAAAAGTTGCAGTTTCCCCTGAGCTCTCTCTCTCCCCTGCCTCCTCGTGACAAAGGTGCTTGCTTCTCCTTCAACTTCTGACATAATTGTAAGTTTCCTGAGGCCTCCCCAGCCATGCAGAACAGTGAGTCAATTAAGTCTTTTTTATTTATAAATTACCCAGTCTCAGATAGTATCCTTACAGCAGTACAAAAATGGACTAACAGAGAAAATTGATGCCGAGAGTGGGGTACTGCTATAAAGATAACTTGAAAATGTGGCAGTGACTTGGGAACTGGGTAACTGGCAGAGGTGGGAACAGTTTGGAGCGCTCAGAGGAAGATAGGAAGATAAGGAAATGTTTGGAACTTCCTAGAGTCTTATTGAATGGTTTTGACCAAAACACTGATATTGATACTGACAATGAAGTCCTGGCTGAGGTGGTCACAGATGAAGATGAGGAACTTATAGAGAACTGGAGCAAGGGTCACTCTTTAGCAGAAAGACTGGTGGGATTTTGCCCCTGTCCTAGAGATTTGTGGAACTTTGAAGTTGAAAGAGATGATTTAGGGTATCTGACAGAAAAAATTTCTAAGCAGCAAAGCATTCAACATGTGACTTACCTGGCTTTTCCTGAAAGGATACAGTTATAAGCATTCACAAAGAGATGCTTTGAAATTGGAACTTATGCTTAAAAGGGAAGCAGAGCATAAAAGTTCAAAAAAATTGCAGCCTGGCCATATGGTAGGAAAGAAAACCCATTTTCTGAGGAGAAATTTAAGCCTGATGCAGAAATTTGCATAAGTAATGAGGAACCAAATACTAATAGCCAAGACAATGGGGAAAATGTTTCTAGGCAATGTCAGAGATCTTTGCAGCCCCTCCCATCACAGGCCTGGAGGCTTAGGAGAAAAAAATGGTCTAATGAGCTGGGCCCATGGCCCAGCTTCTCAGTTTCTCTGTGCAGCTTTGGGACATGACACCCTGTGTCCCAGCTGCTCCAGCTCCAGCTGTGCCTAAAAGGGGCCAAAGTGCAGCTCAGGCAGTGGCTTCAGAATGTGCAAGGTGCAAGCCTTGGTGGCTTCCACATGTGTTGGGTCTGTGGGTGCACAGAAGACAAGAGTTGACCTTTGGGAACCTCTGCCTAGATTTCAGAGGATTTATGGAAATGCCTGGATGTCAAGGCGGAAGTCTGCTGAGGGGCAGAGCCCTCCTGGAGAACTTCTACTAGGGCAGTACAGAGGGGAAATGTGGGGTTGGAACCCTCACACAGAGTCCCCACTGGGGCACTGCCTAATGGAGCTGTGAGAAGAGGGCCACCATCCTCCTGATCCCAGGATTGTAGATCCACTGACAGCTTGCACTGTGCACCTGGAAAAGTTGCAGACACTCAAGGCCAGCTCATGAAATCAGCCACAGGAGCTGTACCCTGCAGAGCTACAGGGAAGAGGTGCCTAAGATCATGGGAGCCCACCCCTTGCATCAGCATGCCCTGCATGTGAGACATGTTGTCAAATGAGATTTTGGAGCATTAAGATTCAGTGACTTCCCAGATGGGTTTCAGACTTCCATGGGGCCTGTAGCCACTTTGCTTTTGCCAATTTCTCCCATTTGAAATGGAAACATTTACTCAATGCCTGTAATCCCATTGTGTCTTGGAAGTAACTAACTTGCTTTTGATTTAACAGGCTCCTAGGTGGAAGGGATTGCCTTGTCTCAGATGAGACTTTGGAGTTGGACTTTTGGGTTAATGCTGGAATGAGTTAAGACTTTAGGGGACTGTTAAGGCATGATTGGTTTTGAAATGTGAAGAATGCATGAAATTTGGGAGTGGTTGTGGTGGAATGATATGGTTCGGCTCTGTGCTCCATCCAAATCTCATCTCGAATTGTAATCCCCATGTTTTGAGGGAAGGACCTGGTGGGAGGTGATTGGATCACAGGGGCAGTTTTCCCCATGCTGTTCTCATGATAGTGAGGGAGTTCTCGTAATATCTAATGGTTTAAAAGTTGCAGTTTCCCCTGAGCTCTCTCTCCTGCTGTCTTCTGAAGAAGGTGCTTGCTTGTCCTTCACCTTCTGCCCTTATTATAAGTTTTCTGAGGTCTCCCAGCCTTGTGGAACTGTGAGTCAATTAAACCTCTTCTGTTTATAAATTACCCAGTCTCAGGTAGTATCTCTATATCAGTTTATAAATTACCCAGTCTCAGGTAGTATCTCTATATCAGTATGTAAATAGACCAATACAGACAGTAAGGGTTGAAAATCTGTTTGGTACTATGCTCAGTACCTGGGTGACAAGATCAATCATACCCAAAACCTCAGAATTACACAATATACCCATGTAACAATATTGCACAGATACCCCTGAATCTAAAATAAATATTTAAATTATAAAAAGAATAACTAAAATAAAATGAAAAATTTTAACATATACATATATATACATATATATATATAACTGTGCTTGAAAAAGTAAGCTATCAAGCCATGAAAAGACATGAAGAAAATGTAAATGCACATTATTATGTAAAATAAAGCAACATGAAAAGGCTATATAGTTTATAATTACAACTATATGACGTTCTGGAACAGAAAAACTGTGGAGACAGTAAAAAGATTAGTGGTTGTCAGAGGTACCGTGGGAGAGGAGAGAAGAATAGGCAGAAGGCAGAGTTGCTTTAAGACAGTGAAAATACTGTCTGATATTATCATTGTACTTACATATCATTATGCATGTGCCTAAACCCATAGAATGTACAACTTCAAGAGTGAACCCTAATATAAACTATGGGCTCTGTATGACAGTGATAGATTAGTGTAGGCTCATTACTTGTAACAACTGCACCACTCTGGTAGGGGATGTTAACAATGGGGGAAGCTATGGCTGTGTTGGGGACAAGAGACATATGGGACATCTCTGTGCCTTCCTTTCAATTTTACTGTGAACCTAAAACTGTTCTAAAAAATAAAATATTTTAAAATTAAAATAAAATGAAATAAACCTGGATGGGTTTTCTAGACATCCACTTTGTATTGTTAGCTTGTGGTCTCCTTCAGATGTATAAGAGATGTATGTGGAATGAAGACAGGTATCACTCAGTTTAACTAGTGATAACTCAGCCCCCTTTTCTCAGCCTTTCCGGATGTAGCAAAACTAACACTTCCCTTTCAAGGTCAGTATAGGCACTTGATACATGGCTAGGGACAGTTCTCACTTCTTGTTTAAGGTGATAGGAGAAGTATTCAAGGCTGTGCTTCTGCAGCCAGTTGGTGCAGCAGGGAGTATTGACTCTTAACCCTTACTCTGGCTGGTGACAAGCATAAAGTCTCCAGGCCACAATTCCATGAATCGTATAGGAAATGGGTGAAATTACTCTCTACCTCTGTATGAGTATTTTCACATATGTGAAAAATAAAGGCTGACAATTCCTGCCATAGAGTATACAGAGTATGTTCTGAATGTTCTTTCTACAGTTTTTCTCATGATATAAATGTAAAACTATTAATCGATTAATTGGTAGCACTTTTATATTTAATAAGTTGTTTTGTTAGAACTGAATGAAAACATAAAAGTTCATTTTAGTAAAAAATTAAGCTGTAAACCTCTGTTTCTCAAAAAAGTTGACAATGAATCAACAATTTGCGTAAAATGCTTATGGACAATTACTATTCACCACGGGGCCATAGTGCTATCTCTGCTCATATTGAAGACTAGAAAATGGGTCGGCAACTGCTTCAAATGCAAATATAGTGCCTGAGTCACATTCTGCTTAGAAAGGTTATAATAAATATTAAGTGAGATTTTTAAAAAACAAGGATAGTTTTAGAATAGTTTTTTAGTTTTGCTTTGCTTTAAGAAAACTGCATCTAAAGACTTGAAATAGAAACTCAGCTGACTCCAATTCAATGAATTTCATCCATATCGCAAAACCAAGTAAAGCTTTTGAAATTGTTCTTCATCAAAGATCAATCATTTGATATTTTTTGTGAATGCTATTGTAAATTCAGTTAAAAATTCAGCATTGAATATCACTATTTGTTTCCATGGTAATAATGTTAATATAAATTTTGGTAGGAAAATGCATTATAGTAGAATGATGTTGTTACTGAATTTGGACATTTATAAAACAGAAATATAAGTGGCATTTTTGTGGCATACCTATCTATTATAATTGTATCCAAAATCAAGCATCATTCTACCAATTGAAATTGAAGCTGTACTTGTCAAAAGTACAAATAGTTTTATATATACGCACAGTAATCGTATTAAAATTTTTTGTTATAAAGCTAGTGAGGAATAAAAAAATATACTTAAGCACAGTGGTATGTGGTTTCTTTGGGTCTGTGCGTCATCAACATGATTCTAGAAATATTTGAATCCTTGAAGATTCACTTTTAAAATTGGTGTAAGTATCCAAAGGTTAACATGAAAATGTTTAAAATAAATTCTTTAAAGTTTGTTTGCATGTTTTCCAAAATCAATTAGAAATTGTTATCACAGTATTAATAAATGAAACATTATTAAAAACTTTGACTTTTGACGCTTTTTGCCAGTTGTTATTTTTGCAAACAAGAAAACCTTGAATTTATTTTTACAACAGCAAGGGAGGGACTGAACAAAACAAATGAGCTTAATATTTAACTTTGATATTAAACAATCGCCCCCTGGATATTTCAACTCAAGGGAAGAGTGTTTTGATGGAAGTCCTATATTTATTTGAATGAATTTATATTCTCTACGAAGTAGAATAAAATTGAGAAGGCCTATGATTTTGCTACAGCTAAACATGATGAAACAAAAGAAAATAGGGATAATTTAGTTGACTACGTTTTTCTATAAAAATATCTGTCAGATAAATGAACTTTCATTGAGGGTAAAAAGAAAACTTTTGAGCTTATTTGAATTAAATATTAAAATGTTTCAACATAAAATTTAGAACTGAGAATTTATTCAATTTAATAAACGTGCTCTCTGTTTACTAGGTATCTTAGCATTTTACTTAAATAAAGTTAGTCTGACCTCCAGAGAAGAATCAAATGGAAGTGTGAACAATTTTATATTAACCATAAAATACAAACGAAGATAATGGCATAATTTTATAAAATATGTGAAAAAATAATAAGGCCACATTGGAAAAAACAAAACACTTTTGTCAGAAAAATACCAGTGAGATGGTGTTAAAGACAGACATGGCTGAAGAAAATGATTGAAGTAATGGATATGTACCAAAACAACCACTTTGTTACTTTTAACGAGATAGTAAATATAAAGAATTGACTTTGCTGGGGTTTTGTGTACATGGTTATTATATATGTTATTTTATTTTTAGAAATAATTTTATATTTGAAAACAATTTTTGAAAGTTTCTGTTTTGGCTGGGCGGGGCAGCTCATGCCTATAATCCCAGCAATTTGAGAGGCTGAGGCGAGCAGATCACCTGATGTCAGGAGTTCAAGACCAGCCTGGCCAACATGGCGAAACCACATCTCTACTAAAAATACAAAAATTAGGCAAAGTGCCCTGTGCCTGTGGTCCCAGCTACTCGGGAGGCTGAGGTAGGAGAATTGCTTGAACCCGAGAGGTGGAGGTTGCAGTGAGCTGAGATTGTGTCACTGCTCTCCAGCCTGGGTGACAGAAAGAGACTGTCTCAAAAAAAAAAGATATTAACTAACTGTTTTATAAGTCTACCAATATAATAAAACCTATTGGTCAATTAATAAATACATAAATGAAAATATATTTGTACTCATCTTCAATCTGAAAAGTAACCCATTTTGAATAAGTCACGTGGTCAGTCACCGTCCACTCAACTCCTTCACTGTCAACTTAGGCAAAGGCAAAACGTCTTATACTGATGACAAATTGGAGAGTAGGATAGAATTCCTTTTGCCTATCATACACTAATCTGTTTTAAAGTTAGCTTTATCTTCTTCTAAATTAATGTTTCTTAAGCCATCTCTCAAGAAAACATCTGCTGTCCACCGTCATCTGAATTATGTGAGAATTCATTACAACCCTAGGTTCAGAGGAAGCACCACTCCAGATTTACAAAATCACAGGGATGGGGTGGGGATGAAAGGACAGAGAATTTGTAATTATCGCAGATTCTTGAGGGCCATCTAAAATTTGACCTGCAAAGAATTTGAAGCAATCTGTAATTCTTGTCCACTGTCCAGCTGTGGCATATTTAATACACTACATGACTGTATGTACAGCCTTAGGACTTTTCCTCTCTATGTCAACAAAACTCATTTCTTCCAGGACATAGAATTTATCCTTGTAGCCCACATACTTTATCTGATAAGAATGGAATTTATAATTGGATGTCAAAGCATAGCAAACAATGAAGGGAGAAAAGTGCAGAGGGGGAAAACACATCTATTATTTATTTTGTTAGGAAATCATTTCTTGACACTGATGAGGATGCTACCCATTATCTAGTTAACACAGATCCTACAACTCTAAACTAGGGGCAGGGAGGGAAATTGAGCTACAGCCCTTGCTGCGTTGATCCTGAGAAGTCATGTTGTTTTCAGTCAGAGTGAAATGTAGACGTTGTTCAGAGTTATATTTCACCAACCAATCCCATTCTACTTGAATTTAGCAGAAACCTTCTGGGTATTGGTTTGTGGTCTTTGGTTACCAGTTATAAAGTTCTATATAGGAATATTTGTAGTTTACACTTTGTGCTGGGTTTTCAAGTTAGATGTTTTTTAGTTGAAAGAGTTTCAAGTGATGCTACCACGCTTCCCCCTTAAATAGTATTCTTCCACCAGGTCTCTGTTATTGGGAGCACACAAAAAGAAAGAGGTAGAAAAGAGCCAAAGACAATCCCATTAGTATGCCTGCATGTATAAACACATATGAAAAAATAGTACTCTTTCCTAAAAGGGAGAATTCCAAAGGCATAAACTTGGGGTATCTACATGAGTTTTCATTTTGTTATTCATTTAGCTTTTAGATCATTAGATTTCTGGTAATGTATTCAGGTTGATATTTTCATGAAATAGTGGAGCAGTGTCCTCACTTTAAGCAACCCATAGTTAGAGGAGAATCTTCTTCTTTGAGGACATAGTTGAAGTCATGGGATGTAACACATTCTTTATCATAATTATAAAATATAACAGTGATAAGCACGATGCATCCTTTCATCATTTGCTATTTTCACAAATCTTTCATATCTCACAGAACTACTGATAAACAGTGAACTCTCAGGAAACAAAAACAAATGGAATAATAAAAAGTAGGAACAGTCAGAAAGAAGGCTGAGGCAGAAAAATGAACTGAGAAAATGTTATTATATGGGGACATTTGGGAATCGTCAATGAGTGTTTTTTTTAACCCAACTTCTATTGTCTTTTCAGAAAACTAGCCAGATTGCAGAAAAATTAGAAAGCCTTTGCTGTTCTCCAGGATAAAAATCCCCAAGCCAAGCCCTGAATGTTCCCTGTGATTTTCTCATTAGTATACTCATGATGCTTTTCCCTTCTTTGAACGGACCACCCAGCACCACATGAATCTTCAAGATCATCAGTCACAATGGGACCAGATCCTCCTTTGTTCACTGTTGCACGTCTAGATTGACAGCATTCTTTAGCATATCCACATTGGAAAAAGCCTAGGTTTCCAAACTACAGAGTGAATTGAAGACAGAAAATTATCTTGACGTGGTTTCTTTTTTTTTTTTTTTTTTTTTTTTTTTAAGAACGTCTCCACGTGAGGGGGAAATTGCATCCTCTGCTGTAAGTGCTTCACAGGGCAGTTTTTCAAATTAATGCAGTTTAACTATTACATTAACTTAATGACTATTTTCCCCTGCTTTAACCATGTTAAATGTGCCGGCAATAATGAGCTTCTAATGCTGTCTCTTTTAAGTCTCAGAGGCATCTTTAGAGCTGCTGCTTATCTCCTGGATCATAAAGCTGCATAATTTAGTATTCAAACAATTAATTTAAAATGGAAGCCCTCAGAATTACCATAAAATTAATCAGAACAAAGTCATCTTAACCCATCAATTTGGTTTATCTCCAGTTACTAAATTGGCAAATGAAAGTGAGGTAAATAAAAATGTTGGACTGAGCTACAATTTACTTCTTTTGAATAGTTGCCTCTATTTTCAGGGATATCAATATAGGTTTGATAAAGTGGTTGGATCCCAGTTGCTATCATCCCTTACTAATTGTGATAAATCAGGACTTTAATATATGTTCTATATTGTTAATTTCAGAGCTACTTCTTGCACATGTATTGGTTCAGTCTCACTTTAGTTAACTCATTGACTTATTTCTAATTTGAATCCTAGGGAAAATTTTTGCCACAGGTTGGAGTGACCAATGACCTTTTGAACATCTAAAATTTTGTCTTTTAAGAAGTTTTCCAATTGCTTTGGGGAGCTTTCCAGTTGCTAAGGCCTTGCTAGAGTACTTCAATTTCGAGGATATCCTGAATTTAAAAATAAACTATAGATATACCAGAATTTCCTGAATGTCTAAAGATGCTGTCAACCATACTGGAGAGTTTGATTCTTAACAGAATTATCCTGTTTTTCAAACATATGTATAGCATTTTTAAGGAAAAGGTGAATTTTTGCGCTGAATTTAAAATTTTTATTCTGGAATTTGAATGGCAACCTAGCTTTGACTTGTATCTCCATGCTGGGGAAGTAGGCTATTTTTGTAATATAAGCACTGTCGTTCAGAGTGGCATTCCCCAAGGTGTGGTATTTGGGACCCCAGTAGGTGTTACAGAAGTAAAGGAGAAGTACTATATAGACAGTAGAAATGATGTGTTAAACAAAGTTAAACTTGTTTTTTCCAAAAATACTTTGGCCATGTCAGATCCTGGAAGAGCCTACAGCAGAGATTAACACAATTTTATAGTAAAGGGCCAGATAGAAAATGCTTTAAGCTTTTCAGGCCAGATGGTCTCTGTTGCAGCTACTCAACTCTAGTATTGAAGTACCAAAGCAGTTGTAGATGATATGGAAAGGAAAGGGCATAGTTGTATTCCAACAAAATGTATTTATAAAAGCAAATGCCGATTTCCCAACCTCTAGGCTAGGGAGAATGAATCTCTAACAGGGGGAAACTATTTAGATTTAACCACTTATTTTACCATGAACCCTTCTGTTTGTTTAGTTTGAGAATCATCTTGCAAAGCTATTGTGTTTAAGAATATCCATTGGGATAAGGTAGTAAAATGGAAGAGTGAGCGTAGGATCAAAGTGAGAAATGCTATAGTCTAGTGCTTCCACTTGATAACCTTATGACCTTTGACTAATCACCTAATTCTTACAGCCACAGTGAAAGCTTTTTGAGGTAGGAATAACAATTCGTGCTTTATATAGCTGGTCTGAGGGTTAATGTTGGTGGCACATGCTTGCTGTCAATAAACACGAATCCCCTTCAAACAGTATTTCTTCAAATACTATTGTTATTGAATTCAGTGCATTTTACCTTTGTGGCTACTTCTCTTTTTCTATAGTGCCCAAGAAGTGAATATGCAGTCTCTTAATGTGTACTCTCTAAATGTGCAGTGAGCCAATCCATTCTTGGGTCTCCAGTCATGGGTCACTTGGTATTTTACAGTGTGGCTGGACTTCTGTTTAAGCAATTTGGCTGATTTTAAAGCTCAGAGGTTCTCTTTAAAGTAATTTTCTTGTTGAAAGTTGATGAAAACATGCTGGAAGTTGAAATCAGGGCTTGTCATGTCACTAACTTTTCTCATTATTATTTTTCGAATAGTATTAAGCGTTTATAGAGAGTTCAAAACATGGCAAGCCCTATTTTCAGATTTTTCTATGTATTAACTCATTTAATTATCAAAATAATCCTATGGGGTAGTTACTAATCTTGAACCCCCTTTTAAAGAAATTGAGGCATGGAGGACTAATGAGGTGTCCAAGCCCACACCGCAGATAAGCAGAATATCCAGGATTCTGAACCAGGTGTTTTGCCTCAAAGCTGGCTGTACCAACCACCCCCTACTCTTTCTCTACTTTGGAGAATAATTTAGTGACTTCCTTCAGAGAATCCTTATTGAGCATTTTCTATGATACCTTGGCTCTTCCAAATGAGATTATTTTATAACTTGGAGGCAGTGTTGTATACGTACATTACCCAGGCTTCAAGGTTAGATAAATCTTGATTGAATTTGACTCCACCACTCACTGACCATGTGACCTTGTGGCACTTAGCATTTCAAAGCTTCAATGTCCACAAACAAAAGTTGAAGAAAATTATACCTACCTTATCTAATTTTAGAAGAAAAGATTAGTTACAAAATCACAGTCCCAGGTACTTAAAAGGTCTGATAAGTGCTTTTTTCTTTTTGCTACATCTTCTCTTACTATTATCTAAGGAATCTCAAATGAATCCCTAAAAGCCAGTAACTGTAATTCTAGGATGCACTTGAGGGAAAAACAAAAACAACAACCAAAAAAAAAACAAACAAACAAACAAAGAAGAGCAATCTGACCGCAGCAAACCTTCCCTTCTCTTTTGAGCAACTTCCTTTTTTTCTCACAAGCAATCCAGTGTTCTCATGCCAAATGTTTTCAGCAAATAGTAGTTATTTCCTTGCATGTGATTAAGATTGAATTTAAAAATCTCTTTTATGATGATATCTTATTTCAGCCTCAAAAAATCTGAGGAAGGAAATTATTGCTACCCCATGTGTAAATAAGAAATCAGATGCTTACAACATAATGTACTTACATAACCAACCACTAAGGAGACAGGATATTGAGTTCCCACTCCAATTCTGAATAGTAGCCAACATACAAAAATGCCTCTATAATTGTCTTTGTTTACTAGAATCTAGCAACACTAAGCAGGCAGTCTTCCTTAATGAACTGAAGAAAATTTCCTTTTTCACTAATGTGAAATTCCCCATTCACTCCACCAGTCTTCCTCAGGTAGATTTTGATCTTAGAGCCTTTTTCCAATCTTCAAGAAAGAAAGAAAGCTGCATCTATTTTTTTAAGTTCAAGGGTACAGGTGCAGGATGTGCAGGTTTGTCATATGAGTGAACATGTGTCATGGGGGTTTGTTTTACAGATTATTTCGTTATGCAGGTATTAAGCCTAGTACCCATTAGTTATTTTCCCTGATCCTCTCCCTCCTCCCTCCCTTCGCCCTCCCGGTAGGCCCCAGTGTGTGTTGTTCCCTTCTGTGTGCCCATGTGTTCTTATCATTTAGCTCCCGCTTATAAGTAAGAACGTGCGGTATCTGAGTACACTGAGAAGAAATGACCTACTTTGCATTTTCTTAGGATCAATTCACTTCCTACTTAACTTGTACCTGACAGAACTTAAAGCCTTCATAGGTATATAGAGAAACGAGGGTTAAAAAAAAAATAAAGAAACGCATATGGGATCTTCCGCTCTGTTCTAGGTAAAGTGCACGTAATACCCCTTTAGATTCATAGATCATATTATGCTTTATGAAGTATTTAGAATATCTCATTTGATTCATGCAAAAGACCTCTGAGGTAATCCTGGCAAATGTATTAACTCATATTACATTTCTACCCATTAGAAAGCAAGGACCTTTAGGAAGATGGAGGATGCTGTTATTTTCTCTCTGTGTGGATATCTTTAGCACCTGGCTGTGTCTAGCACAAAGCGAGGCATATTACTAATAAAAGTCAAATGAATTAATTAGCAAATTAAATACTAGAAGGCTAGGTATTTTGCCACAGTCACAAAGAGAGAGTAAATGGTCAAACAAAGATTTTAACTCCAAATCCTACGTTCCTGTGCATAAGAGAGCAGGCCCACGAATGGAATTGATATAATTCCTCGAGAGCCGCATGGCACTTGTCAGGCAAAAGAGGCTATTGTGGGGTGAGATCCAAGAAACCCATTACATTCCCTAGACTTAGGTTCAAGTCTAGCTGTGTCACTTCTTAGATTGTGACAGTTCCCCTGAGCCTCAGTTTCTACACGTATAAAATGAGAATGTCAGTAGCTACTTAACACATTAAGGTTTTTTTCCTTTTGCACTTTTACACATGTATAGATGCACCCATTGTTAGCCACAGATGGATCTTACAATACTTATAGTTACATTTTTTAAAAAAGAAAAGGCATGAAGCATAAATTCTGATGGGCTGAGTACTGATTTGGAACCATTGGCATTCTTTTAAAGTCTTCATTTAGTGTTTATAATTTATAAGGAGCACATACCGCCCACAGCATTTTGAAGATTATGCAAATGTAGCCTAAATGTATCTCGTATATTCAAGAAGTTGCCGTCTCCCACATGTCTGTCTTACTGTAGCTGAGAAAAATCACTGTTTTGCCAAGATCCTAAGTTAGAGCCTTCTTTGAACCCAATTTGTATTGCAGGGGAAAGTGAACTCCAGTTCAAGTGACGGGGCATTGGAGTCTGGGACAGATCTGCTTGGTATTCTCCAGCAAATCAAATGGCTCAGAGGATCTAGATTTCATTCTCTATAAAATGAAGAAGTTGGAGTTGATCTTTATGTTCATGTACTGCTCTGAGATTCTTAGATTTCAGGTGTGTGCATGTGTGTATGTATGTGCATAGTTTTTAGTTTCATTTTTTAGGTGTATTTTTGGAGGTCTTTATTTAAAAATTCATTTATATGGCAATGCCAGCTATGATCTGACTCTTACAGTAAAATAGAAATTCTCACTGAATGAGGAAATGAAACACTCTCTGAAAATAACTGAAATAGATGAGAAGTATCTTTATAAAGCTGCATACAGGTGAAAGGCCTTGCCTTGATTCTCTGAGATTTCAAACTCCCTAAGTTATTACCTGAAAAAAATAAAGTTAAGTCTCTGGCAGGACTTAACTTCTATAAGACTGTACAGGTAGAAGCTGATCTGATCTTCCAGACTCAGATACAATTCATAATCACTAAATCCCAAATAAATGAGTAGCTAAAAACTTCTAAGAATGTCAAACTCACATCTTATGTGAGTTTGTGTGTTTTCACATTTTATTTGAAACTTATATTTTGTGTGAGTTAATGTATTTTTACATTATATAACTTTTGTATTTTATAATTTCACCTCTTTCCCTTTTGTAGGTCATAGACGTATTTCAAAAAAACACATGATCCTGGTATTCTCGTTTTCCTGTTGTAACCAGGATTTAGCCTGAACTCCTGAGTAGATGAAGGGGAAGGGTTAGGTAGTATCATAGCATGGAGTATGGCAGGTTTCTGGCCAGTGGTCACCATCATTCTTCAGATGGCACCTGCTGAAGTGAGCAGTCACCATCATTCTTCAGATGGCACCTGCTGAAGTGAGCAGTCCTGTCTGGTCCTCTCTCTCCTTCACCTATTCATGCTGACATCACCTGAAATATCTGTGTTCCCATCTGTTTTCTGGTCTCTGGACACATGTTGACATCCTCAGTGTGATCTCTTTGTCTTGGTCTCTTGGATACTGAAGGCCAAAGAATCCCCCTCTCAGCTAATTTTTGCTCCCTCCCCAAAGATACAGAAATGCTAGCCATGGTTTTGAACTTCCTAGGAAAGAAGGATCCTGAGCATAGCTGCCTCTTGGCTTCTGCATTACTCCTGGTCTGCTTTCAGGCTGTGATTTTAAGGAGACTTTTTTAAGGAGGTGGCAACATGGCATGTTCCTTCCTGGGGTTATCTTCCCCTTCTCTGCCCTTTGGAGCTGACTATTGGGTAGTAGCAGGAAGGGACAGAGAACAGGATGCTTCCATAGCCTCCCCACAAGAATCTGACCCTGTAGTTCTCCCATCTGATTATCACCAGTCTCCTTTTTTTCTGGGATCTAGGTTTTATGTCTCCTTGGCCATGAGAAGAAAAGCTGGCTCAGGAAATATTCTAATTCTATTGTATGAGCCAGAATGTCTACTTCAGGAATTCAAAAGCTAATAAGGAGACTATTTTGTTCTTAGAGTACAAATTTTACAGAGACAATAGATACAATAAGAAAGGGGTATAGAAAAAACAATGGTTACTACTTCTCAGTGGTATCCCAAGTGTATTGTAACTGTATAACTTTTCTACTGATTATTAGGCAAAATACACTTGGACTGGTTGGAAGGAAAAGGGTAGTTGTAAAAATTCCTTTACTCCTTTGAACTAGTGTAGGAAAAATCCCCGTAAAAGAGAAGCAAAATGTTGAATAGTACACCTAAGATAGGTGAATTGTAAAAGCTGTCAGAGAAGGAGAGAGCTTGAGAGAGAGAGAGACAGAGAAAAAGAGACGAACAAGAGGAAAAGGGAGGGAGGGAAAAAGAGGGAGGGAGAGAGTGAGAGAATATTACCGACTTCATTAATGTGAAGGGTAAGGTCATGGAAATCTCCCAATTTGGAAGTCCGTAAGCAAAAGGAAGTAAGTCATATATTTTGAGAAGGAAACATGTATTGATTATTATTTATAAACATAAACATGGCAAATTTTAAAAATGAACAGCATTTTAATAATTCATGTGATTAAAAATATATATTTGAATAATAAAGTACATTTAATAAAATTAATTGCTAATATTAAATGATATTTAATTATTTAAGAAATTAAATAATAAATTCACCATAAGAAAACAAAATAATGTTTGCCAAACACTTCATTAAATATATGCATCACATTTTTCAATTTTCACAACCCTTTGAAATAAGTGACATTTGTATTTTATAGATAAAATACAATGAATACATGCAAAAATAGAAATTCAGAAAGTACAATGGCTTAATCCAAATTATATAAGTAGTAAGATACTGATAAAGTTAGGGTTTCACAGCCAGGTCTGTCTGACCCCAAAACCAATGTTCTTTTCAGGCCACTTTAAGTGCTGACAGCTGGCTTGGAAGAGAAACCTGACCTACAAATTATAGCCCTGAAAAAGCACTAGTTTTGTTTTTCACGAAAAAAGATCACAATTTTTAGCATGAACTCTGTTTTGCTGTTCAGGTTTTAAGTGTATTTAAAATCTATGCAGCCATGTTGAGATGAGATAGTTCCCTGGCCCCCTCGAAGGATGTGTGACAGGGGTGTGGCTCTCTGTTCAGCTGCCAAGAGTTCAAACCGCTTAAGGGAGAGGGAGCAAGCAGACAAGTGGGTGCAGAAACCAGGGTGAGGGCTTTTGGGCTGTGGCCCTATGGCAGCGTCTAGAGGTGGGTATCTGTGACTCCCCAAACCCAAGTGAGTGCATGTTACGGTGCACTCTTTTAGCCTTGCTGTCCACAGATAGCTTAAGCATTAGACAGCTCAGTGGACCGTCTTGGCACCCAGGTTCTTGTCTGGCATCCAGGAAGAATCAGGTTGCACATGGACTTGAAGGATGAATGTAGGGGTTTTATTGAGTGGTGGAAGTGGCTCTCAGTGGAATGGATGGGGAGCTGGAAGGGGGATGGAGTGGGAAGATATTCTTCCCCTAGAGTTTGGCCATCCAGCAGCTGATCTCTCTGATCATATCTAGCCAAACTCCTCTCGGTGTTTAGATGCTCCTTCTCTTCTCTCCTTTTCTGCCATGCTGTTCTGCCATTTGTCTGCTCATCTGCTTGTCTCCTTGTCTCTTGGAGCCTGGGGTCTGGAGTTTATATAGGTACAAGATAGAAGGCATGGGGGGCCAAAAGGCAACTTTTGGGGCACAAAAACAGGAATCTCTGTTCTCATTTAGGGCCATGGGTATCCAGGCATGAGGGTGGGGCCTTTGCCATGGAACTGCCTTCTTCTGCCCAGTATTTCCATTTCTCCTGTCCATATTGATATTCCACTAACAGTCATAAAGTATTTGGATGAGCTAGTCTTGCCCCTTGGAATTTCCATTTGGTAGCACTTTCAGGTATGTTCTCACAGTACCCACTGAGCCACTTGAAGAATCAGTTTGGAATAGAGTAGAATGTTATGTAGTTAATAACAAAGATATTTAAGAAATAGCTGGATTTTTTAAAAATGTGTTTTTTGGCCAAAAAATCATTGTGGTGAGTAGTGGAGTTAGTCTGTACTGCCTCTGGTTCTCTCAAATTCTCCTAAAGAGGAAGAAACTCAGCCCAGAAAATTTTAGGGAACTCAACTCCATCCATATTAAGAACATGTTATCATTAGTTATTGCATGATTTGAAGCTAAGTCATCTTTTCATATTTGTCATGTTTACTATTTATTTCCTACTTTTTGTGGGGACATGCATTTATTATTGTACTGAATCCTTACCCATGTGCTAATACTATCTGTTTTGAAGACAAAGAAAAGAAAAACGATGTCAGATAAATGCATTAACTTTCCTAAGTTTCCATATCTAAGAAGTGAAAAGTTTGGGATAGCATTCCAAGGTCTGCTTTGTTGTACATCCAACAATCTTTCCTTAAGGCCATGTTTTGACTATTTTCCTGGTACTTGCCTATGACTCTGAATTTAATCATAGAATTTTCAAGTTATTTATTTAAAACACCAAAAGCCACTTTCCAGAATCCTTCTCATCAGTGACCTTCTTAGCAATGGTGAATCCTGGTATTCTCCTTTTCCTGTTGTACCTAGGATTTAGTCTGAACTACTGAGTAGATGAGAGGGAAGGGTTAGGTAGTATCATGACATGGAGAATGACATGTTTCTGGCCAGCAGTTGCCATCTTTCTTCAGATGACACCTGCTGAAGTGAGCAGTCCTGTCTGGTGTTCCCTGTACTTCATCATCCATGCTGACATCAACTGAAATATCTGTGTTCCCATCTGAATCAGTTATTTGTAAACTCCAATTCTATTGGATATTTTAAAATTTTCTTTTGCAAAAATTTCCATTTTTCCTGTCTACAACTTGAGCAGAAAATGTCTTTAAAAATATTTCTGTATATTTTGCCCTCAATAATAGTACTTAGCATGTGCCAGGTGTCTAATAAGTTTATTTAATAAACAAATGGATCCTATGTGTGAGAGATTAAACTAACATCTGAGATACAAATATAACTAAGCCTTGATTCCTATCCTCAAGAGGTTTATAACTTGGATTGGCATGCATATATATTTGCATTACCATAACACAATAGGTCTGGGGCAAAGTTTGATTTATGTATAAAATGTTGTGGTCTCACACCAGGGGTGAGAAATTTGAGAAATATTGAGAGAGAGTGGGAATCAAGAATAAGAATTAGCGTTTTAGCTTTCATGCCTGGGATGGGTGCTGGTTTCATTTACTGAGGAGGAAAATCAAGGAAGAAGAGAATGGAAGAAATGAAATATGAGGTTTTATAGAAGTTACCTTTCATTACACATCATAATTAGCATGAACACTGACCTAAGGACAAGAGGCAGAAAAGGAAAAGTGGAGCTCAAGAATGGAGTCCTGGTGAAGATTACGTTATAGGAAGAGGAAGTCATGGAGATATAGAGAATACTACTCATGTACCCTGCAGCATTAGTGTCATCAAGGGGACCCAAAGAGGTTGGCATCTGATAACTGTGAAACTCTTAATATTAGTTTGTTCTCATGCTGCTAATGAAGATACACCAGGGACTGGGTCACTTATCTAGGAAAGAGGTTTAATGGACTCACAGTTCCACATGGCAGGGGAGGCTTCACAACCATGGTGGAAAGTGAAGGGGAAGCAAGATACCTTACATGGCAGGAGACAAGAGAGCTTGTGCAAGGGAATTCCCATTTGTAAAATCATCAGATCTCATGAGACTTACTACCATGAGATAGGGGGAGACCGCCCCAGTGATTCAATTATCTCCACCTGGCCGTGCCCTTGACTTGTGGAGATTATTACAATTCACGGAGAGATTTGGGTCGGGACACAGCCAAACCATATCATTCTGCCCTTGGCCCCTTCCAAATCTCATGTTCTCACATTTCAAAACCAATCATGACTTCCCAACAGTCCTGCAAAGTCTAAACTCATTTCAGCATTAACTCAAAAGTCCACAGTGCAAAGTCGTATCTGATACAAGGCAAGTCCCTTCTGCCTATGTGTGAGCCTATAATATCAAAAGTTAATTAGTTGCTTCCTTGATACAATAGAGGTACAGGCATTGGGTAAATACAGCCATTCCAAATGGGAGAACTTGGCCAAAACGAAGGGCCTAGAGGCCCCATGCAAGTCTGAAATCCAGTGGGGCAGTAAAATCTTAAAGCTCCAAAATGACCTCCTTTGACTTTATGTCTCATATCCAGGTCACACTTTTGCAAGAGATGGGTTCCCATGGTCTTGAGAAGCTCTGTCCTTATGGCTTTGCAGGGTACAGCCTCACTTCTGGCTGCTTTCATGGGTTGGTGTTGAGCGTCTCTGGCTTTTCCAGGTGCACTGTCCAAGCTGTTGGTGGATCTACCATTCTAAGGTGTGGAGGACAGTGGCCCTCTTCTCGAAGCTCCACTAGGCAGTGCCCCAGTACAGACTCTGTGTGGGGCCTCAGGCCTACATTTCCCTTCCACACTGCCCTAGCAGAAGTTCTCCATAAGTGCCCCACCCCTGCTGCAGACTTCTGCCTGGAAATCCAGGCATTTCTGTAAATCTTCGGAAATCTAGATGGAGGTTCCCAAACCCCAATTCTTGACTTCTGTGCAACCACAGGCTCAACACCACATGGAAGCCTCTGCACTGAGAGATTTACCCAGACTCTAGCATGGCTTTTGGCAACTTAAGGTCAAGTCCCTAGGAAGACTCCATGCCTATCCCCCTTTCTCTTAACAAGCCTGTCTGAGAAAGCTCAAAACTGCCAGGATAACAGGATAATTTATATCTGTTCCAATTAAAGCTAAGTGATAGATAGATAGGTCTCTCAACTCTCTCTTAGAAAACAATAAAAAAAAAACTTGAAATAACAAAGAACCATCTATTTTCTTTGAAATGCACACACCTAGCTCCATAGACCTTAACACCTTAACTTACACCACAGACCTCTGTGATAAAGATAGGAGACGTTTGTTTCTTCTCCAGATAAGCACCAATTCACAAATCCAACTGGCCTTTTCACACGAATCAATCTTCCTTGAAAACTTTCAATGCCCTTCCTAAAGGGCATACCAGCCTTTAAAAAGTCTCCAGGCCTTTGTTTCAGGAAAGTTGAGTTCAGATCATGCTGAATCCTTTTCCTTATTGCAATCATTATTGTATAAAATCTATACTTATCACTGTAATCAGTGTTCAGTTTTGTTTATCTTTGACACTGTACAAGAGAAAGGATGATGTTGTTCAGAGTCTCTTGTATATGACAGTCCTTACAACCCACCCTATTGTGTAAGTATAATTGTCCACAATCTACACAGGAGGAGAGAGAGGCATAGAAAAGCTAATTTGACCAAGCTTACACCTCTAGTAAATGACAGCTGGGTCTTGAGCCCACACAGTCAGATTTCCATTCTATATATTATTTACTGGTCTTTCTTAGGGCCTTAAAGGCTGCTATTGAGAGGAACAATCATATAAGGGCTTTAGATTTGGGGCTACATGTGACACCTTGAAGAATACTTGGCTGTCATGGAAAGCAAGTCTCAGTAGAGTGATAAAGACAGGAAGTATGCTTTTAAAAGTTCTTATCAGAGGCAAAGAGATAAACTCTGTGGTAGATTTGGAGTATTGGGAATAGTTTAAGAAAAGAGAAATATGCTTTGAAATAATGACTGTTAAAATCCCTGTATACACACACACACACACACACACACACGTGTGCATATATATATATATTTGATAAAATGGATCTATCCCTATTACACTAGGGATAGATGGGCCTGAGATGAGTTGCTGATGACCGTCTTTATGTATATAGCAAGTGAGGCCATACTATTACTTAGAGAGACTTAAACAGGAAGGAAATATTATGATTTAGAGAGGACTTAAACGGGAAGGTCATATTATGATTTGGAGAGACTTAAACAGGAAGGAAAGGATCAATAAATTAATAAAGAATTAAGCTAGCGATGAGATTAAGGTAATGTTAGGTCACTAAACAGAACTGAAGCTGATATTCAAGAGCTTCAGCATCTTTCGCCTACGTTTTAATACTCTAAGATGTATTTGTAACTTGAACCATATTACACTACTTTTTCCTTCTCTCTTTATTTCTTGGATTTCCTTTTTCCTTCTTTTTCTTTTTTATTTTGTAGGTCAACTAGTTGAATATCAGCAATTTCTTGTGACTTAAAAGAAATGTTATTAGGAACCTATTAAAAATAATAATCCTAGTATTTTACTTTCCAATAAATTCTCACTCATGAATTTGCTATGTAAAACACTTAAAGTTTAATTGCGTTTCTGTGTTGAAGAGGGGGTGAGTGAGAGTGAATTCTGGGAACCAAAGTCATTTATGCTCTGCTCCCTCGCGGTGGTGCCACTGTATTGTGCAGTGGCTTTGATGGGGCTAGTCTGGAAAACTGCTGCAGTGGAGGGCAGGAGGGAGCAACCTGGAAATGCAGAAGTCTGGGTCTAGATCTGTGTTCATCTCAGTGACCAGGTCACCATTCTTTATTATGAGTCTCAGCTTCTTTAGTATAAGATGAGAAGAGTTGATCAGGTAGCTTCTAAAGTCCTTTTCCACTTTATCAAGTGATCTTTAAAGCAAGCCCCATAATTAAAAGAAAACAGTGCCCTGTATAGGAGTGTGACTTACTGTTGTGTAGATGATTTCTGGATAGTTTTTCTCAACCTGATTTGATGGATTGCAAATTAGCAAGAACATGAAACTTCTGCAGATATTAATTTCAAACCCAGATAGACAAACTTTGATCCGTCTGAGCCTGGAGACTTCTTGGCTTGATAAGTGTTTCTATCTTCTGAAAGCATGAGAGAGGCTAAAGGGAAAAATTGTTACATCTGTCTTCCATCTCTACAATTTCACCATACTGTGTTCCCTTTCCTCATCTGACCAAAAAACCCTTTACTTCCAAAGGGAATTACTACTGCTTTCACTTTGCTCTTTAATTCTCATAAAACAAAAGGCGATTCATGTATTTTTTTGATCCTGGTTCATGAAAATCCTTAACATCAATTATTGAAGTGCCTTTCTGTAAAAAGTACTGAAAAAAATCTTTTCTGCTTTAACTTTTCACACTGAATTTGGGAAGAAAAAACATGTCTTATAAGAGAAAACACTTGAGGGCACTGATTTCAAATTAAACGTGAACCCAATTAATGCAGTTCTTTTCCCCTTACCTGATTTGGGGGGCTGTAGGTGGAAGGAAGGTCTTTATAATGAATAATATATATCTGAGACTCATTTTCAAACCTGGGCTTGTAAACATTTATTTGTGTAAATGCGTGTTTTTCCATTCAGAAAATGCATATTATAAAAGCTGTTCTGCTCTATCAGTTATAGTAAATACGTGTTCTGAAAATTCCCTAAATACCCAATTTTCTGGCAATAGGGACTATCTTATTAAAATGTCATTTTAGTTTACTGAGTATTGCTAGAAAAATAACAGTTATGAAATAAGCAATTTCCTACTTAGTGGAGAAGCCCTTTCAGAAGCAAAATGGATAGAAGGGGGAAGTTGGTGTGTGCCCAAAGATCCCCATGGTCGCAGGCTCCCTTGCTGAGCTCTGAGGGACATCAGCCTCATAAAAGTGCACCACATGGATTCAATACATCAGACAGACTTGGATTTAATCTCAACTGAGTGACAAGGACATTCATATAAGCCTGAGTTTTCCCATGTTCTTTGAGGTTGTTATTATTACTATTATGCTTCTTGGGAAAATCACTAGTGTTTTCATTTTATTTTACTTTATTTTCTAGGTAATATGTTCATAAGTTTAATAATCAAAATTATAAATAAGTGTATAAATAATTATAAAAATATAATAAACCAATATATAATATCTCACTATAGATATCCACCTGTACCTTACAGTTTCACTCTGTAAATATTGGAGATCTTTCCATCAATTACATCAGTGCTCCTTATTTTTCTTTATATTACATTATATGTGTACACCATGACTTAATAAATCATACATATGAACATTTAGGCCGGGGTGTCCAATCTTTTCACTTCCCTGGGCCACACTGGAAGGAGAATTGTCTTGAGCCACACATAAAATACACAAACACTAAAGATAGCTGATGAGCTAAAAAAAAAAAAAATCGCAAACAAATCTCATAGTGTTTTAAGAAATTTTACAAATTTGTGTTGGGCTGCATTCAAAGATGTCCTGGGCCGCTGTGGCTCACAGGCCCGTGAGTTGTACAGGCTTGCTTTAGGCAGTTTTCAGTTTGTTTTAATCAAAATAATGTTGGAATGAGTAATCTTGTACCTTGTACATTGATTCATCTACAGAATTAATTTCTAGAAATAGAACTATTGGGCTTGCCTATAAGAATTTAAGAACCAATAATTCTCCAAATTATTTTAGACTTTGCTTTTGTGGTAACAAATTTCTATATGGATATAGGCCTATTTCTAGTCTTTCTATTCTAGTTATTTAATGTCGTTTAAATTCATGTAGCAGTTCAAATACTGTTTTAACAATGGTGTCTTTTTAATAGTTTTAATATCTGCTCAGGTAGTCTTTATTCATTACTAATTTTGATTCTTATATTTTTCTGGATATTCTTGACTCATTTATTTTTATCAGAAAAAATATTTTTTATTTTATTTTTAATTGTATATAAGTACATTTATTTCAGAAAATACATACTTTCTTATTGATGATAATTATATTATCATAATTTTAGCTGCTATAAATTTATTCTATGGCAGGGTTTATAAATTTTGATAATAATGATCTTTGGATGTAACTTAACCTTAAAAATCTTAATAAGAAATCCCTTCAGCTTTGATGAGACATTAGGGCTCTAGGACTTGAAGCTAAAGTGACCATAAAAACCTTTATATGGCTTTTCTTATCTGCAAATTGATTCCTAGTGTCGAGCAAGAATATCTTTCTTCCATCCTATCAGACTTGTCTTCCCTGGTTTAATTATATTTATCTGATTCATGCAGTAGAGATGGTGTACAATCACAATCCTTTTACCATTAGAAAAAAAAATTCCAAGCAATTTCCTTAATTTTTGAGAAAAATTTTGTTTCTGTGTTCTCTGATCAGATATTTACCTTTATACACATACAGGTTCCTTTTTCTACCCCACCCCAACTTAAGGCTGATCTTATCATTCTGTGGTTTAAACAAAATTCTCTTTTTGGTATCAAGTGTTTTAGATGGACAGTTCTTCAAAACTGATTTTCAAAAGAGTCCATAAACTTTATGATATTTTAGACCAATTATTAACGAGAACAGAAAATTTGGCCTTTTAGGTTTACAGTGATTTTATCTTATTCAGTGATCCCACTGAATGGGCTCATATTAATGCTATTTGCTTTTTATTATTTAGAATCATTTTATCTAATTAAAATTAAAAGACAAAAATTATTGGCATTTTTATAGAAATAATATTACATTTACAGCTTAATTTGGGTTAATTTGAATTACTTACAACATTTAATGTTCCTGTCCAAAATTATAATACTTGCTATGGTACCTACATGTAAATATAGATAGATAGTAGATAGATAGATAGATAGATAGATAGATAGATAGATAGATAGATATAGATGATAGTACCCCACTATGTGACTGAATTCTCTAATTAGTTGCAATTATTTTTCAGTTGATTATCTTCAGCTTTCCAGATAAACAATAATTTTCCTGCCAGTAGTGACTGTTTTAATTCCTACTTTCTCATTTGTATACTTGTAAATGATTTCCATGACCTATTTATCTTGCTGTTTGCTTGTGTTCAGAAATATAATTAACAGTGCGCATTCTTGTTCTTGACTTTAGTAAGAATATTATGTTGTTTTTCTTCTGTGGATGTTGGCTTTAAGGCTGAAATGAAAATTTTGGATTATCTGAGGAATACTTATATTCTTAGTTTATTTTTTAATCAATAATTGATGTTGAATTTTATCAAAGGCTACTTTAATATCTATACATGTAATCATATTTTTCTGTTACTTAGTAATATGGTTATTTATATTAAAGCATTTCTTCATTTTGATTCATTCTTATCTTCCTGAATATTATGTAATGATGCCCTGGTTTTAAAATACTGTTAAAATCTGCTTGCTAAAATTCTGTTTATAATTTTTCCATCAAATTCTTTTTTATTTAATTAATTTTGGCTGTTTCCTCTCATTACAATAAAAGGTCCAAAGGGAGTTATTGCTATCACTTTAGTCTTCTCCTAAAACCATTGCACTGAAAATTATGCCTGGAATATTGTAATTGCTCAAAATAGAGATTTTTTTCATTCAATAAATTGACATTTTTTTTTACAGAATATAAAAAAATCTGTTATGCTTATGCTTCACTCCCATTTTTTCAGGCAGAAATTCATGCTCATTCTTGGTAAATACGCAAAATTTTTGCAAAGATAAGCAAAAACTTACAAAATTTTCCAAACAAGTAAAACAAAAGGTACATTTTAATCTGCTCAAAAGTTAATCTAACAGCAAAGGTGTTGTTATTTAGCTTGAATGAGAGGATGAAACTGTAGCATGCTATCTGATAAAATGCCAATGTTATCTTTGTCAGTGGGTTTCATATCTCGTCTTTTTTTTTTTAATACTTTAAGTTTTAGGGTACATGTGCACAACCTGCAGGTTTGTTACATATGTATACATGTGCCATGTTGGTGTGCTGCACCCATTAATTCGTCATTTAGCATTAGGTATATCTCCTAATGCTATCCCTCCCTCCTCCCCCCACCCCAAAACAGGCCCCAGTGTGTGATGTTCCCCTTCCTGTGTCCGTGTGTTCTCATTGTTCAATTCCCACCTATGAGCGAGAACATGTGGTGTTTGGTTTTTTGTCCTTGCGATGGTTTGCTGAGAATGATGGTTTCCAGCTTCATCTATGTCCCTACAAAGGACATGAACTCATCATTTTTTATGGTTGCATAGTATTCCATGGTGTATATGTGCCACATTTTCTTAATGCAGTCTATCGTTGTTGGACATTTGGGTTGGTTCCAAGTCTTTGCTATTGTGAATAGTGCCGCAATAAACATACGTGTGCATGTTTCTTTATAGCTGCGTGATTTATAATCCTTTGGTTATATACCCAGTAATGCGATGGCTGCATCAAATGGTATTTCTAGTTCTAGATCCCTGAGGAATCACCACACTGACTTCCACAATGGTTGAACTAGTTCACAGTCCCACCAACAGTGTAAAAGTGTTCCTATTTCTCCACATCATCTCCAGCACCTGTTGTTTCCTGACTTTTTAATGATTGCCATTCTAACTGGTGTGAGATGGTATCTCATTGTGGTTTTGATTTGCATTTCTCTGATGGCCAGTGATGATGAGCATTTTTTCATGTGTCTTTGAGAAATGGGGAAAGGATTCCCTATTTAATAAATGGTGCTGGGAAAACTGGCTAGCCATATATAGAAAGCTGAAACTGGATCCCTTCCTTACACCTTATACGAAAATTAATTCAAGATGGATTAAAGACTTAAACGTTAGACCTAACACCATAAAAACCCTAGAAGAAAACCTAGGCAGTACCATTCAGGACATAGGCATGGGCAAGGACTTCATGTCTAAAACACCAAAAGCAATGGCAGCAAAAGCCAAAATTGACAAACGGGATCTAATTAAACTAAAGAGCTTCTGCACAGAAAAAGAAACTACCATCAGAGTGAACAGGCAACCTCCAGAAAGGGAGAAAATTTTCGCAATCTACTCATCTGACAAAGGGCTAAAATCCAGAATCTACAATGAACTCAAACAAATTTACAAGAAAAAAACAAACAACCCCATCAAAAAGTGGGCAGAGGATATGAACAGACACTTCTCAAATTGACATTTTTTTCTGTTTGTGGTTTTTGTTGGAGTTTACTGTCAAGTTATGTACACTGCGTGTAAGGCTCTGAAATGATTTAAATAGTGCTGAAATTATCTCTGTTTTATAGTTATAGTTTAAATCAGAAGGTTTATCTTAGAATTCTAAATGTGGTTTTGCAGCAGTTAGAAAATTTTATGTGGCTAGGTTAAGAGACATTTCCTTTAACATTTCAAAACAGATTTCTATCTTAACGGAGGCTGCTTTTTTTTAACTTTTATTTTAAGTTCAGGAGTACAAGTACAGGTTTGTTACATTGGTAAACTTGGGTCATGGGGATTTGTTGTACAGATTATTTCATCTCCCAGGTATTAAGCCTGGTACCCATTAGTTATTTTTCCTGGTCCTCTCCCTCCTTCCACCCTACACCCTCCCAAAGGCGCCAGTGTGTGTTTTTCTCCTCTGTGTCCATGTGCTCTCATCATTTAGCTCCCACTTAAAAGTGAAAACATGTGGTATTTGGTTTTCTGTTCCTGTGTTAGTTTGCTGAGAATAATGGCCTCCAGCTCCATCCATGTCCCTGCAAAAGACATGATCTTGTTCTTTTTTATGGCTGCATATGGTTTGTTTATTTATTTATTTTGAGACGGAGTCTCGCTCTGTCACCCAGGCTGGAGTGCGGTGGCACAATCTCGGCTCACTGCAAGCTCCGCCTCCCGGGTTCACGCCATTCTCCTGCCTCAGCCTCCCGAGTAGCTGGGACAACATGTGCCTGCCACCATGCCAGGCTAATTTTTTGTATTTTTTAGTAGAGACAGGGTTTCACCATGTTAGCCAGGATGGTCTTGATCTCCTGACCTCTTGATCTGCCCACCTTGGCCTCCCAAAGTGCTGGGATTACAGGTGTGAGCCACCACACCCGGCCCAACATGACTTTATTTCTAACAACTCTGGAGGCTGGAGAGTCCAAGATGAAGTGCTGACCAACTTGTTTCTCTGGTGAGAGCTGTCTTCCTTCCTGGTTTGCAGACAGGCGGCCATCTTCTCACTGTGTGCTTAGTTGGCAGAGAGGGCAGAGAGGAAGCAAACTCTCCCAAGTCTCTTCATAAGGACCCTCATCCCACCCTTATGACTCCATCTAAAACAAATTACCTCCCAAAGACTCTATCTGCAAACCTATTCCCACTGGCGATTGGGTCTTCGACATTTTAATTTGGGGGAGACACAATTCAATCCATAGCAATACAAGAAAAACATTAACCTTTGAATATATACATAAGCAATAACTGTTAATTGCATTAAGTGCAGAAACTCCTTCAAAGCCACAATATCATCAATGACAGATTTCAAGTTAGTTGGGTCATTTAACAGAAGCATTCTCCTCCAGAATTTGTTTGATTTCTTTCTGGAACATGCTCATGTTATTACTGCCTTCTTTTTTTTCTCTTTCTCCTCTCACAGATAATTTTTATAAGTAAGATTATTCCATTGTTTTTCACTCAGAAATATGGTATGGACATCTTTCCAATGTAATGTAAAAAACAAGTATGCATCAAATTCTATACAGGCTACAGAGTATTCCATTACTCAAATAACCATCATTTATCTACCCTATCCAATATTGATGAGCATTTAGCTTGTTTCCATTGCTTTGATTAACAAAAGTGAGATGAAAATCTTTGTACATTCATCTTTGTAGTACTGCTAAATTACTGACTTAGGAAATGTTTCTAAAAGTATAATAACTGTAGAAGCCATGGACAAAGCATTTCAAATGATTTATTTTTTTCTTCCATTTGCAAATTATATGCTCATCTTTTTCTGGAGTGTTACGTTTATACCCACACACCAAAAAAAAAAAAAAAAAAGGAAAAAACTATGTTAAATTTCTCCCTAATTCACTTCAAACATATCATTTTTATGCTTCTTGGGTTTATTGTTTATTCAGACAAAGAGTGAGTTATGCTTGAATTTTTCATCATGTTTCATGCTTTTAAAAAGTATTAATTTTATAAAACATCAGATTAGTTTGTAGCACTGTTTGCTTCTCTCAACTTTATGACATTTTATTTGAATTAGAAAAGTAGTACATAATTTTGTAATAAGATTAGCTATAATAGTATAAAACTAAATTTGGCTACAGGCACCTGATGGTGCTCACTTCTATTTTCTTGTTTCAGCATCAGGATATGTCCACTGGTAGAGTAGTCTTATGATTCAAATGGGTACGGCTTTTGATAGCATTAGCCTATGTTGTCTCAGAGAGGGAAAAATGCATACAATTTAGAAAGTTGGTTCAATCCTTTCAGCTGAGAAGATCTTGGGAATTTCCACAGAATGTTAATAAACTGACTATCCATGAACACCATGGATACTGGTTGGGCTAGCATAACCATGTGGGTGAATCTAAACACTGGGCACTAGGGCAGAGGCCACAAGAACCTAAGTGAATGTCTCTCCACCCAAGCTAGAAAACAGGGGCTTGGAGACACCAAGTGCTAGGACCTAGGGAATGTATTAGCAAAGTACAAGCAAGCAAGAGTGTATCCTCATTTTCTTGGACAGAGTCGGTCAAGGAACAGAAGGCCCAAACAAATGTCTGAGTTTGGACTCCTTCCTTTTTGTCTTTGGGTAGGTGGGGATACCAAGCAAATTGAATTTTTTCACATGTTTCTAATTTCAAAAATGTGACATCTATGGTATCAAGACTATCATAGAATATTGATGCCTGTGATATTCAGATTATTTCATTCGTTCATTTATCATCAGTTCCTCCAGTTATTAATTCTTAGCTTAATAAACATTGTGAATTTAATAATGGACAGACACAGAAACTGCTCTTGCAAAGCTTAGAGTTGAATATGGATGGCAGGTATTAAGATATTACAGAAATCCATATATAATTTGTACATCATCCAGAATGAGAAGAATACCCGAACAGACTCATTATCAACTTTAGCTAGTGCCTTCTACTCAGGATCTTAGTTATACATCAGTTCTTAGGAAAAAAAAAAAAAAAGGTGGCAGGGTGCAGTGGCTCCTGCCTATAATCCCAGCACTTCGGGAGACCGAGGCGGGCGGATCATGAGGTCAGGAGATTGAGACCATCTTGGCCAACATGGTGAAACCCCATCTCTCCTAAAAATACAAAAATTAGTTGGGCGTGATTTCGCGCGCATGTAGTCCCAGCTACTCGGGAGCCTGAGGCACGAGAATCACTTGAACCTAGGAGGTGGAGGTTGCAGTGAGTCGAGATCATGCCACTGTACTCCAGGCTGGCGACAGAGTGAGACTCTGTCTCAAAAAATAATAATAAATAATAATAATAATAATAATAAAAGGGGTGTCATTTATCTGGTGATTTTGATAAGCATGGAAGAGAAAAGGACTTTGGTCTAACCTAATATAATGACCTACTTTGCCACCCTTTGCCTTGCTTTATCTTGTCTGTTTTTAAATAAATTTTTTGTACTATAAATTTTTTGTAATACATTTTTCTTTTTAATTAGAATGTCAACTCCATCAAGACAGGAACTTGACTTTCTTCACTATTTTATAGTACTTAGAAAAGTTTAAAACAATGGTATGTGCTAAAAAATATGTGCTGAATAAATGAATTGACTTATGTACTAACCCAGGGCTATTGAGCATGTCAGTATCTGAACCATCATATTAAAAACCGAGAAAATCTTGAACACATGCATATTTATTTCTACAAAGACTGGATGTTAAGGACGGTGAGACATACAACATTTAACTTCTCAATTCCTTTTTTCTTCTCAAGCCCAGAAACACTTATTTTCTTTCTCTTGAGCTAATCAGAATGTCCTGACTCCAAGGCTTGGAGCTCTTTGCGGCAGCAGCCTCTTTCCCTTTACTCTAAACTCAATGCGGATGCTTATCCCTCCTGTTCCTGTGGATATACACACTGCAAGTCTACTTCTATAGATGGACAGTACAGCTTTGCTCTGATGTCAATGTTCTTATCAAGGCACAGGAAAGATATATCCAAGTTGAGATAGTGAAAGTGCCTCTGCCCACAGTCATTAAGAAACCATTTCCCTCTCTTTTAACGCACTTCCAAGTCTTGTGGAAAGCTGTCATTAATTGTATTCCCACAGCTTCCGTTACTCAATCTGTTATGTAAGATTTAAGCTTTTTTGCTGAAATACAGAGATTTCTCAATGTTTAGTTTTTATCTCAAGCAAACCCACTGAATACAACTGCTTGCTACCCAAGGCCTTCTTTCTGCCTAAGCCACCGTAAAAGGTTGAGTTTTTTTCATGTTGGGTGTCATCTGAATGGGATTCCCCCGCTACTTATGCCCAAACTACAATCATTTGTATTACAACCATCATTTGCTCACTGTAACTTCAGTAATAAGCATTAAAGCTGTTTTCCTTCTTGCTGAGATTTTGCTATTGAACTCTTTCATTTCCTCTTAAGCAGGTATTACATTGTGCACCATCATGCAAATAGACACAGCATGTATTTGCCAAATGAAGGTTGAATGGGAGAACCTTTCTTTGATTCTGAATTCTTCTAATGCTACTCTTTTCTTATTTAAAAAAAAGATTATCTCCTTTTACTTTTTTTCCAGAAGGTGTAGCTGTTCAGTTTAACTCAACTTATTACCTCAATTTTAGCAAAAATTTGTTGAACATGGACTACAAGTTTTACATTCCGATAGGTCTGGATAGAGAGATTCTTTCCTTATTGATCTAATTAATATCCTTTCCCTCAAACCAAACTCAGATGTTAACCAAAGGTTTTTTTTTTCTTTTAATACAAACCAGCAATATAGTGATGGTAAATTATAATTCAACTGATATTTGCTACAGGAGTCATAAGTGGAACAGTATTTATAGGAAAAGCAGAGAAAGCGTGCCTAGACCAGACTTGCAGACCCAAATAACATCTTCCTTTTCTAGTTCTCTCAGATTTAAAAGTGGTCAATTTCACTTATGAAAATGAACCAACTCTAGAAATTTCAACAGCATTTTTGGTTGTGGAATAGATCCCTGTGTCATGAGTACAAAGAGATTGTATTTTAGCCATATCGGAGGCTGAGCATGGTACACGGTTCCAAGGTTGGCTGCTAAGCCTCCTCATCCTAATTAGGAATTGTGTCCCCTGGTCTCTGGGAACCTCACATTGTCAGCTGATTCCAGAGAACACTTAAAATATCTAAATAAATTCATTAAAAGGAATGGTTATTACAAATAACTCCACCTCCTTTCCTTTGACTTTACACACAGTCACTGTACATCATTCAGGCATTGAATATCCATGGTGTGAATTATTCAGTCTTTCGTTGCCTCATCTCCATCTTGATGACTGACTTCTGCCCTTTTGAAAGTCATTAGAGATTTCACTGAGGTGGACAAAGAAAAAGATAGGTAGCATATGTCCCTTAATAGAAGATCTGTTAGAAAAAGTGCTAGTATTTTGAATAACAACATGCATATTTTTAAGTGTATGTAATAGATAAAGCAATATGGTAAATCTAATAAAATAATGATTGTGGTTACTTTTTTAGGCAATCAGTATTTATCATCTGTATGTGTCAAACACTAAAATAGACACTCTTAATATAGTGTTGACAAATAATAATAATAAATAGTAACCCATTCTTCAGAATCTTACATTCTATTTGGGGAAAAAAGTACAAACATAATAAATATGCATGAAAATTTTAGACAACTAAGCACTAAAAGAAAATAGTAGGATAGAGGGTCATATGATCAGGGGATTTCTTTTTTCTTTTTGTGTTTTTTGTGAGACAGGGTCTTGCTCTGTCACCCAGGCTGGAGTACATGATGCAATCACAGCTCACTGCAGCCTCTACCTTCCAGATTCAGGTGATCCTCCCACCTCAGCCTCTTGATTAGCTGGGACTACAGGAGCATAGCACCGTGCCCTGACAAATTTCTGGTATTTTTTTATTTTTATTTTTTAGAGATGGGGTTTCACCATGTTGTCCAGGCTGATCTTGAACTTCTGGGCTCAAGCAATCCACCCACCTAGGCCTCCAAAAGTGCTGGGAGTACAGGCATGAGTCGCTGCGCCAGGCTGGGGATATCTTTAACAGTGAAATAAATGTAATGTTCAATACTGACATGGAAATACTCAAACAATTAAAGAATAAATGTGACCTAACTCAGCAGCAGGTCAAATAAAAAGTTAAACAGAGTCACCATATAACATAGTAATTCCACTCCTAAGTTTATACCCAAGAAAATTGAAGACATTTATGTACACAAAAATACATACACAAAATGTGTACACGAATGTTTATAATACCAACATTCTTAGCCAAAAAGTGCAAACAAGTCAAATGTCCATCAACCTAAAAATAGATAAATGCAATGTGGTCTGTCTACACAATGGAATTTTATTTAGCCATAAAAAAGAAAGAACTACTGATACATGCAGCAATGTCACTAAACTTTAAAAACAGTATGCTAAGTGAAGAAAGACAAGCACAATAGGTCACATACTATTTATATAAAGTTATACTATTTATATAAAGGTTATAAAGTTTTATATACTATTTATATAAAGCCCCTAGAATTGGGAAATCTATAGAGATAAATATTGGATTAAGAGGTTGCTAGGGGTAGAGGAGGATAGGAGAATGACTACAAGTGGATATGAAATTTATTTTTGGAATAATTGATGTTTAGAAATGAGATGGTGAGGGTTGCACATTTGTGAGAATATTCTAAAAAAAACATTGAATCC
The DNA here is from genome assembly GCF_000001405.40 of Homo sapiens. Classification (NCBI taxonomy): domain Eukaryota; kingdom Metazoa; phylum Chordata; class Mammalia; order Primates; family Hominidae; genus Homo; species Homo sapiens. The sequence continues at coordinate 11,844,738 of NC_000004.12, read as the reverse complement.
TACAATGTGAAAAGATGAGTTTCATGATATCGTGCATTATATCTCAATAAAAACAAACTTGGTAACTTGTTTGCCTGCTGAAGAAATAATATTTTCCAAATCAAACTTTGATTATATCATTCACCACTTTAAAAATCAGTTTATCTGTATCTATAGGACACAATTCACACATATAGGATCAACACACGTGTTCTTTCTTTGTGTGTGAGACAAAGTCTTACTGCAGTTGCACAGGCTGGTCTGCTGAGCCCCTAACCCTCGGGTCTCAGCCTCCTGAGTAGCTGGGATTACAGGCACATGCCGGGGTGACTGGTCTACAAATTCTTCATTATATGTCCTTTCCCTAAATCTCCAGCCTCGTCTCCAGCTGCTTCTCTCTACCAGTTTCTCGAGTCATAAAAAATACTTGCCTTTGCTTTTATATGTCATGAACTCTGTGCACATTAAACTTTATCAACTCATGCTTCTTGAAATAGATTCCCCCACTCCTTCACCTAGTTAAATGGACTTGTCCTTCAAAACAGAATGCAAATGTTATGAAAGTGACGTCCTTCAAGAGCTCACAGCCTAATTTAGAACCACTTGCCCTCATGGTCCTGCGGAATCCTCTGAATGTCATAGACCGTTGTCTGCACAGTGTGACATAGAATTTATAATACAATGAGTTCCTGTTTCTCCACCCCCTCCTTTACACCACATTCTTCGTGAGAGCAGGGGTCATTCATGTTTTCCTTTGATGTATCTCAACACTTGTCAGTGTGAGTGAAGTGACTGTTCAATAAAATTATTGTGACTTGAATATGTATATGTTATTTTTAAAGCCAAAAAAAGTGAATGAAGTCATAAATAGGTTAAAAAGTAATGGAATATGTTCTGAGCCATGGTAAAAACCTAGATTTATATCTTGGAGGGGGAAGCCAAGGACATCATGGGTAAGAAAATATGGTTTGTTGGGAAGATAATTCCCTAATTTATTACATGTGAATCCATTGTATGAGGACAACCATAAAATTTGTTACCCAAACCAGACCATATATAAAAGTAAAGTAGGATGCTGTTATGCTTATTCTGGGTCAATAAGTGTAAACCACAACTTTCCCGGGCAAACCAAGATGATGTGGCCCTATCAAGTTTTATTTTACCCTTCAATTTTTTTCTGGGTATTGAAGTGACTTACAGATTTTTGCTGTTATAAATAGGTTTTTTTCCCCAGATAGCTCATGACTCACTTCCTCATTTTAGTCAATTTCTGCTCAAATGTCACTTATTTAGAAAGGTCTTCCTTGACCTTTGAAATAGTTCCATCCATAATAATCTATGTTAGTGCTAATCACTGTCAGACTGCCCAGCTAGAATGCAAGGTCAAGAAGACAATGGTTATTTGTCTGCAAATTCTGGAAGGGTTTCCAGATCATAGTAGGTGCTTAATAAATATTTGCTTATTTAATTAACAGATAATGCTATTATGAGCATTCTTGAGTCCAAATATTTTCTTGATCTTTTCAAAGGATTAATTGATAGGAATCAGATTAACAAATAAAATAAATATCTTTACAAGACTCACTTTATGTTGCCAATTTTTTTTGACAAAAAGTTATAACAAATTTTTAGTGATAAAGTTTAATTTTTATTTCATCCCATCTTCACCAATATCTTTGTATACTCATGTGTTGCGTAACAAAGTTTTGGTCAGTGACACACTGAATATATGATGGTGGTCACATATGATTATAATATTGTAGTTTTTCTATGATTTTTATGTTTAGAAATGTTTAGATACACAAATACTTACCATTGTGTTATAGCTGCCTACAGTATTCAATACAGTAACCTGTAATACAGGTTGGTAGCCTAGAAGCAATAGGTTATGCCATACAGCCAAAGTGTATAGTAGGCTATGCCATTTAGATTTATGTAAGTACACTCTGTAATGTTTGCACAATGACAAAATTGCCTAGCAACATATTTCTCAGGACATAGCCCTGTCATTAAGCCTCTGCTTTTATAAGCTGTGCCTGTATATTAAATATGATGACATATGTATATTTTGCCCAATTTGTTAGGTATAAACCACAACAAAACCAATACAACCTCCCTTTCTGATATATCAAGATCACACTACTTTGATTACAAACCAAAATTATTTAATAATTTTCAATAATGAGATTTATTTGCTATATATTAACATTTGAAATGTGTATATTTTTGTGAAATAACCGGTCCAGGAATTTAGAACATTTTACAGATTAAAGGAGGTGACTTGGTGAGTTGACAGTTGAAAAGCCAACATAGGTCAGAGGGAAAAGTCTATCTTGTAAGAATAGGGAATGCTTTAAAAAAAAAAAAAAAGAAAAAAAAAGGCTTGGCCAGGCACAGTGGCTCAAGCCTGTAATCCCTGCACTTTGGGAGGACAAGGCGGGTGGATCACCACTTCAGGAAATCAAGTCCATCATGGCCAACATGGTGAAACCCCATCTCTACTAAAAATACAAAAAATTAGGCAGGCGTGGTGGTGCACAACTGTAGTCCCAGCTACTCAGGAGGCTGAGGCAGGAGAATCTCTTGAACCTGGGAGGCAGAGGTTGCAGTGAGCCAAGATTGTGCCACTGCACTCCAGCCTGGGTGACAGAGCAAGACTCTGTCTCAAAAAAAAAAAAGAGCTTATTAAGTAGAAATAAAAATAATTAAATAATGTAATCATATTGAGATACATTGTGTGGATCTACCAGAACATGGAAAGATGGAAAGAATAAGGTTTATATTCTTCTGACAATACGAGTAATAGCAATAGGAACAATAGAATCAATAGAAACAACAATAGATGTAAGTAGTCCTAGTTAAATAACTTTAATGAAACTGCATGTATCACTGTTTCCCTAGCAAGAGGACCCCCACCTTCCTGTAATTACATTATTATTTTTTAATTATGTGAAGATGGAGTAAATAGTAAATAAGTGGTAGGGCCTTGTGGAAAAGGTGAGGAAAAGAGTTGGGGAAGGTGAGGAACAAAGAACAAGACAATGAAGGGGAGAATTTGAGTCCTGTGTATACACTAGTTGCCTTAAGCTTATATGCATGAGACAGCTGATGTCAATGTATGGCTTGGCACCTTAATTGAGTGGGAAGGGCTCACAGAGTTTGGGCTCTACCCTGTACTCCTTGCTTACTCAGTTCACCCTCAGCTCCAGCACAGCCTCACCAGTGCAGAAGACAAATTATGCTCATGAATTTGCTCTATCCCATTCAGTCCCTGGACCCATCAAAATCACACCTTGCAAAATTCCCATCATTGATTGATCTGGGAAGTCTGGGGTGAGTCTTTCACTAGCATATCAGTGAAAGAGGCATAAAGAAGTTTTTAGGCACCAAATGTCCAGTGAGCTTCTGCCTTCTTGTCCTGGGGCCATCACAGAGGTCAGTCACCCACCTCTGGCCTGCCCCTCCTCCTTACTGTCCTTGGTAGCTTCGTGTTAATACAGAAGCTTCCTATGTCAATTTATTCCATAATAACTGTTCTTCCTGGCCACAGAGCTAGTGTCTGCTACAAATTATACTCTTCAATTCACTACACAAACCTCTGTCATTGATGGCTTATGTGCCACCATCTAGAATTTGAAAACATATAGCTAGGGCAACTGAGGTCATGACAGTAAACATATATTTTAATAACAGTAAATGTTAACATAATGAATTAAGCTAATAGACACATCTAGCTAACATGCTTGTGTGTCTGTTTGTGGTGTGTGTGTGTCTGTGTGTGTGCTTTTCTGTGGTCAATATTGGAATATAAATTTTTCTCTTTCAAAGTAAAGTTACTTTGCTCATTAAACAAGCAAACAAAACCCAACAGATAAAAAGCCCTGTTATACTTAGCTCTTCCTTAATTTCAGAATAGAATAAAACTTACAGCTCAGCATTAATTACTATCACGATCTAACCCTCACCTACTCTTCCAGACTGTATTCTGTTCTCACACTGCTATAAATAAATGCCTAAGACTGGGTAATATATAAAGAAAAAAGGTTTAATTGGTTCATGGTTCCACAGGGTGTTCAGGAAACATGTCTGCAGAGGCCTCGGGAAATTTACAATCATGTTGGAAAGCAAAGAGGAGGCAGGCACTTCTTATATGGCCAGAGCAGGGAAGAAAGAGAGGGGAAGGTGCTACACACTTTTAAACAACCAGATCTCATGATAACTCACTCTCATCATAACAACACCAAAGGCTATAGTGTTAAACCATGAGAAACTGCCCCATGATCCAGTCACCTCCCACCAGGGCCCACCTCCAACATTGGAGATTACAATTCAAGTTGACATTTGAGTGGAGACACAAATCCAAACTGTATCACAGGCTTATGTAATACTATACATACCCTTCCTTATCCACTCTCCCTTTTTTTTTTCTCTTTTTGAACAGGTATTCTAACCCCCATTATCTTCTCCAGGTACCATAAGTGCAATAATCTGAATGTTGCCACTATCAAGTCTTGACTTATGTTGTTCTCTCAATCTGTCTGCTCCTCACAATCTTAGCATTCTGCAAAACTCAGCTCAAGTAACATCTATTATGAGATGCTTTTCCAATTTTCTGACTGAAATTAATCACACATACTTAGGCTTTTAACATTGCCAAACCTCTCCTTAGCACTGATTTCACTTTATCTTCAAGCATGTTTGAGTTTGTGCCTCCTCCAGTGTACTGAAAGTTCTATGAAGTGACAGACATGGTCTCATTCAGTTCAGTTTCTCCCAAGTGTTATGCATATAGAAAACTCCCTAAAACACTACTGCTCTTGAAATTGAGCAAATAGAATATGAAGTTTATGTTATACTAAAGAAGAAAACTAATGTTTACCAAGCAAATACTGTGTCTGGCACTTCAAAGTGTATTCTTTACCTCTAAGCAGGAGTTTCTATTCCTCATATGTATTTGGGAAATGTCGATGATTCTTTTGGCACTTAAGTTCACTTGAGTTAATAGTTATCCTTCTTGAATTCCATCCTCTCATTTCTTTTTTCTCCATTAACACTTTCTTTACTAAGATCTGGTCGAGAGGGAACAGTATGATGTCATGCCATTGTTAGAAAGGTCCCTAAATATCATTTATTACCCTGGCGTGTGGGCTTTCTGGGGCTTCTCAACAGACAAGACTGTCTTTATGAAGTGCTCATTACTTTGTTAACAGTAGCTCATCTGCCACAAACTATTTAACTTCCTGCAGTTGAGTGAAGAGTGAAGGGTAAATTCCTTGACATGTGAGTTTTAAGTGTTAGTTCAAACATCATGATCCATAACTAAGCTGAATTTCAAAGCAAGAAGCAAATGTATACAAGGTAGGGGATTGCTAGATGCAATCAGTTATTTCCTTTTTAGTAGCAGAATTTGCTATTGTAAGGAAAAAATATATGAGTCCATAATCCTAGTGGTAGGAAGTCTACACAAACCCTGGAAAGCAGAACTGTAGGAAAGCTTCCTCTTCCTGGAGCCAGCACCAATTTGGAATTCTGTGTGTGTCCCCCCACAATCCAGACCCCTCCTAACAAGAATATTCATAGGGTTTCTAATATTGGAATATATTTTACCTAAAATAATTGTTGATCTAGTATACCCTTAAGTTTTCTACAGAAACAAGATAGACCAAAGGACACTCGTAGCTCCATGAAGACATGTGAGATTTTGCATCCCTTTATGACATGGAATGCCAGGTGTAGGTTAATGGATGACTCTATGAAAAAAAAAAAAGAAGAAGAAAAAAACAGGAAAATGGAAAGCCAACTGTTTCATTGCCTGATGGCACAAAATAATAACACATTTTCTGTTTTATGATGGAAGGGTCATGTGGCATAAGTACTCAATGTTCCTGCCAAAAGCATTGATCCAGATGGAAATATTAATTATTTGACCAGATGTGTGACAATGTCACTCTGAAAGGTGGTTTCAGTATGCTGTACTGACATATATCATCACAGAAATTGCATTGCTAATAGAATGTATCTGAATTAGTGGCTCTCCAGTGGGACCTCAATCATTTTGAGCCATAAAGAATGTATGATTTTAGAGCTAGAAAAGACTTTAGATCCTATATAGTCTGAAAGTCTCATTTTATATAAGAAGAAGGTAAGGCTCAGTGAGGTAAAGTGTATCACATGGGCCTGTTAAGTTATGTATGGCAAAATTGAGAATTGATTCTGGACCCTGGAGCTACCTAACCGTACAACTGTGCTCTCTGATCTTAATTCAATTTCCATATATTCCTCTATTTCACTACACCCAATGTATTGTTTGATACATTGACATCCACTATGTGGCTGGCACTATAGAAGGCCAGGGGTAAACAGTAGTAAAGAGCCAAGATTTCTGCTTTTGAGAGTACTTACCTTCTAGTGGCTAGTGTCAAACAGAAACGAAATACACTGGACGAAAGATAGGTACAATGAAGAAAGTGCAACAAGATAACATTGGAGAGAGTGCCTGGATTGAGGCAGCTGCTTCTGGTAGGGTGAAGAGGAAAGGATGTGCCATTTTGGTTCATACTCATAACCATGATGAAAAGAGGCCAACGAAGTGACGAAAGATGTTTCCAGAGAGTGAAAAGACCAAATGCAAGGTCCATGTAAGCTTGGAGAGGAAGAGGGAACAGATGAAAGAATAAGATGGCTGCAGCACACTGAGCCATGGAGACCATGGACCATGGTGGGAAGAGAGGAGTGGAAGGTGGCCAGCTCATAGAGACCTGGTGAGTTGGATTTTATTCAAAGTGCAACGAGAAACTTTTGGAGGAATTTACTCAAAGCAGCAATAGACTCTGATTGGTAAGCACCTAATTGTGCATAGTCTATTCCAAGACATGTACTTTTTTAGGCTGCAGAGCACTCTTGTAACAGACACTATAGAAAACACCTCCCACCCACTTTTACATTCAGTTAAAATATTACTCAAGTTCCTATTTGAGTTAGTGGTGAGCTTGTAAAACCTTTAGGACAAACCTTTAGCTGAACAATTAATCTACTTATTGTTGGTTTTTCTTTTCTTTTAATTCCCAGTTTCTCTTCTTGTTTACATTTTGCATTAACATGGCACATTTGTTAGAATTAATGAATCAATATTGATACATTGGTATTAACCAAAGTCCACAGTTTATCACCATTGTTGTCATTAAAATGTATACTTTGTGTTGTTGTACAGTCTATGTGTTTTGACAAATCCAAGATGTCATGTGCCCACCATTACAGTATGATACAGAAGAGTTCATTGTCCTAAAAATGCCCTGTGCTCCACCAATTCATTCCTCCACCCCTACCTGCAAACCGTTGGTAACCACTAATCTTGCTACTGTCTCTATAGTTTTACCTTTTTCAGAATGTTTACAGCTGGAATAACACAGTATGTAGCTTTTCCAGACTGGCCTTTCTGTTTCACACAAAAAATACATATTAAAGATTCCTCCATTTTATTAACCTTGATATCACATTTCTTCTTATCATTGAAAAATTATTTTATTGTATACACATACTATAGAATGTTTATCCACTAATGTTCACAAAGGTATCTTATTTGCTTCTATGTTGAGGCAATTATAAATAGAGATGCTATAAACATTCATGTGTAGTGTTTGTGTGAACATAAATTGTCAATACATTCAGATAAATATCTGAGAGTATGATTCCTGTATCATATGATAAGAGTATATGTAGCTTTGTAAGAAACTGCTAAACTGTCTTCCAAAGTGGCTTTGCCATTTTCATTCCCACCAGCAATGAATGAGAGCTCCTGTTGCCCCACATCCTAGCCAACATTTGGTCTTTTGGGATTTTGGCCGTTCTGGTAGAAGTATAGTGGTATCGTGTTGTGTTAATTTGCAACACCCTAATGATGTTGAGTATTTTCTCCATCCATTTATTTTTAAAGAGTAAGGTATAAATTACTCCTTCCTATAATAATATAACCACATAATAAATATAAGTATGGTGATGCTTTATTCTTTCTGTTTATCCACTATATATTTAGCACCTACTGCATTCTAACATCTGAGCCAGGCACTAAGGAAAGAGGGTATTCAGACAGAACCTCCCTTTCTTCTAGGAGTTCATGGTCCATCAGCAAAGACAGACACATAAACAGAGCTGTGGTAATAGGAAAGGCAGGGGTTATGAGAGCCTCAGGAGCAGGATCCAGTTCTTTCTTAATAGGTTCAGAGAACTTTCTGAAGTAAAGATTTCTAGATCTGAGTTAGAAATAAAGCAGAAGAGTTTATCAGTTGATGCTCATGAGGTGGAGACCTGGGTTATCCAGCCTAATATCTGAACAAAACAAATAGAGTTTGGTGGTGGTGTCATGTCAAACATGCATGGAGAGATGCATGGATAAGTCAATATAGACTAATATTAAGAAGAGCTGAGTGATTAAAAAATAGACAGTTAACCTATCTAAGCTAATTTTCCAATAATGTAGGCTTATTTAGATATTAAGTCTGATTATTATGAAAGTTCATAGCATGTATAAAATACAAATAGTTTTGGTGGCAATGTCATATGGTTTTAGCACAGTTTGTATCTTGTTTATTTTAAAATAACTTTTTAAATTATAATTTTATTACATGACAGAAATATAACAAAATACAAATGTGTAAAAAATTACATAAGAATCTCATACTCACTAATTATAATTATTTATATCATGATTTATAATATTTCATGATTTTAACATGTATGTTTACATATATGCATTAGCAAAATTGATCGCTTAATGGTAGTTCGTTTTATTAAGGGAAAGGTTGCAACATCATTTTTAATGACTTCTGAGTAATCAGTCTATGAAATGAACAAAGCATGATTAATGTACCAATTATGCCTTGAAGGTTAGTTCAGACACTTCCACTTTTCCATATTATGAATAAATCTGAGATTAAACTATGGTATAAAATCTTTGGAAATCAATTCAATTATTTTAGGAAGCTAATTCTTTGTGAGGTTAAATTGCTGGGTCAACCTGTGTATGCTTATTTACTTTGATAAATATCAATAAATAATTAAACAAGTCTATAGAATATGAGAGTAATGATAGCATATAGACATACATTTACATAATGCACATGCACACATATATATGGATGTTCATTTTTACCATCCCTATTTATTCATTTTACTCTTTGCCAATATGATAACTAGAAAATGTCTGTATTGCTTTATTTTGTCCTAATTATCTCCTGCCTGGTCCAATGTTATATTTCCCAACGCTTTCTCTTGCTTCAGTTCTTGTCATTGACAACCTGTTCTCCACAGAACAGCCAAAGGATATCTTTGAAAAGTGACTCTATCCTATCACTGCTCCCACCTAAAATCATTCAATAAGATCTTGTTGCTATTATAATGAAATTTAATTGGTCCTATTAGACAGAATCTCTCTCTACCTGCCTAACCTAATTTCATACTCTGCCTATCAACCCCTTCCCACTGCTTCTCCATCGCGCCCTCTTTAATTTTACCCACAATGTTCTTCTTTCTGTTTCTTAGGATCTTAAAGTTGCTCCCACGCTGCCTGGAACACTGTTTCTGAGATAGTCCGTGACTGACATCTTCTCCTGATTTAGGTCTCAGTTTACCTATCCATACCCCAGAGGGGTTTTCCCTGAGTACCCTAACCAAGGGAGCCTGTGCTCCATTCCAGTGGCTCTGTGTCAGATTATCCTGTTTTGTTGTATCAATACCACCTACTGACACTGACATTATCTTGTATTTCTGTTTCCCATTTGTAAACAAGTGCCTGGGACATTGCCCTTGTTCTCTGTTCTGCTTCAACCCTAGCACCTAGGTTGTTCCTGCCATATCATAATCAGTGACAATTGTTGAATGATAGAATGAACTTTTAAAAACATATTAGAAAAATCACTTTTAATGCATGGTTTTTTCTGTAATGAATTCATTCCATTTTTGTTACTTCTGTAATTGATGCCTATTCATAAACTTCAGTCCATTATTCTACTAAGTATCCATCTTTTCTTCTTTTTACTTTTAAGAATTCACTGGCATACAAGTAATACTCTTTTCATGACATTTATTTTAAATATTTCCCAATTAATCATTTGCCTTTAACTTTTTATAATGATTTATTTGGTACACTATTTTTTACATTTTTACTTTTCAAATTTATTAGTATTTTTACTTTTTGCTTTCTGACTTTGGAGTTCAGCTAGTGAAGTCCTTTCCTAAGAATTAATATCCATACATGTCTATATTTTCTCCTAGAGATGTTGTACTTAAATTTTAATTAACATATTCATACCTTGTTTATTAACATATTAACAAATGTGTAAGTTATTTTTTTGCAGATGATGATATCCTAACCAAATTTTATTTTTCCCAAAGCAACCTCATTGTTCCAATACGTGTTTGAATAATCTATTCTTTACCAATCATTTGAATTGTGAACCATCACTTTCTAAACTCAAAAATGTGGTTCAGTCTTTGTTATCTTTTCTATTGAATCATTTTACTTATTTATTCCTAGATTGTTATCGTTCAATTTTAGTTATTTTAACTTCATGAGTTTTAGCAATAGTAAGACAAGGCATTCCAATAGTTCCATGCGTTTTTGTTATGTTGACTCTTCTGGATCAGCTTAAAGAGATTTTACCAAACTAGCCCAAAAGCCCCATTGACACTATAACTGTAATTTTGTTTTGTTTGTTATTATTAATTGGGGTAGAATTGAAAAATTGGTACATTAATTCTTCTTAATCAAGTCCAGAATCTAAATCTCTACTAATATCTTTTAATGTGGCTTGGGTATCCTTATTTTTCATATTTTTTAATATTTTTAAATTATAATCAACAATTTCTGAATATATCTTGATCAATTTATTCTCAAATTTTGTTTCCATTTAGTATAGAATTTTATGTCTTGAAGTGGCTACAATATAGTAAAGAAAACATTACTTTTTGCCTCAAAAATTAGTCATTTACTGGATAAAGAAAATGTACATATATACCATGGAATACTATGCAACCATAAAAAGGAATGAGATCATGTCCTTTGCACGGACGTGGATGAAGCTGGAAGCCCTCATCCTCAGCAAACTAACACAGGAACAGAAAACCAAACACTGCATGTTCTCACTCATAAGTGGGAGTTGAACAATGAGAACACATGGACACAAGAGGGGAACATCACACACCAGGCCCTGTTGAGAGGTGGGGGAAGGAGGGAGGGAACTTAGAGAATGGACCAATCAGTGCAGCAAACCACCATAACACACGTATACCTGTGTAACAAAACTGCACGATCTGCACATGTATTTTTATAGGAAGAAATAAAAAAATTTTTTAAATTAGTAATTTAATTATTATTACTTGTTACCACAAACTTTTTAAAGCCAAATCTATTGGATTTTCGTTGTAAGCATTCATACTATTCCCTAATGGTTTGTCTAAATTTCTTAGAAAAAAAAATGCTGAATAACAGAGGTAATAGCCGGCTTCCATTGTAATTGTTATTTCAGTCTTATTTTGTCACATTTTCAAAAGAATCCTTTCTGACCAGAATTATTCAGAAATATTTATTATTGATTCATGTTCTAGATTACACACACAATTTGTTTAAACCTGCAGGCGTTTTTCTTTTGAGCACTATAGAGCTCTTTGCCCTCAACTCAGTGTCTCCAAATTGCTTAGTGTGTGATTTTATTCTCCTTTGCTCTTTAATCTTATTATTCTGTCCTCTCTCTAATATCATCTATCACAAGCCTATTGTGATTTCTTCATGCTGCTTCTAAGCCCTTTCAAATAATTCTTTGGGTAAAGGATATTCCCCTTTAATGTAGAGCCAAATGCAGAAACATTTGAAAGCTATTTACTTTTCAAATTAATTATTTAAATGAAACTTAATTCGCAGCTATGCTATCGTTGAATATGTTGATCAGATGTGTAACCATCAGGCAAATGGACGGGTGATCATATGATCAGAGACAACTTAGAGGACCCATATAGATAGATCATAGTTGAGAAACATTGTTTCAAAGGTAGTTCTAGTATCAAGACTAATCCTGTAATAACCTGTCCCCTGCATCTGCTCTCCTAATTTAAAGGTGCCCGTAAAAATTCAGAATTAAAAAATAATGTAGAAGGATTGACTGTTTTGAACCATACATACATTTAATAAATCGTGAAGAAGTAACAACTATTTACTCTGTCTTCCCTGCTTTCTGTGATACACTTCAGAGTTTACCAGAGATTAATTTTTCTTTGCAGTTTACTAATCTGAGTATATAAAAGAGAGAAGCTTAAAAATAATAAATAAATGAAAGAACAACAAACCGATGAATAGATGATAGGAAGGAAGAACAAAGAGGCGCAAACAAACAGGGAAAGAAAATAGCATATTTTCACTTGCTGTAGAAAATAAAAAAGGCCAGTTACTCTCAGATCACCCTGATAATATTATCCTGAGTAATCTTTAAAAATCATAACAAGTTAAATAAAGGCAACCATAGAAAGGTGTGTGTGTGTGTATGCAAGTGTGGAGCAAACACACACACACACACACACACACACACACACACAAACCCCTAGCAACCACTGGAAATTAAATACTGTATTCTTATGGAGGCAGCTTTCTGGCTTCATTGCCATCATAATTTATTAAAAATCTCTATATCCGCATATCTGTTAACCTTCTCTCAGTGGAAATTTTTACAAAGATTTACAAAAGAAATAAATGCTAAATATGATGACTATTGCAACTTTGTACTTCTCCTTGAAATCTAACAAAATGGATTTCTAAACAATGAATGTACAGTAGAAACAATGCCAACAGATTTTAAACAGCCATCTGGTGTAATTATTCATGCTCCCTAAAAATAGGCTATTTGAAAACGTGCGAAGTTCCTTTCTGATATAATTCCGTGGTCTCTCTAACAACACATGAGCTGGCAAAGAGAAACTAAAAAGGCTTTCAACGGGCAGTTCTAGTTGTTTAATTTCTTTTGTTATGTAGAAAGAGACCCGAAACTTAGATTTCAAAGACTTGCTGTACATCCCCATCTTCCATTTTCAAAGTTATCCTGCTGGAGCCTTTCCTCCCCTTGCTGTTGATGTGGGTGATTATTTCCTCCAAATTACACAAAAGCAAACAGATCCCTAGTTCATCTCAACTCCATCACCTACCTCTTCAGTCACTGCCCTATATGCTTTGCATTCATCATTCACTTGTTCATTCATTAAGGAACTTTCATTGATGGTGTATTAAAAATGTCTTTTTTTATAGTAACAATATTCCTTCTTAAATTTAGACAATATAAACATCAAAAACAAAGTGATTTGCTTTCAGTTTCTTGGATAAATGATGGTAGAACTCAATACAGGTCTCCTGAAAATTGCTTATTTCTAAAGTTGTTTCTGCGTTTTTTTTCAATCTGGGATGCAGTGCCTGACAGAATCAAGCTCATACATTCCTTAAGCTAGAGAGGCTGGGTCCCCCACACAATATTTCCAACTTCATCTAATATCCTATTAAAACAGCCCTATTCATGTACCTTTACCATCTACTTTTCTTACTTCCTTTTCTATTTTAATTAGTTTAATTGAGGAGACTACACTCTAATATAAACATGGACAGCTTTATTATCTCAAGAATTGCTAGTAATTGTATTCTAAGCCCTTTCTCTTGTTTCCAGTGAGACTTGACTGGAAGTTCCTAAAGCCTGGACTATAACTAAGGGCATAATCTTCTATTCTACAATTAGCTCACCTTTCTCTATATTTGATCAGGGTTTGAAAGGGAAAAAGAAGTCCCCTTACATGCTCAATTATGTAGTAGGTGTGGTAATGTGTCTGCCTCATTCATGATGATCTTTGGCATCTTCAGCTTATCTTCTACTTATTCAATGTATGTGAATGGGAATCCTAATGGTGGAATACTCAAGCACAATCCTTTCTTCTAGGCATAAGTGTCCCTTGTGGGCTGGGACTGCCTGCTTTCCTCTAGCTTGCGGTGGGCTTCCCCTTTCCTGAAGACCCAGTTTCATCCACTCACATTCCCTGAGCACTGGCAGAACACATCTTCCCTTCATCTCAGGAAACAAAGAGGGAAATACCACCCTTACCAACATTTCTTTCTCTTTTTCTTTATCTCTTATAATTACAGGGTAGGTTAGCAAACCTTCTGGCTCCTCAGTAATTCAACCTCAACTCAATATGTATGTTTTATTTTCCTTTTAAATTATACCCCTGAACTTGGAGAATAACTCATTAAAGTAACACAAATAATACCCCCTTCAAAGATGTCCACAGCCTCATTGTCAACATCTGTGAATATGTATTAGACCTCTTCAGAGAAAAAGAATATGTCTACACACACACATAGACACACAGAGAAAAAGAAAGAGAGAGAGAGATACTCCAGGGTATAGACCCCTGTGATGATTATGGAGGCTAAGAGTTCCCTCCCTCTGCCCTCAAGCTGGAGACTCAGGAAGGCTCATGGTATAGTTTTAAGGCCTTGGAGCCAGGGAGTTGTTGGTATAAATTCCAGTCCAAGCCTGAAAGCCTGAGAACCAGGAGTGCCTAGAGCGAAAGAAGGTTGATGTTCCATCTAAGCAGTCAGGCAGAGAAATGGCTAATCCAGCCTTCCTTTTTCTTCTGCTCCATTCAGGGCTTCAACTGATTGGGTGAGGTCTGCTCACATTGAGGGGTGCCATCTTCTTCACTCAGTCCACCAAGTTAAATGCTAATCTCTTCCAGAAACATCCTCACAGAAGTGTTGTTTAATGAGATATCTGGCCCTGCCATGACCCAGTCAATTTGACATATGAATTTACCCTGACACATGGCAAAAGAGAATTTGAAGTGGTGATTAAGGTTATGGACCGTTAGATGGAGAAATAATCTGAGATCATTCAGATAGTTCAATCTAATCATATGAGCTCATAAAAGCAGAGGGTCTTTCCAGGTTGAAGTAAAGAGAGAGACTTGACAAAGAAGACAGGTACTAATCTGCTGTTGCTAACTCTGAAAAGGGAGGAAGGGAGCCACGAGACTGAAATGAAGGTGGTCTTCAGAGTCTTGAACAGCAGTCTGCGAACAGTGCGAGGAAACAGGGCTTCAGTTCCACAACACTGAGGAGCCGAATTGTGCCAACTTTCTCAATGAGCAAGGAAATAGATTTTGCCCTGGAACATCCAGACAGGTTACAGCTCTACTGATACCTTGATTTTAGCCCAGTGAATTCTGTGTTCAAATTCTGACCTGAAGAACTATATCATAATAAGTTTGTGTTGGTTTAAGCGGCTAAATTTGTGGTAATCGGTTCCAGCTGCAGTAGGAAACTAATGTATTATTTTCATGTGCTCCCTTCCACATACAGGAAGATTGTAGTTCCATTGGTTCTTCTAAAGTGGCACTTTCTGGGCAGTTGTATGCAATAGTCCAGGTTCACAGCAAGCACTTCTCTGAACCTAGAACACGGAATTCTTAATGCCATTTTCTGAGATATGATCTCTAATTTCCAATTCTAAGGAAGTTCTATTCTTTCTGTACAAAGCATCCTCAGTACTGTATTCTCATGAGAGAATGTTACCCATCTGTGATAGTTAATTATTTGTGTCAACTTGATTAGGCCACAGAATGCCCAGATATATGGTAAAACCTTATTTCTGGGCTGTGTCTGTGCGAGTGTTTCTAGAAGAGATTAGCATTTAAATGGATGAACTGTGTAAAGCGGATGGTTCTCCCTAATGTGAGTAGGCATCATCCAGTTTGTTGAGGACCTGGACAAAACAAATGGGCAGAGGAAGGTTGAATTTACACTGCCTGCGTGGTTGAGTTGGAACATTGATCTTTTGCGCTTGGTGCTCCTGGTTCTCAAGCCTTCAGACCCAGATGATAATCTGTACTACTGGCTATCCTAGATCTCCAGTTTGCAGACTACAGATTGTGGGACTTTTCAGACTTTTCAGCCTTTACACTCACATGAGCCAATACTTAATAATAACTCTATTTATGTAGATTGATTGATCTATGTTTGTATCTATCTATCTATCTATCTATCTATCTATCTATCTATCTATCTATCTTATTGGTTCTGTTTCTCCAGAGAAGCCTAATACAAAATATTGAATCCATGAAGCATTTTCACAATCTTATATTGCCTGCATCATGCAAAACATATTATCTAGATATATGTGTTCATTTTAGAAAAAATTCCAAGTCTTATTCATCTCAAAATGTTTCATAAGGTATCCGTGTGATTCGTCACAGATATGCAATATTTCATTTTTGAATGAAGGAATAAACAAAGAATACTGAAGCAAATTTTCTTTTTTTTTATTCCATCCCTCCTTTTTTTAGTTTACATCTTGGAAATGAGATTATCCCCCCTCCCGCTCTACCTCTCGCATCATGGGTCTTCAGTTTGATGTCTCACATACTTTATTTCAAAGAGCACTTCTTCCAAATAGCTTCCTTTCTTAACACCTCTACTTGCAGCTCTGAAACATTTATATCTTATGTTTTTAATTTTATAAATTAATAGACATTATGCTGATAAAAATCCAGTGGTTTTCCAATCTAAACAATGTTGTTGGGAAGGAAGGAAGGAAGAAGGGAGGGAGGGAGAGAGGGAGGCAGGGAGGGAGGGAGGAAGGGGAAGGACATATGTAGGCCTACTACTCATCAGGCCCTATTTCATGGCATACAGCATATGATGATAAACAAAACAGGACAAATTTGAAGCTGGAGGCATCAAATTATTTGACTTCAAATTATACTGCAAAGCTATAGTAACTAAAATAGCATGATACTGGCATAAAAGCAGAACCCATAGACCAATGGAACAGAATAGAGAATGCAGAAATAAATCCAAGCATTTACAGTCAACTCATTTTTGACAGAAACACCAAGAACCTCTAGGGAAAGGTCAGTTTCTTTAATAAATGACTCTTGGAAAACTGAACATTCATATGCAGAAGAATGAAACTAGACTCTCCCCATTTACAAAAAACAAATCAAAATGAATTGAAGACTTTAGTGCAAGACCTGAAACTATAAAGCTACTAGAAGAAAACATTGGGAAAATGCTTCAGGACATTGGTCTGGGCAAAGATTTCTTGACTAAGACCTCAAAAGCACAGGTAACCAAAGCAAAAATGAACAAATGGAATTACATCAAGCTAAAAAGCTTAAAGGATAAAATCAACAAAGTGAAGAGATAGCCTACAGATTCAGAGGAGATGTTTGCAAACTTTTCAACTCACTGGCGATTAGTAACCAGATTATATAAAACAAATTTTTTGCTTTTTTTAATTAAAAGAAAGGTTACCTCAGTTTTCACTTCTTAGACATAAATGGAGCTACCTTTTTTTTTTTTGGATGTTGCTATTTATTTTAAGCAATCGTGTTGAATTAGTATACTTGGTGTGGAAAGAGTATAAATTTGCCATGTGATTTCCAAATGGAGGAAAAGTTATTGTCAGCATGTGTTTTATTTTTTAATTTACACTGTAGTATGATTTTTCCCCAACATTGTTTTTACCTTGCATGTACTGGAGTATTTATTTCGTCTATTAAAAGGTTATGTTTCTGGGAAAAATGGCAACCCAAAAGCAAAAAAAAATCTGATTAAAACTTGTCAAAAACCAGGCTTGGTGGCTCGTGCCTGTAATCCCAGCTACTCTGGAGGCTGAGGAGGGAAGATCACTGGAGTCCAGGAGTTTGAGGCTGCGGTGAGCTATAATCACATCATTCCACTCCTGCTTGAGTAACAGAAAAAAAAGGGGGCAAAAAATCTAAATAGACATGTCTCAAAAGAAGACATACAAATGTCCTACAGGTATATGATAAAAAGCTCAATATCACTAACCATCAGAGAAATGCACCAAAACCACAATGAGATATCATCTCACTCCAGTTAAAGTCATCTTTATCAAAAAGACAAAACAAAACAAAATAAATTTTGGTGAGGATTTGGAGAAAGGAGAATGCTCATACATTGTTGATGGGAATGTAAAGTAGTATAGCCACTGTGGAAAACAGCATGGAGGTTCTTCAAATAAATAAAAATAGAACAACCATGTGACCCAGCATTCCCACTGCTGGGTACATTCCCAGAATAAAACAAATCAGTATATCAAAGAGATATCTGCATTCCCATCCTTATTGCAGCACTATTCACAGTAGCCAGAAATGAAAAGCAATATAAGTGTCCATCAACAGATGAATGGATAAAGAGAATGTGGTACATATACATAATGGAATACTATTCAGCCATAAAAATAATGCATTCCTGTCATTTGGGACAATATGGAAGGAACTGGAGGACATTATGTTAAGTGAAATAAGCCAGGTGCAGAAAAACAAGTATCACATATTCTCACTCACATGTGGGAGCTAAAAAAACAAAAAAAAATTACTTTGTGGATGTAGACAGTAGAATGATGGTTACCAGAGGCTGGGATAAGAAGTGAAGAGTCGGGGATCAAGAAGGGTTGTTTAGTGGATAGCTAAATACAGTTAGATGGGAGTAAGATCTAGTGTTTAATAGCACAATAGGGTGACTATAGTTAACAGTGATTTACTGTATATTTCAAAATAACTAAAAAAGTGAATTTGGAGTTTTCCCAACACAGAGATGCTAAATGTTTGAAGTGATGAGTATTTCAACTACCATGATTTGATCATTATACATTGTATGCTTGTATCAAATTATTATATGTATCCCATAAATATTTTCATCTATTATGTATCCAAAAGTTAAAAATATTTTTCAAAAAACAGACAAGTTCCCCCCCCCCAAAAAAACTACCAGATGTTACTTGTATTAATGGGCCTTGCAGTCTAGTTGAATTTTTTTAATGACAAAGAAGAAAATGAAGAATTATAAATTGTCAGGAAGACAAGAGTGAAAGAGGAAAGATTAGTAGAGAGAATATTATTATGGCCCAGGGGTGAAATAATGGTGACAGCCTTGGAAATGGTAAAAAAAAAATTAATTGAATATAGTCTACATTATGAAAATATAGCTAGTAGAACATAGTTATGTATTGGTTAAAGATTTTGAAGGAAAGAAGGTGTTTGAAGGTGATGTCTAGGTTTTTGACTTGAGCAGTTGACTGAATTATAATGCCATTTATTGGAATAAAAAATGTGCAGAGGTGTTGAATTGAGAGTTCTCCTTTAAATATGTTAATTGTGAGATAACTCTTGGGCATACAAATGATACATTGACTCTGAAGCTCAGGTAAAAGAATGGGTTTAATTTGTTTTGTCAGTGTTAAGCATACAGTTGTTTTGGAAATCCATGAAACTCAATAAGATCATCTAGGGAATGATAACAGAGAGAAAACTATCTTAAAATATGAGCTCCAGGCTACTGCAAAAGTGCTCACTGGAGTACCTTTAAATAAACTGAGTCATACTGAAAAGCAACACACACACACACACACATATGCACACACACACATATACACATACACAAAAAGGATGAAGGAGGAATGGAGAAACAGAACCACTGTTTTATACATTTATTAGGTAGTTTTCAGACATCATCTCATTTAATTTTCATAAATATAAGGTGTCTATAAAAGACAAAAAAAACAAAAAAGACTAAGGAAGTATGCTGGTAAAATTGTGAAAAATTGGGAGATATTAAATAAATAAAATGTTTTAGATACCAGAAGTTTCATTTCTGCCCAACCCTGCAGACAGGTAAAATAAAAATGACGACTGAGACTGACCATTGGATTAACCATGCAGCAATCACTGGCAACCTTGACTAAAGCAATTTCAGTGGTATGGTGGAGAGAAAAATAGGATAGAAATGGGTTCAAGAAAGAACGGTAAGTGAGGATATGAGGACAGCAAGTAGGGTTTTTGTAGTATTTTGTAGTATTCCTTGTAGTTTTCTCTCAGTGATCTAGAGAAATTAGGAAGTAGCTAGAGTGATGAGAGATCAAGAGAGATACTACAGAATATTTGGTAACATCCTGCATTGCATAATACAGATGTTTCTGCAAAGAAAGCTGGATGCTCTGGGAGGAAGGAGTATAATCACAGAAGTGAGGAATATGAGTACCCAAGAGCTTATGGGAGCCAATGCACGAACCAGAATTTGGTCCTCCATGGGAGGGGGGACAGTAAATCTATTGCAATGGGAAAGGAGTTAGGAATAGGTAGAAAAGAGGGAACAAAAGGCTTAGATACGGATAGATCGGTGAACGTGAAGATGTGCAAGTTAGAGAATTCCCATATGGTTTTCCTAGTGAGATACAATGACTTTCAGAAGACAGCTTGGAAGTTTTGATGAGACTATGAAAAATTGAGGATGAACTGATTCTAATCCAGAGCTATTTCAGTAAATAACCCTGGGAAAAGAGTGAGAATAACGAGAGGTTCCCATTTGACCTAGGAAGAAAACTAAGATGTAAACTTGATGAGGTTAATCTTAATCTTCTAAGAAAAAGTAGATAATCAGTTCTTATAGATTGCTTCATGAGCAAGGTCTCTTATGTGCTGTATAACAGTGAAGTCTTCAGTGCTGTGAGGAGGCAACTCTTGATAAGGTTCAGATGAGCTCTCTGAGTTCATTTTTCAATCTCCTTGAGGAGCAAAAAGAACTCTGTGGATCTCCTTTAAAACCAGGTCTGCAGGAGACAGTGAAGCCAATTGGGAGAGATAGTCTAACCTGGAGCTTCTGTGAGTATGAAAAGCTCAAAATTAAACTTATAAAATCTTTCTTATATGGGGCATCTGACCTATAGAAAGGATTGTAAAAAAAAAAAAAAAAGACTCATTGTCTTAGCCCATTTGTGCTGCTGTAACAAAATAGCACAGACTATATAATTTATGAACAATAGAAATTTATTTCTCATGATTCTGGAGGCTGGAAAGTTCAAGATCAAGGCACTAGCAGAAGTGGCATCTGGTGAGGGCTGCTTTCAGCTTCCAAGATGGCATCTTATTGTTGCGTCCTCTGGAGGGGAGGAGCACTGCCGTCTCACATGGCAGAAGAGCAGAAGAGCAAGAGAGTGCTCCCTTCCACTTGGAGCCCTCTTAAAAGGGTGCTAATCCCACATGTGAAGGTGGAGCCATCATAACTCAATCACCTTACAAGACTGCACCTGTTAATACTATTGCATGAAGTAGTTTCAACATAAATTTTAGAGGGAACACATTCAAACAATATCACCTACCAATATTATTTAAAATAAGAATGCTATTTTCACATATTCTCTACTGTTTAAGCTCTGATCAGAACTGGAAATCAGTCAAGGCTCTCTCTCAGCCAGGATGGGTCTTCAGAGTCCTATACCCACCACACTCTCATCAGTCACCTCCTATGTATTGGAGTCAGCATGAGAGAAGAAAATGTCCCAAACACATCTCTGCCTTCAACACACCTCCATTCTACTAACACGTCTCAAAAATGAACTCCTGATCTCCCCTTAACTCCGGCATATACCAATATGCTTTCAAAATCCCAATCCCCGCCAAAGAATCCTGTTTTTTTCTTATAGGCCAAATATAATTGATCAACCTACCTGGTCAGTTCTAAATTTAAAATGAATCCAGAAACTTCTGCTCTTTTCATTGCTTCCATTGCAACTCCTGGGTCCAAGTTTTCATCATCAGTAGCCAGGATTGCCATAACTGATCTCCTTCTGCCCTTTAGCCCAGGTAGTCTGTTTACAACACAGCAGCCAGGACGATCCTTTAAACAGGTTTAGATCAAGTCACCTCACTGTTTTGCTCACAACCCTCCAGGGAATTTCCATCTCATCACCTGGCTTCATGACCTGTGGTCCTCCCCTCTCTGACATCAACTACCTTCCC